>NC_000009.12:120720552-121345552 GCF_000001405.40 Homo sapiens
CATCTATAAAAAATGATACTCACCTGCCTAGCACTGCCTGCCCAACACTGCCCACCCAGTGCCTGTCCCCAGACTATGGCCCAGCCCCCTTTGCCCTTGTCCATCAAAGGTGCCGCCAGCATGTCTGACAAACTGCCCTACAAAGTTGCTGACATCGGCCTGGCCACCTGGGGACACAAGGCCCTAGACATTGTGGAGAATGGATGCCGGGTTTGATGGGCATGCAGGAGCTTTACTCGGCCTCCAGGCCACTGAAGGGTGCCTGCATTGCTGACTGCCTGCAAATAACTGTGGAGACGGCCATCCTCATTGAGACCCTTTTCTCCCTGGGTGTTCAGGAGCAGTGGTCTAGCTGCAGCATCTTCTCCACCCAGGAACATGCAGTGGCTGTCTTTGCCGAGGCTGGCATGCCAGTGTTCACCTGGAAGGGCAAAATGAAAGAGGGGTACCCGTGGTGCATTGAACAGACACTGTACTTCAAGGACGGGCCCCTCAACATGATTCTGGATGATGGGGGTGACCTTACCAACCTCATCCACACCAAGTACGTACCCACAGCTCATGTCGGGCATCTGAGGCATCTCTGAGGAGACCAAAACCGGGGTCCACAACCTACACAAGATGATGGCCAGTGCAATCCTGAAGGTGCCTACCATCAACGTCAATGACTCCGTCACCAAGAGCAAAATTTGACAACCTCTATGGCTGCCAGGAGTCCCTTATAGATGGCACCAAGTGGACCAAGACGTGATGATTGCCAGCAAGGTAGCAGTGGTAGCAGGCTATGGTGGTGTGGGCAAGGGCTGTGCCCAGGCCTTGCAGGGTTTTGGGGCCTGCATAATCATCACCGAGACTGACCCCATCAGTGCACTGCAGGCTGCCATGGAAGGCTATGAGGTGACCACCATGGACGAGGCCTGTCAGGAGGGCAACATCTTTGTCACCACCACAACCTGTGTCAATATCATCCTTGGCCGGCACTTTGAGCAGATGAAGGATGATGCCATCTTATGTAATACTGAACAATTTGACGTGGAGATCGATGTCAGGTGCCTCAACAACAATGCTGTGGAGAAGGCAAACATCAAGCCCAGGCGGACTGGTACTGGCTGAAGAATGGGTGCCACATCATCGTGCTGGCTGAGGGTTGGCTGGTCAACCTGGGCTGTGCTATGGGCCGCCCCAGCTTTGTGGGGAGTAACTCCTTCAACCAGGTGATGGTGCAGATTGCGCTGTGGACCCACCCAGACAAGTACCCCATTGGGGTTCACTTCCTGCCCAAGAAGCTGGATGAGGCAGTGGCTGAGGCGCCCCCCTGGGCAAGATGAACGTGAAATTGACCAAGCTAACTGAGAAGCAAGCCCAGTAGCTGAGCACGTCCCGTGATGGCCCCTTCAAGCCGGATCACTACTGCTGCTGAGAGTCAGGCCTGCCCTTCACTTTCCAGCTGCTGTCCTTGCTCAGGCCCCGCCTCTTCTCCCTAAGAGCAAATGGCACCAACTTTGTGATTGGTTGGTTAGTGTCCCCCATCGATGGGGCTGGTCACTCAGTTTTTGGCCTCTGCTGCATCCCTAACACTATATCAAGTGTGGCGGGGAAATTGAGAGGCCCCTCCTCAAGCCCTGGTCATGATGGAGGTACAAGGGAGGCATCCACAAGGAACCATGAGTTGAGTGGTCTTGGAACTGCTCACTAAGTCAGTCCTTCCTTTTTTTTTTTTTTTTTTTTGGTATTTTTGGTAGAGACGGGGTTTCACCATGTGGGCCAGGATGGTCTCGATCTCTTGCCCTCATGCCTCGGCCTCCCAAAGTGCTGGGATTACAGGCATGAGCCACTGGCGCCCAGTCAGTCCTTCCTTAGTTTGGAAGTTGGTAGTGGAGTCACAAAGCCCATGTACCTTACCATTCAGGTAAGGTTCCTGGTCTGTGGACTTATACCGTGTTCCTGGTCTGTGGACTTATACCCGTGGTTTACAGGTTCAGTGGTTCCCCAGCCCATGACAGATGAGAAGGAGCTATATTGAAAGGCAAAGAGGAACTGTTGTTTGAATTTTCCTGAGAGCCTGGCTTAGGGCTGGGCCTTCTCTTAAACCTCATAACAATGAGGTTGGTACTTTTAGTCCCTGTTTTACAGGGGTCAGAATAGACTGTAAAGGGATAACTGAGAAAGGACAGAGAAGTGACAGCCAGAGGGGCTATAAAAACATAAAAGCAAGCATAGATCTGCTACTACTTTGTAACAAGATGGTTCCTATCACAACCCTGGTTCAAAAAGAGAATAATATGGTTTTAATGTTAAAAGAAAGCAGGAAGGTGGGTAAATAAAAATCTTGGTGCCTGAAAAAAAAAAAAAAAAAAAAAGATGATACTCAAGCACAGTGGCTCATGCCTATAATCCTGACACTTTGGGAGGCCCAGGCGGGTGGATTGCTTGAGCTCAGGAGTTCGAGACCAGCCTGGCAAAATGGTGAAACCCCATCTCTACCAAAAATACAGAAAAATTTGCCTGGCATCGTCGTTGCACCTGTAGTTTGAGCTACTCTAGAGGCTGAGGTGGAAGAATCACTTAAACCCGGGAGGTGGAGGTTGCAGTGAGTGGAGATGGTGCCACTGCACTCCAGCCTGGGTGACAGAGTGAGACCCTGTCTCAAAAAAAAAAAAAAAAAAAAAAAAAAAAGATACTTATGAAGGAAATTCTTATAAAATTGTGGAAAAAATCATTAATATAACTATTTATGCCATGATTCCCAAATTGTGTAAATGATAATATGTGCAGAGAATAAAATACCAAAAGGAAATACACCAAAATGTTAACATTCTTTTTTTCTGAGTGACTGCATTATGGATATTTAACTTTTTTCTCCTTCATAGTTTTCTACATTTTCCAGTTTTTTTAATAGTGAGCACTTATTACTCTCAAAATCAATAACAATCAACAACAGAATTCATTTGAATCTGAAGATATGTCTCTGCCAACCACATCCCTGACCTGCCTTCATGGTATCTCAAGATGATGAGAGGAAGGAAGGCTCAAGTTGTAAACCTACATTAAATGCAAGGCACCATCCCCAAACAATGAAGCTAAATGTTGAAATCCTGCTTCAAAGGCCCTCTGATGCTAAAATAAGCCCAGAAAAGCATTTGCTGCAGTTCTTGGAGATCTACTGAAGGACGTCATTCACAGTGGGCACCAAGTCAAACCCTCACTCGTCATCAGTGTTGGCTGCAATACAAAGAATTTGAACCATTTGGGGGAGGAATAGGGTTAGACCTTCACAAATAACTCTATCCCTTAGGTTGCTATCATTGTAATAAAGGGGATTACTGACAGGTGCACAGCACAGAGCTTTCCCAGGCATCATCTCATGTGAACTTGGCAACAACTCTGGAGGAAAGACGTTGATAGTAACAACAACAATAACAACAATGATGGAGACTTAACATTTACTGAATACTTATTATGTGTCAGGAATCAATTCTAAACACTTCACATACATTGTGCCTCTTAATTAAAAAGCAAACACAAAACAAAACAAAAACAGGGACTTGCTCTGTCACCCAAGCTTAATTGCAGTGACATAATCATAGCTCACTGCAGCCTCAAACTCCTAGGCTTAAGTGATCCTCCTGCCTCAAACTCCCGAGTAGCTGGGACTACAGGTGCACATTACCTTTTAAAATTTTTTTGTAGAGTTGGGGTCTTGCTATGTTGCCCAGGCTGGTCTTCAACTCCTGGTCTCAAGCAATCTTCCCCTCAGCCTCCCAAAGTGTTGGGATTTCAGGCTTGAACCACTGTGCATTCCCCTTTTAATCTTTTTAGCCTTATCTGTGAAGTAGAAAGAGTGATTACCCCCACTTTGCAAGCCAGTATGTTGTCACTCAAAGTAGTCAAATGACTTGTCCGAGATCGCCACGCTAACAAACGAAAGCATAGAACTTGTAGTCATTTGTTTAGACCTCAGGTCCAGATTTCCACAACTGCCTACTATAGTTCCTCAACTTTGAGTATTTTTTATTGCTGTCGTTATTAGAGGAGACAGTAGTTTAGCAGTAAAGAATGCCGGGTTCAAATCTGGTCTTTCTAGCTGTATAATCTTGGACAAGTCACTTTAGCTCTGTGTCTCAATTTCCTCCTCTGTAAAATGGGGATCATAAAATTTATCTCATAGGCCTCAAAGTCAAATGAATATAAAGCATTGAGCCAAAGTCTGCCCCATAATGAACACTCAAAAGACCTTGGTACATGTCTGATTTTCCTATACCTTGCCTTCTCACATAGTCAGTCAAGGTCAGGAGGGTACAATGTCCTTGTGTTCAATGCCCAGAACTTCTAGATTTTCAGAAGAGTCATACTCTCTGATTTCCATGGCCTCAGCCCTTTTGAAGAGCCTCCTTTGCTGGAGTGTGTGCCTGTCAGAGGGTAGCTTCTAGGACTGAGAGAGTACTTGGCAGGAATGAGTACTTGACTCCTTCTGAGAAATCCTTAGGCCTTTAGGACTATGATGCCCTTTGTTGAACTATTTGAGGTAGGCATGTTGATTTCTTGCTGGCTTCTGGGGGCTCGATAATAAGGAAATCCACTTCTAGAAGAGCAACTGTTTCCCTGAAAAGACCACAAAAATGGCAACTATCACAGCTGGAAGGGGACTTGGCATCAGTCCCTTCAAACATGTCCTTGTACAGATAATTAACCAAGAACCACAGAAGTAAAGCATCTTGATAAGATCCCACACTGTCAAGAGCCAGGGTCATATTCAAACCCTCTGACTCCCAGGCCACCATCAGACCCAAATCAGTCAGTACAAAGGAGGCAGCTAAGGGCCAGTGAGAGGCCTAGAGGCTACTGGCTGGACACCGATGGACCTTCCCACCTTCTGACTCTGGTTCAAGGCTCTCTTTATGTCCCCAGGCTCCCTCTCCAGGAATTTCCCTCCTAGAATCACAGAAATGGCACCCTGCTGCCAGCTTCTTATCAATGGCCATGGCAAGATTTTAAATAATGACAATACTGAGGCGGGCGGATCATCTGAGGTCAGGAGTTCAAGACCAGCCTGGCCAACATGGTGAAACCCCATCTCTACAAAAATTAGCCAGGCATGATGGCAGGTGCCTGTAATCCCAGCTACTCAGGAGGCTGAGGCAGAAGAATCATTTGAACCCAGGAGGCGGAGGTTGCAGTGAGCCGAGATCATGCCATTGCACTCCAGCCTGGATGACAGAGCGAGACTCCGTCTCTAATAATAATAATAATAATAATAATAATAATAATAATAATAAAATGATAATAATCAGGATCTGCTCTCAGGCAGCAGTTGGGACCTTAGGAATTACAAAATCTTCCAAATTAGGTCACATTTGTGTAAAGGAATTAGAAACATCTTTCCCATTTCATCAGGCCCAGATTAGAACAGCCTCTGCAGAGGGTCCTAGTAGATCAGTCCTCCTGTCAGGCCCATGGGTGTGATTTCCTTTCTCAAACAGCCACTGAACTTTTCTTATGATTATGGAGTGTTTATTGGGTGTGTGCAATGTGTCAGGTGCAGTCTGGAATTTGGAACTGTCACATACTGGCAGCATGACCTCTTTAAGAGGCAGGAACTTGTTATCTCTGTCATCCGGTCCCATGTTGGGGAACTATCTATGAATCAGCCAAGATGGGTTCCCAGCCCTCCATCCATCTCCCTTCAAGGCAAAATGGTCTAATGGGAAAAGTCCATGATCTAGCATACCTGGCTGCTCTACTTCCAGCCTATGTTACTTAGAGCAAGAATCACCTATTTTAACCTTCAGTTTTGTCAGCTGTAAAATAAGCATACAATACCTGGTCTACCTATTGTGTTGCTAGGAGGAATCATTCATTCATTCATTCAGCAGAAATGTGTTAAACACTGATATAGAGATACCCTAGTGTACAAGACAACAAAAAAGGTGCATACAATATAGTAAGATAATCAATTAACAAATAAATGGGTAAATAATCAAGATATTTACAGATTAAGCAAGTGCTACGAGGGAGATAAAAATGGTGCTGTGACACAGAATAATATCCCCTTAGAGTGATGAAGGAAAGCCTTGCTGAGATGTGACATTCAACCTGAAAGCAAAAGGAGTCAACTCTACCAACACTGGAAGGAACAGCAAGTGCAAGACTTTGAAGTTGGAAAGAAACAGAAAGGAAACCAGAATGGGTGAAGCATATTAAGTGAAGGAGAGAGTGGTACAAGCTAGAGGGCAGGACTCTGTAGCCAGGGAAGAAGACTGGGCTTCATTCTAGGAGCAAAGAGAAGTCAGGGAGCGTTTTAAGCAGGGAGATGAGGGCAGATTATAGAGCAGCAGGGACAGAAGCACAGATAGCAGCCAGAAGGCTGAGTTGTCCAGGCGTGAGAAGATGGTGGCCTGGACTGGCTTAGAGGCAGATTCAGAATCTGTTTTAGAAGTGGAATTGTCAAGACTTGCTGTTGGATTGGTGTGGGGTGAAGGAAAGACAGAAATAAAAAGTTACTCCTAGATTTTGGAATCCACAGGATCACTCACTCACTCATGCATTCAACAAACATCAATTAAGCACATATACCTGCCTGTCTCTAGGCATGGTGTTGGGGATAAAGATGGAGATGAAGATCACAGCTTTGTCAGGGAAATGGACCAGAAAATAGGCAAATATAATGCATTTAAGTAAGTGCAGTAAATATTAAAGAACATCGAACTCTGCTGAGGGGAAAGAATCAAAGAAAAGTCTTCCTAGGGGAGGGGAGTTTGAGCTAAGCCTTGAAGGAGCAACAGGAATAGCAGAAGGGCTCTGGGGTTATAGAACAGAGCTCTGAAATAATAACAATCGTAGTAGTAGTAGTAGTAGTAATAGCAGCTGATATTTGTTAAGGCCTCACAATGTGCTAGGTACTGTTGTAAGCATAAATGAATCATTTAATTCTCACATAAGAATCCTATAAAGTAGATCCTATTACCATCATCCCCACTTTACAGACGAAGAAGCAGAGGCACAGTTAACCTCAGTTACATAACTTGCCCCAGATCACACTCATAATGACAGAGCCAGGCTTTAATCGCATGCATTTTGGCGCTGGAAACTATGCTCCAAACACCGCAAGAAACTGCCTCACTGTGGGACGTCACCGCACATTTAGGGGCGGACAACAGGTGCAGGAGGTATAAGGTGTAGGAAGGTAGGAACTGATGGGAGGTCACGTAAATGACATGAAAGTATTTTGCAAACTATAAAGTGCTGTCCCCAAGCAGATTATCATCACTACTATTATAATAAATAACTGCCTTTCCTCCCTGTGAAAAATGAAGGCTTCTCAGCAGTATCTCTGGGTTATTGGCCTTGGAAAAAAGTGGCTGCTTGGAGGGCCTGCCCAGACAGAGGGAATCTCGGGAAAGGATGGGCTGACGTGAATCTGACCCTGAGTTGGGAAGCAGCAGATGTGGGCTCTGGTCCCAGCTCTGCACCTAACTTATTATGTGGTCTTGGGTGGGTTACCTCCCCACCCTGTCTTTAGTTTCCCCATTGCTAAGATAGAAGGAGGAAAGAGTGGGGATTTTTTTTTTTCCAGACGGAGTCTCACTCTGTCACCCAGGCTGGAGTGCGGTGGTGCGATCACGGCCCACTGCAACCTCTGCCTCCCGGGTTCAAGCAAATCTCCTGCCTCAGCCTCCTGAGTAGCTGGGACTACAGGCACATGCTACCATGACCAGCTAATTTTTGTATTGTTTTTAGTAGAGATGGGGTTTTGCCATGTTGGCCAGGCTGGTCTTGAACTCCTGACCTCATGTGATCTGACTGCCTTGGCCTCTCAAAGTGCTGTGATTACAGGTGGCTCACACCTGTAAGATAATCAATTAACAAATAAAAGAGTGGGGATTCTAAGGCCTTTTTCAGCCTTCACATTTTGAACAATCGCTGCTACTGTTGGTGTTCCACTTCTCCGAGCTGGACAGTGACCGAAAAAGAATGTCACCTTGGGGCCCTTTACCAAAACAAAGGCTTGCTGGCAACCTCGGATGGCAGTGGCACCTTCCAGAAAGCAGGACCCATGCTGGATGGGAAGCCCATGGCTTATGTCCCCTGAGTCCACAGATCTCCAGTTCAGACGCTTCTCATCACTCCTGTCCCTGCCAGGACACTCACTGGTTTCAAGCTCCTTGAACCAGGCCCATTCCTGTCCCTTTTAATGTTCCAGTGGGAGTCTGAGTAATGACAGCATTCTGGATACCATCCTTTCCAGGATGTGGCCAGAAGACGCAGATGGAGTTTACATCCTAAGGGGTCCCGTTTTGATTTTTCTGTGAGCCAAAAACCCCAGGGCTTTCTCACATGCGCTGCTCCAGGCTCCATCTTTTGCCATTGAGGGTTTTGTATTCACTGTCCTGGAATTAAAAGTGTTCTCAAGGGATGCAGCATTGAGTCTTTCTCCTCATGTCTCAGGATCTTCATCATGAGAATACAATCATAAGCCTGCAAGAGATCCCCTTACATCAAAGTCATTCAATCCAAACCCTTCTCGCTGACACAGAACTCCGTAAACTGTAAAGCACTGTTGTACATTATTAATTCACATATTATTCCTTCTGTACCTTATAAAAGTCCTAGTTTGGGCAGGGCTAGGATTACCAGATAAAATGCAAGATGTCCAGTTAAATTTAAAATTCAAATTTAACTAGGCATCTTGTGATTTGATCCATTAAATCTAGCAGCCCTTGATGGGATCAACAGTCCCATTTTGCAGAACTGAAGCTCAAAGGGATGAAAGGATTTTACCCAAACTGCTTGAGAGCAGGGACTATGTCTGACTTTTTAAAAATATTTTTTTCAAACATGAGAAGTATATTCCCTTAAAGCCAGTGTATCAGTCCATTTAGCAGTGATCTAAAAGATTTATGCTTTGTGAAAAGCCTATTCATCTATGAATAGAGAATCTATGCCCTGTGTCTGTGTAGGTGTATATGTTGCACAGAACATTAAAAAGTTAATAAATTCATTTTTAATCCCCAGTTCCCAAGTTGGGGTTAGCTCAGAGAAGATGCTTGAGAAATGTTTACTCAACTATTGGGCTTTCTGAATCTTTCATTCCTACAAGAACCCTACAGAATGAAAAAGAAATTGCTGGCTCAGGACAAAGAATGGCCCCAGAATGCAGTGTCAGGCTTCCCTGATCTTCCTACATGGCTGTGCCAAAGATGAGTTGAGTTTCAGGAAAGTGCAGTGAAACTATCAGCAGTGAAACTATCACATCATGAAATAGTCATGGGCCTCACGAAAAGGCTTCTTGTCATTACACTTCCTTCCTGCTCCAGGTTTAAGACCACAGGGAGGCTTCCCTAAGGCTGCCAAATACAGCGAGGTCTTGGCATAAATGTTGCCCAAGGAGTCCTTACACCATCAAAGGCAGAGGCACAAAGTCCCTTTCCTGCCCTTTGGATGAGTAGACCTGTTGGGGGCGCTGGTGGGACAGCCCCCAGGTGGCTTCTAGACTTAGCTCATCTCCCTCCTGATGGACAGCTCAGGATCTGTCCACTGACAGATCACATACTTTTTTCAGCTGCCCAGCCAGAGCTGTGAATAAACACAGACTCTCCGAGAAGACTTGAGCTGCCGATGACAGAGGTCAGGGGTCTTGGTTCCATTCCAGGCTGTCAGCTAAGAAAGAGGATCTGCTGAAGAATTGGAGCCTGGGCATGAGCTCTTGCCATGGATGGAACTTTTTTCATGTGTGAGGTTCACCAGTTAATCCTAGAACGTTAGAGTTAGAAGAGATGGCCTTAAAAAGCACCTAGGTCAGGCCACGCATGGTGGCTCACGCCTGTAATCCCAGCACATTGGGAGGCCAAGGCGGGCAGATCACCTGAGGTCAGGAGTTCGAGACCAGCCTGACCAACATGGAGAAACCCCATCTCTACTAAAAATACAAAATTAGCTGGGCGTGGTGGCACATGCCTGTAATCCCAGCTACTTGGAAGGCTGAGGCAGCAGAATCGCTTGAACCCAGGAGGCAGAGGTTGCAGTGAGCCAAGATCGTGCCATTGCACTCCAGCCTGGGCAACAAGAGCGAAACTCCATCTAAAAAAAAAAAAAAAAAAAGCATCTAGGTCTAATCCAAACATTCTTCCAGGAAGACACACCAAGGCTCAGAGCAGGAAAGGACTCATTCAAGCTCACATGATAACTTGGCAGCAGAACCAGGCCTGGAATGCATATTTCTTCTTGGTGCTGCATTCCTGATTCAGAAGAGCAGCTCTCCCTGCTAAGCAAACAGCAGGTGGGCGGATGTGGTCACTAATCAGTGCACTGGCACTGTGGGTCATTGAGCTTTAACCCCAGAGCACCATTAACAGCTTAACCCAGTCTGTCACCCTCTCCTCCCTGGAGGCCCTGCAGTCCTCAGGATTAGAAATAAACTGCTCTCAGCCAAGCCCCTGAAATAGGAGATGAAATGGCCCACAGAGACCATCCAATTTAGTTCCCCCAGTGATGCCGAATCCCCACCCTCTGTGCTGGGAAGCAGTTCCAGTGACCAATGAGCTCAGTGAGCTTGCAGGTGTGTGGGCAGGCTGCACAGAAGCAGAGGGTGGCGAGTGGACCACAGGGGGATGGATGGGCATGGAACTGGTGCAGTTAAGCATCGGCGTTCCCATTCTGTCTCCTGTCAGCTCTGTTCTCAAGTCCTTTTGCTATTACACTAAAGCCCATCTCTGTGAACTTCTGTCTACTGGGTCCAGCTCAGATCCCTGGAGCCCAGGCCACACCCCTTGTGAAGCTGCTAAATTAGGCGGGAACCCTGGTCTGCATGCAGGACTGGCTGCCTGGCTCTGTTCCCTGCCAAGCCAATATCTGTATACCACTTAGGAGAAAAACTCTAAAGCCAAATGAGGAAAAGCAAGGACGGCTCTGCCTGTGATCCTTGGATGGATCCCCTGTATGTGCCAGCACTATTCTCAGCTCTTAGCAGAGAACAGAAAGGCTCTGTTGCTGTTCTCATGGAGTTTATGTTCTGGTTAGGGAGCCAGAGAGTATATGGGTACCTAAATAAATCAGATAATTTCAGAAAATGACAGTGCTAAGAAGAAAACACAGACTAATAATGGGATAGAAAATGACTCCGGGGTGGCATGTCACTTTCACAAGCATGGTCAAGGAAGCCATCTGGGAGAAGGTACACATTGAGCTGAGGCCTGAATGAGAACGAGGAGGCAGGCTGGGGAAGACCAGGGAGACAGAATGGTAAATGCAAAGTCTCATAGACAGACACAAGCTTCGTATGTGTTTGAGAGGGAGAAAAAAGCTGGAATGGGTAGAATATAGCAAATGAGAGAGAGAAAATCTGAAAGGAAGTTTTGGTCTGAGCCACAGTCTAGTGCGCTGAGCTGGGCTAAAGGTTAAATCATGGTGATGATTCCGCTTCCAGAGAAACAGAGCCACAGCAAAGCAGAAATCACAGCATCATCATGGTGCTAACTGTGAAGGCCAGATGCCCACTGGGGCAACTCCACTGTAACTGCAGCTCAGTCAGTTCTCCAATCCAACAGGAAACACCCATCCCAGGTTTGTTTCTAAGCCAGATGACCTCAGGGGGGCTTGTCTGCTGCTCCCCCAAAGCACAGTGTTCTTCTCAAGGAGCCCCCTGGGGCAGAGGCAACTAGAGAAGGAAGCCTACATCTTAAGAGTTTTTGTGAACTATAGAAGGCTAGACCATGAGCTTCACCTCCTTCACGGGCCTCCTTTTCTTGCTTTCAGGAACTGATCTTCTCTTCTCTTCTCTCTCTTCTTTCCTTTTTTAATAAAAACTCTCATGGCGTCCCAGGCTAGAGTACGCAGTGGTGTGATCTCGGATCACTGCAGCCTTCGCCTCCTGGGTTCAAGTGATCCTCCTGCCTCAGCCTCTTGAGTAGCTGGGACTACAGTCTTGTGCCACCACACCTGGCTAATTTTTGTATTTTTAGTAGAGATGGGGTTTCACCATGTTGGCCAGGCTGGTCTTGAACTCCTGACCTCAAGTGATCTGCCTACCTTGGCCACCCAAAGTGCTGGGATTACAGGCGTGAGCCACCGCACCCGGCCTTGCTTTCAGGATCTTCATGGGGTCTCTTCACCTCCTTCCCCAACCAGGCCTGTTCTCAGAGTCAGCTTTGGTAAAATAGTTCACTCTGGGATATAAATGGTACTGTACCCTCTCCCAGGAGTCCTGTATTTTATCAAGAGTCAAAGTCCTGGCTGGGTGCAGTGGCTCCCGCCTGTAATCCCAACACTTTGGGAGGTCGAGGCCAGTAGATCACTTGAGGTCAGGAGGTCAAGACCAACCTAGCCAATACGGTAAAACCCTTTCTCTACTAAAAATACAAAGATTAGCTGGGCATGGTGGTGCGCACCTGTAGTCCCAGCTACTCAGGAGGTTGAGGCACTAGAATTGCTTGAACCCAGGAGGCGGAGGTTGCAGTGAGCCAAGATGGCGCCACTGCACTCCAGCCTGGGTGACAGAGTGAAACTGTATAAAAAAAAAAAAGGAATCAAATTCCTAAGCCAAATAAATGCATCTATAGTTGTGTAAATTAAGAAATCTGCCATCCAGGTGGGGAGGGGGTACCTGTTGCATCAGCAGGTTGATGGCGGGGCCCTGCCTGGTCGGTGTGGTTCTCCCTCTCCCAGGCCATGTCACCTTGTTCAAGTAGAACATTTATTCCTGCCCACCACAGGCATTTGACTCTCTGGAATTCATGGGAGGTTCTAGAGTGCGTCCGGCTCTGTGTCAACTACCACTGTGCAATTCCTGCAAAGGCAGTTGAGGCGGGGGTGGAGTAGCCCTGAATAAACTGACAGCCAGAGGACTGGGATATCAGCTGAGAACGTTCCCATGGAAAAGAAAAGTCCAGCCCCTTCCAGCAAATGCTGCCTGGCTCTGCAAAGAGTGCCTTGTCATCTCATTGGCATTGCTTCTGTATTTCTTTCCTATTTCAGACCAGAAGTGAGTGCATGGAGGATCTCTGTGAGCTGGTTTTCTCTATCTTCAGGATAATCCAACCTTTAGTAACAAAAGCAGAAAAATCTATTCCTATCCTTTGGCTCCCAAGTCCACATCTAAGTGATTCGTCCTAAGGATGTATTTCCAAAATTGTTTTTAAATCTTGTTTCAGGCCAGGAGCGGTAGCTCACGCCTGTAATCCCTGCACTTTGGGAGGCTGAGGTGGGTAGATCACCTGAGGTCAGGAGTTTGAGACCAGCCTGGCCAACATGGCAAAACCCTGTCTCTGCTAAAAATACAAAATTTAGCCACGTGTGGTGGCGGACACCTGTAATCCCACCTACTCGGAAGGCTGAGGCAGGAAAATTGCTTGAACCCAGGAGGCAGAGGTTGTAGTGAGCCAAGATGATGCCATTGCACTCCAGCCTGGGCAACAGAGTGAGACTGTCTCAAAAAATAAGTAAATAAATAAATCTTTTTTTAAATAAAGGTTGCTAGTATTATGCATGATTACATAAAGTGGGGCCTACCCAGGTCCCAAATGACAGGTGGATGAGCAAACTTTG
Organism: Homo sapiens; assembly: GCF_000001405.40. Lineage (NCBI taxonomy): Eukaryota > Metazoa > Chordata > Mammalia > Primates > Hominidae > Homo > Homo sapiens. The sequence continues at coordinate 120,734,092 of NC_000009.12, forward strand.
GCCCCCATTTGAAAGAATACTATGATAAGCTTAAAAATGACAAAATGAAATTCGTCAAAATATAGAAAAGTATATATGAAAGAATGTCCAGGGAAAATATTGGAAACCCAAACTGCACAAATCAATCAGTTTCTCCCTGCAGCCCTGTTGATGAAAACTGGAAGAGTTCAAGAAATAGTTATGTAAAATTTAAATAAAGTCCATGTTCTTTTTTGTGGGTATTTGTGTGCTTAAGTAATGTAAGTATCATAATCCCTAAGAAAATACTTTCTAACTTTTAAACATTGTTCACTATAAAATTATCATTCACTTTCTTCAAAAAATAATAAATTATTTTAATAATTGCTAATTGCTCTGTCTAGAGTTAGGTGGTTGGGATACAGAAGTAATTGCTTCCTGGCATTCAGGAAAGTACGGGTCTTGTTTTGACCAGGCCTCTGCCTTCCCAGGGTTACTCCAGGAATTGGGATCTAGAACAGCATATGTTTACACCCAAAGGTGGGAGATCACTTTCTCAGGCAGGACTGGTCCTGGACTAGGGAAAACTACTCATCTAGCCCAAATGACTTGTCCTTCCAAAGAAACTATTCTGCTCCCCCAACTAATAATATTAGCCATATCAAGATTCTTAGCTGCAAACAAGAAAAAATTTGCCATGGATAGTTGCATAACAATGATCATTATTATCATCACTTTTGGTGCAGTTGTTGTATGCAGGCACTGTGCTGGGCTCAATGGGAAGGGTTTTATGTGCATTATCTCTTTTTATCAACAACCTAGAAAAGAAGGCAATTACTTCCTGTTATGGATGAAGGAACTGAGGCTAAGAAAGGCTGAGAAACTTGCCCAGAGACCACAGATTTAGTAAGTGGTAGAGGAGATTTTCAAAGCTAGAGCTGACTGCCAAGCTTGAGGTCTTAACAAGCTTAGTTTCTGCAATGAAAATCCTGCTGGGCTTCAGTGAGAATCCAGCAAGCTGGTGATGCAGCCTCCATCCTTGGTGGGCCCCTACTAGCCTTAATATTTCAGGGCAGTTTCCAGGAGAGCTGGCTGGAGTCAGTGGTTGGCATCCACACGCAGCAGAGCCATGAAGCTGGCTTTCCCAGCAGCTCACATTAACTGGCAGTGGCAGCCAAGGCAGGTCAGAAGCAGAAATGCTCTCAGGGCCTCAGGAAACATCTGCAAGTCCTCAAGGAGACAAGACCTGCCCCCTTATCACCTCTTCGGGGGAGAGAGTGGGCCTATCCCATCTGCAGGGAAAGAATGAACACATTGCTTTTATTTTCCAAGGTGTGTTCCTGTAAATGAAACAATTCACTGCTATGCAACTTTTAGGATTGGCCACTTGAGAGCAGGCCTTGTACTGGACAATGGGGTGGCAGTCCTGAAATCAGAGCCACCACCTGCCTGCCAGGGCTTGTGGGGCAAGGGTGAAGATGGTGACAAGTGACAAGCAGTATTTGCAATTCAAAGTGAATGGTGCAAGGAAAAGGGGATGTGGTGTAAGGGGGAGAGTATGAACTTTGGAGTCAGAAAGTTCTGTTTCTTCATGTCCTGGTTGTGAGACTTTGGGCAAATTTCCTAACATCTCGAGGTTGTTTCCTCATCTGGAAGAAATGTAAATAGTTATACTTGTATTGCATAATTACCATGAACATTAAAAGGTACAAGTATATCAATACTTAAAATTGCCTAGCAGATAATGGGAGCTCAATAAATGATAACATTACTAGTGTTATTAAAAAGGCTCAGTTGGAGGATCTATAAATGGTGTTGTTGAAAAGAAAACAGAAGGGACATATTAGCTGGGTTTTGATGGGGAAGTAGGAGTTTGTTGACTAGCTGGTAGGCAGGAAGGGTTTTCTAGTTAGCAACTTAGCAAGGACAGCTTTGTGAAGGAGCATGGAACATCCAGGCAACATGAGTGGACCAGTTAGGAGCTACTGAAATATTCCCATCAAAATACAGGGGCGTACCCCTGGGGCAAGATGACTCTCTGACGTCCACTTACTACTATTCTCAAATAAAGGACCATGAACAACCTCTCCGTGTAAATTCATAAACCAGCATTCTTGTTAGCTACGCTTCCTGAAATGGAGCAGCCTCCAGGCCCATGGCCTGACAATCCACAGGGAACAAACAAAGCTGAGAATCAGATTCCAAGAGCCCACGCTCTTCCTTCTCTGGAGTTAGACAGGCTTGAGTTTTCATTCCTGTCCTTGCTGTGTAAACTTGGCAAGTCACTCATCTCTCTTATCTTTCAGTTTTGCCATCTGAAAAATGGGAATAATTATACATTACACAGAAATTGTTATACATTATCACAGTACCTGGTGCATGGCAGGTGCTATCTATTCTTTAGAGAAAGGAGCTGCTTTCTTGCCTGAACTTATGGCAGAGTGAAGGCAAGACTGACATATTCTGGAAGAAGCCCCACAATCTCGACCATGAAATATCAAAAAAAGACTTTCACAAAAATGGCATAGGATAGATGTTATTCTGTACTTTGCTTTTTTCAATGAATAATACAACATGTGAATACATTTAGATCTTTCTCTCTTTTTTTTTTTTTGGAGACGGAGTTTTGCTCTTGTCACCCAGGCTGGAGCCCAATGGCACAATCTCAGCTCACTGCAACTTTCGCCTCCCAGGTTCAAGCGGTTCTTCAGCCTCAGCCTCCGGAGTAGCTGGGATTACCGGCACCTGCCACCATGCCCAGCTAATTTTTGTATTTTTAGTAGAGACGGGGTTTCCCCATGTTGGCCGGGCTGGTCTCGAACTACTGACCTCAGGTGATCTGCCTGCCTTGGCCTCCCAAAGTGCTGGGATTACAGGCGTGAGCTACTGTGCCCAACCCTTCTCTTTTTTAAAAATTGAGAATTTTACAGTATTATTACAGTATTAAAGCTCACCCTTTTAAAGTGTACAAGTCAGTGGTTTTTAGCATATTCATGAGGTCTTTCTTGCAATCATCACTATTACCTAATTCAGGACAATTTCATCATCCCAAAAAGAAACCCTGTATCTGTTAGTAATCATGCCCCATTGCCCCCTTCCCCTGCCCCCAAGGACTGCTTATCTTATTTTCCATCTCTATGGATTTGCCTATTCTACACATTTCATACAAATGGAATCATATTATATGTGGCCTTCTGTGTCTAATTTATTTTATGTAGCGTAATGTTTTCAAGATTCATCCATGTTGTAGTATGTACCTCATTCCTTTTTATGGCTGAGTAATATTCCACTGTATGGATATAATACCATATTTTATTTATCTATTAGCTGATGAGCATCTAAATTGCTTCCATTTTTGGCTATTATAAAGTAATCCTAATTTCTTTAAGTAGTTGCCTTGTATTCCATTAATTAGAGGTAGCATAGTTTAGTTAAGCACTTCTTACTGAAGGATAGTTCTGGTCTTCTTCATTGTTTGCTAAGCAAAGAAAGATATTGTTACCACAACATCCTTCTAGTCTAAGAGATAGTCAAAACTTACCCCATTTCCTGAGGGAATTATCCAACAGAAGCAAAAAGTTGTATTGCAAAATATACTAATTGCAGCAATTTTTGTAGTAACACAAAATTGGGAACTACTTAAAGAGTCCACAACAAGGAGCTCTTTAAGTAAATTCTATTGTTCAATTAAATAATGTACAATTACTAAAATGATAACTATGAAGGCAATATAGCAACAAGTGAATTGCAAATGGTGATCTTAAGTGGAGGAAAAACCATGACAAAATGCAAAATGGCATCCCTTGCCCACACTGGTTCTCGCGATAGTAAGAAGTAGGGCTGGGAAGCACATCCATGCCCTCTGGCCTTGAAATTCCTGTCTCTGCCATGTCACAAGGAGGAACAGAATCCAGGCTTCCTCACTAAGGAGCAGGCTGGGGATCACTGCCACCCTACAACTACTGTGGGTTCTAGGAGAGGGCCCGCTCAGGAGAAAGGAAGGCTCCCCTCCCACGTGACGAGGGGAAGCTGAAGTCACTGTTGCCTTCCCTAGATTTTGAAGGTCCTGACTCCCTAGGTCCCCAGGGAGTGGGTCATAGCTAGGCTGTATAATGGTGACGAGAATTGTGGACCCAAGTCATCCTGGTGGCTGTGGAACCAGTTGTTCATGAAGATAGTGGGTGAACTGTTGTGATGAGTACCTTCCAAACTTCCTGTGTGTGGTGCTGGGGTCTCTTGCCAACGTCCAATACCTAGGACAAATGCTGACTTCTCAGAGTGCCACCTGGCACTGTACTTTCCAGAGTAGTCATTGCAACTACATTCAACAGCAGTAACTGTGAATCCATTCAATTGAACCAATAATGTGAAACTGTTATTTATTTATTTATTTATAAGATGGAGTCTCACTCTATTGCCCAGGCTGCAGTGCAGCGGTGCCATATTGGCTCATCGAAACCCGGGTTTTGAGCAATTCTCCTGCCTCAGCCTCCCAAGTAATTGGGATTACAGGTGTCTGCCACAACGCTCAACTAATTTTTGTATCTTTAGTAGAGACGGGGTTTCACATGTTGGCCAGGCTGGTCTCCAACTCCTGACCTCAAGTGATCCACCTGCCTCGGCCTCCCAAAGTGCTAGGATAAAGATGAAACCCACCACGCCCAGCCTGAAACTGTTTTTTAAAAGTATCCTTCCTGCCTGTAATCCCAGTACTTTGAGAGGCCAAGGGGGTGGATCACATGAGGCCAGGAGTTCGAGACCAGCTTGGCCAACATGGTGAAACCCTGTCTCCACTAATACAAAATTAGCTGGGCGTAGTGGCGTGCACCTGTAGTCCCAGCTACTCAGGAGGCTGAGGCAGGAGAATCACTTGGACCTGGGAGGCGGAGGTTGCAGTGAGCCATGATCACGCTACTGCACTCCAGCCTAGGCAACAGAGTGAGACCCTGTCTTAAAAAATAGAATAAAAATGGCCAGGCGCGGTGGCTCATGCCTGTAATCCCAGCACTTTGGGAGGCCGAGGCGGGCGGATCACGAGGTCAGGAGATCGAGACCATCCTGGCTAACATGGTGAAACCCCATCTCTACTCAAAATACGAAAAAAGAAAAAAAAAATTAGCCGGCCGTGGTGGCGGGCGCCTGTTGTCCCAGCTGCTCGGCAGGCTGAGGCAGGAGAACGGCGTGAACACAGGAGGCGGAGGTTGCAGTGAGCTGAGATCGCACCACTGCACTCCAGCCTGGGCGACAGAGTGAGACTCCGTCTCAAAAAAAAAAAGAATAAAAATAAAAAAATAAAAGTATGCTTCTTATTGTCATGATCATGTAAACCACAATCATTGCCATTAAAAGTACACAATGTAGCAAAACCAGTGATAACCTGTAGCCTTCAAAGTATTATTAATAAGAGAAATTTATCCTCAATGGAGCATGTTGGTTGGCAGCTTATTTTTTTGGATACTTATAGTTGTGATGTTTACGTTGTGATTTTGTATTTTGTATCGACCATAAATTATATTTTTTTATTTCTAAACCTTGTAAACAAAAAATATACTAACACAGAATTTTGTTAAAGTTTATATGAAGGAATATAAAAAAAAAACATTTTCTAGTATTCAGGAAAGTATATAGTAGCTTCCCAGTCCTCTGCTACCAGCTTCCAATCAGCTCCACAAACTGTGAAACTGTCCCTAAAATGTCCCCAGTCTTAGGGAGAAGTTTGAGATTATTAGGGTCACAGCTACACTGCTGTAACAAAGAGGCCCCAAAATATCGTGGGTGCAAAAACATCAAAATTAATTTTTCTCTTACAAAACAAAACAACCAGGCTGGATTGGTCAAGTGATGCCGCCATAAACAGATACAGTTTCAGCCAGGAGCGGTGGCACATGCCTGTAATCCCAGCACTTTGGGAGGCCGAGGCAGGTGGATCACCTGAGGTCAGGAGTTCAAGGCCAGCCTGGCCAATATGGCGAAACCCCGTCTCTACTAAAAATACAAAAATTAGCAGGGCGTGGTGGCGGACACCTGTAATCCCAGCTACTCGGGAGGCTGAGGCAGGGAGAATTGCTTGAACCCAGGAGGCGGAGGTTGCAGTGAGTCAAGATGATGCCACTGGGCTACAGAGCAAGACTCTGTCAAAAAAACAAAAAACAAAAAACAGGTAGTTTCCCTGTTGGTCTCCATCCCCTAAGGTGTCATTATTTGCTTAATCAAGGCTGGGTTGCTAACTCTGGGAAAGGAGGAAGAACCAACATTCCAGATAAGGAGCTTAAATCTGGAGATGACCCAGAAAATGTTCACATCACTTCCTTTCAATATTTGGTTAGTCCACACTTAACCACATGGTCACATCCAGCTGCACAGGAGTCTAGGAAATGTAGCCTGTAGCTGGGCAACTGTGCCCAGGAAGAGGGGAAGAATTTGGAGGAATAAGTAGCCATCTGCTACAGAGATTCTTTTTAATTTAAAAAATTTACAACATAAAAGAATTATATTACAATCCCATCATACAACTACTGACATTTTTCTATTGTTCTTTCCACATTTGAAACATGTGTGTTCCATGTATTTTTATAAAGTTGTAAAAATAGTATGTATGCAATTTTACATTCTACCAGAAATAAAACAGTATAATGAAAATAACATTAGATTCAAACAATGATATGCTATTTTTTTACCTATGACATTGGCAAGGTCTTTTAAAAAACCACAATAACCAGTGTTGGAGAGATCATGGGGAAATAGCCACTCAAACGTTACTCATGAGAGTGTACACATGTGTAACTTCACTTGGAGGGCAATTTGGTGATACATTTAAAAGTTTTGGCCAGGTTTGGTGGTGTACACCTGTATCCCCAGCTACACGGGGAGGCTAAAGCGGGAGGATGGTTTGAGCCCAGGAGTTTGAGGCTGCAGTGAGCTACGATCGCACGACTGCACTCCAGCCTGGGTAATGGAGGGAGACACTGTCTCAAAAAAAAAAAAAAAAAATTTACAATTTAACCTAAGGGGAAAAATGTAGAGATGTGGGTACAGATTTGTATAAAGGCTGGTTGTCGAAGCCTTACTTATGCTAAAAAATAGAACTAACCTAAATATCCAATGGGGATTGTTTAAATGAATTATGATTCAACCTTCCACAGAGATTAGAATCATGCTCTTGAAGAACACTGATGATGTAAAAAGTCTGCTAACATATTAAGTGAGAAAGCACATTACAAAATGGAATATATGTTCTGATAATTTTTGGTAAAAATTATCCATAGCTGTAAAGAGGACTAGAAGAATATTCACCCAAATGTCAACAGTGGTTCTTCTGGGTGAGTGCTATTGACAGCGGTTTTTACTTCCTTATTTACTCCTTTTGATATTTTTCAAATATTTGGCAATAGACATGTATTAGTTTTACAATAAAGGGGTTATTTAAAACACTGAATTAGACATACAGAATCCTAATACATTAGAGCAGAAATGATCCTTGAACTCCTTCATGTTTCAAATGGGGAAACTGAGGTCCAGAGAGGGTGAGTGACTTGCTAAAGTAACACAACTAGTTAGAATTGAGATTTGAACTGAAGTAGTTTGTCTTCAAGGCTGGTGTTCTTATCACTATATAACTAAAAAAAAAAACAAAAAAAAACACCTTTTTTTTTCTTTTTCTTTTTGTAGTCAATGTTCTGCTGAATAAAAAGAACTTTTCTAAAAACAGCTTGACTCCTGGCAGCTTAGTCAGTGTTGAGGTACACAAAAAAACAAAGTGTCTGTAAGTCCTTGGAGAACTTAAAACAAAACAACTTAAAACATACACACACAACAAATTTCTGGTACATCCAGTGCTTATAAGGAAATATACATTGGGAAAACAAACATTCACACTGATAGAAACAGGATATGAGTGTCTCATTCATTCATTCAAAAAATATTTGTTGCGCACCTACTACATGCTGTTTTTAACACACTAGATCCTGGTAATCAATGGTAAACAGACATGATTCTCACTCTTCTGGTGCTTACAGTATTTAAATTCTGCTAATGTTTGTTGAACATCTACTATACACTTTACATATTTTTAAAGTTTTTTTCAATATAGAGATGGGGGTCTCACTATGTTGCCCATGCTGGTCTCAAACTCCTGGGCTCAAGTAATCCTCCTGCCTTGGCCTCCCAAAGTGCTGGGATTACAGGCATGAGTCACGACACCTGGCCAACGCTATACATTTTTTACAAACCTTTGTCATTGTACTATACCAATAATATTAACCCCCACTTTATGAGTTATAATTTAGCTACTAAGCATTGTAACTAGGCACTATTTCTAATCTTACAACAGCCCTATGAGATAGGTATCATTAACTCTATTTCACAGATGAGAGAACTAGAATCATAGATATTAAGTGGATTTCCCAAGATTACACAGACTAAGTGACAGATCTGTTTTCTAATGCTCATCTCATTGCCCTTAAACATAGGGTCCTCTTCCCACAACTGTAGCCTCAACCTCGAGCACCCACTCATTACAGAGGTTAAATAAAGGGCTAGGACTTAATGAATTTAGACCATTTCAGACTTATTGAACTTATTGGGATGGAGCCCAGGAATCTGCTATTCTTTTATTATTATTATTATTATTTATTTATTTATTTATTTGAGACGGAGTCTCGCTCTGTCGCCAGGCTGGAATGCAGTGGCGGATCTCACTGCAACTTCTGCCTCCCAGGTTCAAGCGATTCTCCTGCCTCAGCCTCCTGAGTAGCTGGGATTACAGGCATGCGCCACCATGCCCAGCTAATTTTTGTATTTTTAGTAGAGATGGGGTTTCACCATGTTGGCCAGGATGGTCTCGATCTCTTGACCTCGTGATCTGCCCGCTTCAGCTTCCCAGAGTGCTGGGATTACAGGCATGAGCAACTGCGCCCAGCCAAATCTGTCATTCTTGATAAGATCACTCTATAACTTGTATCTGTGCTAAAGTTCAGGGGCCACCGCCCTTATCTGTAACCTGGAATCCTACAATTCAATCTCCCATTAGAGAATGTATCCTTAGGTCTCAGGTGGAATGTACCAATTCTCAAATTCCACTAGGGGACAGTATAGGCCAATATGTCTAGACAAGTGGCACACTGTGGAAGACTGTGGAATCAATCACTGATGACATTCATTCATCCCTGGACCAACAGCGAGGGCTTGTCGGCTGCCAGGCACTGGGCTGAGCAAAGGTGGATGATTTCTGTAATGCTATTTACAAACTTAGAAAGCTGCTTTGGGGCCAGATGCGGTGGCTCAGGTCTGTAATCCCAGCACTTTGGGAGGCCGAGGTGGGTGGATCACCTGAAGTCAGGAGTTTGAGATTAGCCTGGCCAACATAGTGAGACCCCCATCTCTATATTGAAAAAACTTTTTAAAAATGTATAATGTATAGTAGATATCCAACAAACATCAGCAGAATTTAAATACTGTAAACACCAGAAGAGTGAGAATCATGTCTGTTTACCATGAATTACCAGGATCTAGTGTGTTGAAAACAGCATGTAGTAGATACGCAACAAATATTTTTTGAATGAATGAATCAATGAAGTACTCATATCTTGTTTCTATCAATGTGAATGTTTGTTTTCCAGTGAGCCGAGATCGTGCCACTGCACTCCAGCCTGGGCAACAGAGTGAGACTCCATTTCAAAAAAAAAAAAAAAGAAAGAAGGCTGCTGTGGAGTAATGTGGTATGTTGAAAAGCAGGACCACGGTGTTTTGTGGTTTCTCCCATCAAAAGGTAGATCTATTTCCTCACGCCTTGATTCTGGACTTGCTTTGACCAAGAGAACATGGTAGAAGTGACTTGCAGAGTTCCAGAGCCTAGACCTCAAGGTCTCACTGCTTCTCCCTTTGCTTTCTTGGGAGGCTTCTGGCATTGAGTTCAGAAGCCTAGGTTGAAAGGCCATGCAGAGAAGCCCAGCTGTCCCAGCTGAGGCCCCAGCCTCGTGGATAAAGCTGTCTTAGCCCACATATTCCCGGACCAGCCACCAGTGATTGTAAGCTGCCTGGTGAGCCCAGCAGACCCAGTCAACCCGCCAAATTGTGAAAAATAACAAATCATTATTTTAAGCCACTAAGTTTCAGAGTAGATTATTACACAGTAATAGATAACTGATAGACGCGGCCATGCACAGGGGATTTTTTAAATTAATTTAGCAATTCTTTAACTGAGTGCCTGCTTTGTACCAAGTATTGTATTATCTCACGTGTTAGGGATCTGTGCCTTGTGGAACAAGATAGAAAAAGCCCCCAGCCTCATATGGGCGAAGACGCACAATAAATTAGTAAATGGATAGATATACGGGGCAGTATAATACCATATGGAATAAGGGCTGTGAAGAAAAACAAAGTATGGAGTTCAAGAATGATTGAGGGTCGAGATCAGGTTCTTATAGACAGAGTGGTCATGGAAATCTTCTCTAGAAAGGTGAAATTTGAGGATAGCTGTGAGTACTGAGAAGGAGCAAAACCTGTGAAGATCCAGGAGAAACACTTCCATTTCAGGCAAATGGAACAATATCTAAAAAACTCCAAAGCGGGAAACATCTTAGTATACGCAGAGTACAGCCTGAAGGCCAGTGGGATTTGTTAAATGCAATGTTAAATGCAAATTAATACAAATTTGTTAAATGCAACTGTCAAATGTGAATTAATGGTTTAACTTGTTAGGCCGGGCATGATGGGTCATGCCTCTAATCCCAGCACTTTGGGAGACTGAGGGGGGCAGATCATGAGGTTAGGAGTTGGAGACCAGCCTGACCAACATGGTAAAACCCTGTCTCTACTAAAAATACAAAAATTAGCTGAGCGTGGTGGTGCGCACCCATAGTCCCAGCTACTCAGCAGGCTGAGGCAGGAGAATCGCCTGAACCTGGGAGGTGGAGGTTGCAGTGAGCCAAGGTAGTGCCACTGTACTCCAGGCTGGGTGACAGAGTGAGACTTCGTCACAAAAAAAAAAAAAAAAAAAAAAAAAAGTTTAACTTGTTAAACTGGTGTAAGATACCATTTTAACTTATTTAGGATTCCCTATACTTCAATTTTCTTAACACTAAGAACAGGGTCATGTCAGTCACTCACATTCACTGAATGCTAACTCAAATGAATATCATTCTAAACTATTTGTCAAAATATGTTTAAAAGTTCTTTATTTTTCTGGCTTTTGAATCAGTAAACTATTTTACACTTTTCTGTAGCTCTTATTGCCTTTAGTGTTACGATGCTCAGAATCTAATCTTCAGATCTAGACTACCTCATCAAAGAACACTACGGGAGAAAATATTTGCAAACTATACATCTGACAAAGGTCTAATATCCAGAATGTACAAAAAACTTAAACAACTGTGCATGCAAAAAACAAACAACCCCATTAAAAAGTGGGCAAAGAGTATGAACAGACACTTTCAAAAGAAGACACACATGCGGCCAACAGGCATATGAAAAAATGCTCAGTATCACTGATTGTTAGAGAAATGCAAATCAAAACCACAGCAAGATACCATGTCACACAGGTCAGAATGGCTATTATTAAAAAGTCAAGACCAGGCGCAGTGGCTCACACTTGTGATCCCAGCACTTTGGGAGTCCGAGGCGGGTGGATTACCTGAGGTCAGGAGTTCCAGACCAGCCTGGCCAAAGTGGTGAAACCCTGTCTCTACTAAAAATACAAAAATTAGCTGGGCAGGGTGGCGGCCGCCTGTAATCCCAGCTACTCGGGAGGCTGAGGCAGGAGGATTGCTTGAACCTGGGAGGCAGAGGTTGCAGTGGGCTGACATTGCACAATTGCACTCGAGCCTGGGCGACAAGAGCCAAACTCTGTCTTAAAAAAAAAAAAGTCAAAAAATAACAGATGCTGGCCAGGTTGCAGAGAAAAGAAAGCACTTATACGCTGCTGGTGGGAGTGCAAATTAGTTCAACCATTGTGGAAAGCAGTGTGGCAATTCCTCAAAGAACTAAAACCACAGCTACCATTTCACCTGGCAATCCCACAGCTGGATAGATATCTAAAGGAATATAAATTGTTCTACCATAAAGATAAATGCATATGTATGTTCATTACATCACTATTCATAATAGCAAATACATGGAACCAACCTAAATACCCATCAATGGCAGATTGGGTACAGAAAATGTGGTACATATACACCGTAGAATACTATGCAGTCATAAAAAAGAACAAGATCAGCTGGGCATAGTGGCTCACGCCTGTAATCTCGGCACTTTGGGATGCCGAGGCAGGTAGATTACCTGAAGTCAGGAACCAAGGCAGGAGCCGGCTCCCTCAGCTTGCAGGGAGGTGTGGAGGGAGAGGCGCCGGCGGGAACCAGGGCTGCCCACTGTGCTTGTGGGCCAGCGCGAGTTCCGCGTGGGCGTGGGCTTGGCAGACCCCGCATTCAGAGCGGCTGGCCGGCTGGCCGGCCCTGCCGGCCCCAGGCAGTGAGGGGCTTAGCACCTGGGCCAGCAGCTGCTGTGCTCAATTTCTCGGCAGGCCTTAGCTGCCTTCCCACGGGGCAGGGCTCGGGACCTGCAGCTCGCCATGACTGAGCCTCCCCACCCCTCCGTGGGCTCCTGTGCAGCCCGAGCCTCCCTGACGAGCGCTGCCCCCTGCTCCACGGCGCCCAGTCCCATCAACCACCCGAAGGCTGAGGAGTGTGGGTGCACGGCACGGGACTGGCAGGCAGCTCCACCTGCAGCCCGGGTGCGGGATCCACTGGGTGAAGCCAGCTGGGCTCCTGAGTCTGGTGGGGACTTGGAGAACCTTTATGTCTAGCTAAGGGATTGTAAATACAGCAATCGGCACTCTGTATCTAGCTCAAGGTTTGTAAACACACCAATCAGCACCCTGTGTCTAGCTCAGGGTTTGTGAATGCACCAGTGTACACTCTGTATCTAGCTACTCTGGTGGGGACTTGGAGAACCTTTCTGTGGACACTCTGTATCTAGCTAATCTGGTGGGGATGTGGAGAACCTTTGTGTCTAGCTCAGGGATTGTAAACGCACCAATCAGCGCCCTGTCAAAACAGACCACTAGGCTCTACCAATCAGCAGGACGTGGGTGGGGCCAGATAAGAGAATAAAAGCAGGCTGCCGGAGCCAGCAGTGGCAACCCGCTCGGGTTCCCTTTCATGCTGTGGAGGCTTTGTTCTTTTGCTCTTTGCAAGAAATCCTGCTGCTGCTCACTCTTTGGGTCCACACTGCCTTTATGAGCTGTTAACACTCACCGCGAAGGTCTGCAGCTTCACTCCTGAAGCCAGCGAGACCACGAACCCACCAGAAGGAAGAAACTCTGAACACATCCCAACATCAGAAGGAACAAACTCCAGACGCGCCCCCTTAAGAGCTGTAACACTCACCGCGAGGGTCCACGGCTTCATTCTTGAAGTCAGTGAGACCAAGAACCCATGAATTCCGGACACACCGAGGCAGGTAGATTACCTGCAGTCAGGAGTTCAGGACCAGCCTGGCCAACATGGTAAAACCACGTCCCTACTAAAAATACAATTAGCTGGGTGTGGTGGCGGGCACCTGTAATCCTGCTACTCAGGAGGCTGAGGCAGGAGAATCGCTTAAACCCAGGAGGCGGAGATCGCAGTGAGCTGAGATCGCACCACTGCGCTCCAGCCTGGGTGACAGAGCGAGACTCCGTCTCAAAAAAAAAAAAAAAAAAAAAAGAAGCCTCTGGGGTGAAAGAAATCTTTCTGCAATGATTTCTATACTTAGGGGCAAGGAGGGAAGTGCCTGCAGCCTGGGTGAAGGGCTGATGGAGGTGGCAGAGAGAGACTACAGGCCAGGAAGGTCAGCTGTTGCTCACCCAGGTGTTGTCTTGGGACAATCACGACCTACTTCCTACTTCTTCCCTTTAGAAACCATCAGCATAGCCAGGCCACCTGAATCAGTCTTCCAGGAAAGCAACATGCCCTAATAAGGAGAAAAGTTAAGTGAAATTAGAGATTATTTCCCGGAAAGATGCCTCCTATCACTGCTGGTTGTTTAGTATAAATTTAAGGGCAAATACCTGACCAGAGGATAACTCTCACCTAGAAAGATGTGATTAGACCAGAGGGATCAAGAGGGGTTTTGGGAGCCGGGCGGGGTGGCTCACGCCTGTAATCCCAGCACTTTGGGAGGCCGAGGCGCGTGGATCACAAGGTCAGGAGTTTGAGACCATCCTGCCAAACATGGTGAAACCCCGTCTCTACTAAAAATACAAAAAAAATTAGCCGGGTGTGGTGGTGGGCGCCTGTAGTCCCAGCTACTCAGGAGGCAGAGGCAGGAGAATGGTGTGAACCCAGGAGACGGAGCTTCCAGTGAGCCGAGATCGCGCCACTGCACTCCAGCCTGGGCGACAGAGCAAGACTCCATTTAAAAAAAAAAAAAAAAAGAAGGGTTTTGGACAGGTGTGGTGGCTTACGCCTGTAATCCCAACAGTTTGGGAGGCTGAGGTGGGAGGATCCTTTGAGGCTAGGACTCGAGACCAGCCTAGGCAACACAGTGAGACCCTATCTCTACAAAATACAATAAAATAATCAGCCTGGTGTGGTGGTGCACACCTGTGGTCCTAGCTACTTGGGTGGCTGAGGTGGGAGGATTGCTTGAGCCCAGAAGTTAAGGGTGGCAGTGTGCTGTGATCACGCCACTACACTCTGGCCTGGGCGACAGAGACTCTATCTCTTAAAAAAAAAAAAAAAAAAAAAATTCGGGGGGCACTCTGTGACCAGGGCTTATCTCCTTCTCTCTCCTTAAACCCAGTGGGAGAGACAGACTAGAGACTGGTCCTCAGCCCTTCCCCCAGAAGTTGCCATGCAGAGTGGCTGATACCCCAGGGGAACAGGAGCTCATTGACCAAACTAATTAGCCACCTGAGGAGTACAAACACAGTAAAAAGAGGACAACGAACATCTACCATCTGAAGCAAAATTATTGGAATAGACCAACCAAGAACATGCACGGTAAATAAACTTAGGAAAATAAAGATAAAGCAAGAACAAGAAATCATTCTGTACCACTTTAATGAAGTATACTTAACATACGATAGACTACACATATTTAAAACATTCAATTTGATGAGCTTTGACATAAGTATACACCTGTCAAACCATCACTATAATCAAGATAATGAACATCTCAATCACCCCTAAATCTTCCTGTACCCCTCTGTCTTAGTCTGTTCAGGCTGTTATTAACAGAATATTATAGACTGGGTGGTTTATAAACAACAGAAATGTATTTACTTATTTACATTTTATTTTTTGAGACAGAGTGTCATTCTGTCACTCAGGCTGGAATGCAGTGGCGCGATCTCGGCTTGCTGCAACCTCTGCTTCCCGGGTTCAAGCAATTCTCGTGACTCAGCCTCCTGAGTAGCTGGGATTACAGGCACCCACTACCACTCCCAGCTAACTTTTTTTTTTTTTTTTCTAGTAGACATGGGGTTTCACCATGTTGGCCAGGCTGGTCTCGAGCTCCTGACCTCAGGCCATCTGCCCACCTTGGCCTCCCAAAGTGCTGAGATTACAGATGTGAGCCACTGCACCCAGCCAACAACAGAGATTTATTTCTCACAGTTCTGGAGGCTGGAAGACCTTGATCAAGATGTCTGGTAAGGGCCAGCTTCTTCATAGACACCTGTCTTCTCACAGTAACCTCCCAGGCAGAAGAGGGAAACAAACTCACTGAGTCTCTTTTATGAGGACACTAATCCCATTCATGGAGGCTCTGCTCTTACCATCTAATCACCTCCCGAAGGCCCACGTCCTAATACCATCACCTTGGAGGTTAAGATTTCAATATATGAATTTTGGGGGGACACAAACTCAGACCATAGCACCTTTGTGGTCATCCTTTCCTTCAGCTCCATCCCAGATAACCATTGGTCTGCTTTCTGTCACTGGAGATTGATTTTATAGATATAATTTTGTATAAATAGAAGCATATAGTGTGCATTCTTTTTATCAGGCTTATTTTACTCAGCATCATAATTTTGAGGTTCACTCATATTATTGTATATATTGATAATTTTTCCTTTTATTGTTCAGTAGTATTTCTTTGTATAAATAGATCTCAATTATACATCCATTTATCTGTTAATACACATTTGGGGGTGTTTCCAGTTTGGGGGTATTACAAATGAAGCTGCTATAAATATCTAGGTACAAATCTTTGTGTTGATGTATGGGTTTTTTTTTTTTTTTTTTTGAGACAGGGTCTCACTCTGTTGCCCAGGATGGAGTGCAGTGACGCAATCTTGGCTCACTGCAACCTCTGCTTCCTGGGTTCAAGCAACTCTTGTGCCTCAGCCTCCCAAGTAAGTGGGATTACAGGTGCATGCCAACACTCCTGGCTAACTTTTGTATTTTTAGTAGAGACGGGTTTGTGCCATGTTGGCCAGGCTGTGTGTTGATATATGTTTCTATTTCTTTTGGATTAAAAAAAAGCTAAGACTGGAATGGCTGTGTCATATGGTAGGTGTCTATTAAACTTTAAGAACCTGCCACATATTTTTCCAAAGTGGTTGTGTCATTTTGCATTCCTGTTAGCAGTGTATGAGATCCCCAGTTGCACCACATCTTCTCTAGTACTTGGTTTGGTTGGTTTTTTAAATTTTAGCCATTCTATTTAGATGTTTCCCTGTTGACTAATGATGTTAAGCATCTTCTTAAGTTCTTATTCAAGTATCTTCTTTTTTTTTTTTTTAGACGGAGTTTCGCTCTTGTTGCCCAGGCTGGAGTGCAATGGCGTGATCTCGGCTCACCGCAACCTCCACCTCCCAGGTTCAAGCGATTCTCCTGTCTCAGCCTCCCAGGTAGCTGGGACTACAGGCATGTGCCACTACACCCAGCTATTTTTTTTGAATTTTTAGTAGAGATGGGTTTCACCATTTTGGCCAGGCTGGTCTCTAACTCCTGACCTCAGGTGATCCGCCCGCCTCAGCCTCCCAAAGTGCTGGAATTACAGGCATGAGCCGTCATGCCTGGCCCTGTCTCTTTCAATTTATAGATTCTTCCTCCACCCCTTTCATTTCCTTAGAATGTATCTGTTGAAAAACCCAGGCCATTTGCTACAGTTTCCTGCAGTCTGGATTTTGCTGATTTTATACTCCTGTTGCAGTTCAACATATTTCTCTATCCTTGGTATTTCCTGCAAATTGGTACCTAAGTTCAGAGAATGGTTCAAACTCACGTTTGGTTCCTTTGGCAAGATTACTGAGGGTATTTGGCATGACTATAGGAGACACATTATGATTTGTTGTCTCTTTGTGATCTTAGGAGTGGGTGAAGCTCAATGCCTATCTATTCATTCAGAGGAGTTGCAAACTGGTTATATTCTATCTTTTTCCCATTTAGAGTTGGAATACTTTTATTAAGAGGAATTTTTCCCCATCTACTATTTGGATGCCCAAATAATATTTGCTTTTTATTTAAAGTTTAATAAGTTTAATGGAATGTTTTAATATTGGTCACTCAGGGTGTATATTCTCTTGGTATACTTTCAATTGTAGTTTCAACATTTTTAAATTTCTGAAATGTTTTCTTGAATTATATCTTTTGGCATTTGTTCTGTTCCTCCCTTACTTGATTTTCTTCTTTAGGAACTCCTATTACCTGTATGTTTGATCTTTGCTGCTTTCAATATTTGTCAATTTCCCTCAAATCTTGTTTATCTCTTCATTTCCTTTTTATTTAAACATATCTTTCTTTTTCACTGTCTTTTATCTCTTAAATCATTATCTGTTTATCTGTTATTATTATTATTTTTGAGATGGGGTCTCACTCTGTTGTCCAGCCCGGAGTCAGTGCTCAAACATGGCTCACTGCAGCCTGGACCTTCCAGGCTCAAGTGATCTTTCCACCTCAGCTTCCTGAGTAGCTGGGACTATAGGCACATGCCACCATGCCCAGCTAATTTTTTTTTTTTTTTTGTAGAGATGGGGTTGCATCATATTGCCCAGGCTGGTCTTGAACTCTTGGGCTCAAGTGATCAGCCTGCCTTGGCCTCCCAAAGTGCTGGGATTACAGGTGTGAACCACCATGCCCAGGCTGATGTATTTGTTTTTAAGTTAGTCTTGGTCTGTTTTATGGTGTCTCCCTGGTGTGTTTTCATTGTCTGTAAGGATGTTAATCTGCTCCTTCTTCGCATTTTTTTCTTAATAACTGTGTATAGAATTTGATCTTGATACTTTTATATTATTTTTATGTAAAATTTGTTTTCCTGACTTTTTGGAATGAGTGTATGTTCAGGCAAGCTTTTCAACCTTCTCAGAGCAGTCCCTCTTCTCTTATGTATGGATTCAAACATATTGCAAGTTGCTTTCTGGCATTTCCTGCCTCTGTCTTTATCCTTTCTTGAGTCTGGGCCATCTCTTACTTTCCTCTCTTGTCCCTGTCCTGCTCCCAGGAGTTTTAGCCCCAGGAGTTTTCCCTGGTGTGGGGCCTTGTCCTAAAAGAGAGCCGATCAGCCTCAACTGTTTATAAGGGCTACAGTGCTCCAGCCCTTTCAGGCGTTCTTGCCTTAGGTCCTTGTTCTCATCCACTGTTGGAGAGCCTCTCCCAGCTTCAGCTGACATTTTAGGATTGGCAGCCCAACTCTCCATTGATCACCTGTTGCCTATTTTGGATTCTCCTGTTCTCAGGCCTCTCATATACTATCTCTTTTCCTTCCTTCATTTTCCTCCTACAAAAATGTTCTTGTGGCAATAGGTATTTCGCCTCAACTACTGTATTCTGGGGCTCATGAAGTTACCTTGTACCTAGCTTTGTTGAAAGTACTGTCTGGGCCCTTGGTTTTGCTATTCAGTTGCTGGGTTTTTTGTTTGTTTGTTTGTTTGTTTGAGACAGAGACGCCCAGGCTGGAGTGCAGTGGCATGATCTCAGCTCACAGCAACCTCCCAAACTCCGCCTCCTGGGTTCAAGCGATTCTTCTGCCTCAACCTCCCGAGTAGCTGGGACTACAGGCGCATACCACCATGCCCGGCTAACTTTTTGTATTTTTAGTAGAGACGGAGTTTCACCGTGTCAGCCAGGATGGTCTTGATCTTCTGACCTCGTGATCCGCCCGCCTCGGCCTCCCAAAGTGCTGGGATTACAGGCGTGAGCCACCGCGCCTGGCCTAGTTGCTGTTCTTTGTGTGGATTTGAAGAGATTAAAAACCAGGCTGGCACCACCACCAACCTGCTCATTTTGTGTTTTCAGTTGTTTAATGATTTTTGCCTTCAAGTTCTAGCAGTGTCTTCTGTGTTCCTATATTTAATAAAGACCCGATGAGTGATACAGTTCCACCAACCATGCATCTAGGTTAGCAACCTAGAGCCAGCAAACAAAGAGTATCAGTTTATAGAAAGTCTGTATCTAGAATCCTTCTACTAGCTTACAAATCTCTTGGAGAGTTACTTCCTCTATGGAACCTTGGTTATCACCCTTAAGTAGAACTTCTTCCTTCTTGGTGCTTCCTTCATGACACCTCTTGGGTTTTGTGTGTGTACTATCCTAGGGAACCTGAGCTCCCAGAAACAGTGACCATACACGATTAATCTACATATCCCCAGGCTCCAGCACGATGCCTGATACAGAGTAGAAACCTCATACGTGTTTCCTGAAAGAGGGAGTTTGAGCTAAAAGATGCCTGCAGCTGTATTATATAACTAAAAAAAAATTAATTATTCTTAAAAAAACTCATGCTCGGCCGGGCGCGGTGGCTCAAGCCTGTAATGCCAGCACTTTGGGAGGCCGAGGTGGGCAGATCACGAGGTCAGGAGATCGACACCATCCTAGCTAACACGGTGAAACCCCATCTCTACTAAAAATACAAAAAATTAGCCGGGTGCAGTGGCAGGTGCCTGTAGTCCCAGCTACTCAGGAGGCTAAGGCAGGAGAATGGCGTGAACCCAGGAGACGGAGTTTGCAGTGAGCCAAGATCGTGCCACTACACTGCAGCCTGGGCGACAGAGCAAGACTCCGTCTCAAAAAAAAAACAAAAAACAAAAACAACAACAACAAAAACTCATGCTCACTGTGGGAAACTTAGAAAATACAAAAATAAGCAAATAGAAAATATTTTTCTCATTCTTTTTTTTTTGAGATGGAGTCTCACTCTGTCGCCCAGGCTGGAGTGCAGTGGCTTAATCTCCGCTCACTGCAACCTCCGCCTCCTGGGTTCAAGCGATTCTCCTGCCTCAGCCTCCCGAGTAGCTGGGACTACAGGTGCGTGCCACCACGCCCGGCTAATTTTTGTATTTTTAGTAGAGATGGGGTTTCACCATGTTGGCCATGCTGGTCTTAAACTCCTGACCTCAGGTGATCCACCTGCCTCGGCCTCCCAAAATGCTGGGATTACAGGCATGAGCCACTACACCCAGCAGACGTGCATGTATCTTTATGGTAGAACGATTTATATTCCTTTGGGCATATACCCAGTAGTGGGATTCCTGGGTTGAATGGCAGTTCTGGTTTTTAAGCTCTTTGAAGAATCACCACACTGCTTTCCACAATGGTTGAACTAATTTACACTCCCACCAACAGTGTATATGTGTTCCCTTTTCTCTACCTCTCCAAAGTTCATTCTTTTTTTTCTTTGATACGACAAAGTCTCACTGTGTTGCCCAGGCAAGAGTGCAGTGGCGTGATCTCGGCTCACTGTAACCTCTGCCTCCCAGGTTCAAGCTATTCTCCTGACTCAGCCTCCCAAGTAACGAGGATTACAGGCACCTGCTACCATGCCCAGCTAATTTTTTTTTCGTATTTTTAGTAGAGACGGAGTTTCACCATGTTAGCCAGGCTGGTGTCAAACTCCTGACCTCAGGTGATCCACCTGCCTCTGTCTCCCAAAGTGTTGGGATTATAGGCGTAAGCCACCAGGCCCGGTCAAAAAAAAATTTTTTTTTTTTTTTTTTTTTTTTTGAGACAGAGTCCTGCTCTGTCTCCCAGGCTGCAGTGCAGTAGCATAATCATGGCTCACTGCAACATATGCCTTCTTGGCTCAAGCAATTCTCCCACCTTAGCCTCCCAAATGGCTGGGACTATGGGCGCATGCCACCACGTCTGGCTAATTTTTGTATTTTCTGTAGAGATGGGGTTTCACCCTCTTACCCAGGCTGGTGTCAAACTCCTGGGCTCAAGCAATCCACCAGCCTCAGACTCCTAGAGTCCTGAGATTACAGGCCTGAGTCACTGCACCTGGCCATGTTATTTTTTGACTTTTTAATAGCTATTCTGACTGGTGTGAGATGGTATCTCACTGTGGTTTTGATTTGCATTTCTCTAATGATCAGTTATTGAGCTTTTTTAAATATGCTTTCTTTGGACACACACATGTCTTCTTTTGAAAAGTGTTCATGTCCTTTGCCCACTTTTTAATGGTTTTTTTTTCTTGTAGACTTGCTTAGGATCCTTACAGATGCTGAATATTAGACCTTTGTCAGATACATAGTTTGCAAATATTTTCTCCCATTCTGTAGATTGTCTATTTACTCTGTTGACAGTTCCTTCTGCTGCCTACTGATGTCTTAGCATGACATGCCCTATGATAACTGGAAATAAAGTAGAAGGCAAGTACAGTATTAGAACACATTTAGGCTGGGTGCGGTGGCTCACTCCTGTAATCCCAGCACTTTGTGAGGCTGAGGTGGGCGGATCACCTGAGGTCAGGAGTTTGAGACCACCCTGGCCAACATGGTGAAACCCCATCTCTACTAAAAATAACAATTAGCTGGGCATGGTGGTGTGCGCCTGTAATCCCAGCTACCTAGGAGGCTGAGGCAGAATTGCTTGAACCTGGGAGGCAGAGGTCACGCCACTGCACTCCAGCCTGGGCGACAAGAACAAAACTCAGTCTCAGAATGTGCAGTAACCTTAAGTGCAAGAAAGTCCTTGGTATAATTAAACGTCTTCTACAGCAACGGAATCTGGCTCTCATTACTAGCTGCAACTCCCAAATTTTCCACTAGGTGGCAGAACAGGCTAGATAATAGCCGGGGGTTCTCAACCTTAGTGGGCATCACAAACACCTGTGGGTCTTCAGCCCCAAAGTTTGATTCATTAGGTCTGGGTGTGGCCTGATAATTAGCATTCCTAACAAGCTTCCAGGTGATGCTGATGTTTCCAGGTGATGCTGGAAGGAAAGTACATTTTGTGAACACTGGATTACAGAAAATCAATGTAGACCAACCCAAGGCCCATTCACCCATCCATCCATCCATCCATCCTTCCTCCAGTTTACTTTGTAGTTCTAGGTGATGTGAGCACAGAGAAGAATGAGACATGGTTTGTTCTCAAGACATAGTCGGGTGAGGGAGAAAAGGAAAATGAAAAAAATAACTCTTAGTCTATTATTTCCACCTCTCCATTTCTTCCAATATACAGACTTCCTAAGTGTTGTTTTTCTCTTCTTCTGTCAAATAGAGTTTAAGCCTTGTGCCCTTAAAGCCTGAAAGATCAACTAGCCCAAGAGCTGCCTTACATGGCTAAACCTGCTGAACTAAGAAACTCAGGAATGTTTGCTATCCTATAAAAAGTTTCAGATAGAAAATCTCCTCTCTGAACTTAGAAGCTGGAGATATAAAAGCACACCTGACACCCTCGAGTCTGCATTGAGTAAAAATAAAACACAGGATTACTATGTTCTTAGAATCTGTGCTTGGCTGCTTTCCAAAATGAATTCCTCATTTTAAACTTCAATATATATTATGGTTAATTTGGGGAAAAAACATTTTGACTCATGACTGTCCATATTTTCCTTTAAATAGTATTGTTGACTAGCTCTAATCTTTGGTACTGGGTCTTACTAGATCTACTTTTTGCATAATTTGTGATGTACCATATAAACCAGTAATATGTAAACAGATTGTGTATAGGTTTACTTGACACAAATCCTTTTTATGTAATGAAAGAACACTTCAACGCATGTCTTGGGTTGAACTATTATTTCTAAATCAGTGATAATTAGATTAGTGAAATTTTATTTATAGCCATAATTCATCTCGACCAATGATTTCACAAGTATTTGAAAGTGTAATGGGTAAAAGATGCAGACAGAATTCAAGAGATACAAATAAGCACACATAAAAATATGTCATTTTCTCTCTAGTCCCCTCCCCCATAAAAATGTTGTCATGTGTTAAAGAAATGTCAGTTAAAGCAACCTTGAGATACTTCCTTTATATCTATTAAATTGGCAAACATGTTTAGAAATGTTCTTTCTTGACTCGGGCAGTGGTTAGACAAGTGTTCACTTCATAACTATTCGACAAAACTGTGTGTTGTATGCACTCTTCTGTACCTGTAACAGAAAATACTAAGAAAAAATTCCACTGCTTTTGCGAGTAAGTCTTCTACTGGAACTTGTTCTAAGGAAATATGCACAAAGAAGTTCTCTGTAGTATCTTCTAAAAAGCAGAACTGGAAACTACCTAATTATCTACCAAAACAGAAATGGTTTAGCAAATTACAGTAATGAAGGAAAATTACAAAATATTATGGTAGTTGTAAAAACCTAAAGCACATTTTTGAGAATGTATTACAAAACAATGATTTGCAGTACATAAATCCATACACATGTGCATAAGGATTAGAAGAGAGTATTAAAAATCGTAATGATAAAGGAGCTCTGGGTAATTTTCTCCATAAGTTTTTATTACTGTTAGATTATCTTTACCACAGAGAGCACAGAACATGTGGTTAAAATGCAAAGGACAGGAACATCCCACTGGCAGGGACTACTCATGTCTAATCACAGTGTGATCATTAAATATTCTCTCCAAATGTACTCAGAACACTTCAGATGTTTACAGGATATGGCAGAAGAGGGACGTCTAAGAGAGGAAAAGCTGTGTGGAATTGATCTTTCATTTGCTTCTGATCTTTTATTTTCAATTTTAGATGCTCTGGAAGTTATTTTTCTTCCAAGTTTAGATAGCTCTTAAGACAATCCATGGAATTCATTAAAATCTCAATGAATTCCTACTCTCAATCTTACAATGTTGCTGGGGAAACCAGGTATTCACTTGTATTTTGGAAAAAACTGAGAATCAAGGATGAAAGTTAATAGTTGTCTACTGCAAAAGGTACAACAGTATTTATTGCTAAATGAACTGCACCACTAACCTTACACAAAAATGCTCAGTGAGGCTGGAGTGGGGTATGGTGGTCAGCAGAGGCTTTAAAGATAGTGGGAGATCAATGGGATTAAAGCCTGGCCCTAGGACTGGTGGAAAGGAACATCAAGAACTTTCCACGAGGATGGGAGATTAACACCCAAAGCGCAAGGGTGGAAATAAATAGAGGAGCAAGAACTGTTTGCTCGAAGAAATTAGCTAGGGCTCCATGATGTTAAGGAATCCAGATGTGCCCTGATGGTAACGGAGAGTTACCAAGATTGAACAAGAGCAAGTAAGTGCTCAAAGAAGTGGTTGGGGAGACTCCCTGGAAGCAAAGCATAAGACAGGTTGAACAGTGCACACAAGTGGTGAAGGCAGAAGGCAGCAGTCGGGATTTGAAGAGACTTGAAATACAGAAAGAACAGACAAACATGAAAACATGGAAAAAATCCAGGTGTGTGGGGGCTGAAAATCAGGGCTTCAGCCTCACCACTTACTATAACTCCTCTAGGCAATGAATCACTTTACCAAGCCACAGCTTTCTCATCTGTAAAACAGGAATGACAATCTGCCCTTAATGATGCTGTCAGGGGATCAAAGGTGCAGGGCCGTGGTACTCAAATGACAAGAAGCCCCGTAAGTTTAAGTTAGTAAGAAAGAACTCATGCAAAGATGTGCTGGATAGACACATCCTTGGGCAAAAGAGAGGAAGACTATTCCAAGGTCTGGAAGCAAAATGGGACTTTTACCCACCCCATCCCTTCATTTGCAACTATTCATGAAATTCACCAAAATTATTTCCTTGTGTTTTACCTTTATTGTTTTGCTTTTTGGATCACCTTCAGAAATGGTTATATTGTTGAGTTTACCTTCTAGAAGATGCAGAAACAGTAAAAAAACAGAGCCACCTCAGATCACTCAAGGGGTTGTTCTATTTTCAAAAACACACTGACTTTTGAAAAGTCCCTGCATTGGTTGGATAAAATGTCTGAAGTGGTTGGGGGGAAAGCAAGACAAAGTCTTAACTACAGAATATATTTTTAAGGAAATGCAGCTTTATTACTTTCAAGTACAAACAATAACTTGGGCTTGGCTAACCAAATTTGCCTAATTGAGGGAATCTGCTTTAATGTACAGATATAAATGATTTATAGTTAACACAATCACTCACGGGTAAAAAGAGTGCTTCTATGATGCAAGAAAATAACTTCTCATCTTAGAGACATCTTGTTCCACAATCACCCCACTATTTGCTTAAGCAACCTCTTCTTCCCCCTACCCCACACAGTTCAAATATAAACTTTATCTCATGCCCTCTAAATCACAACATACATCAAATTCGTGAAATATGAGTTGATTACTTTTTCCACATTGCTATAGATGTTGGATTGCTGACAGAACTATCTCTTCAACCTGAGCATTCTCATCAAGTATACTAAGTCTAAATCAGTGAAATATGCCTGTTCACAATCTGAGTACAAAGACACCAAAACATGAGCTTTTATCATCTGAATTACTAATTTTCCAGGGTTGAATATTAAAAACACATATTTACTTGGGCACATTTATGAAGAGTAGAAGTAGCTGAATTCTTTAGGCTGCAATAATTAAGTGGGTTTACACTGGTCAGGATTGAATTACTAAATTTAAACAACTGAACTGTTCCAGGAAAGACAAGAAACACTGAAACATCCTAACAGCAAAACAGCTTTTTGCACTGAGCGTGACCATTCAGTCTGATTAGGCTGATGGGAATGGTGCAAAGACTACTCAGTAATCCATTTGAGGATTTATTCTGAAAAAAGTTTACTTTCCTAGAGCAGGCATGGGGAACCTTTGATCAGAAACACTGCCAAAGATGGCTAATGGGCATTGTGTCAAAAAAGTGAATCTGTTCTTTTCATCAGACATTCTGAGGACAGCATAATTCTCAAGTGTCTTGGTTGTCTAAACCAAGCGAAAGCACCAGCGTAACCAGGTAGGAGGGCTGTGTCAAGAAGACGGACCTAAAGGGCTTCTCCCCTATCCTGACAACTGTGTCCACAGGCAAAGGTGACAGTATGCCCTGCCCGGACTGCATCATGAGTAGCAATCTGATTCTGCTCGCTTCCCAACAGAGAAAGGCAAGTGGCTTCATACACCAAGGCCCAGAGGAAGAGGCACAGAAAGCTATAAAAGTGATGCTGGGGCCGGGCACAGCAGCTCACGCCTGTAATCCCGGCACTTTGGGAGGTAGAGGCGGGCAGAACACGAGGTCAAGAAATCAAGACCATCCTGGCCAACATAGTGAAACCTCGTCTCTACTAAAAATACAAAAATAGCTGGGCGTGGTGGCACGCGCCTGTAGTCTCAGCTACTCAGGAGGCTGAGGCAGGAGAATCGCTTGAACCCAGGAGGCTGAGGTTGCAGTAAGCCGAGATCACGCCACTGCACTCCAGCCTGGGGATAGAGCAAGACTCTGTCTCAAAAACATACAAAAAAAACAAAACAAAACAAAAAAAACAGTGATGTTGGTAGGATTCACCTCTAGGCAATCTGGAAGCCACACAGTAACAACTTCAAGTTGCCAGCTGGGTTTGGTCAAAGAAATGTGTAAAGCCAGGATCCACTATCCTTAGCTGATTCTGTTAGATCAAAATGCCTAATACAAACAATTTCCTCATGTCTAAAATACTGTTTCCGAAAGTTATTTCTTTTGTTTTACAAATAGAGAGCAGTAATCATTTTCCTATGAATACTAGAATGATTATATAATCCTCATTCAAACCTCACACCAAGTGTTTTCAACAGCCAGAACAGAGCAATTTTTAAACTACGAAAAATGAAGTGCAAACCTTACAATTTCATAGCAATGTTCCCCACGTTTCACTCATGAACAGCTATCCAATTGCATGCACCTTCCTGCAGAACTTCTTCCAAGTCCAGTCCTTCCACTGGAGGGGCTTTCTTCCTATTTCTCCAATAGGTCTAAAATGTCAGGTTACAGTCAGATTTGGCAATGTGTATTACTTCAAATGATTGAGCTGGAGGAAACTACATTCCTTTGGAATGATGACAGAATCTATCAGAAACTTCACACATCCACTCAGCTCTCCTGGATCCCTGTCCACACCATGAAGCCTGAAGTTGTTATGATGGCCTTTATGAACCTGAAAGAAGCCGCTGGCTTCCACCACACCACAGTGTCACCCAAGAAATCCAATCCTTGTAAGAAAGGATAGGGCTTATCTTCTCATGACTTAGAATTTTTCAGAAATGAGAATATTCACAAAAGAGGGAAAGGCAATTCCCTTACCTATGCGCTAAGGAAGCCAAAGTCAGTGTGTGCAAGAGCTAGCTCTCAAAGGCAATGAAAGGAGAGTAAAGAATAGTTTTAGTTATCCCCTATCCACTTCTCATTCTGACTCCCCACTTTGCTTTCTTTTGCAAAAAGGATGAGCTAGTTTTCCATTTTTATAAAAACTGGCGATAGTATGAATAAACCCAGCATCTATAAAGTAGTTGAATAAAATCTCAGGCCAAATAAAGGCCTCCATAAGGAAGAACTGACATTAGGACTCCAATTACTGCCTGAAGTTCTGCTGTCAAAATCCAGCTGCATGATGATGCCACTGTACTCCAGCCTGTATGACAGAGCAAGACTGCCTAGGAAAAAAAAAAAATTCCAGCGGCACCAAGTACCACCTTGATGACTTCTGTATTCACCACTAAAAACTGAAATAGAACATACTATATACAGCTTCAAGTTTGTCACTTTTTAATAAAACTTTTCCCACAAATGATTATAATTACTTGCCCTTTGAAGCTATTGGATAGATCTGAAAGTGAGGTAGGGTGGGGATGGTCATTAGATCAGTAATAGTTATCTGTTCAGGCTCGATAAAAAGTAAAAACTCGGCCAGGCGTGGTGGCTCACGCCTGTAATCCCAGCACTTTGGGAGGCCAAGGCAGGTGGATGACCTGAGGTCAGGAGTTCAAGACCAGCCTGGCCAACATGGTGGAACCCTGTCTCTACTAAAAATATAAAAATTAGTTGGGTGTCATGGCAGATGCTTGTAATCCCAGCTACTTAGGAGGCTGAGGCAGGAGAATCACTTGAACCCAGGAGGCGGAGGTTGCAGTGAGCCAAGATCGTGCCATTGCACTCCAGCCTGCGCAGTAAGAGCGAAACTCTGTCTCAAAAAAAAAAAAATAATAATAAAGTAAAAAGTCATTTACCATCATCATTGCCCAAAGTCTCCTGGGGCTTCTGCAAAATAGATTCAGTTGTGATTCCGGTTCTATTTCTAGAGTACTAAGCAGAGCTGATGCACAGAACTCAATGTGAGATAGATTAAACCCAGATTTTGTGGGATGGGGGAAGATATTGTTCTTTTGCTTAAACCCCACAGAGTTTCAACATGGATATTAATGATATCTGTCCTTGAAATTCACCATTAATTTCTATCAACTTCACAGCACTCAGAGGTCCAGAGTCTGGCTCTATGCTAATGCAGATTCTGCAAGAGATAGGTCCCCACTCTAGAGTTCACATCATTCTCAGCTCTGCCAGCAACCCTTTTTCTCACCTGTAAAATGGATATGCTTTATACTGGAGTCAGCAAGAAGGAATAACTCATGTTCCCAGACATAAGCTGTCACTGAGGTTCCAATTCTTATGTTCATCTTCAAACTACCTTCCTATTGGTCTGTGAATGAAATACATCCCTCCCCACCACCCTTGTAATACAAGGGGAGACAGCTGAAGAGCGGCTGAGATTTTTCTACTGCTTGCTCCCTCTACTCTCTCCCTGATTGTGACCACTAACATTTCCACTGCTGAATCACAAAATTACCTAACTTTAGAGAGGGAGGAGGACACAATCTGGCAACCCAGGGACATGTTTTGTTTGGCTCACCTTATTTCAAATTTTCTTTAATCAGTTGTAACGTTTTAAAAATCCAGGATTTCAAATAAAAATCTGGATTTCTAGCTCCTCCTGAAACAATGTGAAGACCTGCCAACCCTGGGCTTGCTTCTCCTAATGACAAAACAGAGCTGAATAACTGCCCTATTAGATCAACTTTCCAGGGGACAGCACAATCCTCCCCAGAATGTTTTACTCATTTATGTTACCTGCACGGCTCCCTTAGGCATTTGGGTTTGTGAGCCCTCATCTAGGACAATTCCCTCACTTAAAAGATGAAGAAAATGATGGTCTTAGAAGAGAAAGTTAACTTGCCTGAGGCTGCAGATTAAGTTAGAGGCAAAGGAGGAAGTTAGGTTGGGTTCAGGTATCCTTCTAGTATAGCATACTGTGTCCCTATTTAAACCATGGCTTCTATCAGCATTTCTTCAACCAATTACTTAAACTGTCTAAGTGGAATCAGCTATATTTTCTACATTTCCCTTTTATTCATCCTTTTCATATAATTGATGTTCTTATAGAAAACTCTGTAACAGTCATTTCATTTAAATATTATCCGACCTGAAAGAAACCATGAATCAGGGATCAGACAAAAATACATGATCAACTTTTACACATTTCAGTAGGTGAAGGACCAGAAAGAATCTTAGAAATCACTGAGCTTCATACCTGGCTGTACAGACAAGGAAGCTGGGACCCAGAGAGGGTGCAGAGTTCCAGGGTAAGAGGCCCGGTCTCTAACCTTCCAGCTCACTGCTCTTTTCTGCTATACCAGGGCACCGCTGTGCAGTCATCCAGGCTGCCGGGGACTAGCTTCCCCGACATGGCAACAAAAACTACAGAACTCGCTCACATCTTAAACATGGCCAACCTTGACTCTGCCAAGATATAAGGTTTAGAATGAGTTGCTAACATTCAATTTACAGAATTGGATTTGAACTGGAAGACAGACTTTCCTTAGCACTGGTATTTGGTGGAAGTTTATAAACTGGTATTTGGTGGAAGTTTTAACACTGGCTCTTATAAGAGCTAAACCCCGTGTGAGGAAAGTTGCTGTAACAACATCATAGCACCTTTGCTTCAACTTCAAAAGAAAAAAAGGCTATGGTAAAAAGCTTTAATAACAGACAATGTGATTTCATAGGCAACCAATTAGCAGATTAATGGATCATTTAACTTTCTTTACTTAAAACCAATACTCCACTCAAGAAAGATGAACCCAAAATGCATCCTCTAACACTGACCAACATAACTAAGTACAAATGAAGTCAATGGTGTACCCCATTAGCATGCTGCGTTGTATGTCAATAAAACAAGCCCTCCCCCACCCCGAGCCCTGGCCCCTGGCAAAACATAGATAAATGATTGTGCACTGCGTGATGATACCATTAGGTGAGAACTTTGGTTCATGCAGTCGGCTGCCGCAGAGGTTGCACCCAAAACCCGCAGCCCCGGCACCCAAAGTCAGTCAGCGGTGGTGGCTCATGGTGTCAGCCGTGCTCCTTCCACAACACCAGGTGAATACTGTGGTCAGGCATGCTGGTGGCAAAGACCAAGCCCGTGTCATTGTGCCCATCCAGTCCATTCAGCCAGGATGCTTCGCCTGCCAGGAAGCTTGAGCCTCTCTTTGATTTCCTGTACTCTGGCAGAGGCCAGCGACTAATCAGGCTCTCTGTCCGCAAGTCCATGATGTACAGGTAGCGGTTGTCAAACAGCAGGGCAAAGATATCTCCAAAGCCAAGCAAGGCCAAGTTTGCTATCTCAGGAGTCTTGATGACCCTACAAGGATGAGAGTTAGGGACTGTGAAAGAAGGCAACCTTGCTTCTGTTTATGCTACTGTAATCTTTTCTGGAGATATTTAAAACCAATATTAAATTCAAGCAAATTTAGAGTTAAATGTTTTTGATAAAAAGTAAAATATAAGGAGAAAAGCTCAGCCCACTTATAAAAAAGCCGGGAGCGGGAGAGGTGCGTTCAGTCATTATATAATATTGGCATGGAAGGGAAAGGTGGTGTTTGATCAAAGTTTTTTTTTTTTTTTTTGAGACAGGGTCTCACTGTGTTGCCCACACTGGAGTACAGGGGCGTGATCTCGGCTCACTGCATCCTCCACCTCCCAGGTTCAAGTGATTCTCCTGCTTCAGCCTCACAAGTAGCTGGGACTACAGACGGCTGCCACTGCACCTGGCTAATTTTTGTATTTTTAGTAGAGACGAGGTTTCACCATGTTGGCCAGGCTGGTCTCGAACTACTGACCTCAGATGATCTGCCCACCTCGGCCTCCCAAAGTGCTGGGATTACAGGCGTGAGCCACCGCACCCGGCCTGATGAAAGTTTATAAAAGTACAAAACATCTATCCAGGCTAGAAAGGATCTTACAGATAACATTTAACTAAACAATCTATTTTTAAGCTGTGAAAACCAAAGCTCAGGCAGAGTAAATGCTTTGGCTAAGGATTCACAATTTGTCAGTTACCAGTGAGAACTAGAAGGCAAGAGTTAACTCTTACCACTAGGTAAAAAGATGTATTCATCAACTCCTAGAATACTGGAACACCCTGAAGCCCAGAAGAAACCTGAAAGCCAAGTGACTAAAGTGCTACTCTACTCAGCAGGCAGCAAACAAATGGGTTTCTCTCTAAAAACAGTAAAGGCTGAAAATATTTAAAGTTTCCCAAATAACTTAGAAACATTTATTAATAATAGATTCATAAAAAGTTATTATGAAAAAAACTAGGGAAGAAACAACTAGGGGAAGCAGAGAAAAGTAGGGAGTTGGGAGGACAGCCCTAACTTTCTCAGAGGCAGTTTCCAAGACATCAATGACAAAGGCTAGGAGACACCTAGCTAAACAGCAGCACAAAGGAAAACAAAAAACAACTTAGCTTCTGTTGTCTGCGCCCTTAGTGAAGCAAAAGATTAACAAGAAAAGCTGATGTCCTCTTTGGAGGAACTAAGAGCTGAGCTACCAGACAAGCAGTAGACAAATACTGCTCTGTGACATATGGTGGGGCTCCTGTGGGAGGAGAGTTTAGCCTAGGTTTTAAGGACACCACCAAACTAGTATAGGTTCAAGAGAGCAACCAGAATGGGAGGACCTGGAGACCAGGACAAGGAAGAACAGCTGAAGGCTATCAGCTGAGATGGGGAAGGAAAGAGTTGGCAGGCATAGGGTAACTGTATATGAGGATCACTTCTGAATAGTGAAAGATGTGTAAGAGACAGCCCAGACATTATAAGCTTTAGAAGACAGAACTAGGATCAGAGGCAAAGAGTTACAAAGGAGCCAATTTCAGTCTCATATCAGGAAGGATGGGGGACATTCAATATTTATCAAGCATTTACATGTGCAAGGCACCGAACTTCATAATTAACATGTTATCTTTTTTAATTATTTTTATTTATTTATTTATTGAGATGGAGTCTCGCTCTGTCACCAGGCTGGAGTGCAGTGGCGTGATCTCGGCTCACTGCAACTTCCACCTCCCGGATTCAAGCGATTCTCGTGCCTCAGCCTCCCGAGTAGCTGGGATTACAGATGCCCGCCACCACGCCCAGCTAATTTTTGTATTTTTAGTAGAGATGAGGTTTTACCATGTTGGCGAGATGGTCTCGATCTCAACCTTGTGTTCCACCCGCCTCAGCCTCCCAAAGTGCTGGGATTACAGGCGTGAGCCACTGCACCCAGCGTGTTATCTCAATCCTCATAATGCAGTTAGGTAGAGGTATTCTCTCCACTATATCAGTAAACAAGACTAAAACATCTTGCCATGAGTCATACAGCTAACATAATGCAGGCCTAGCAAATGTTTTCTGAGTATCATAGGTGCTGAGTGCTGGCTGGGCCCCTGAAGAGAGATAAGCAAGATAGTCTTTGCCCCTTAGAAGGGGAGGGCATAGCATATAACTGCCAGAGTATGTGAGAACATGCTCAGCACAAACACTCCAATGGATATAACAGGAGTATCAAGGAGTGAGCAAATCTTTCTGTCTTTTATAGCTGGACCTGGAAGAATATTTTTTCTCTTTCTTGAAGAAGAAATGCAACTGGGCAATATAGATAGAATACGGAAAGCCTGTCTAAATTTTACAAATTCTCTCTCATGGGCATGTGTTTCTCTTATAATTAATATCTGAAAAAAAAATCTATGATACTAAGAATATCAACAAGACATCACTTCTATGAAACTAAGAAAATAGTTAACAGGTGCTGGCCCCTGCTTGAAAAGCAGAGAGTAAGCTCACCTTCCCAGACTGAAAATGGAAGAAACTTCTGCTAAAAGAGGTAGACATTTAGATTAGATGACATGTTTGAGAACATCCAAAATCAATCACTGAACACTCCCTATGGTGTCAGCCTTTATAAACAGGTTTACAAGATGGAGTCTGATCCCAGGGAAAGCAGTAAGTTCAGATTAACTTCAAGTAAAGGGGAATCAGAGGTCCCAATATGTGTGTTCCAAATGAGTTATAACTGATAACTCATCCATCATTTTCTACTTAGATGACTCATATTCATTCACTCAACAAATATTTACTAAGAGCCTAAAGTGAGCTAGCCAATGTTGGTACCAGGATTTCGGCAGTGAATAAGACAAAGTTCCTCACACTCAAACTATCCAATACTGAATTTCCTAGTCAAACCTGTTTTTTCTATTTCTTTACTTGCTCATTCACCCAGGTGCTCAAGCTAGGAAACGTGGCAACCATCCAATTCTCCTCCTCCTCCTCATTCAAATCACAAATTCGATCACCAAGCTCTATTGATTTTATGCCCTAAATTTTTCTCTAATTTGTTCACTAATATATGCACTACCACAGCTCTAGTCCAAGACACCATCTTTTGCCTGCACTATTGCCAACAGCTTTCTACTGACCTCCCCACATCTACTTAGTCCCTTTGAATCAGTTAACCTCACATACAACCTGATGTTATCACCTTGTTTCAACTTCTAAACTCTTTGATGGCTCCTTATTGTGCCCCCATCTTTAGCCATGCTGATGCATTTAAGGAATTTCCTTCAATTTCTCAAATGTACCTGAGGCTCCTTTAACCTCAGGGCCTTCGAACGGACTAGTGTCTCAGTCTAAAATTCCTCACTGTACACCCACTCCTGGTACTTAGTTAAGGCATTTATACTCACCCTTTAGAGCTCAGCCCAAATGTCTCCTCTTAGAAGCCTTCCCTTACTCCACAAACTAGGCAGGGCCTCAAAGTACTCTGTACTAGGCTAGGCTCCTCTTAACCCAACCATTAAACAACCTGTTTGCAATTAGCTGTTTAACATCAGTCTTCCCCATCCTGCTGATCGGTAATTTCCCTGAGTTTGGTAAGTACTTCTGCTGTTTCCCAATGCATACCACAATGCCTGACACAAAGGTGGGTGCTCAATGAATATCTAAAGAATAAAGTAGTGGTGAAATAAACAAAGGCAAGTGCAAATTCCTACAAAAGAGATCTAAAGGAGGCTAGGAAGCCGGGTGCGGTGGCTCATGCCTATAATCCCAGCACTTTGGGAGGCGGGTGGATCACTTGAGGTCAGGAGTTTGAGACCAGCCTGGCCAACAGGATGAAACCCCATCGCTACTAAAAATACACAAAATTAGCTGGGCATCATGGCAGGTGCCTTTAATTCCAGCTACTCGGGAGGCTGAGGCAGGAGAATCGCTTGAACCTGGGAGGCAGAGGTTGCAGTGAGCCGAGATCACACCACTGCACTAGAGCCTGGGTGACAGAGTGAGACTCTGTCTCAAAAAAACATAAAATAAAAACGAAAAAAAAAGAGGCTAGGAAAAACAGCTAGAAAGTCTGGTAGGTCCCACATCATAACAGAACACAAAAAATAGGTGGCTACCGGGTTAGGGCTCAAGATCTGTGAAGATGAGCTGATTCCAAAGACTGAAACACAAATATGTTGCAGAATAGAGCACAGGTCTTGACAGGTTTGTGGCTTTCACTTTGATCACTTTAGAAATGGAACCAGACATCCCTGCTGTGCAGAGTCTGGGTCCTTGAACCTAAGTAACCTTACATGCTGTAGAGATAACCTAACTCAAGCAATCACATCATATCTCAGACTTATTGAGTAACATGCTGTTATTTGTGCTTTGCTTCTTTTCAATTAGCTTCAAAGCTAAGTAGCCCTACCTGGTCCTAGCAACTGAAGCCAGAGGATTTGTAGTAGGTTTCAACAGAGGTTGGTTTATCTGTGTTTGGGAGGAAAAAAGCAGACACAAGACAGACTCTTTTCGGAGAAAAAATCTGAACCTGGCAACTCCTACCCGCAAACAATCTTACAGGTTTATTATTTAAAACTATTATTCAAACACTAAAAACTAGCAACTTTCATCTAGGACTCTAGAGTCTCTATATGCCACTCTGAGTCACAAGCATACATGAGAAAGCAGATGTGGGACCAAATTAAACCCTTTAGAGATGCTAAGCATTAAAACAACTATGACATCTCTAGCCCACCTTGCCTTTGCACCTTCCCACCTAAAATTTTAATTCAAAACAAAAACAATATTGAACTATAAAAGATGTGATTTTCCCATGGTGATTACTTGAATATTTTGCTTTACAAAATATCAGATTCTTTCAAAACTTTATTTTCCCCTGTTTTTGGTGTCCCTGGCTTTCTAGTACCATAAGTATATACCTATTGGATAATCCAGCCATGCATGAATGGACGAATGTTGGAATACAGTGAGAGGTGGAATGCTGGGCAAGGCCCCTACCCTGTCTCAGCTTCAGTTTCCCTACCTACAAGAGGAAAAGCTTAAACAGATGTTTTCTAGGAAAGGTTTCAGTCTTTTTTCTCAAAGCATAAATATCAATCATTTCTATAACTGATTCTGACAGCTCTGAAACCTAACTGGTTAGAAATGTTGGTCTGATTCCAGGAAGACATAAATGGGGTTGTAACTTTGTGATCAGAGAGATGTGGCCCACCAAAGTTTTGTGGTTATTGTGATCAGATCCACACGAGCTGACCTCAAATAGTCATGCATAAAAACAATGAAGAGGCCGGGTGCGGTGGCTCACGCATGTAATCCCAGCACTTTGGGAGGCCGAGGCGGGTGGATCACGAGGTCAGGAGATTGAGTCCATCCTGCCTAGCACAGTGAAACCCCGTCTCTACTAAAAATACAAAAAATTAGCCGGGCATGGTGGCGGGCGCCTGTAGTCCCAGCTACTCGGGAGGCTGGGACAGGAGAATGGTGTGAACCCTGGAGGCGGAGCCTGCAGTGAGCAGAGATTGTGCCACTGCACTCCAGCCTGGGCGACAGAGCGAGACTCCATCTCAAAAAAAAAAAAAAAAACAATGAAGAGAATGTTCAATTTTCTGTACTCCTCCAAGTCCTGAACCATGCTATGGGACGCTAACTTTTTGAGTTGTTATTAATAAGTGTGTGCACAACAGGTGTGAAGTACAGTAGGTTCAACAAATTCAAACAGGTTTCTTTACATGGGTCCTCTCAGACTTATTATTAATAAAGATCTGCCAGGTGGTATACTAGGTCCTCATCACAAGCATTTCATTTAATAGTCACTTTATAGATGATGAAATTGAGCTACAGAGGAGTTAAGAAACTTATACTAAATCACACAGCCCATTAGAGATGGCACCACATCTTAAACCAAGGTTTGTCTATCACCAAAGTTCTCTTAATGACCACATGGCACTGGCTTCCATCAGCCCCAAATATGCTAACAGATACTGTCCTTCTCCAAGAAGAGCCTATGGTATGCAGTGAATCACAAAATTATTTGTCTATGGACTGCTGCTTATTTACTTCTTTGGAGGGAAACCCTGCAAATTTTATTTTTCTCTAAGTCTCTGTCTTTCTACTAGTCAACAGAAGGTCACTTGATCCCTAGATACCACTAAAGTTTACCAAGTTTGTAAAACAATGCAGAATTTCAACAGAATATGAAATAGGACTTAAAATATTAGAACTTATGGAGATCTGAAAGATCTTTTCATCCATGCCCCTCATTTTCCAGAAAAGCATGTTAAATCTGAAAGAAGTGGCTCATGACTCACAGTCAGGCAGCGGACGTTCCAGTACGTAACTCTTTTTCATTTGCTTACTTCCTCTAAAATATTTTTCCTGTCTGAGATGTTCAGTATATATAACCCTGTTTACAAGTGATACAGTATACATTTCCTAAAAGCC
Organism: Homo sapiens; assembly: GCF_000001405.40. Classification (NCBI taxonomy): domain Eukaryota; kingdom Metazoa; phylum Chordata; class Mammalia; order Primates; family Hominidae; genus Homo; species Homo sapiens. The sequence goes on from NC_000009.12 coordinate 120,771,251, forward strand.
AGCTACTGACTGGTACATCCAAACATTTAGTCTTGTCTTTACTACTGAACTGCAGCAGGCTTTCAAAGGTAAAGCGTGAGGTCGAAGGAAACATTACCTGAGAATATCATAACTGGCAAAGTCCCACTGGTAGAGACCAAGTGCTGAACTACAGACAATGTATTTGCCATCAAAATGAAGTCTTGGCTGCAGGCAGATACTTCTATCCTCAGAGACAGACAATGTCTTTAAGCACTTACAGTTGATTTCTCTCCCAATTGGCCAAATCTACAGAAAAAAGAAAATGAGGAAAGATGAGAGATCACATCACTACAGAAAAGCTTGTCCTTAAAATGGTCTGCATTTGTGAAGTCAGATAGAAAGTGAAGTATACTGGAAAGACCCCAGGTTTTATAGCCAAGAATCACAGGTTCAAGTCTTAATTCTCCTGTGCAATCTTGGGTAAATTATTTAATCTCTCTTAACTCCAGCTCCTGCAATGAAGATAATGCCTATCACACGGGACAGTATAAAAGATCCAATAATGGGCCAGGCACGGTGGCTCGCGCCTGTAATCCCAGCACTTTGGGAGGCCTAGGCAGGTGGATCACCTGAGGTCAGGAGTTCAAGACCAGCCTGGCCAACATGGTGAAACCCTGTCTCTACTAAAAATACAAAAATTAGCCAGGCGTGATAGCACACGCCTGTAATCCCAGCTACTTGGGAGGCTGAAGCACGAGCATCACTTGAACCTGGGAGGCAGAGGTTGCAGTAAGCAAAGATTCTACCACTGCACTCCAGCCTGGGTGACAGAGTGAGACCCTGTCTCAGAAAAAAAAAAAAAAAAAAAAAAAGAGATGCAGTAAGAATGTGAGAGTACTTTGTGAACTCTTTGCAATTCATTACAATAAATATTTATGTTTTCATAGTTCAGATCTAAGAATTAAGGACGGTAGGAGATATGTAAAAAAGTATTAAGAATGGGCCGGGCGTGGTGGCTCATGCCTGTAATTCCAGCATTTTGGGAGGTCAAGGCAGGCGGATCACAAGGTCAGGAGTTCGAGACCAGCCTGGCCAATATGGTGAACTCCCATCTCTACTAAAAATACAAAAATTAGCTGGGCCTGGTAGCAGGCGCCTGTAGTCCCAGCTACTCGGTAGGCTGAGGCAGGAGAATCACTTGAACCCAGGGGGCGGAGGTTGCAGTGAGCCAATATTGTGCCACTGCACTCCAACCTGGGCAACAGAGCGAGACTGTCTCAAAAAAAAACCAACAACAAAAATTAAGAATAAGCTGAACATAAATTTATGTGAATTTCTTTTTCATTTACAAATCCAAGTTAAGAAACTACACAGGACATAGAGCTAGCAAATCATCTCTTCTTCCGGTGGGTTTAAAATGGCTTGGACTAAGACACTCCCCCTCCTCTTCCTAGAATGTTCACCCTTTGCCATACCACTTTCATTTTCTTATGTTTTCCAGTTTTTCTTTAATGAAGCAAATTAATGGAGAAAAAAACTCACCTTAATCTCATATTTGTCTGCACTTAAGAGGATGTAGTCTCCAGGACTGTGCAAGAGAGACTTGACTTTGCACTTCTGCAAAACTACCTGCAAATGTAAACCATGTTACGGAAAGATCCTTTTAATGCTGCTCCTATAATGATTTTATTCTTTAAATTAAAATACAAAAATGAGCTTAACATATGCTAGAATAGCTAAGCCATAACTCCATTACCAAATTAACCTCTACTAAAAGTTTTACTACAATATTCTCTGTTATTAGCAGTATCTAAAAGTGTCTAACGTTAGCCAGATGAGGTGGGTCACGCCTATAATCCCAGTGACTCGGAAGGCTGAGGTGGGAGGATTGCTTGAGCCCAGGAGTTGGAGGATGCAGTGAGCTATGATTGCACCACTGCACTCCAACCTGGGCAACAGAGCAAGACCACAACGCTTAAAAAAAAAAAAAAACAGTCTAAACATTGGCAGCATTTAATCTTAGCATTCGTCTAGAAGCAAACATTAGGACTGATTTTTTAAAATTATAAAATGTAACTTAAGAGAGGGAACAGAAAAGAAAAAAGCCCGTAGACACTGACGTAGATGCAAATGATCTGCTTTCATAACTATGTGAATCATAAATGAAAAAGCACTGGACTTGGGACCAGAATCTGCCATATGCTGACTTTGCAACCTTGGACAAGACCATCTAAACTCGGTCAGTTTCTTGATCTTTAAAACAGGAGACAAGCACCTATTATCTTACCTCATTTAATTACAGTAAAGATAAAGTAACAATGTAAATTATAGTAGTAACAAAATAAAAGCTAACATTCTGTTAGCACTTGAGATAAGTATATAAACATCAGGTTCTAGCTATTTTTGCAATCAATCAGGCTAAGGTGAGAGGGGAAGCAGGGTTCACTCATTCAGAAGTCTGGATTGCAGACTCAACTGAAACAGACCTATTACTAAGTATCAGGCACCTTGCTGGGTGCTGTCCCAACATTTCATTTCGTGTTCACAGGAACATTTAGCAGATGACACAGCTCAGGTCCTGAAGGTGGAGTAACTTGTCCAAGACATCACCGTCAGTGTCCTAGCCCCAATCAACTATTTTCCACAACACCAAACTGCCTTACACTATATAGCTTTTCCATGTAAAAAGTTAACATGGGCTAGGCACAGTGGCTCATGCCTATAATCCCAGCACTTTGAGAGGCCGAGGAGGGAGGACTGCTTGAGGCCAGGAGTTCAAGACCAGCCTGGGCAACACAGCAAGACCCCCATCTCCACACACAAAAAATTTTTTTTAATTAGCAGCTGGGCACGGTGGCTCACGCCTGTAATCTCAGCATTTTGGGAGGCCGAGGTGGGTGGATCACCTGAGGTCAGGAGTTCGAGACCAGCCTGGCCAACACAATGAAACTCCGTCTCTACTAAAAACACAAAAAATTAGCCAGGCATGGTGGTGGGCGCCTGTAATCCCAGCTACTCTGGAGGCTGAAGCAGGAGAATCACTTGAACCCGGCAGATGGATGCTGCAGTGAGCCGAGATCGTGCCACTGCACTCCAGCCTGCGCAACAAGAGTGAAACTCCATCTCAAAAAAAAAAAAAAAAAAAAAGAAATTAGCTCAGTGTGGTGGCACGTGGCTGTAGTGCTAGCTACTCGGGAGGCTGAGGTGAGAGGATCACTTAAGCCTGGGGATTCAAAGTTGCAGAGAGCTATGATCATGACACGGCATTCCAGCCTGGGCAACAGAATGAGACCCTGTCTGTATTAAAACAACAACAAATGATTCTTCTTTGTTTCCCACAGTGAATCTGCAAGCCAGGTGGCTTTACCTTAAAGACATATCCTTTATGGGTGCCCTTTTCATTATTGCCAGGAAAATCTAAGTTATGGGCATCTTTTGCTTAGATTACTGCCAAAGCCTAAATGGTCACCCTGTATCCACTTGTGCCCAACTCTAGTCCATTCTTCATTCAGCAGTTAATTTTCCTAAAACATAGATCGCACCAGACACTTGCTCAGAACTCGTGGATTGCTTCCTAGTACACTTCTGATGATATCCACCATACTTACTGTGGCCTTATAAATCATACAGGATTACCACCTCTCTGCCCATCTTCCCAACTACAGCATGGCTCCACTGGCTTATGTCCAGGTCATCAAATGTTCCAAGTTCTTTCCACCCGCTGGGCCCGTGCATGTATTGCACCCTCTGAAACAATCTTTCAGCTACTCTTTCCACAGCTATCTCCTATTTATTCTTCATGTTTAACCCCCTTCTCAAAAACTTTTTTCTGAACTAATTACTTTCCTATACTTTTTTTTTTTTTTGAAAGAGTCTCACTTTGTTGCCTAGGGTGGAGTGCAGTGGCACGATCTTGGCTCACTGCAACCTCCGCCTCCCCAGCTTCAAGTTAATTCCCCTGTCTCAGCCTCCTGAGTAGCTGGGATTACGCCTGGCTGATTTTTGTACTTTCAGTAGCGACGGAGTTTCACCATGTTGGCCAGGCTGGCCTCGAACTCCTGGGCTCAGGTGATCCGCCCGCCTTGGCCTCCCAAAGTGCTGGGATTACACATGTAAGCCTCTGTGCCTGGCCCTAGACTGTCTTATAGAACACTGTACTGTTCCTTCACAAAACTTAACACAATTTGAAATGATATATTTACCCATGAAATTGTTTAATAAAACTATTTCTCCTATTAGACTATCATCCACAGGGTAAGGACTGGGTCTATTTTGCTTACTCCTGTTTTCTCAGCCCCCTCATAGAATGGGATGGTAAACTCAAGAAAAGTGCTTCTGCGTGGTATATCCATTATTAATACTGCATTTGATCCTCACAACAATCTTGTTTTTTTTAAAAAAGAAAACATTACAATATTTTACTAAAGATCCTGTACAGTTTTCTTTGTCCTACTTCTTGTAAGCGTTATTTTTTCAAAATGAAAATTGCTTTTCTGATTAAGAAAGAAACATGTTTATTCTAAAGGGAAAAACACGCCCACAATCCCACCAGAAATACCCACCTTCAACATTTTGATGCATGAACACATTCAGAAACCGGTATCACACTCTACATATTTTTTTGTATGTAATCTGTTTTATTTGCCCCCTCTATCCACCTAATATATTGTGGGCAACTTTCCATGTCCATAAGTCATTTATTTGTTAAACCATGTATTAAGTACCTTCTACTTGCTGGTCACTGTTGTGTACCATTATGCTTTGTAGGTACAGCAATTCCATCTTATGACTCACCTAACACTTATAAGGCAGTGTCTACCATCCTCCACGCCCTCCCTCAAAAAGCCTGATAAGCAGGAGACTTCTTCCAAGTCTTCCTACCTTGGTGACCCATTCCGTGTGCCCGGTGAGTGTGTTCAGGCATGTCCCAGCAGATAAAGCCCATACTTTCACAGTGAAGTCTGCAGAGCCGCTCACCAAGATATCCAGTTCATCATTGTAGTCCACGCTAAATACTAGTGCATATAATTACACAAAGTTAAAACATGTCTCTGTCAGTGGGTCTTTTATAATAGAGTTCAATAATGTTTATTTTCCCCAATTATATAATTTCCCAACCAGAGACACCGTAAGAATGATGCTATTCAACTAGCAATTTTCTGATAAAACTATTTCAAAATTCTTACTATTATAGCTTATTATTCTAAGGTGGAAAGTCCTAGGAATAATACAATCTCTTTTATTTGTGGTAGCTACAGTGAGAGGCAAAACAAATGTTGGAGATAATGGCATTCCTTCTTAGGACTGCCTGCCTGACACTACACAATACTTTATCTAATTTATGCAGGAAAACAAAACGTACATGGTCCTACTCTGATACACACTAACAGTAAGACAAAATATAAAGAATGGAAGCTGCAAAACAGCACCCAGACTCAAGAAAACCCAATGTAAAGAGAGAAAAAACAAAACAAAAACAAGGATCTCAAAGGTTAGATTAAGCCATTAACTCAAAAGTGTCTGAATTTCTTCACAGCTGTATCCCCAGCGCCAAAAACAGTGTAAGCTGTATAGTGTGTACTCAAATATTTGTTTTCAAATGTATACCAGTTCTAAAGGAACATTAGGGACCCAGAGATGAAGACACTGATTCTTCCTTTAAGGAACTCAATCTAAGTAGGGAGTGGAGGAGGAAGCCCAGAAAAAAATAAATGTTTACCTCTTGCTAGGGAAACATCAAGGAGAATGACTAACTCTGCCCAGGGGTATCAGGGAGGACTTCAGGGAAGAGGCGATATTGGAGATGGGCCCTAAAGGATGAGCAGAGTTTATCAAGGAAAGAAAAAAGAATACTGCAAGCAGAGGGAATAGTAAAGGTATGAAGTTAAGAAAAACCTCAGCAATGTCTAGGCAACAGTAATAAAAATTTTTAGAGCAGGGTTCTCAAAGTTGATCAGGAATAAAATCACCTGGAAGTCATGGTACATCTTAACATTGTGGAACATAACACTCAATTTAACATATACTTCCATGCATACATGCACCTTCAAATATTAATTTCTAACAAGTGGTAGCAGACAGCAAAGACTGAAGAAGAGTATATAGGAGGACAAATAAAATGAAGCAAAAAATACGTGTTTTTATTAGCCTAACGGCTAGTTTTACTTCAAAGAATCACTAAGCACCAGGTACAGTGCAAGTAACTCCAGTCACATGGGTGAACAAGACAGATAAGATCACTGTCCTTATGGAGTTTAGTCTGGTGGGGAAGCAAGATTATATTTGTATGATGAGCGGTCTACAGTAATACAAGTTACTGGGAAATAGAGGGACGCAACCTGTTAAGGGAGTTTTGGAAGGCTGCTCATAAACGTAATGCTTGACATTACAGACTATGATTCTCAGAGGCTAAAGCAGTGGGTAAATGGGGGAAAGGAAGGGAGCTGCTCAACACAAGAGGCTGGGAAATAGCTCAATTTCTACACAAAGCCTCCCCACCCCCGCCCCCGCCAAAAAAAAAGCAACAGAGAGAGAAGCTCAAATCTCAAGGCTATATTCAAATGACCAGTTTTTGCAAAATAAGGATGCTATACATTTATTAGGAAACATTCAGGTATGTTTCTTTCGCCTTATCTCTAGGTGGTAGCTTGTTTTAATCAACTGTCAACCAAGCTCAAACTGGATGTAATCTGTGTAGACCACACAATCTAAGAACCACCGTCACACCAAAGAACTTTCAGCCCTAATGCTACAAATAAAGTGGAATTTACACAAGTAGGATTTACTCAGTTCAGAGGTATGGAATCTGATAAAAGCCAAGGGACTGTCTGTTCAATAGGATATAAATGAAACAGGAGGGGGGAGAGAGAGAATGAGAGAGAGAGAGAGAAACAGAGAGAGAATGAAAACTACCCTTCCCACCAGAAGGGTACACACATAGAAGAAAGCAAGAAAAAGCAAAACTGGGTAAAACATTCGAAATAAGAGTAACTAGAATAAAGGGAAATAACTGCAATGACTAAGAAAGAGGGTTGAAAAAAGCAGGTTAAATTAAAAAAAAAAAAGCATTTCACATTCTTGGCTCCTGGCTTAAAAGGATGAGGCTAAGTTGTAAAAACCCTTGAAAAAGGGCAACCCACCCGCCCCCGTGTGCCCCCGAAAGTGCTGGGTCCTGGCTCCGGAACTCCATTCCCAGCAAGCCACAGTGTTGTCAAAGGAGCCTGTCACAAGCTTCTGTTCATCAAACTTCACCGCTGCACAAGTGTGGGTCTGGATGCCATAAACGCACTGCCCTGTGCTCACATCCCACAGCTTTGCAGACAAGTCATCTGACCCTTCAAGAGAAAAACAGGGAGGTTAATAAGAAAACAAACACACTAAAGAAGGAAAATCAATCCCAAAATCATGGTGTTCTTCAAGAACATTAACGGTCCCTTCCTCTAGCACTTTACTTTACCACTGAAGAAATCAAAGCACGGAGAGAGTAACACAACTTGCTTAGAGTCACCAAAACGGAGTCAAAAGCACTAGGACAGAATCCAAGCTTTTTGGGTGAGACACTTTCCCTTAACTTTTCAGGCTACAGAAGGTCATTAGACTAAAAGCATCCCTTGGTGCTTCCACTTGAAAAATTTCATAAATCCTTGGCTATCACGAGCTCTCTGATTTGACTTCAAATAAATAGGTATTACACATGACTGCATGTTTACACTTGCATGCTTGTCCATTACCCAACAGTTCTGAACAAATAAGGATTGTTAAATAGTAAAGGTGTTTGCTGAAATATATTCCACTCTAAGGCAAGTCAAGGACAAACCTCAGAGCCTGGGCTAACTTCTGCAAAAGCTAACTGCTAATTGCTCCAGTCATCTTGAAATACGTGAAGGAAGAAACCTCAAGGAAAACCTGGGATAAATTATCCCCAGATATTCACAACTCAACAAAAAGTTTGTAAAGCCTCTTAAGATTCTGAAGGGAAAAGTTGGCTTTATTTCTGCCTCTGATGAAAATTCTATACTAATCATGGTGACAATTCAGGACTTTGCTTTAAGTTTAAAATCCTAATGATTAATTCATTCTTACAATGACCCTTCAATAAGCCTCAACAAATAAAAAGACATTTTTGAGAATCCACTAAATACAGTCACTATGATAATGGCACAGTATCCTAGGAAAGCACCAAATGACCAGTTTTTAAAAAGCTGAAATGACTAAAGCCAGCCACAATTCTACCTTCAGTCAAGAACCACTGTTTGAGACAATGGAAAAATAGCCATCACTTATGAAAGAGCTAGAGTATGAATTTTAACCTGGGAAAACTATGATAGCATACTGAAATAAAGACTGTATTTATTGTCACTTTGCTATTTAGACTGTTTCCTTCTGTATAAAAAGAGGGGTAGGACTTGGTTGGTTCTCAATGGCCATGTGATACAACTTTATCAAAACACACAGGCAGGTCCCTATTTTCAGAGAGTTTAACTTGGGGAACATCTGAGGCAGGGTCCAATAATCTTAAAAGTTTGCCAGGTGATTCTAACTCATCAGCAATATTTTGAGAGCCAATGGTCTAGAACGGTGCTATCCAACAGAAAATATAATGCAAACTGCAGATATAATTTAAAATGTCCTAATAGTTACATTAAAAAAGAAATGTTGGGCCGGGCGCAGTGGCTCATGCCTGTAATCTCAGCACTTTAGGAGGCCAAGGCAGGCATATTGCCTGAGCTCAGGAGTTCAAGACCATCGCGAAACCCTGTCTCTACTAAAATAAAAAAAATCAGCCGGGCATGATGGCGCGCCTATATTCCCAGCTACTCGGAAGGCTGAGGCATGAGAATCGCTTGAGCTGGGGAGGCAGAGGTTGCAATGAGCTGAGATCACGCCACTGCATTCCAGCTTGGACTACAGAGGGCCTCCACCTCAAAGAAAAAAAAAAAAAAAAGAAATGTTAGCCAACATGGTGAAACCCTGTCTCCACTAAAAAAAATACAAAAATTAGCCAGGCATGATGGCGTACGCCTGTAGTCCCAGCTACTCAGGAGGCTGAGGCAGGAGAATCACTTGAACCCGGGAGGAGGTTGTAGTGAGCCAAGATCACACCACTGCACTCCAGCCTGGGCAACAGAGGAAGACTCTGTTTCAAAAAAAAAAAAAAAAGAAAATGTGTTAAAATAATTAAATGTGTTTAACTCAGTATGTCAAAAATGTCATTTGAACATGTAATCAATACAAATATTGAGATATTTTATATTCTTTTACATTGTATGTCTTTGAAACCCAGTATTTCACACCTCCATTTGGACTAGCCACAGCTCAAGTACTCAAAAACCACATGGCGCTAGTGGCTACTGTACCGGAGAGCGTAAGCCTAGATAGTCTTTAAGGCCTTCAGTTCAGGCATGTTGTGACTGTATTCCTAAGGAGCTAGAGTAGGAAAGGAAATCATTTTAGGTCCTTTATGAGCTTGGTTTTGGTTACCAGTGTTCAACTGGGGTCTCATTCATTCATTCAACATATATTTATAGAACTTCTGTGTCAGGCAGGATTCTTGTTCTCATGGCACTCAGTCTACTTGGGAAGACAAAAAGGCTAAACAAGCAATAATAATTCAGTATAGTAGCTGGCAGGCACTACAAAAGCCCATAGCAAATACAAGGAGAGGACAAGAAGAGAAAACATCTCAGACGAGGCTCCACTGAATTTATGACCATGCTCTATAACACGTGCCTTAGGAACTGGCATGATTGGTTCTTCAACTACACTCCTCTTTTGTTTTTAAGCTGGGCTTTGGTATAGGACTGTTTCAAGAAAGAATATCATGGCAAAAAAAAAAAAACCTTTAAGTTTTAACTAATTTAAACCTAAGGATGAATAAGTTAGCCAGGCCAAAACAAAACAAAAGGAATAGTATATACCAAAACTTTTTCTGTAAAGGGCCTGATAGTAAGTATTTTAGACGTTGACCTATTGAGTTGCAATTACTCTCTTCTGCTGGATTTGGCCCACAGTCCACAGTTTGCCAATCCCTGGTATATACCTATTAAAGCAACTATTAAATATCTCTATATGCAACACAAAAATTATTGAAAAGGAACTGGGATCAAGTCATAAAGAACTATTTGGAATCATTCAAAAAACCGTCTAGGAGTTATTTACAATGCTTGTCAAAAGCACTGCCTAAAACATGAACACTGATTATGAAAACAGTTCAGTCTGACTGCGAAATAGTGGCAAGGTTTGGCTGCAGAACTGGGTTAGGAGGTTGTTTAACTATGACCTTATTTGCATATCAGAAAGATCACTATGGCTATATCATGGAAAAAGGTTTGAAGGGGGGAAAACTAGAGGCAAGAAGGCAGTTAAAAACCAGGGGAGAGGACAAACAAAATGTGACACATACATGGAATATATTTTATATACATACACACACACACACACACACACACACACACACACACACACATACACACACACACATATATACATACATGGAATGGAGTTATTCAGCCTTAAAAAGGAATAAAATTGGCCGGGTGTGGTGGCTCACACCTGTAATCCCAACACTTTGGGAGGCCGAGGCGGGAGGATCACCTGAGGTCAGGAGTTTGAGACCTGCCTTACCAACGTGGAGAAATCCCATCTCTAATAAAAATACAAAAATTAGCCAGGCGTGGTGGCGCACGCCTGTAATCCCAGCTACTTGGGAGGCTAAGACAGAAGAATTGCTTGAACCCGGGAGGCGGAGGTTGCGGTGAGCCAAGATGGCGCCACTGCACTCCAGCCTGGGCAACAAGTGCAAAACTCCGTCTCAAAAAAAAAAAAAAAAGAATAAAATTCTGAGATGTTATGATATGGAAGAACCTTGAAGACATCATGCTAAGTGAACTAAGCCAGCCACAAAAGAACAAATACTGTATGATTCCACTTATATTAGGTTCCTAGAGTAGTCAAATTCATAGAAAGTAGAATGGTGGGCCAGGCATGGTGGCTCATGCCTGTAATCCCAGAACTTTGGGAGGCCGAGGCTGGTTCACCTGAGGTCAGGAGTTTGAGACCAGCCTGGCCAACACGTTGAAACCCCGTCTGTACTAAAAATACAAAAATTAGCCAGACACGGTGGCGCATGCCTGTAATCCCAGCTACTCGGGAGGCTGAGGCAGGATAATCGCTTGAACCTGGGAGGTGAGGTTGCAGTGAGCCAAAATTGAGCCACTGCACTCCAGCCTGGGCACCAAATTGAGACTCTGTCTCAAAAAAAAAAATAAAACAAGCAAGCAAGCAGAATGGTTGTTTTGCCACAGGCTGTGGGGGAAGGGGCATGGGCAATGTTTAACTGACAGGGTTTAGGCTGGACATGGTGGCTCATGCCTGTAATCCCAACACTTCAGGAAGCTGAGGCAAGAAGAGTGCTTAAGCCCAGGAGTTAGAGATCATCCTGGGAAACATGGTGAGACCCCATCTCCATAAAAAATACAAAAATTAGCTGGGCATGGTGGCACACACACGTAGTCCCAGCTACTTGGGAGGCCAAAGTGGAAGAATCGCTTGAGTCCAGGAGGTAGAAGTTACAGTGAGCCAAGATCATGTCACTGTACTCCAACCACTCCAACCTGGGCTACAGAGTGAGACCTTATCTCAAAAGAAAACCCCCCCAAAAACAAACAAAAAAATTGGATACAGTTTAACTATATAGTGTATTATATACTGTTTATACAGTTAACACTGTATAGTGTTTAACTGATACCATTTTAGTTTGGGAAGATGTAAAGTTCTGGAAATGGATAGTGGTGATGACTGCACAACAACGTAATGTACTTAATGGCACTCAACTGTATGCTTTAAAATGATTAAAATGGTAAATTTTATGTTATGTATGTTTTCGCACAATTTGCAAAAAAAAAGGTTATCCAAACTAATTATTTAAACTAGTTTTTATAGGAAAACATTGTGCCAGTTTTACACCCTAAAAAAAAATAATAATAATCAGGTTGAGTCGAGTTCCATTTATAGTGATGCAAGTCTACTCCTGAGAATCCTTTAGGAATCACTGTTCTCTGCTCCTTTCTGGCTTTATGTCAGCCTCCCCTCTGGACTCCCATTTGCTGCACTGGCTAACCCAACATGTTTTCAAAGAGGTCACCAGTGATGCAGCATAGAGGTGAAAGAGGACTAAAGAAATGTGGACTCTCACACTGCACGAAAGAAAAAAATCCCTCCCCATTCAGTATCTTAAAAATCTTAATAATACTTTAAAAAAAATCAGACTATTGCACAGAACTCTAGATTTCAGGCTTCTCTTGAAGTCAGATCTAACAACTCTGACCCTGAATCCCACCCACATGGCAATAATTTATTACAATGGAGCACCAGCTGCACTCTTTAGAAAGGCAAGTGTTCTTGATTTGCTATAGTCCACACAGAGACTTTTACCTCAGTCAGGTCATCTTCCTGGTCCCAGTGTGTATGTTCCACAAGAAAAAACTGCTCTAATTCATCCGTGTATGCCCTCACATTGTTTTTCAAACAGTAGGCATCCCATAAGTAAATATCTACTGAACAGCACAAAGCATAATAGATTCCTTTCTTACCATTTCAGAAATAAATTGCGAAAGAGAAAGATAACTACCTCAATGTCATTAGCCATTAATCTCTTCAATAAAACTGTCTATTGCTTACTCAAGGCACTAATGTGAGAGTCACTAAGTTTATTGCCAAATTCAGGGTTTCCCAATTCCACCACAATGAGAATTCAATCTCTTAAGTAACAAGATGACACAAACACATGTACAATTCTGTCACAAATACCTCTCTTCACAGTTCCAGGGATGCTGCTGTTAGAAAAATTAAACTAATACTTTGGATCATTTTCAACCACTGCACAGCGTAATTTTAAATATGCAAACCTGATGAATTTAATCAGAATAAAAATCACATTAACATACAGACCCACCAAGAGAATAATCTTAAAATGTAGAATTGTAGATATTAACTTTCCAGGTAGTTAGAGAATTCAGTGAATATTTCCCATTTACTTCCACTCCAAGTAACTGCAGTTTTTACTACATTTCAAAAATAAGGTTTGATGAGAGAAGAAAAAAACTTTTTAAAGCAAGAGGACCTAGGCATAGTGGCTCACACCAGTAATCCTAGCATTTTGGGAGGCTGAGACGGGCGGAGTGCTTGAGCCCAGGAGTTCGAGACCAGCCTGGGCAACATGGTGAAATCCTGTCTCTACAAAAAATACAAAAAGGATCCAGGCATAGGGTTGCTCGCTTGTAGTCCCAGCTAAACCCGGGAGGCTGACATGGGAGGATCACCTGAGCCCAGGAGGTGGAGGTTGAAGAAAGCCAAGATCACATCATTGCACTCCAGGATGGAGCTACCCAGTGAGAGGTTGTCTCCAAAAAAGAAAAAAAAAAAATGCGGCTGGGTGCAGTGCCTCACACCTGTAATCCCAGCACTTTGGGAGGCCGAGGCAGGCAGATCATCTGAGATCAGGAGTTTGAGACCAGCCTGACCAACATGGTGAAACCCCTTCTCTACTAAAAATACAAAAATTAGCCGGGCTGTGGTGGCGCGTGCCTGTAATGCCAGCTACTGAGGAAGCTGAGGCGAGAGAATCGCTTGAACCCAGGAGGAGGAGGTTGCAGTGAGCCGAGACTGCGCCACTGCACTCTAGCCCGGGTGACAGAGGAGCTCCTGTTTCAAAAAAAAAAAAAAAAATGCTACAGGTGGTTGTGAAAAAATGGTCAACTGCCAGTAGGAGCTCCAAGCTCCAAGATGATACTGCATCTTAATATTTTTTTTTTTTTTGAGACAGGGTTTTGCTGTGTTGCCCAGGCTGGAGTGCAGTGGCACAATCTTAGCTCACTGCAACCTCCACCTCCTGGGCTCAAGCGATCCTCTCACCTCAGTCTCCCAAGTAGTTGGGACCACAGGTGTGAGCCAGCACACCCAGCTGTTTTTTTATTTTTTTGTAGAGATGGGATTTTGCTATGTTGCCCAGGCTGGTCTCAAAACTCCTGGGCTCACATAATCTGCCTGCCTTGGCCTCCCAAAGTGTTGGGACTACAGGCATGAGCCCCCTCATTTGGTCAACTGCATCTTAATCTTTTAAAATCATGAGGCAAAAGAGACATGGAAAAGCCATCACCACAACAGAGAAAGTACATCAAAGCCTAGAAGAACTGGTGATGTTGTTCTAGTAATCAGGCTTGTAACACAAGGAAAATAAAGTGTGAAATAACTTCAGGATGACAAACCAAACCATGAAATGCTTTAAATCAAATGTTTATTTTCCAAAACCAGCAGAGTGTCTAGCATTTCAGAGAAAATATCACCACATAATACATACCCTTAATGAATAAAGAAATGCATTGTAAAACGGTCTTGAGAAATGATACATCTCAACATTAAAAATATTTAAATTGAGTCTGGTGAGACTCCTGAGGGAGAAGCAAGTTACTTAACACTATATTGGTATGGCATCAATTCAATCTATCTGGAAAGGGCACTAAGAAGAGCTATAAAATTGGGCCGGGCACGGTGGCTCACGCCTGTAATCCCAACACTTTGGAGGGTGGATCACCTGAGGTCAGGAGTTTGAGACCAGCCTGGGCAACAAGGTGAAACTCCGCCTCTACTAAAAATACAAAAAAAATTAGCCGGGTGTGGTGGCGCACACCTGTAATCCCAGCTACTCGGGAGGCTGAGGCAGGAGACTCGAACCCTGGAGGCAGAGGTTGCAGTGAGCCGAGATTGCACCACTGCACTCCAACCTGGGTGACAGAGTGAGACTCCATCTCAAAAAAAAAAAAAAAAAAAAAAAAAGAGCTATAAAATAATTCATACTTCTGTATCTGGTGATTCTACTTTTAGACTTCTATCCCAAATGAATTCAAGGGAAAAAGAGGTAATACAAAGACACTAATAAAAACAGAAACAATCTGAATATGCATTGATATGGTTAAGCTTTGTGTCCTCACCCAAACCTCATCCTGAACTGTAATCCCCAGGTATTGAGGGACAGACTTGGTGGGAGGTGACTGGATCATGGGGGTGGCCCCCCATGCTGTTCTCATGATAGTGAGTGAGTTCTCTCCAGACCTGATGGTTTTATAAGGGCCTCTTCCTGCTTCACTCACACTCTCTCTCTCCTGCTGCCTTGTGAACAAGGTGCTTGCTTCCCCTTCGCCTTCCGCCATGATCATATTGCCTTCTGACATGATTGTAAGTTTCCTGAGGCCTCCCCAGCCATGTGGAACTAGGAGTCAATTAAACCTCTTTTCTTCATAAATTACCCGGTCTTAGGCAGTTTTTTTAGCAGTCTGAGAATGGACTAATATATGCATTAATATGGAAATGGCTAAATAATGACTATTGATATATTTACAAAAAGGAACAGTTTATACCGTAATACACAAATGTTTATTGGAAGTTATCTTGGATGAAAAAGAACACCAAGTATTTCTATATATTATATACAATGTAAGGAAACAGGCATTGGGATTATTAGCAAGAACTGCCTGGAGTTATTCTAAATGCTGCCTAAGAATTATTTACATTGCCTGTCAAAATGTATTATCTAACACATGGGCATTAGTTATAATCATATACAGAAACACACGTCCATTACAAATGGAAAATAACATATAATTTTAAATTTTTAATAATTATATTGTTTCATAAAATTACTTAATTGCCTAGTTAAAAAATATCCAGCTCTCTCTGTTCCCAGGCCCAAACTCCAACTTCTACTTCTTCTACTTAGAATCACAGGATTTCAGAGCAAGGAAGAAATATCTCCTTTCATATATACATATATATTTATTTTGAGATGGAGTCTCACTCTGTCACCCAGGCTGGAGTGCAGTGGCACCATCTCAGCTCACTGGAACCTCCGCCTCCCGGGTTCAAGCGATTCTCCTGTTTCAGCCTCCCGAGTAGCTGGGATTATAGGCGCATGCCGCCACGCCCGGCTACTTTTTCGTATTTCAGTAGAGACGGGATTTCACCATGTTGACCAGTCTGGTCTCGAACTCCTGAGCTCAGGCAATCCACCCGCCTCGGCTTCCCAAAGTGCTAGAATTACAGGCATGAGCCACTGCGCCCGACCTCCTTTCCCATATTTTAAAGATACAGAGAGGTTAAGTAATTTGGCCATAATGATCTAACTACTTGCTAGGATTAGATACCAATTTTTCCACTGTTTTTTTCCTCAAATATCAGTGCCAACAGAAAAAGAAACAGAATTTAGCAACAGAGGACTACACATGGAGGAAACACAAAGAAAAAGTAATCTATAGCTTTGTAATTCACATAATGTTTAAAAGACAGTCTGAAGTGTTTTTCTCATAAAATTTTATAAAAATGATTGTGTTCTCTAGAGAGAAGGAAGAGGATAAGGGGGGGGAACCACTCAGGATTAGAGAAAAAAAGTCACTGTACATATCTCATATAATCAACACTTGTCATTCTCAAAGCTCAAGACTGGTTCAAGATTACACCCTATGAAATACAAAACAAAACCCAAAAAGCAGTTTCAACATCTCTTACCTGTACAGAGAAGTCCATCTTTGTAGTAAAGTGCATACACTCTGGCACTGTGTCCAATTAATGACGAGGTTTCAAAGGCTTCATGGTCCTCCAGTTGCTTCATTCTCAAAATAGCCTTCAAATAAACCTTCTTCCAGTGCAAAGCGTCCTGAACAGAATCATCTATCTGCCAGCCCAAATTTTTACATGCAGTCTGCCACACCTCTGTACAGGCACTTATCACCTTATTCCACTGTTTAGAGACGAGGCAGCATGTGAGTAAAGTCTGAGGATCGAGCCATTTTAACAAATAAAAACTGAGCTCCAGGGGAAGGAGTTTGAGGAAGTCCCGCTTGAGGAGAGTCTCTAGGTTATTGGAGAGATGCCTGAGCTGGACTGCCCCACTCAGACTAATCAGGTGATCCAGAGTTTCATTTTTCTGCAAGTCCGTCAGAGAAAGAAATGTAACAGAAATGTTATCAAGCCATGTCTCAAAGTCCTTTCTCTCCATAAGGTTATGGAAAAATTTACCTGTGGCACATCAAAATATTGTATTAGTTCTGCTCAAAAAGACTGTTCAAGCAAGACTGCTAACAAATGAAGTATTAAAAATTAGTGTAAAAAATCTGCCATTACAACTTTATGCGTAGTTACATTACAACTTTACAGTTAATACACCATATTTATCTGAACACTTTCCATGCACACAAAAGAAAACACATTTGAGAAAACATACTTTAACAAATCATGAATCCAAAACATGTCAGTGAAACAGACTGGCGTGTGTGACTTATTCCTCTTGAAGTCTAGCACGTGCTACATGCATCTTCATAGTAATAGATTTACCAACAATTCATTATAAAACAGTATATTTTACAATACACCCTTCCCCCATCAAAACCATTATAAAACAATTTCCTTAATGAATTCCTTAATACATTCTATTTGGGTACTAAAATCACAAAAGCAAGCACCAGGATGTGACAATCAGAAACAGTCTCCTGAGCAGTAACCTGAGACACTGATTGTCATGGCAGGCACAACCTGTCACCAAAATCATAGAACTGACTACTTGGTTTTGCAACAGATGTTCAGATGAAAAGGTTTAGGGAAGAAAAGCAGGTGTGGTAAGTTATCTGCCTCAGGAATTCTGGTTCTTCCAACTTCTTTATGGCACTGCCTGTTTAGAACATGAATTATAAAAGAACTTATGTGGCTTTAGTCTGTTTTTCTAAACCTCATATGAGCTAGTGACAACTCTTAACCACGTGCCCCCGAGAGCCATGAGGGGTCCTGGAGGCCTGCACAAATAAAGCAAATTAATAATCCTGATGTTTATAAAACACCAGAAAATAGACATTATCATCTTCACTTTGCAAATGAGGAAACTACAGGTTAGAGAAGGTATGTGATTTGCCTATATTCACAGGGCTACTAAATAGCCACAGAACAGACTGGACGCCAGTGCTCTCAAGATCAGGTACCAAGCTCTCTCTCTAAAATAAGTGACAACCAGGAGAACCACGACCAAGTGGTAAGATCTGGAGGTAGTGTGTCTACCCGTTAGACCATTTTCTCCTTTAGGAGAATGACAAATTGCTCCTGAGCTAACTGTAACAAATAATTTTTTTTAAAGTATCCTGTATTAGTGTCAACAGGTGTTAATTCACTCTTAATGAGGATTAGACTAATGAAAGATTACAAAAAATATAACCAGTAAAAACTATCTTTCTCAAGACTATGTGTTGATAGATGTTAATGCTGGGTGATGTGTACATAGGGATTTATTATTCTCTTTATTTCCATATATTTAAATATTTCCATGGTTTAATAAAAACTTTCCTTCTGAATACTCAGTTTCTCACAAGACTGTCATATTAATTTTAAAAACATATGTCCAAATTAATGTGAAAAAGGAAAGTTAATTTCTTTCCAGACATATCACCTAGATCAGGTCTACACAAAAAGCAAGATCTCATCTTTCAACTTTGATAATGTAAGGTGAGTAAAATTGTAAGTGTCCAATATCAAATTTGGCAATAACATTCTTAGACAAATAAGCAATCTGATTTATTAGTAGAAGCAACCAAACCTTGCAATCACATCATCTGCTAACAGTTTTGATTTCTGGAACTGTGACTAGACTTCAAGATAATACGTTTCAAGCCAAAGTTTGGGCTAGAGAAGATTTATTAATCTGTATTAAAAATTTACCTAGCTGACAAAAAATAATCAGATGGCTAAAAGTTTTATCGACTTATCACGCAATAACAAGCCCCCTCCTTCCTCTAAATCCTAACAACCCTCTTATCTATACAACATTTCTTCAAAATCTCTACTTCTAAAAAATAATAATTTGCAACAAGACAAAGCAATTATCTTCTGTGGGCATCTGCATATTGTCACAATAGCTAGTTAATTAATACTGGTCAATTAAAAACACACACCAGGCTGGGCACAGTGGCTCACGCCTGTAATCACAGCACTTTGTGAGACTGAGGTGGGCTCGGCCGGATCACGAGGTCAGGAGATCGAGATCATCCTGGCTAACACAGTGAAACCCCATCTCTACTAAAAATACAAAAAATTCCCCTGGCATGGTGGTGGGTGCCTGTAGTCCCAGCTAGTCGGGAGGCTGAGGCAGGAGAATGGCGTGAACCCAGGAGGCGGAGCTTGCAGTGAGCCGAGATCACGCCACTGCACTCCAGCCGGGGCGAGAGAGCAAGACTCCATCTCAAAAAAGAAAAAAAAGAAAAAAAACCACACACCTGCTCCTGAAACATTTTTAACAGTGAAAAGTGTGGTGTGGCAAGCTTCCTCCATCACATCTACACATACATATATACACACATACATACACATGCTGACACACATCTATTGTAGAAATGCTTGTATTTAAGTGAGCTGAACTGTTATTCAAACGGCTACAAGGCAAATTTAGAATACTCATTAAAATATTATCAGGTTCCCATCATTCACAAATATCTAAGAGACATACTATAATATGCCAAATTCACATGTATACCTATGTAACAAACCTGCACGTTGTGCACATGTACCCTAGAACTTAAATTTAAAAAAAAAATGCCAAATTAATGTGCCCATGACACCGCTAAAGATTACGGAAGAAGCTTTTTCAGAGAGCACATCTAAAAAAATTCAGCCATGTCTCAGATTTATATATTCTCCTAACTCTTAATAAAAAAAATTTTCCCAACTCTTAGATTGCCTTTTAAACCACTCAATCCCTTGTAAGATTGAGCAGTTCACCTCTGATTATTCTGAAAAAGGCATTTTTTTCCCTAAAAAAGCAAGTCTCACTAACTGCAGAATGCACTATTTAAAAAACACCAATTTTTACTTTTCTGAACAGATCAACTAACTTTGGAGGGGGCCTTCTAAGGTAACAGGTCTAAACTGGACTCTTTTAGGCAGCCTCTAGAAATATCATACACTGGTTGCACAAACCTCAGGAAATGGGATTTCAATTCAACATGAGGAGCTTTTAAATCTCAGCGCTTTCCAACAATGGAATAGCTACCTCCAGAGTAGTGAGTTTCCCATTACCACGAACAGTCAAGGACAGTTGGACACAGAGGCAGAATGTGATAAATGAAAATACTTTGGAGGTTGGCCAGATGTTTTACTGATTCAGCCACTTCCTATGTGATTATGGGCATGTCCAACTAACTTTTAAGCTTCAGTTTTATCATCTGTAAAATGGAAGCCATCATCCAACTTGAAGGGTGAAACTCAGAAATATAGCAGGGACATGCTTAGCACAGTGTACAGTCTAGCGGGTAAAAACTCAAATGGTACTTTTTGTTAGTTTTACTACTATGAACACCTGGCAGTAAAGATTTCTGTGACACTAAGGGTGGAATGGACATGACCACTAACATCTCTTTTGACCCTATCATCTTATCACTAAGTTTCTCTTCAAAATACCTGGAAGAAAAACTCAAGGGCTCAAACTTACTAGGGGTTTAATTTTATAAAGAAGAGCACCTGTTTATTGGAGGCTCTAGTTTCCCAGTAGGTGCCTTATTCTACCCACATTCCCTGCTGTTTGGCCCCCTTACCCTACGTCCCTACCCCAGAGTTAACATTCAACTTGCCCTCTTGCCTTCAGTATCAATAATCACAAAGTGGGTCATGCAACAAAAAGACTCCTAAATTGGAAAATGAGAGCCTGGGTTTGGTCTCAGGTTCTGCCATTAACTCCCTATGTTACCTAGGCAACTCACATATTTATATTGGTTTTAAAGAAAAAGTACCACTGGTAAACATTATCTCATTTCATCTTCATAACCTCATGGAAGGTATCAGTAATGCCGCCCTTAACTAACATTAATGAGGAAATTTACGGCTCAAGAAGTGGAGTGGCCTTCCCAGAATGGCACAGGAAGTAGCAGGCTCAATATTTTGCCCAGTACCCATTCTCCCAAAACCTATACTCAGAGGTATTAGAGACAGGACCTTCTGGAAAACAGTGTAAATGTGTTTTCCCCTCCTCCTCTATCAGAACCTGGCCTAGTCAAGAGTGAAAGCAACATAATTGTTAGTGGTAGAGGGAAGGAGGCTTCATTTCCCCCTTTTCTTATCAAACAAAGAGCACAGAGGCGCTGAAAATGTATACACACCTATAAACTTACATATGCATAAAATGTATTCTGAATATTCAAGAAACTGATAACCCTGGTTGCCTCCAGAGAGAACTGGAGAGCTGCAGAATAGGAATGAGGGGTCCCTTTTTATTGTATACCTTTTAAAACTGAAAACCATGTTAAGTATAATATACTATCAAAAAATAGCCTTTAGTTTTAAGGTGAATTTTTTTAAAGCTTTGAAAGAATACAAATAATGTTTATAAAATATGTGTTCTGCAACTCCACTTGTTGCTGGGTGACCTTGGGCAAATCACTTCACCTGTCTCATGCCCTGTTTCCTCACTTGTAAAATACAGCCAAGAGCATTACCTACAAGGGTTTTTATGAGGGTTAAACAAGACAGTGCAAGTAAAGCGTTTAGCACAGTACTCGGCACGCTGTAAGCCTACAGTAAATGTCAGTTACCATTATTACTTAGCATTAATATTGTTATCTTTGCTTTACTTCAAGCAGCACCCCACATACACACCTGTTTTCATGGCATACCCACAATTATGGCGCAGTATAGCGCTTTGTACTTCATAAACCACCTCATCACACTTCATCGTCTTTCAAACGTTTGGTAGCCCTGGGACATCACTGTTAACTCATTTCGCAGCTAAGGAAATGGAGGCAGTAGGAGGCAGTAACTCCAAAACCCTGTTTTCCCGTCTCTAAAATCCAGATCCCATCAACCCATTCGTTGCTCCCAGGTCCCTTGCTCTCGGAATCGTGTTCCGCGCGGCACTGACCTGAGCGAGCGCCCCGGGGCCCGGGACCTCGCGCCGGGTTCACAGCTACTAGGCACGCTCGGACCGCCAGAGCCTTGCAGCGGCCGGGTCCGCTCCGCAGCCATGGCGCCTGCAGGGAAAGAAAAACAGCCAAGGCGCGGCGGGTCAGCAGAGCCGCGGGCGCCTAAGAGTCCCCTCCCCGACCGGCCCCGCCTCGCATACAGACCCGGACCTGCGGCCGCTGCTCCCGGTCCGCAGCCTCACAGGGGAGCGGCTTCCGGTGCTGCCTGCGTCATCTCCGCGCGTCCCTCAGCTCCGCGGCTCCCGGCGGAAGCGGCTGCACTTCCGGTCCCCGCCCGGAGGTGGGTGGTGGGAGGCTGGAGGCCGGGAGTAGGGGTGGGGAGAAGAGCGTCCCGGGAAGCTGAACGCGTGCCGCGCGGCCCTCACGGTGCTTAGGCTGGGTGCAACCTAGAACGGAGGTTCCTTTCGTACCGTACATCCAGGTTTGCACAGCGCGCTTATGTCCCTCCTCCAATCTGATCTTGCACCAGCTCTGCAGTAGTTTTTCTTATTATCCTCATTTTACGGAGGAGAGGGAGCTGTGGCTTAGAGAAGTTAAGAGACGTGTCCAAATTCATACAACCTGTTGGGCACCTCTTTATCCCGAACGCTGTTCTAGGGGATAGGGTTAGTGAACAAAAAACGCAAAAGCCCCTGACCGCCTGGGCCTTACATCTATTAGGAGGAGGAAGACAGATAAACTAAGGCTCGTGCAAAGGAGAAAAATAAAGCAAGGTAAGGAGGTTGTTGAATGAAAAGAGACAGTCAAGTGATGTAGATTTGAATGAATCACAACGTTTACACTCTGGCTGTGGCCCGGTTACTTAACCTCTCAGACTTTGCTTCATCTGCATAGCAATTATAGTGAGGTCCCCATCCGAAGGCTCTGAGGATTGAAGGAAATGAAGCATGCAAACCTTTTGGCGTCAAGAACTAAAACTGAGCTAAAAAATCCCACGCACTCTTTCTCAACATTTTTTGTGTACCATCTCACTCAGTTCCCACAACAACCCCACAAGCTAGTAACTATTATTAGGCCCCTTTTTAGAGATGGGGAAACTGAAATCAAAAGAGGTTTAGGCATCTTGCCTAAGGTCATAGTAAATGGCTGTCATAGGATTTCAACCCAAACCGACTTCAGAGCACAAGTTATCCTTTTTTTTTTTTTGAGGCAACGTATCACTCTGTCGCCCAGGCTGGAGTACAGTGACACGATCTTGGCTCACTGCAGCCTCGACTTCTCCAGGCTCAAGCGATCCTCCCACCTCAGCCTCCTGAGTAGAAGGGACCACAGGCGCGTGTCACCATGCCCAGCTAGTTGTGTGTGTGTGTGTGTGTGTGTGTGTGTGTGTGTGTGTGTATTTTTGTAGAGTCAGGGTTTCGCTATGTTACCCAGGCTGGTCTTGAACTCCTAGGCTCAAGTGATCCACCTGCCTGGGCCTCCCAAAAAGTGCTGGGATTACAGGGGTGAACCACAATGCCCAGCGCACAAGTTATCCTTGTTTCTCTGTAAGGGTTCCTAAGCCATACATGCATACACGCACATTCACATACATCTTATACCAACACTGTCCAATAAGCTTTTTGCCAGTGATGGAGTTGTTCTGTTGGTGCTGTCCAATAAGGCAGTCACTAGTCTCTTGTGGCTACTGAACATTTGAAAAGTACCTGATGTAAATGAACTAAATTCTTAATTTTATTTAATTTTAATTTAATAGCCACATGAGGCTAATGGCTACCATGCTTGATAGCACAGTCCAATAATATAGACAATAAGAGAGACACATATCCAGTAGATGGTAGAGCATGGCCAAGGTTCCAAGCATCCTGACTTCATTTAGGGTACTTGAAACATGGGAAATAAAAATTGATTATGTGGGGTGGAAGTCAACTACGGTGTCCTAAAAGTAAGGTCTCAAGAGAGCAAATTTGATTTGCTAAGCAACAGGATGTCACTCTAGACTTCTAAGTCAGAACGTGACTGATCACAGCATTATAAGACATTTAGGAAGACAGATATACAGATTGGATACTCTCTATGAAAGGGAAGGCAGTACCAGGGTAATCAAGAAAATCAAGCACCCATATCTCTTTGGAGCAAACATTCTCAACCCCAGTACAGTTTGATGAATCAAATTGAAAAGTCCAGATGGAGCTGCCCCAGAGATAATATTGTTTGGACCTCTCATAACAAAGAAACCAAATTGTGCAAATTTAAGCCCAGAGGGGATCCAGGAGCAAAATTCATGACTATAAAAAAATTTTTAAATTGCAAAGTGGACGTAATATTTAATTAAATACAAGACCTATTGAATTGTTAAATTCAGAATATGTAAAAATTCCCTTTCATTTGATATTTTTAGGTTAGATTTTTCCCACTTTGTAAAGATTTTCAAGATTGTATGATGGTTGCTGAGAAAACATAGCCAACTTTAAATATAAGAAGTTATTCCTGGCCAAATAATTACAAAAGCTGTTGTAAATGGCAGATAGGAAGATCAACATGTTGGATGTTGAAGGAAAGGACGAAATATAGCCTGGCATGAGAAAAGAATGCTCAGTATAATTGCTTGTGTGACAGGAACATGAAAATATGCTGAATGTTGTTTCTTTTCTCGAAATAAACTTGCTGGTAGAAATGATGTTTGGGATAATTCCTACACATGCATACTCCAGGAAAGGAGAAAACATCAAATGTTTAGTTTCTTCAATTCCGGCTAAAGTGGACTGTATGTTGTCTTCCATTTTGAGCTAAACTTGCCTGGGGAGGTAGTTTAGATGACTTAAAATTGATTTAGTAAAGTGCTTGCATAGCCAATACTAGGGATTCTGAATCCTTCCCAATGAGCCATACACCAGACCTCACCATATGATGTTTCTTTGGGAGAAAATAATGCACCCACTAGGGATGAAAAATCTTCCTCTATGTCTAGTACAGTTTTTGCATGTGTATGTACCAGGGAGCAGGCATTACTCCAGCTGTTTGGTTTCTTGAGATGCACTCCAAAAAAAAGTATAGGATATATCTACTTGTGCAATGATGCTATGGAGAAGTGATCTGGGTAACTGTTCTTTGAACTTCCACACACACTTTACCAGGAACTCAGCATAAAGACATGGGGTCAGTTTCATGAAGTACACAGGGTTGGAAGCATTTGAAGAGGTTTGCTTTGTCTGTTCTTTGTTCTGGATTCACTCTAGCTGTAACATGATCAGCACCCACTCTCCTATGCAGTCAGCAGGTATTCTAGGATAAAAGCTCAGGTTGATTGGCAAGAAACCTTATCCTCAAAAGTTGAGGCACAAAGTACTTTACTGCAATTGCTGTTAGACTAGAGTGATCCTGAGATGCGTTTGGGCATAATTGGCACCTGGACTCAATAATTTCTAAGACCCTGAAGTTGCTCACAGGCAACATGCAAGTAAGTTTCTTACAATCTTTAAAGCATTTGATATCTAGTAAAATAGGCTTTGAGGAAGCTGAAATTTTTTTCTATGTGTAAATGAGAAAATGGAAAGGAGTTCAGATTATAATTGCTGGGTTTTTTTTGTTTTGTTGTGTTTTTTGACTGTTTAAAGGACATGGGGGCCAGGTGCGGTGGCTCACGCCTGTCATCTCAGCACTTTGGGAGGCCGAGGCAAGCGGATCACCTGAGGTCAGGAGTTCAAGACCAGCCTAGCCAATATGGTGAAACTCCGTCTCTACTACAAATACAAAAATTAGCTGGGAGTGGTGGTGCATGCCTGTAATCCCAGCTACTTGGGAGGCTGAGGCAGGAAAATCACTTGAACCTGGGAGGCGGAGGTTGCAGTGAGCCAAGATCATGCCACTGCAGTCCAGCCTGCGCCACAGAGTGAGACTCTGTCTCAAAAATAAAGAGAAAGAGAGAGAGCAAGGAAGAAGGGAGGGAGGGAGGGAGGGGGAGACAGAGGGAAAGAGAGAAAGAAAGAGAAAGAAAGAAAAGAAAGAAAGAGAAAGAAAGAGATAAGTAAAGATAGGAATTGTGATTCTCCAATGGTTAAGAGCGAGCTTTGGGGCTGGGCACGGTGGCTCTCACCTGTAATCCCAGCACTTTGGAAGGCCGAGGCAGGTGGATCACCTGAGATCAGGAGTTTGAAACCAGCCTGGCCAACATTGCAAAACCCCATCTCTACTAAAAATACCAAAATTAGCCAGGCGTGGTGGCAGACGCCTGAAATCCCAGCTACTCAGGAGGCTGAGGCATGAGAATCCCTTGAACCCAGGAGGCAGAGGTTGCAGTGAGCCAAGATCGCACCACTGCACTCCAGCCTGGGTGACAGAGCGAGACTCCGTCTCAAAAAAAAAAAAAAAGAATGAGCTTTGGAATATGACAGATTTGAGTTCAAATCATGCCCTATCCCAACCTCTTACCCACTGTGATCCTGGGCAAATTACTAAACCATTAAGCTACTCAGATGCTCAGCTTAATTACGAAAATAACATATCTGAAAGGGATATTACCAGGGCTAAATGAATTAAGACACATAAAAGTGCTTATCGCAATGCCTGGCACAAAAGCAAGTGCATAATAGGAGGTAACAGTTATTATGGGAGGCTTTATTGATTGAAGATCCAATGAAAAGGGATTTAATTCATTTAATGTTCCCTGGCTCTGTTATACTACAATTCTGCACATGCCCTTTCAGACAGAAAGTTTCCATCTGTGTTGATGAGGTAGAGTAAGCTTGGCCTAGGTCTATCTTACATCTCTGAAGAGGTGCTATGCAGATAGCAGTAATCTGTCCATATTGATGGAAATGTCAGATAGATTAGGAGCCATTGTCAAAAGAAACTCTGATTCAGTATTAGATTAAATTGGAAAGTCATACTAGAAGAATGTAAATATTTGATAGTAGCCAGGGTGTCATGGCTAACAAAAGCAGCCACTTCATGGAAAAATAGCCCCTGACTTTTGTAATTAGAGAAGAAATGGATCCAGGTGTTCCCATTCAAGAAAGAACATCATGTATTTTCCTACAGGTTTTTATCACAGTGATACCACTTGTTAAGTTATATCCATGTGTCTGTGTCCAATTCTTCTTGGTAATCCCAATGTCCAAGACAAGTGCCTTGTATATAGTAAATAAGCTTTTATCCAAACAAGCAAGAAAACAACCAACTAACACTTTACTCAGTGTTCACTTTGTGCCAAATACTGGAATCAGCAGCACTGGAGAAGACAGAGACACGATGCCTGCTGTCCAGGAGACCATAATCTAGTGGAAGAAATAGATAATATATCACAATAAACACTTAAAATAGAGTGTACTGCTAAATGCTGTGAGAGGTCCGTATAGGGTTCAATGAGGGCAAAAACAGGAATAGAGGTGAAGCCTGAATGAACACGTGTCCTTTCCTTTTTTAGGTGACTTTCTGCAGACTTCGGACTCACCAGTGGTGTTTCATTCTATTTAATGTCATCCTATTTCATGCCTTGCTTTTTGGGACTGACTTTGTGGAGGAATACTTTCTGCATTCTTTGCCTTATATAGATGTGAAAGTTCTTGAAATTAAGAATAAGGCAAGAAAATTGAACATCGAACCCCTAAGAAGTAATCTCTCCAAATATTATGTCCTGAGCCAGTCAGAAATATGTAAAGGGAAGAACATTTTTTTGCTGTCTCTTATCTTCAGTAGCCCAGGAAATGGAACAAGACGGGACCTCATTAGGAAAACTTGGGGCAATGTGACCAGTGTCCAAGGGCATCCCATTCTCACACTGTTTGCTCTGGGAATGCCTGTTTCGGTAACTACCCAGAAAGAGATCAACAAAGAATCCTGTAAGAATAATGATATAATTGAAGGAATCTTCTTGGACAGTTCTGAGAACCAAACCCTGAAGATCATTGCAATGATACAGTGGGCTGTGGCTTTCTGCCCTAATGCCCTGTTCATTCTCAAGGTGGATGAAGAGACGTTTGTCAATCTACCAAGCTTGGTAGACTATCTTCTCAATCTGAAAGAACACCTAGAAGATATCTATGTAGGAAGAGTTCTTCATCAGGTTACACCCAATAGAGATCCTCAGAACAGAGACTTTGTCCCTCTTAGTGAGTACCCAGAAAAATACTACCCAGATTACTGCAGTGGTGAGGCCTTTATAATGTCCCAAGATGTGGCTCGAATGATGTATGTGGTTTTCAAAGAAGTACCCATGATGGTGCCAGCTGATGTGTTTGTAGGAATTTGTGCTAAGTTCATTGGCCTTATACCCATCCACAGCTCAAGGTTTTCTGGGAAAAGGCACATTAGATACAACAGATGTTGCTATAAGTTCATTTTTACATCCTCAGAAATTGCAGATCCTGAAATGCCCCTAGCATGGAAGGAAATTAATGATGGAAAAGAATGTACACTGTTTGAGACATCCTATGAGCTCATTTCCTGCAAACTTCTGACGTACCTTGACAGCTTTAAACGTTTTCACATGGGGACCATAAAAAACAATCTCATGTATTTTGCTGATTAGGATTTCTTTAATTTTCCTTATGAGTCTACTATTTTAAAGTTACCTTCTACCCTGTTATGGAAAGCATCCCTTCTTTCCCATGTTTTATGTAGGTTCTCTGAATCTTTAATTTTATTTGCAAAGGTACAAAATGTTTTCTGTGCTCTGGTGTGCTCAATTACTGAGATCTCAAATTTTTAAAAAATTTAAGTTGGTGTAGCATAATTCTTTTCAAAATGAAATATTTCTCTCAAAAGAGAGAACATTATGTTTCATTGTTTATTTAGTTTTCGTTTTTTTTTTTTCTTTTGAGACAGGGTCTGGCTCTGTCACCCAGGCTGGAGTGCAGTGGCGCAATCTCGACTCACTGCAACCTCCACCGCCTGGGCTCAAGGGATCCTCCCACCTCAGCCTTTTGAGTAGCTGAGACTATAGGCATGTGCCACCATACCCGGCTAATTTTTTTTTTTTTTTTTCGGAGACAGAGTCTTGCTCTGTCGCCCAGGCTGGAGTGCAATGGCACCATCTCTGTTCACTGCAACCTCTGCCTCCCAGGTTAAAGCAATTCTCCTGCCTCAGCCTCCCAAGTAGCTGGGATTACAGGTGCCTGCCACCACGCCTGGCTAATTTTTGGTATTTTTAGTAGAGGCGGGGTTTCACCATGTTGGCCAGGCTGGTCTCGAACTCCTGGCCTCAAGTGATCCACCCGCCTGGGCCTCCCAAAGTGCTGGGATTACAGGTGTGAGCCACCACGCCTGGCCTAATTTTTGTATTTTTTTATAGAGATGGGGGTTTCATGATGTTGCCCACGCTGGTCTTGAACTCCTGGGCTCAAGTGATCCTCCCACCTCAGCCTCCCAAAGTCCCAAAGTGTTGGGATTATAGGTGTGAGGAACCGTACCTGGCCAGTACACAATTCATTATAACTAAGTTTTTTTTTTTATAAACTGACTAGTAAAAATTATGTATATTTATGTTGTACAACATGTTTTGATATATGTATATGTTATAGAATGGCTAAATCAAGCTATTTAACACATGCATCACCTGACATACTTTTTTGTAGTGAGAACACTTAAAATCTACTCTACTAACAATTATCAGATATTGATATATTGCTGTTAATTGTCATGACCATGATGTATGATAGAGCTCTTGAACTTATTCCTCATGTCTAACAAAAATGTTGGATCTCTTGGCCATATCTGCCAAGTTTTCCCAACCCCCAGTCTCTGGTAACCTCCATTTACTCTCTGTTTCTATGAATTTGAGTTTTTTTACACTCCACATATAAGTGAGCTCATGTGCTTATTTGTCCTTCAATGCCTGGTTTATTTCATGTAACATAATGCACTCCAGGTTCATCCATGTTGTTGGAAATGACAGGATTTCTTTCATTTATAAGGCTGAATAGCATTTTATTGTGGATATATACCACATTTTCTTTATTCATGCACTGGTGGACACTTAGATAGATGCCACTAATCTTGTGAATAATGCTGCATTGAATGTGGGGAGTGCAGATATCTCTTTAACATACTGATTTAATATCTTTTGGATATATTTCCAGTAGCGGAATTGCTAGATTGTGTGGCAGTTCTATTTTTAATTTTGTGAGGAACCTCCATAATGGCTGTATTATTGGTTTACCATAATGGCTCATTGTGGTTTTACTTTGCATTTCCCTGATGATTAGTGGTATTGAGCATTTTTTTTTCATATACCTGTTGGCCATTTGTACTTCTTCTTTTGAGAAATGTCTATTTAGGGCCTTTGGTCATTTCTAAGTCAGGTTATTTGGGCAGGGCACAGTGGCTCATGGCTGTAATCCCAGCACTTTGGGAGGCCAAGGCAGGTGGGTCACCTGAGATGGGAATTCAAGAGCAGCCTGGCCAACAGGGTGAAACCCCGCCTCTACTAAACATACAAAAAATTAGCTGGACCCGGTGGTACGTGCCTGTAATCCCAGCTACGCGGGAGGCTGACACAGGAAAATCGCTTGAATCCAGGAGGTGGAGGTTGCAGTGAGCCGAGATCATGCCACTGCACTCCAGCCTGGGCAACAGTCTGAGACTCTATCTCAAAAAACAAAATAAAATAAAATAAATAAAGTGATTTGCTTTCATGCTATTGTGTTGTTTGAGTCCCTTATCTATTTGGATATTAACCCCAGAACAGATATATGGCTTGCAAATATTTTCTCCCATTCCATAGCTTATCTCTTCACTGATTGCTGCTTTTGATATGCACAAGCTTTATAGTTTGGTATTATCTCATTTGTCTATTTTAGCTTTTGTTGCCTATACTTAAGGGGTCATAGCCAAGAAAATCTTCGCCCAGACCAATGTCATGGAGCTTCCCCCACCTATGTTTTCTTCTAGTAGTTGTACAGGTCTTACATTTAAGGTCTTACATTTAAGTCTTTAATCCGTTGTGAGTTGATTTTTGTATATAGTGTGAGATGAGGGTATACTTTTATTATTCTGCAGGTAGATATCCATCCAGTTTTCCCAGCACCATTCATTGTAAAGACTATCTTTTTCCCATTCAGTGTTCTTGGCATCTTTATCAAAAATCAATTGACTATCAATGAATGAATTTATTTCTGGGCTCTCTATTGTGTTCCATTGGTCTGTGTGTCTATTTTTATAGTGTACATGCTGTTTAGATTACTGTAGCTTTGTAACAGATGTTCAAATCCAGTAGTATGATGCCTTCGGCTTTGTTATTTTTGCTCAAGATTGTTTTGGCTGTTCAAAGATTTTTGCATTTTCATATGAATATTAGGATTTTTTTTCTATTTCCATGAAAAATATCATTGGAGTTTTACTAGAGTTTGAATTGAATCTGTATGTGGCTTCAGGTAGCAGGGACATTTTAACATTAGTCCTTCCAATCCATGAACGTGGCATATCTTTTCTGTAATTTGTGTCATCTTCAATTTCTTTCATCAACATTTTACAGTTTTTATTACACAGATTTTTTTACCTCCTTATTTAAATTTACTCCTAAGTATTTTGGGTTTTTTTTCTTTTGATGCTACTATAAAAAGGATAGTTTTCTTTTTCAGATAGTACATTGTTAGAATATGAAAATGCTACTGATTTTCATAAGTTGATTTTTTTCCCTGCAACTTTACTGAATTTGGTTGTCAGTTCTAACAGTTTTTGTTTGTTTGTTTTTTGTTTTTGTTTTTGTTTTTGAGATGGAGTCTCGCTCTGTTGCCCAGGCTGGAGTGCAGTGGCACGATCTCGGCTCACTGCAACCTCCGCCTCCCAGGTTCAAGCAATTCCCCTGTCTCAGCCTCCTGAGTAGCTGGGACTACGGGCGCCCGCCACCACACCCGGCTAATTTTTGTATTTTTAGTAGAGACGGGGTTTCACCATATTGATCAGGCTAGTCTCAACCTCCTGACCTCAGGTGATCCGCCCACCTCAGCCTCCCAAAATGCTGGGATTACAGGCGTGAGCCACTATGCCCAGTGCAGTTCTAACAGTTTTTGATGGAGTCTTTAGGGTTTTCTCTTATAAGGTCATATTGTCAGTAAACAGTGACAGTTTCACTTCTTCCTTTCCTATTTGGAAATATATATATTTTTAATTTTTATATTATATATATATATATATTCAAGACAAGATCTCGCTCTGTTGCCCAGGCTGGAATGCAATGGCATGAACACAGCTCACCGCATCCTTGACCTCCCAAGTTCAATAGATCCTCTTGCCTCAGCCCCCCGAGTAGCTGAGAATACAGGTGTGCACCACCTCGCCCAGATAATTTTTGTATTTTTTACAGAGATGGGATCTTGCCATGTTGCCCAGGGTGGTCTTGAACTCCTGGCCTCAGTGATCCTCCTGCCTCAGCTTCCCAAAGTGTTGGGATTACAGGTGTGAGCTGCCACACCTGGCCTATTTGGCTAATTTTATTTCTTTTTCTTTCCTTTTTTTTTTTTTTTTTTTGAGATGGAGTCTCACTCTGTCGCCCAGGCTGGAGTGCAATGGCGTGATCTCAGCTCATCGCAACCTCCGCCTCCTGGGTTCAAGGGATTCTCCTGCCTCAGCCTCCCGAGTAGTTGGGATTACAGGCACCCATCACCACTCCCGGCTGATTTTTGTATTTTTAATAGAGAAGAGGTTTCACCATGTTGGCCAGGCTGGTCTCGAACTCCTGACCTCAGGTGATCCGTCTGCCTCGGCCTCCCAAAGTGCTGGGATTACAGGCATTAGCCACTGCACCCAGCCAATTTTATTTCTTTTTCTTGTCTATTTGCTCTGGCTAGGACTTCCAATACTATACTGAACAGAAGTGAGAGTGAGCATCCTTGTCTTGTTTCTGATTTTAGAGGAGAAGCTTTTAACTTTATTTTTCTGTTGAGAATGATGTTAGCTATGTGTTTGTCATGTGTGACTTTTATTGTGTTGAGGTACATTCTTTTAATACTTTATTTTTGAAAGTTTTTATCAGGAAAAAATGTTGAATTTTACCATATGCCTTTTTTGCATCTATTGAGATGCTCATATAATTTTGTCCCCTTCATTCTGTTAACGTAGTGTATCATCTTTATAGATTTGTGTATGTTGAGCTATCCTTGCATCCCTGGGATAAATCCCACTGGATTATGATGAATAATCCCTTTCATGTGCTGTTGAATTTAGTTTGCTAGTATTTTATTGAGGATTTTTGTACCTATGTTTATCAGGGATATTGGCTGGGATCTTGTTTATTTGTGGCTTGTAATTTTCTTTTCATGTAGTCTCTTTGTCTGGCTTTGCTATCAGGGTAATGCTGACCTCACAAAATGAGTTTGAAAGTATTCCCTCTTCTGTTTTGAGGGGAGAGTTTGAGAAGGATTGGTATTAATTCTTCTTTAAGTGTTTGGTAGATGGCTTCAGCAGTTGGTGGGAGATTTTTTATTGCTGATTCAATCTCTTTACTCTGTGCTGGTCGGTTCAGATTTTCCATTTCCTCATGATTTAGGATTGATAAGTTGTATGTGTCCAGGAATGTATCCATTTCTTCTAAGTTATCCATGTTGTTGTTGTATAATTGTTCATAGTTGTCTCTAAAAATTCTATTTTTTTTTTTTTTTTTTTTTTTTTGAGACGGAGTCTTGCTCTTTCGCCCAGGCTGGAGTGCTGGAGTGCAGTGGCGTTATCTTGGCTCATGGCAACCTCCACCTCCCAGGTTCAAGTGATTTTCCTGCCTCAGCCTCTCTAGTGTTGTGGGAATCAGGAGGACCAGAGAGACCTTGGGGTATATACAGGAGGATCTTTATTGAGTGCACTCAGACCCAGCAGACTTAACATCCAAAAACTAGGCCTGGAAAAAAGACAGCACTTGACTTTTATACACACTTCAAAAAGTGGGTGGGCTAGCTTGAAGCAGGCTTATAGTGGCATGAAAGCAAGGATACAGAGGCAGAACAAAGACAGTTAATCAAATTGTGACAGGTTCATAACTCAGGATTACACATGGCCGTTGTTATGCAGCCCAGATGTCTGTTATCTAGGTTTGCTCTAGTGCCTAGCACGGGCTTATCCATAACTTTCACTATGGTGCCCAGGTGGCTGTATCTCAGGCCTGCTCAGATGGTTTATGGCCTTCACTCCACTGCTTAGATAAAACAATACTTGAAGTTACTAGTTACAGAGAACAGGAATCTATAAACTCATACCATAAGAGAAAGGAAAATTTGTTTTTCTCCTCCTGATGTTGAGGGAGTGCTGGAAGAGTTCTTCGGGGCACATTAGATAGTATTAGCAAGACTTTTCCTGGGTCTGGGCTGTGCCTGTCGCTGCTGTGGGACAAGTCAGCCTAATACAGGAAAGCTTATTTCTCTCTCTTTTTTTTACATTTTACTTTTCTTTATTTCTTTAATTTCCCACCTCACTAGTAGCTGGGATTACAGGTGCGTGCCATCATGCCTGGCTAATTTTTTGTATTTTTAATAGAGATGGGGTTTCACCATGTTGGCCAGGCTAGTTTTGAACTGCTGACCTCAAGTGATCACCCGCCTCAGCCTCCCAAAGTGCTGGGATTATAGGCGTGAGCCACCATGCACAACCAATTCTTTATGTTTTTGTGTTATCAGTTTTAATATCTCTTTCATTTCTGATTCTGCTTGAGTCTTATCTCTATTTTTTTCTTATTTAGTCTACCTAAGGGTTTGTCAACTTTATCTTTTAAAAAAAAACAACTCTTAGTTTCATTAGTCTTTTGTGTCATTTTTCTGGTGTCTACTTTTTTAATTTCTGCCCTGATCTTTGTTATTTCCTTCCTTCTGCTACCTTAGTTTCTTCTTCTTCTTCTTGTTTTTTTTTTTTTGTTGTTGTTGTTTGTTTGTTTTTTAGACAGAGTTTCCCTCTTGTTGCCCAGGCTGGAGTGCAATGGCACAATCTCAGCTCACTGCAACCTCCACCTCCCAGGTTCAAGCAATTCTCCTGCCTCAGCCTCCCAAGTAGCTGAGATTACAGGCATGCGTCAGCACACCCAGCTAATTTTTATATTTTTAGTAGAGATGGGGTTTCGCCATGTTGATCAGGCTGGATAGTCTTGAACTCCTGATCTTGGGTGATCCATCCGCCTCGGCCTCCCAAAGTGCTGGTATTACAGGCGTGAGCCACTGTGCCTGGCCAGTTTGTTCTTTTATTTTTTATTTTTTATTTTGTTTAATTTTTTTGAGGCAGAGTCTCACTCTGTCACCCAGGCTGGAGTGCAATGGCACGATCTCAGCTCACTGCAAGCTCCGCCTCCCGGGTACCCGCCATTCTCCTGCCTCAGCCTCCCGAGCAGCTGGGACTACAGGCGCCCGCCACCATGCTCAGCTAATTTTTTGTGTATTTTTAGTAGAGATGGGGTTTCACTGTGTTAGCCAGGATGATCTCGATCTCCTGACCTCATGATCCACCCGCCTCGGCCTCCCAAAGTGCTGGGATTACAGGCATGAGCCACTGCACCCGGCCATTCTTCTTTCATAGTTTCCTTGAGATGTAATGTTAGGTTGTTAATTTGTGATATTTCTTTCCTTTTGATGTAGGCATTTAGTACCATGAACTTCCCTTTTAGAACTGCTTTTGATGTATCTTACAAGTCTTCATTTGTCACAAGATATTTTTAAATTTCCCTTTTAATTTATTTGACCCAACATTTGTTCAGGAGCATATTATTTTATTTCCAAGTATTTATTCATTTTCCTTGATTTCTCCTGTTACTGATGTCTAGTTTCGTACCAATATGGTCACAAAAGATACTTAATATGATTTCAATCTTCTTAAATTTTTAAAGACTTTTCTATGGGCTAACATGATGTATCCTGGATAATGTGATGTGTGTGCTTGAGAAGAATGTGTATTCTATTGCTTTTGGATATAATGTTTTGTATATTTCTGTTAGATCCATTTTGTCTAAAGTGTAGCTCAAGTCCAGTGTTTTCTTATTGATTTTCTGTTTGAATGATCTGTCTATTGTTAAAAATGAAGTATTGAATCCCTACTACTATTGTGTTATAGTCTCTCTACTATAGGCTTTGCTCTGTAATTACCCTGAGGCTTACATAAAACACCTTACTACAGGCTATTTTAAGTTGACAACAACTTAATTTTCATTTTAATGTCATACTCAAACTGTATGCTTTTATTCCCCCTCCTCTCATGTTTTATGCTTTTGATGCCACACTTCATACCTTTTTATAATTTGTATCCTTTAACCAGTTATTATAGCTTTAGTTGTTTTTAATAGTTTTGCATTTAATCTTTATACTATATACTTTAATCTTTATACTTTATACCAGAGATATAATTCATTGCCCACTGCCACTGCAGAAATAGAGAATTTGGATTTGACAATGTGCTTACTTTTTCCAGTGACTTTTATATTTTCATATGTTCTTATGTTACTGCTTAGCATCCTCTTCCTTCAGCTTGAAGAACTCCCTTTAGCATTTTTTGTAAGGCAGGCCTAGTGGTGACAGACTCTCTCAATTTTTGTTTAAGTCTTTATCACCCTTTCATTTTTGAAAGACAGGATTATTTGATATAGTATTCTTGGTCAGCAGGTTTGTTTTTTTTTTCCTTTTAGGATTTTGAATATACCATTCCATTCCTTTCTTGACTGCAAGGTTTCT
Organism: Homo sapiens; assembly: GCF_000001405.40. Lineage (NCBI taxonomy): Eukaryota > Metazoa > Chordata > Mammalia > Primates > Hominidae > Homo > Homo sapiens. The sequence continues at coordinate 120,807,780 of NC_000009.12, forward strand.
GAAGATAAATCTGCTGATAGTCTTATATATGTTCCATTGTATGTGACAATTTGCTTTTTCCTTGCTGCTTTCAGCACTTTCACTTTGTCTTTAACTTTTGACAATTTGATTATGATGTGTCTTGATGTGGGTCTCTTTGGATTTATCATTTGCTGTACTTTGGGCTTCTTGGATCTGGCTTTTAATTTCCTTTCCTAGACTTGGAAAGTTTTCTGTCATTGTTTCTTTGAATATATTCTCTATGCTTTTCTTTTTCTCCCTCTCCTTCTTCTGGTACACTAACAATGCATAAGTTTTTCAATAGATGTTGTTCCATAAGTCTCTTAAATTATCTACATTCCTTAATTTTTTAATTTTTGCTCCCAGATTGAATGATTTCCAGTGACCTGTCTTCAAGTTCATTGGTCCTTTCTTCTGCTTGATCTGGTCTGCTGTTGAACCCCTCTATTGAATTTTTCAGTTTAGTTATAGTATTCTTCAGATTTGTAATTTCTGTTTGGTACTTTTTTATACTTTCTTTTTGTTGAAATTCCCAGTTTGTTCTTATATTGACCTCTTGACTTTGGAGAGCATCTTTATTACTATTATTATTATCATTATTATTATTATTATTATTATTGAGACAGAGTCCACTCTGTTGCCCAGGCTGAAGTGCAGTGGTATGATCTTGGCTCACTACAGCCTCCACCTCCTGGTTTCAAGTGATTCTTGTGCCTCGGCCTCCAAAGTAGCTGGGACTACAGTCATGTGCCACCACACCTGGCTATTTTTTTTCTATTTTTAGTAGAGATGGGTTTCCACCATGTTGGACAGGCTGGTCTCAAACTCCTGGCTTCAAGTCATCTACTCACCTCAGCTTCCCACAGTGCTAGGGTTACAGGCATGAGCCACTACTAGCAGCCTATCACCATTATTTTGAATTGCTGTCAGGTCAAACAATATCTCCCATTCGTTTGGGTTAGTTTCTGTAGAATTATCTTGCTCTTTTATTTGTTTCTTCATTTCCCTTGACTCTCTGTGTTGGTTTCTGTGCATTAGATAAGACAAATAACTCGTCCAGTATTGTGAGGCTGGCCTTATATAGGAGAAGAATCTCACCTATCTGTCCAGCCACCCGCCTTGGCCTCCCAAAGTGCTGGGATTACAGGTGTGAGCCACCATGTCCTGCCTACAGTATAAGTTCTTTCATGTTTTTGAAAGAAACTGGAACAAAAGATTTTATCATATTTTTTATATTCATAGGATTTTTCTCAAGTGTGAATCTGTTTATGTTTTTGAAGGTACCTGATATATCTGAATGCTTTCCTTATTCCTTACAAGGAACAGGTTTTCTATGCAGTTTGAGTTATTTCATGTATTTGACAGAAACTGGAAAGGCCACATTTTTTTAATGCTCATAGGATCCTTCTCCATTTTTAATCTATTCATGTGTTGGAAAGGAACTGGGATAATTAAATGCTTTCCTACATTCCTTTCCTTCATTGGATGTCTTTGTTTTTTTGTTTTTTGTTTTTGTTTTTTTTTTTGAGACAGAGTTTCACTCTGTCACCCAGGATAGAGTGCAGCGGCTCATTGCAGCCTTGAGCTCTTGGGCTCAAGCAGTCCTCTTGCCTCTGTCTTTTGGTTAGCTAGGACAACAGGTGTGTACCACCATGCCTGGCTGATTTTTCATTATTTTTGGAACAGATGAGGTCTCACTACGTTGCCCAGGCTGGTCTCGAACTCCTGTACTTAAGTGACCCTCCTGCCTCGGCCTCCCTGAGTGCTGGAATTAGAGGCATGAGCCACTGCACCTGGCCTCTATTGCACTTTTCATTGCATTCATTGTATTTTTTCAATTCCAGAATCTTTTTAATCCAACTGAATATATTTATTACAAGTGCATTGAGACTATACAGAATCATGGTTAAGAACACAGACTGTGTAGTCAGACTGCTTCGATTCAAAGCCCAGCTCTGCCCAGCTGTGTAACCTTGGGCAATTTTCTTAACCTCTCTGTGCAGTCATTGCCTCGACTGTGAAATGGGGTAAAAATAATATGTGGCTCATAGGGTTCTTAACGGAGTTCAATGAGTTAAAATATGTTCAGCAGTTAGAACTCATAGTAAGTACCATATATATTTATGCTATTATTTTCATGTTGCTACTTATCTGTCATACACAAAAGGTAATTTTTCCCCCTTTTTAACTGACATGTAATAATTATACATATTTATGAGATAAAGAATGATATTTTGACGCATGTATACAATGCATAATCAGCAAATGAGACTAGTTTCCGTATCTATCACCTGAAAAATTTGTCATTTCCTTGTGTTGGGAATGTTCAAAATTTTCTCTTCTAGATTTTGAACATACACAGTAAATTATTGTCAGTAATATTCACCCTACAGTGCTATATAGAACACTAACTTATTCCTCCTATCTCGTTGTAATTTTGTATCTGTTAACCAACCTCTCTATGTCCTTGCTTCCCAGCCTTTAATAACCATAATTCTTTTTCAATTCAATTTTTTTTTTTTTTGAGACCGAGTCTCGCTCTGTCGCCCAGGCTGGAGTGCAATGGCATGATCTCGGCTCACTGCAACCTCCACCTCCCAGGTTCAAGCAATTCTTCTGTCTCAGCCTCCTGAGTAGGTGGGATTACAGGCAGCTGCCATCATGCCCGGCTAATTTTTGTATTTTTGTAGAGATGGGGTTTCACCATGTTGCCCAGGCTGGTCTTGAACTCCTGACCTCAGGTGATCCACCCGCCTCAGCCTCCCAAAGTGCTGGGATTACAGGCATGAGCCACTGCGCCTGGCTCATAATTCTTCTATTTCTATAAGCTCAATTTTGTGCTCCTTCCCACAATTGAATGAGAACATGTGGTATTTATCTTTCTGTGCCTGAGTTATTTCACTTAACATAATGTCCTCCAGGCTAATCCATGTTGCTGAAAATGACAAGGATTTGTATCCTTTTTTATGGCTGAATAATATTTCACTGTGTATATATATATCACATTTTCCTTTTCCATTCATCTGTTAGTGGACATTTAGGTTGATTCCATATCTTAGCTATTGTGAATAGTGCTGCAATATACATGAGGGTGCAGGTATCCTTTTGATGTACTGATTTGATGTACATCAGTACATCAAATACCCAACAGCTGTAAATACCCAACAGCAGGATTGCTGGATCATATGGTAGTTCTATTTTTAGTTTTTTTCAGAACCTTTCAGACTATTTTCCATAATGGCTGTACTAATTTACTTCCTACGATAGTGCATTCCCTTTTTTTCTGCATCCTTGCTAGCATTTATTATTTTTTGTTCTTTTGATAATAGCCATTATAACTGGGGTGAGATGATATTTCATTATGGTTTTACTTTGCATTTCCTGGACGCTTATTGCAGTTCCTGAATTTCTGGATTTTTAAAAAATAATTTCAGTCTCTGTTAAATTTCTTATTTTGATCACTTCCCCCCAATTTCGTGAATTGTTTCTCTATATCTTCTTGCAGTTTGCTCAGCTCTCTTAAAAGAAATATTTTGAATTCTTTGTCAGGTAATTTGTTACCTTTGTTTCTTTGGGGTCAGCTACTGGGAGATGATTGTGTTCTTTGGTTGATGTTATGTCTCCTTGTTTTGTCATATTTCTTGTTGCTTTTATGGTAATGTATGCACATGAGATGGAACAGTCACCTCCTCCAGAATTTATAGGCTAGTTTCACTATGTAAAGATCTTCCCCTGTGTAGGGGTGGCAAGGGCACTTGCTGAGTGGGGTGCAGTGAGTGATGCCAATTCTCAGCTATGCCAATGTTACCAGCAGTCCTTTCTATATTCTCTGTATTTTTTGCTTCATTGTGTTGCTGAAGATTTTTTTTTTTTTTTTTGAGACAGGGTATCTGTCACCCAGGCTGGAGTGTAGTGCATGATCATGGCTCACTGTAGCCTCAACTTCCAGGGCTCCAGCAATCCTCCTGCCTCAGCCTCCTAAGTAGCTGGGACCACAGGTGTGTGCCACCATGCCAGGCTAATTAATTTTTTTTTTTTTTACTACAGGGTCTTGCTATGTAGCCCAGGTTAGTTTGCTGCAGATTCTTTAATGAACCCTTCAGATCTTTTGGGCTAGTTTGGTTTGTAAATAGCTGTCTATATTTGTTTGTTTTTGTGTTTTGTTTTTTGTGGAAGGCTGAAGGTTGGTAACTCCTATCCTGCCATCTTGGTGACCTCCCCTCTCAGGCTCTTTCAAGATGTTCTCTTCATGGTCTCTCTTTTTTTTTTTTTTTTTCCTTAGGGCTAGAGAATATGTTTATACGCTTCCACATTAGGTTCAGATGCCCATGCCACATATGGCTTATGGGGTGTCTCTGATGTTTCAACTCATTTTCAAGTATTTGATTCTAGCACCTTTTCACAAGCCTGTAGAGCACAAACAGGCTTTCCCTATATGTCATCATATTTCAATAGTGCTTTATTAAAGGACAGATGAATATGCAGCTTTATTGGGAAATGTTTACAAATATCAGAAAGGACTAATCAAGCATCCTATATAAAACTTTCCAAACCTCTGAGGATGCCTGTGAAGGAGGACAAAGTATACTATACCCAGAAATCTTAGTACATTCAAGTATCTGATATTTGCTTGGGGATAATCTAATCATTCTACACACATACACCAAGATTGGTCATTCTGTCAGGGCATGTTCTCAGGAGGGGCTGAGCAACTTGTGGGCAGCAGGCTCTCACTAGTGTACATTCCAACTGAACCCTCAGCTCCAGAAATGGTGCTACATGGGGCCTGGACTTCCTAACATCTGGGTGTCCATGAACATATGGTCACTCTTCCTCCTCTTGCGTCCACCTGGAAGCCATCTACATCCCCAGCTCCAATCTGCCTTTCATGGCTGTGCTTATTCATGAATTTTGTGATACACATGCTGCCTGGGGGCCTCCTTTTCAGAAGATGGGTGTCTCCTAGTTGGGCCATGGCAGGAACACCACCACTGTCCTCACTGGGGGCCATCTTTTCTGTTCTCTGAAGCTCAGGGAGGTTGAAGACTAACAGAACTTGAATGAGAGACACCCTGATAATATTAGCTCCCATTTGCTTTTCCCACCCCCCTCCACCAAGAATCAGCCAGATATTTCTCTCTTCTCTGTCCCTGCCTCCCAGTTCCTCACATCTGTTACCCTCAGATGCCCTTGGTACCTGGTGTGATATAGGCGGGCAGTGGTATCCTAGCCCTGAGCACTTGTGGCACCTACACTACACTGGGGTGACCAGGCAGCAGGATCCCACCCTTCGACCGGAGAAAAAGGCTCCCATCATCCTCTGACTCTGCCAGCCACGACAGAGCCCTAAAATCCACAGGTGCATCCCAAAGGTCCAAACCACCTTCTGTGCCTAACTTATTGCCCTGGTGAAGTAGATTCAAGTATTCAATACCTGTTTGAGGATAACCTAATCATCCTACATACATACACCTGAGTTTGTCAGTCTGCCAGGGATACTCCCTGTAGACCTTCTCCCATCAGACTTATATGACAGGGACTGACCAAGGGAAGAAAGGGCCCTTATACACAGAATACATTGTGGAAAAAAAGTGTGTGTGTGTGTGTGTGTGTGTGTGTGTGTGTGCTTACATATCTATAACCAAGAAAAATGTAACCAAGTCTTATTTTGCTTTATAATTAGTGGACTTTTAAAAATCATTCTATGGTACTGTTATGACTCAGTGATGGCAGCAGTGACTCAGTGATGGTGGTGAATGCTCAGAATTAAAAGGAAAACCTTAAATAGGGGAATTTTTGTAATAAAATGTTATTCTTGGCTGGGCGCGGCAGCTCATGCCTGTAATCCCAGCACTTTGGGAGGCTGAGGCAGGCATATCACCTGAGGTTGGGCATTCGAGACCAGCCTGGCCAACGCGGTAAAACCCTGTCTCTACTAAAAATACAAAAATTAGCCGGGCATGGTGGCGCACGTCTGTAATCCCAGCTAGTCACGAGGCTGAGATGCGAAAATCGCTTGAACCCCAGAGGCGGAAGTTGCAGTGAGCCAAGATCGTACCACTGTACTCCAGCCTGGGTGACAGAGCAAGACTCTGTCTCAAAAAAAAAAAAAAAAAAGTTTCTTGTCTGCAAGCAGGAAACATTTTAGTAATCTGGGTGGTAGAACTGCAAGTAATGTGAATCTATTAGCCCTCTAGTTTATATTAGCTTAAAACTTCACTAGTGTAAAGAGTTGGATGTCTAACTTTTGTCAAGTTCTACTTAGGCAGTATTTCACAGATGGGTGCAACAAATTCACATTTCATGTCATGAAATATACCCTATATTCATTTCCTAGGGACACTATAATAAAGTATCACAAACTGGGTGACTTAAAACAGCAGGAACTTATTCTCTCATGTTTTTGAGGCTAGAAGGCTGAAATCAAGGTGTCAGCGCCCTGTTCTCTCTGAAGCCTGTTGGGAGAATCCTTCCTTGTTTCTTGTAGCTTCTGCTGGTTGCCAGCAATCCTTGACGTTCTGTGGCTTGCAAACGTGTAATTTCAACCTCTGCCTTCACCTTTACATGGACTGCTGTGTGTCAGTAACTTCACATCATCTTCCCTCTGGGTGTCTCTGTGTCCAAATTTCCTTGTAAGGACACTACTCATTGGATTAGGGCCCACCCTAATGTCATCTTAACTTGATTACATCAGCAAAGATGCCCTACCTCCTCTCCATTTATTTATTTATTTATTTAGAGACGAGAGTCTCACTCTGTCGCTCAGGCTGGAGTGCAGTGGTGTGATCTGGGATCACTGCAACCTCTGCCTCCCGGGTTCAAGCAATTCTCCTGCCTCAGCCTCCTAAGTAGCTGGGACTACAGGCATGTGCCACCATGCCCAGCTAATTTTTCTGTTTAGTAGATGGGGTTTCACCATGCTGGCCAGGCTGGTCTTGAACTCCTGACCTCAGGTGATATACCCGCCTCCGCCTCCCAAAGTGCTGGGATTACAGGCGTGACCACTGCACCTGGCTTCCTCTCCATTGAGGAATATGATCATGTTCACAGGTACTGGGGGTACCTGAACTTGAACACATATTTTTGGGGAACATTATTCAACCCACAACACACACTTTCTGATTTCTCTTGTGTAATGATTAGATCAGTAGTTCCCATCTTGGGGCTCTTGAGATTTTTAGGTGTTCCCAAAGTTATATACCTTGAAAGTCCCTGCCATGACACTTATTAGACCAGATTTTTTGATATGTTGTTAAGTCATCCTGACCCTGTTTATGTACAAACTCAATCTTTGTGTGGTTGATGGTCTACATGAGATATGTCAAGTGTTTGTCAATGGATTTGGTCCATAGTAAATGTTCACTAAGAGGAAGAGGCAGTATTTAGGAACATATATTCTATGTTAAACAGCCTAGGTTGAAATGTTGACTTCTCTTATTTGCTATGCGATCCCGTGCAAGTTCCTGAATTTTGCTGTGCCTTGGTTTTGTTATATAACTCCTGGAAGTGTGACGATGGCCACATGAGTTCATACATGAAAACCTCTTAGAAAATGCTTGGGACACATTAAAAACTCAGTAACTGTTAGCTACTATTACCTTCAAAATATAACCAAGTGACAAAAGGGGAGTACAACTAATCCTCAGAAAATCAGATTAATATTCTGGCTTTGCGACCTGTACAAAGTACTTAATTTCCCAGTTTAGTGCCTTTGTCTGTGAAATGATACGTAACTTTTATGGCTATTATGATGATAAAGTAAGAAATGCATGCCAAGTGCCTAACATAAAATCAATGCTAAGAAATGGTAGCTATTATTAGTAATAATGATAAAGAATTTTGCAAAAATTTCCCTTTAAATCCTAGGCGTTGGTCATATTGAATTACTTGTAGTTTCTCAAACATGTTCTCTTGTTTTCATGTGTACCTGCTGTCTTGCTTTGCTACTCCACTGTATTCTTCACTTGATTGCCTCCTACTAGTTCTTCAAGATGCAGGTGTTTCCTTCCCTGGAAAACATTTCCTAAAGTCAGGGGACGTGTTTTCTGTTTTCCTCTATTATTGTACTTCTTATACTCTCTAATTTTCTATTGACCTATTTTCTTCCAATATAAGACACTTTCTTCTTGTGTGATTTTCAGATAAGCTACTAAAGTCTTGGTTTCCTCATCTGTGAAACAGGGATGTAAAAATTAAATGAGATGCACTTGGCACTTAGGCCAATGTCTAGCACCTTCCCCAATCCCAAGAACATAATAGGCAGTCAACAGGTGTTTACTTATGAAATGAAAATAATGATTTACAAATTTTATTCAATCTAAAAAAAAAATCAGAATGTGTAGACCATACATAGGAGAGAGGGCATCCCCCCAAAATCTGATGTTAAGTGAATAAAATCAATGTCATGAAGCAGAATGGTGGTTGCCAGAGGCTGGGGAAAAGAGGGAATAGACAGTTATTGTTTAATGAATACAGTTTCAATTGTATAAGATGAAAATAATTCTGAAGATGGATGGTGGTGATGGTTGTACAACTTATGAACATATGTAATATACTGAACTGTACACTTAAAATAGTTATGACAAATTTTATTGTATATATTGCACCACATTGAAAAAAAATCAACATCATGAATGAGATTAAAACAAAGGTCATTTTAAGAGAATATTTCTCAGGCCAGGAAAGACCTGGTTATAGCCTAATTAGTAGTGATATTAACAGTAGGGGACTAGTCAGCATGGAAACACACACAAAAAACAGAGTCACGTTGCCAGGGGAGATGATCAATCTGGGGACTAGATAATTCCAGTCACTTTAAAATAATTTTGTTACAAAGCAGGGGTGGTTTATCAACTTCACCACGGCCTAAAAGAAATATGCTCATGCATAAACCTCTGAACAGGTGATTTGGTGTGCAGAGTGCTTTGGCTTTGCTGTTTAGAGAGAAGAACACTGGAAAACAGGTGGGTGTAGGTGTTGTCAATGAAAAGAAAGATTATCCTTTGTAAATTAATGAGATGGTATCCTGATTTATGCATATGTCCCTTCTGTTCTGAGTCTGTTTATTAGGAGTAAGTTTCCCTTTCTCTGATCAACTCAAGATTGACTTTATAGGTATGAAAAATCCAAAGCAAAACCCTCAGCAATCATGACCTACCAATAAATGAAATGACAGTTTAGGAATCCTTCTGATCCCCCAAAACCACAACAGGGCAAAGTTCATTGGTAAACAGCAAAAAAAATTACATGAACACTATAAACATTTTTTAGATATTTTGTCTTTTTTTCAAAGGAATAATAGTAACAAAAAAACAAGAGAGCTCATAAAAAGTATTCTGAGTATAAGGAACATAATCTTAATATTCCATACTACTCATTTTTCAAAGAATATATCCAAGACTTTGAAAGTGGAATCAGAAATGGAAAAAGGACCAAAAAGAAAAAAAAAGATAGTGAAGAGAATCCAGAAATAATTTGGTGGCAGGTTTTTATTTTATTCATTTATTTTTGAGACAGAGTCTTGCTGTGTTGCCCAGGCTGGTGTGCAGTGGCAAGATCTCAGCTCACTGCAACCTCTGCCTCCCAGGCTCAAGCGATTCTCGTGCCTCAGCCTCCTGAGTAGCTGAGATTATAGGTGTGCGCCACCATGCCTGGCTGATTTTATATTTTTAGTAGAGACAGGGTTTTGCCATATTGGCCAGGCTGGTCTTGAACTCCTAGACTCAAGTGATTTGCCCATCTTGGCCTCCCAAAGTGCTGGGAATTATAGGTGTTAGCCACCGCGCCCAGCCCTGAAGCAGGCTTTTAGATAAGATTGCATGTCCATGAAAATTTTGAGGGAAGAAAAAAACTTCCACCCTGTTGCAAAGATTAAGGCAGTGAAAGGAATCTGAAAAACACTGGATCTATTATGACCAAGCTTGTCTGCTCTTAATGCATTCCAAACTCCTAGTTCCACTTTGCATTTCAATGTAGAAATATAACAGTGTTGGTAACAAAGTAACATCTGACATTCCATGATAATTCTTGGGGAAAGGAAGTCTCTTTTGTGAAATATAGATGGAGTCAAATGCCTTAGGAGAAGTTTTGGTCAAAACGTGGTCCTCTACATGAGCTCTAGAAGAAATCATTCGGCTCCTTCTACTGCTGTCGTGGAAACAGGTTTCACATAGTATGGCCCTTCACTCAGGTAAGTTCTGAGCCTCAAATAATTTGGGTTCCCAAAGATTTCTGCAATTGTCTTGGAATTGGCAAGTGCTTTCACTAGTTCATATTTGGCATCCTTTGAAGCTTTGTCATGCTCCACAGACCGGTCCACCACATATTCTACAAAACCTGGACTGTTAAACATAAGTTTCTGAGCCCAGGGTTGGTTTGCAATGGCCTGAAATGGAAGGCAGAAAGAATACAATTCCCCTGAGTGGAAGTTGTTTGTTAATGGGATGGCACAATATTTACAAAGAAATCTGGCAACATGAACTTTAAAAATGTTACCTTTTGTCTAAGTAAATTCCTTCCTGAGAATCTAACTTAATAAAATAATCTTAAATATGAAAAATCTTTGTATACAAAAATGTTCATAATAGTGTGAAAGTTACAATATAAATATCTAATAATGGGAGAATGGTTAAGTAAATTATGGTATATAGCAATAAAAATAAACATTAACAATAATGTTTACAAAAAATAGGAAATGATACAGGTAAACCTGTTATATAAAAAAAGCAGATTCAAATTATAAACAATGCATGATTACAACAGTGGAAAAATAAAAACTAAAGTAGAAAAGACTAACCTCAAGATACTCATATAGTGCACAAACATTTTCAAGAATGTTCATTGTGGTATCATTTGTAAGATACTATCTAAATCTTCATTTATAGGAGAATGATATATTGTGGCTATTCAATGAAATACCAACTTTCTAACTGCCTCTTTTAACATAGACAAATTTTAAAAAAACGTAACATTGAAGAGAAAAAAAAAAAAAGCAAAAACTGCAATTACTTTTGCACCAACCTAATGGAATGATACAAACAGCATGATACCACTTACAAAGTTTATGAATATCTAAAATACTGTGTTTTATTTAAGGATACACACAATATGTAGTAGAAATATGAAATCATTTATGGGCCCTGACTTTGTGATAGTGATTTTATCTAAGAACAGAGGAAGGGGAATAGGACTGGGCAGAGGTAGCAAGATACAACTATATTTGAAATATTTCACCAAAAATAAACACACACTAATACAAAAACTAAAAGGAAATACACCAAAAGGTAGAACTTTCTGTGATTTTAAAAAATTCTACTTCTAAGTCTTTTCCAAATTTTAAGATTAAGTTTTTCAAAACCTATTACGTTTTAATGAAAAAGAAGTAACAAGTTTATGGCCTAGTTTTTTCCTCTCAAAATGTGTTCCACAGACAAGTAGCATCAGCAACACCTGCGAGCTTGTTAGACTTTCAGGATCCCAGGCTCTGCCCCACAACTACTGAATTAGAATCTACATTTTAATAAGATTCCTAAGATTAATGTTTGAGAAACTTTGGCCTGCTTCACAACCAAGCATGAAAGTAGGCAGAAATAAAAATAGTTATCCCAACCAGTAAATAGAAAATTATTTCTACAATGGAACCAGCTAAGCACAGGATAAGGTAGAAGAGCAAAACCAAAATAAACTAATAATGAAAATACTAAGCAGGATCCAAAATGGCCATCTCATACAATGACCATTTACAAGGGTGAAGCAGTCTTAAAGAAATGTTTCTGGCTAGGCGCGGTGGCTCACGCCTGTAATCCCAGCACTCTGGGAGGCCGAGGCGGGCGGATCACAAGGTCAGGAGATCGAGACCATCCTGGCTAACACAGTGAAACCCCGTCTCTACTAGAAATACAAAAAGAAATTAGTCGGGCATGGTGGTGGGCGCCCGTAGGCTAGCTGCTCGGGAGGCTGAGGCAGGAGAATGGCGTGAACCCGGGAGGTGGTGCTTGCAGTGAGCCAAGATCACGCCACTGCATTCCAGCCTGGGCGACAGAGCGAGACTCTGTCTCAAAAAAAAAAATGTTTCTGAAGATTATAGGAATACCTGTATCCTTCAAGACCCAGATCCTGTATCGCATCCTCAGGAAGCCTTCCCTCTTTTGTCCCTGCCATTTTCCTTATTCCCTCCCAGTCTAGGCCATGTATGCTGTCTGAGATCCCATTATTGATATGATTACTAAAGCGATTACTATCTTGCTATGCTGGGGCTACAAAGATAAATCAGATATGCTTCCTGCTCTCAGCCAACTCTACTTAATAGGTAAGACAAGTCGATAAATAAACATTTGCAAAATAATATAACAAATAGAACACAAAGGTATAATCCTTACCACAGCTGTAATTATATAAGTAACTGTACAATTATATTTACTGCCTGGCTCCTTCAATAGACAGGAAACTACATGAAAGGAAGGTCTTTATATATTTTCTTCACTGTTGTATGCCCTTCACTGAGCAAAAACGGAAACTCAACAAATATTTGCTGAATAAATAAATGCAACATATGAGAACCAACATTGTTTAACTCAACCTTGTCAATCTGGGCAAAGTGTGCTGAAGACAAGGAGTTAGTCCTTGACGAGTGAGTAAGAGGTTAAGAAGCAAAGTTAAGGAAGAGTGTTAGATACGGAGACCCCAGCAAAGGTCCAGAGACACAAAACAAACAGTTTGGTACCACTGGAGCATTAGGTGCCAGAAGCCTTATTTTCTGCACGGGAAATAAGGATTAGGAAGACCAGGGCTAGGTTAATAGAGGATGGCAGATAAAAAGTCTGGAATTAACTGTGTGATCCCATAGCATCCTGTTCAAACCTCAAACAGCACCTAATATCTTTTACTGAAACAATCTGTTTACACATCTGTCTCCTTACTTAGTCTCTAAGGTAGCAGAAGGTAGAAACTATACTATGCACTTGTGCATCCCCAGAGATGGCACAGGCTCTGGCTCACTGTTAAGTACTCAAGTGTTGAGCTGGCAGGGTCCCAGAAGGACCTATGGAAGTGAATACCTACCGTAAACACTTTTAAGGCAGCACAGTGTAGTTCAGGGAAGGGCTGACTACTAATGCCACGGAAGAGCTCCAGTGGATCCCGAGATAAAGAAGAAAACCAGGATTCTGTCATCCTCAGAAGGTCATCAGTCTGCTGCTCAGGCTACAGGAAAGAAAAGGAAAATCTCATCAAAAGTTAACTGATCTGGAGAAAAGCACTTATTTAGAAGTCAGACACCTGAGTGCTGATGGCACTCTGTCATTAATTTGTTGTGTGAAACTGGCTAAGTCTGGAGGACTCTTTCTCAAATCCAGCCCAGACCTTTCCCAGTTTTCTTTGAATGTGGTTGATTAAGCAGTCTCTAGAGTCTCTTCAGTTCTAACACTCTATGATTCCATTTTAAATTAAAAATGTCACTAGTCATATAATGAGGGTTATCTTCTTGTATTTACTTCATCACATTTATCATGTTGATTCATACAGATTTATTCTCCCAAACATATCCCACTGTCCTTCATTATTTCCCTACCTACTTACTGGTAAGTACAGAAGAGATGAAATTGCATCCAAACATCTAATTTTTAGCTCCACTGGGGCATTCTTTGATTGATGTCCTATTCTCATAAGCAAGCGTTCAAAGCGAGTTCCTTTGAAGGATAACAGTGAGATTCTTCTTTATTATGGTAAAATATACACAACATAAAATTTACCATTTTAACCATTTTTAGTGTATAGTTCAGTGCTATTAAGTACATTCACACTGTTGGGCAACCATCATAACCATCCATCTCTAGAACTTTTTCATCAACCCAAACTGAAACTCTGTATCCATCAAACAATAATTCCCTTTCTTCTCTACCCTCATCCCCTGCCAACCACTATTCTACCTCCTGTGAACTGGACTCTTTTAGGCATCTCATCTAAGTGGAATCATACAATATCTGTCCTTATGTGTTTGGCTTACTTCACTTAGCATAATGTTATCAGTGGCGCAGGCTTCCTCCATGCTGTAGCATGTGCCAGAATCTCATTCTTTTTAAAGGCTGAGTAATATTCAATTGTATGTATATACCACATTTTGTTTATTGATTCATCTATCAATGAACATTGGGTTGCTTGCACCTTTTTTTGGTTATTGTGAATAACGCTGCTATGAACATGACTGTACAAACATTTGTTTGAGTCTCTGCTTTCAATTTTTTTTGGTATATACCTGAAAGTGGAGCTGCTGGATGAAGGAAATATAAAATGTACAAGGGTTACAATTTCTCCACATCCTAACACTTATTATTTTATGGGTTTTTTTTTAAAGTAATAGCCATCCTAATGGATATGAAGTGAAAAATGAGATTTTTTTAAAGTATGCTCTCATACACTATGACCTCTACCAACCTAAACCAATACAAAAATAAGCATGTAGTCAGAGAACCAGTGACAGGCCTAGAACACATAATTACACGCAACACAGCATATATAAGGCAAAGTTATAAAACTGGAATCAAAGGACCTGGACTTGAGTAGCAGCTGCCATAATTTGTATGACCTTAGAAATTTTCTTAACTCCTCTAAGTTTCATCTACCTTATCTGGAAAATGAAAATGACAATGTATGTTCTTTGCAGGACTGTAAAACGATTGTCATAGGTAAAAGCACTTAGAAAACGACATATAACAAAAATATTAGCTGTGATACACAACAGCGTATTAATTTTCTTTTTTTCTTTTTCTATTTTCTAATTTTTATTTTTTTGAGATGGAGTCTTGCTGTGTCACCCAGGCTGGAGTGCAATGGCGCAATCTCGACTCACGGCCCAGGTTCAAGCGATTCTCCTGCCTCAACCTCCCGAGTAGCTGGGATTACAGGCGCCTGCCATCACACCTAGCTAATTTTTGTATTTTTAGTAGAGACCATGTTGGCCAGGCTGGTCTCGAACTCTTGACCTCAGGTAATCTACCCACCTTGGCCTCCCAAAGTGTTGGGATTACAGGCATGAGCCACCTCGCCTGGCCTCTTTTTAAATTTTTTTTTTGAGATGGGGTCTCACTCTGTCACCTAGGCTGCAGTGCAACTGAGTGATCAAGGCTCACTACAGCCTTCACCTCCTGGGCTCAAATGATTCTCCCACCTCAGCCTCCCGAGTGGCTGGGACTATAGGCATGCACCACCACAGCTGGCTAATTTTTTTTGTTGTTGTTGTTGACGAAGCTGGTCTTGAATTCCTGGGCTCAAACGATCCTCCCGCCTTGGCCTCCTGAAGTGCTGGGATTACAGGTGAGATAATTTTCAACATATGTGTCTCAAGAATTTTAATAATTGGGCTGCATATTATTTTGTGTGTAAAATTTGTTGTGCTGTTGATCCTCATGGATGTTCCATAAAAGTATCTTTCTTTCTTTCTTTTTTTTTTTTTTTACAGAGTCTCGCACTGTCGCCCAGGCTGGAGTGCAGTGGTGTGATCTCGGCTCACTGCAACCTTTACCTCCTGTGTTCATGCCATTCTCCTGCCTCAGCCTCCCGAGTAGCTGGGACTGCAGGCATGCACCACCACGCTTGGCTGATTTTTGTACTTTTAGTAGAGACAGGGTTTCACCATGTTGGCCAGGCTGGTCTCGAGCTCCTGACCTCAAGTGATCCACCTGCTTTGGCCTCCCAAAATGCTGGGATTACAGGCATGAGCCACCATACCTGGCCTCTTTTTTTTTTTTTTTTTTTGAGATAGAATTTCACTCTGTCACCCAGGCTGGAGTGTAGTGGCATGATCTCAGCTCACTGCAACCTCCACCTGCCAGGTTCAAGAGATTCTCCTTCCTCAGCTTCTCAAGTAGCTGGGACTACAGTTGTGCAGTACCATGCCTGGTTAATTTTTGTATTCTTGAGTAGAGATAGGATTTTGCCATGTTGCCCAGCCTGGTCTTGAACTCCTGAGCTCAGGCAACCCACCCACCTTAGCCTCCCAAAGTGCTGGATTACAGGCATGAACCATTGTATCTCTTAACATGCCAAAAGTATCTCTTAACATGAAATCTTATAACAAACTTTTATTTTCCTTTCTCAAAATTTCATAAATATTCACAACAACCCTGAGAAGCAGTTGTTATGCCATTTTTATAAATGAAGAAAATGAGGCCTAGAAAAGTGAAGTGAGTAAATGAAGTTCAAAAAGCAAAGTCAGGGCTGGATACAATGGTGTGGACCTGTAGACCCAGCCAATCAAGAGGATGAGGCAGGAGGATTGCTTGAGCCCGGGAGTTCGGGGCCAGCCTGGGTAACAGAGAGACACTCTCAATCTCTTAAAAAAAAAAAAAAAAAAAAAAAGAATAGAAAACCCAAGGACATGAATCCAGACCTTTCTGACTCTAGCCCGTGGTCTTTGTACCATGAAATCTAGTCAAAGAAGACATCATAGAGGGGAAACAGGAAACAATGTTTGGTTGAAATCGATTGGTAGAAACCTAAACCAATGAAAACCTAAACCAGTGAAAAGTCAAAAAAAAAAAAAAAAAGGTTTTCCGTAATAATTATTAGATTTTCAGACATGAGTACAAGGTCATGGTTAACAAGACTGCCACCCATAAAATAGTTTCTACAATGTAGTTAACCCACCAGCAAATGAACTTACATATTGAACCCCTGTCAAAGATTAAGATATCCCTGAACAGGGCCAAGTCATACCAACCTGTTTTCTGTAAAACCTGTTTTCCTTCAACATTGGATCCCAAGATTCCAACTGTGTCTACAGCTACACCAATCATAGTGGGGTCCTGACTTTCTATCATTTCAAAGACTTTTTCCACAAAGATAGGATAACGCTCACAGATCTGTTGAGGACTATCCATGACAGCCAGGTTTCCAAAAAACTTCACGAATCCTAAAGAGATTTACAAAAATATATTTTAATAGGGGAACAAGACAGCATGAATTGCGGGCTCTATGACTTCACAGGAACAGAAATGAACTGCAGGCCAGAAAAGCATAGAAAGGTTAGAGTAGTGTGTTGCCTGGAGATCAGAGAGACCATTAGGAGATTCTGAAGGACCTGTGATGTGTGATCCTGAGAGAGGGCGTCAATGGAGCTGGGACCAGCTATTGAAGTACTGGCATATGCAAGAGGGAGAACAAAGAAAAAGGACCAGTGGATACAAATTACAGGAAGGCAAGTTTAGACTCATTACCAGGAAGAAATTTTTAAATGGATATGTTCATTAATAAAATAAGCTAGGCTACCTAAGGCAGGCATACATCTCCAATTTCTGGAAGTGTTCAAGAAAGACTAATCAACCAAAACCCAGAATAGAATGGCAAGAGTAGATCCTACAACAGATAAAGACTCCCACTCAGAGATGTGATTAATCTGTGAAACATACTGTAAATGTCATTACTAGTATTTTTATTTATGTTTTTGTTGATATTCAAAAAGAAAAATATCCTAATGTTCTAAATAGCACTGATGTTTCCAGAAAACCAAAGTCAACAGTACGTAGCTCCAAGAGCAACAGATTCCACCTCAATAAGAGGCTATAGGTATCTTTTTAAAAAAATTAACTTTTAACTGACAAAAAATCATATATCTTTATTGTGAACAATGTATTCTGAAATATGTATATTTAAAAATTATTTTTTCTGCTTTCGTGAAAAATGTCATTAAATTTAAAAATTTTGGAGGGAATGCACTGAATCTATATAGTGCTTTGGGCAGCATGAACATTTTAATAATATTAATCCTTCCAATCCATGAACATAGGATACCTTTCCATTTATTTGTGTCTTCTTCAATTTCCTTCATCAGTTTTTATAGTTTTCAGTGTACAGATCTTTCACCTCCTTAAATTTATTCATAAATATTTAATTTTTTTTGAATGCTATTGTAAATGGGAATGTATCTTTGATTACTTTTTCAGAGTTCACTGTTAGTGTATAGAAATGCTACGGATTTTTATGCACTGATTTTGTATCCTGCAGCTTTATTGAATTTATTTATTCATTCTAACAGTTTTTTGGTGGAAACTTTATTCTATATATTAATAAAACATTACATCACTTGCAAACAGGGAAATTTTCACTTCTTTCTTTCCGATTTGGATGCCTTTTATTTATTTATCTTGCCTAATTGCTCTGGCTATAACTTCTTGTACTTTGCTGAATAGAAGTGGTAATTGTGGGCATCCTTGTCCTGATCTTTTTTTTTTTTTTTTTTTGAGATGGAGTCTCACTCTGTTGTCCAGGCTGGAGTGCAGTGGCGCGATCCTGGCTCACTGCAATCTCCACCTCCCAGGTTCAAAGGATTCTCCTGCCTCAGCCTCCTGAGTAGCTGGGACTACCGGCACCCACCACCATGCCCGGCTAATTTTTTGTATTTTTAGTTGAGATGGGGTTTCACTGTGTTAGCCAGGATGGTCTCGATCACCTGACCTCATGATCTGCCTGCCTTGGCCTCCCAGAGTGTTGGGATTACAGGCATGAGCCACTGCGCCCGGCCTTGTTCCTGATCTTAGAGGAACGCTTTCAACTTTTCACCGCTGAGTATGTTAGCTGTGGGTTTGTCATACATGGCCTTTATTGTGTTGAGATAGATTCCTTCTATACTTTATTTGTTAAGAGTTTTTATCATAAAAGAAAGGTGAAATTTGTGAAATGCTTTTCCCGCATTACTTGGTTGCTGTCTTTATTCTGTTAACATAGTATATCTTATTTATTGATTTGTATATGCTGAACCCTCCCTGCATCCATAGGATAAATCCCACTTCATCAGGGTGGATGACCCTTTTAATGTGCTGTTGAATTTGAACTTGGTTGCTCTAGATATCTTCTAAACGAAATCAGCTCATTAAGGAAATCAGCTCTAAAGGAAAACAATCCCTGTCCACTCCCTACCCCAACCCCCTGATGTCAGAGATAACTCAGAAATAAAACACGCACCATCATTTCCATAGGCATCAGTGTTCCTTACCTGGCAGATAGAAGCTAGAGAAAGGGTCTGAATCTGCCCCAACAATTATATTAGAAATTTGGTCAATTACTCCTTCTTGAGCAAGATATTGTCGCCCATGATGAGTATATGCCAGTGATGTCACCATTTCTATACAGGTGGCTCTAAAATGTCAGAAGGACAAAAACAAGGAGATTTTGCACAGGATTTGCATAGTTTATAAATTGCTCTCATACAGGTTATCTTATTTAATTCTTCTTATCACATTCGAAAGGTCAATAATCTTGGCTCCTCTTTTCACATGAAGCCCTAAGGCCTAGAAATTTGCAGTGACTTCTCTGTAATCATATTGTTATTATAGGCAGAGTTTAGATTTAAATCTTGACCTTCTGATTTGAAGTCCACTATTGTTTCCACTATAACCTAGCTGCTTCCTAAAATATTTTCTAAATTTGTGTTTTATTTTGAAATATCATACACAAAAGTAATGAGAATACAATAAGCCCCCATATACACATAACCTGATTTTATGGTTATGAAGATTTTGCTTTACTTATTTCATCTCTTTTCCCTACTTTTTGCTGAACTATTTTAAAGCAAATCCTAGTCACCCTGCCATTTACCCCTGCATACTTTAGTATGCATCTCTACAAAACACATATGTTTCCTTACACAATTATAATGCCACTGCCACATATTAAGAAATTAACAATAATTCTTTGGTATCATCTCATATCCAACCATGATCAAAGAAAATAACTAAAAAATTTATTTAGTTGGTGGTTGATCCTAAACTGTTTTGACTGACCATTTACAGGTTTTTTTCTATGTCACAAAATTTGATACAATGCTAAAAAATAATTAACAAAATTAATTGTCTCATTAGGTTGAGACACTCAAATGCACTGAAGCAATGTAACTAGTGACTGATTTACTCATATGGGTTTAATAAATTCAGCCATGTTTAAAGAACACAGGACAATCAGAAAATCATTTAAGATAAGAAAAATCAAAACCTATATACACAAAGATAACTATAATGCTATCATAACAGCAAAATACTTGAAGCAAATCAACTGTTCAACAGTGAGGAGGTATTAGTAAACTGTGGAATATCAACAAAAGAACATTTGGCAGATATTAAAGGGGATTTAGGGAATAGCGGGTGGAAGAGACTGGAATTAACATTTCTTTGAGAACCTATGTCAGCCATTGTACTGCTTTCTATGGTCAATTAGCTTAATTCTTACAATATCTTTTTATTTTTTTTGAGACGGAGTTTTGCTCTTGTTGCCCAGGCTGGAGTGCAATGGCACGATCTTGGCTCCCTGCAATCTTCACCTCCCGGGTTTAAGCAATTCTCTTGTCTCAGCCTTCCCAGTAGCTAGGATTACAGGCACCCACCACCACGCCCAGCTAATTTTTTGTATTTTTTTAGTAGAGACAGGGTTTCACCGTATTGGCCAGGCTGGTCCTGAATTCCTGACCTCAGGTAATCCATCCGCCTCAGCCTCCCAAAGTGCTGGGATTACAGGCTGTGAGCCACTGCACCTGGCACAATATCTTTTTTAGTTACTGTTCTGAGAGATGAGGAAACTGAGATGTAGAAAGCTTATAATTATCTGTCCAAGGCCAAACAGCTAATAAATAGTAGAGAGGCATGCAAGCCAAGTCTTCCTCATTTTGAAAAGCTCATATTCTTTTTTTTTTTTTTTTTTGAGACAGAGTCTTACTCTGTTGCCCAGGCTGGAGTACAGTGGTGCAACCTCCACCTCCCAGGTTCAAGCAATTCTCCTTCCTCAGCCTCCTGAGTAGCTGGGAATATAGGCACATGCCACCATACCCAGCTAATTTTTGTATTTTTAGTAGGGACAGGGTTTCACTATGTTGGCCAGGCTGGTCTTGAACTCCTGACCTCATGAATCGCCCACCTCAGCCTCCCAAAGTGCTGGGATTACAGGCGTGAGCCACCGCACCCGGCCTAGCCCATGTTTTTTCTATCATGCCATAGTGTTGCTATTTAACAATGCCAAAATAAATGAATATGATAAAATATTAGTAATTCAAAATGGCAGTTACCACATGATTGCAACTTTTTAAGAGCACACAGGCCTAGGGACATGGAACAGAGTCACTTGAAAGTAGCTGAATTGTCATGTGGGGCTTTCCCAAGTTCCAGTATGTTGTCACGATGTAACTTGAACAATTTTCTAAAGATCCCTCCTTCAGGACACACATCAGTCATGAGATTGCAACCTGGGCAAAGTCTCTAATAGAGAAAATCACAGATGTCCCAAGGTTGTTTCCCAGCCCTTCAAAAGAGGATATTTCACTTTAAGAACTCAGTCAACACACCTGACCAACACATCCTCACCAGTCAGCTCTCTCAGGAGCTGGGTTACCAATCCACTTGTGGTACAGTAGTTTAAAGATTCTGGTGACACGGAAGAAATCTCTATAATTAGCTGAAATAAAAAAAAAAACACAGAAAAAAGAAAAAGGTCAAATCAGCCCTACGCCTGATAGATCTCATTTTAAGTTAAATGTAGGACTAGGTACTTTTTATAAATGAGTTTTAAAAAATCCATTATTTGTCTCTTTAAGTAGAAAAACTTCAGTGAACGCATAAGAAATTACTTTGGCACAGATTATTATTATTATTATTTTTGAGACAGAGTCTCACTCTGTCACCTAGGCTGGAGTGCAGTGGCGTGATCTCAGCTCACTGCAACCTCTGCCTCTTGAGTTCAAGCGATTCTCGTGCCTCAGCCTCCCCAGTAGCTGGGATTACAGGCATGCACCACCACACCTGGCTAATTGTTTTGTATTTTTAGTAGCGATGGGGTTTTGCTATGTTGGCCAGGCTTGTCTTGAACTCCTGCCCTCAAGTGATCTGCCCGCCCTGGCCTCCTGAAGTGTTGAGATTACAGGCATGAGCCACCATGCCCTGCCACCTTGGCACAGAAATGTTCCATTATATCTAGGTGTATCAGCACTTTCCCGCCCAAGCAATCATCAATCAGGGTACAAAAGCCTGAATCAGCCACAACAAACAGATTATAAAACCATTCACTCATTCAGGCATCCTGTCAGTCAGTCAGTCAGTCATTCACTCACTCATTCAGCAAGTATGTTCTGAGGTCTTACTGAGAGATATAGGAAGACACTGAAGGGTTTTAAGCAGAGAAATGACACAATCAGATTTGGACTTTTAAAAGACCATTCTGACTGCATGAGAAGATAGACTAGGGATGATAAAAATGGATGAGTGGAGACCAGTTTGGATGCAAATATAGTAGCCCAGGTGAGTGACACCAGTAAGTTAGTCTAGGGTGGTAGAAGCTGTACTAATGAAGAGAAATGCAGGGGTTTAAATAAAATCAACAAAATATGATGACCGAATGGATATGTGGCAAGGAAAACAGGCCTCAGAATGAGCCAAGGTCTAATACCCAACTAAGCAGACTGTGAGACACAGCCAGTTTGTTGTCTTATTTTTTATTAGGGGGATAGGGTGGATAAGGAAGATCAGGAATTTGATTTCAGCATGAGTTTGAGTGGCCT
This sequence comes from Homo sapiens, assembly GCF_000001405.40. Classification (NCBI taxonomy): domain Eukaryota; kingdom Metazoa; phylum Chordata; class Mammalia; order Primates; family Hominidae; genus Homo; species Homo sapiens. The sequence goes on from NC_000009.12 coordinate 120,830,308, forward strand.
AGAATATACCCAAGGGGCCAAGAGTGAGTAAGCAGTTGAGCATGAAGGTTCGAGCTCAGAAGAAAGGTCTCAGTTGGAAGTTTACATCTGAGAGGCATCATCACTGATGGGAAGTGAAATCATAAGTGAGTAAAACTGCCTAGGAATGAGTAGAGTACCGTGAAAGCAGGGCTTGGAACTCTGTTTTCATCAACTCCAACAATTAAAGATTCAACGGAGGATAATGAGCCAGGAGGCTGAGAAGAAACTGAGAGGTAGAAGGAAAAGCAGCATAGTATGGTATCATGACATGCAAAGTAAGAAAGTGTTCTGAAGATGGAATTAGACTATAGAGGATTCTATTTCAAACATGCACCCTATTAACTGTGTGGTCTTGGATCAATTGCTCCATCAATATGAGGTTAATGATAACAACATACAAAGTTTACTGTAAGAATTAAAGATAATATATGTGAGTATTTTAGCATAGTGCTTAGTACAAAGCTGGTACAAATAAGGGCCATTTCTTATTACTACTACAAATTTTTTCAAGTCTGGTTTCAATATCTTCTCTATCATAGTAATTATATTGCACTGTAAATATATATATATATATAAAAAGGGTCTTGCTCTGTTGGCCAGGCTGGAGTGCAGTAGTGCAACCACGGCTCACTGCTGCTTCAACTTTCTGGGCTCAGTTGATCCTCCCACTTCAACCTCCTGAGTAGCTGGGACGACATGCACATACCACCATGCACAGCTAATTTTTAAAATCGTTGTAGAGATGGGGTCTCACTATGTTGCCCAGGCTGGTCTGAAACTCCTGGCCTCAAGGGGTCCTCCTGCCCTTGCCTCCCATAGAGCTGGGCTGTAAGTATTTTTTATGACTGTCTCACATACTAGGCTGGGAATGCATCCTTATATTCCCAGCACCTACTGTAGGGCCAAACACAGATTATATACTTAATGAGCCATCTTGCTTTTCAGCATAAGCCAAACTGCATTCTGCTTTGTAAGCATGAGAAAGTGTGCTTTTTATCTTACCTCATACACCCTGTATCGAACAATGTCATTTGTTTTCATTACACTTTTCAAATCATCCAGCAGATTGCTTTCAAATAAAGCCTCCAGTCCAGCTTGGGTTAGTGATATTCTTGACAGGGATTTGATAGCCTTATAACGAAAGAAAATATCTCTTACATTCCCAAAATGCAGGTTATTATCTACTTCATAAGAGTGATGTAAAAATAGTGCATGGAATGCACCTTGCCCATGTTTTAGCTATTATTTATAATTGGAAAAGACGCAAGGTATCCCCCATAGAATTATGATGGATACTGTAGATATGTATATCCTAGAAAATGAAAGGGGTTTACTAGTATTTACTTGACAACCATTTATTTTACACAATCCATATGAAGTTGTAAATTCCATTACGCAAATCATCCATTCTAAACCTTCACCTCTCAATTCAGAAGGCCTTTCTTTATCTTTTGGGACACCGATGTCTCTGCACATTTAAGTCAATGATTCTAGTAGACTCACCGCTTTTGCTACAGATAGATTCTCTCCACCAATGCAATAAACAATTTGTTTTAGTAATTCAGCATTATTTAGAATCTCAGTAACAGCATCAGAATTTTCAACAATTCTTCCAATCTGAAAGAAAAACAATCAGAAACACTCTTCTAAAGTAGGGCAACATACGGTAAACACACGATGGTCCAATTTCCTTAGTGCACAGTTATTTTAGGAGTTAGTGATCACAGCTATATATCAATTCATTAAAAAATCAAAATGACCTAAATTCATTCAGTCAAACACACATATGGTATAGTCACATCTTTGAAAGGAAAGAAAAAAGAAAGTGGGTAAAGAGGTAAGATAGTTCAGTGAGTGAAAACAATACAAACCCAGCTCTATGTTTAGCTACACTGACCTTGCACAAATTTTAGCCCCATTTCTTATCCGTAAAATGGGAACACAATATTTAATTCCAGGATAGTTACGAAGATTAAATGAGACCGAACAGGCAAAGCACCTGCTACAGTGTCTGGCATATAAATGGCCAGTGAATAAACTGATATCTTCCCCCTTTCCCCCAACCTTTTTTTTTTTTTTTTTTTTTGAGATGGAGTCTCACTCTTTCGCCCAGGCTGGAGTGCAGTGGCGCGATCTCAGCTCACTACAACCTCTGCCTCCTGGGTTCAAACGATTCTCCCACCTCAGGCTCCTGAGTAGCTGGGATTACAGGCACCTGCCATCATGCCCAGCTAATTTCTGTATTTGTGTAGAGACAGGGTTTCACCATGTTGGCCAGGCTGGTCTTGAACTCCTGACCTCAGGTGATCCGCCTGCCTTGGCTTCCCAAAGTGCTGGGATTACAGGCGTGAGCCACTGTGCCCAGCGCCCTTTTTTGCTGAATAAACACAGAAAAGGAAAAACAGTAGTTCAGTATCTACTGAGTAACTGTTTAGCTCCTAACATTTCAACAAGATAATCCTTAGCAGCAGCTCTTCACTCAAATAGCAAGGATGCTTTGGTTACCAGGATGATAAGAGTTACTGTCTTAATTGTTGGTTTAGTGACCTTTACAATAGCATTTGGTTCATCCAGTGTAAAGAATCTAAAATGGCAGAGAGCTATTTGAACACATAGGAATCTTTTTCTTTACACTAGGAGCTCCTTGAAGGAAAGTAATCAGTTTTGTTTATCTTGGTAACTCTAACAGCATATGGCACCATGCCTGGCATGTAAAAGGAACTCAGTCAGTATCTGATTAATGAATGATTTAGATGGTACTTAATGGAACTTCTTTCTTTAGCTTGTATCTCCCAGGTTATAGTTAGCTATGCACATTGGAATAGACCACACATTTCCTAGGGGGAAAGAGGGAGCAGAGGAGAGGGGGAGAAGGAAGAGGGAAGGAGAGAGAGAAATACTGTGCTTTCTTCATCTTTCTGTCCCAGTGCAGAACCTGGCCCAGAGCAGGTGGTCAATGTCGGTTCCTAGTAGAATTTCATACCTGGGAAAGAGTGAGGATTTTTACAGAATCATCAGGGTGAATTAGTCCCCTCTGCAGGTCAACCCTGAGGTTCCGGGCCACGTGAACCGGTTCCATAGCTTGGAGCAATCTCTCCAGAATGGATACACACAAAGTAGTCTTTTCCCTGAAGGAGACATCATAAATCTTATTAGTTCATATCCTGCCCAGGTAGGAAGTAACAACCTAATAATAGCTGAAGCTTGCGTCAGCGTCTCCTCCACACAGACTTCTTTTTGAAACAGCAGCTTTCACTCACCTACTAAACATTTGCTAAGTACCTATTATGCGCATTGCCTGTGCTGGGGCAACAGAGAAGAATAAGATATGCACTCTAGTCTTCTTTTTTTTTTTTTTTTTTTTTTTTGAGGTGGAGTTTTGCTCTGTCGCCCAGGCTGGAGTGCAATGGCCTGATCTTGGCTCACTGCAACCTCCACCTCCCAGGTTCAAGCAATTCTCCTGCCTCAGCCTCCCGAGTAGCTGGGATTACAGGGGCCTGCCACCATGCTGGGATAATTTTTGTATTTTTAGAGACGAGGTTTCACCATGTTGGCCAGGCTGGTCTCGAACTCCTGACCTCAGGTGATCCACCTGCCTCGGCCTCCCAAAATGCTGGGATTACAGGCTTGGGCCACCGCACCTGGCCTTTTTTTTTTTTTTTTTTTTTTGAGACAGAGTCTCGCTCTGTTGCCCAGGCTGGAGTACAGTGGCACGATCTCTGCTCACTGCAACCTCCGCCTCCTGGGTTCAAACAATTCCCCTGCCTCAGCCTCCCGAGTAGCTGGGACTACAGGTGCATGCCACCACACCCGGCTAACTTTTTGTATTTTTAGCAGAGACGGGGGTTTCACTGTGTTAGCCATGATGATCTCGATCTCCTGACCTTGTGATTCTCCCACCTCAGCCTCCCAAAGTGCTGGGATTACAGGTGTGAGACACCGTGCCTGGCCCGATATATTCTCTAGTCTTAAGGAGCTCAATACAATGAAAGATACAGAAAAAAAAGGCAACTGTAATCCAGATAAATAAACGCTATGGGCTAAGACTAGAAACTATAGGAGCTTAAAAAAGAACAGAGGGTACAGGGAAGGCTTCCCAGAAGGGTAACATCTAAACTAAATTTTAAGAAAAAGTAGGAGTTATCCAGAAGAAAAGTGTTCTAGGTAGAGGGAGTAGCAGCACATGAAAAGGCAGAGAGGAATAAGACATAGTATTATACTTTCAAGGAACAAGTAGTTTGGTATGATTGGGGTCAGAATGGGAGAGAGGTGGTGAGAAGGTAAAAGGGTGAGGTGAAGGACAAGAACTGAAACTGAAAAGATGCACAGAAGCCAGATTCTAACAGGTATTTTATGTCATGCTTGGAATTTAGACTTCTTCCAGAAAATCAATGGCAGGCCATAAGTGGTCTTAAAGAAGTAAAATGACGAGATCTGACTTATAGAATTCACTCTGCACCAGTGTTAGGGGAAGAATTTTCAATTACAAGGCAGTAAATGGTGAGAGGTGATGAAGGAGTAAACCAGGGGAGCAGCAGTGAGGATAGAGAGAAGAGGGAAGAACTATGTAAGAGAAACTGATGACTACCAGTGGTAGATACAGAAGATGTTTTCAGAACAATTTTCTTGTCTCTTAATAGACACTACAAATAAATGGGCTAATATATTGTTAGTAGTAGTACACAATTCAACTGATACAACCTTTTGGGTAGGTAACTACATGATACAAATGAAAAGCCTTAAAAATGAACATACTCTTTTAATTCAGGAATTTCACTTTGCATAATTGAACCTAAGGTAGTATTAAGAATGTTTTTATACCAAAGATAATTGAAAACATGCTATTTTCACAAAACTTGTACACAAATGTTCACAGCAGTGGAAACAATCCAAATGTCCACCAAGTGATGAAAGGATAAACATGTGTTATGTGCATATAATGAATATTATTCAGCCATAAAAAGCAATGAAGTAATGATACATATCACAATATGAATAAACCTTTAAAATATTATGCTAAGTGAAATAAGCCAGACACAAAAGGCTTCCTTTTGAGAATGATTCTGTTTATATGAAATGTCCAGAATAGACGAATCCATATAGAAAGTAGATTCCGCTAGGCTCGGTGACTCACGCCTGTAATCCCAGCACTTTGGGAGGCCATAGCAGGTGGGTCACCTGAGGTCAGGAGTTCAAGACCAGACTGGCCAACATGGTGAAACCCCATCTCAACTAAAAATACAAAAAAAATTAGCTGGGTGTGGTAGTGGGCGCCTGTAATCCCACCTACTTCAGGAGGCTGAGGCAGGAGAATCGCTTGAACCCAGGAGGCGGCAGTTGCAGTGAGTCGAGATAGCGCCATCGCACTCCAGCCTAGGCGACAAGAACGAAACTCTGTCTCAAAAAAAAAAAATAAAATAAAATAAAGTAGATTCCTGGTTGCCAGAGGCTGGAGGAACGGGGAAGAGGAGGAATGAGGATACTTACAAGTATGGTTTTCTTTTCCTTTTAAAAAAAAAATGTGATTACAGGTAAAATTTACCATTTTAACCACTCTTAAACGCACAGTTCTGTGGGAATAAGTACATTCACTTTGTTGTCCAGCCATCACCATCGTCCATCTCCAGAACATTTTCCTCTTCCCAACCAGAAACTCTGCATCCATTGAACACTCCCTATTCTCCCCTCCCCAAGCACCTGGCAACCACCATTCCACTTTCTGTCTCTCTAGATTTGACTACTCTAGGTATGTAAGTAAAAGCATACAACATTTATCCTTTTGTGTCTGGTTTATTTCATTTAGCACAACGTCTTCAAAGTTCATCTGTCAGAATTTCCTTTCTTTTTGAGGCAAGATGTACAATATCCCATCATATGTATATACCCCATTTTGTTTATCCATTCATCCCTTCATAGACACTTTGGTTGCACATGTGGGTTGCATTGCTTCTGTGCCTTTTAAAATTTTAGCCAATCTAATAGTGTGCAGTAGAATCTCACTGTAATTTTAATTTGTATTTCCCTATTTAATGTTGAATATCTTTCTACGTGCATATTTATCATCTGTACTTTTTTTTTTTTTTTTTGAGATGGAGTCTCGCTCTGTTGCCCAGGCTGGAGTGCGATGGCGTGATCTTGGCTCACTGCAACCTCCACCTCCTGGGTTCAAGTGATTCTCCTGCCTCAGCCTCCCGAGTAGCTGGGATCACAGGTGTCTGCCACCAAGCCCAGCTAATTTTTGTATTTTTAGTAGAGATGGGGTTTCACCAGGTTGGCCAGGCTGGCCTCGAATTCCTGACCTCAGGTGATCCACCTGCCTTGGCCTCCCAAAGTGCTGGGATTACAGGTGTGAGCCACCATGCCTGGCCCCATCTGTACTTCTTGTTCAAATCTTTGGCCCATGTTTTAATTGGGTTATTTATTTTCTTGCTATTTAGTTTTGAAAGCTCCTTACATATTCTGAAAAGAAGTCTTTTATCAGATATATTCTTCACAAAGATTTTTCTCCATTTGTGACTTTTCTTTTCATTCTCTTAACTGTATGTAACCTTCGAAGAACCGATTTTTTTTTTTTTTTTTGAGACTGAGTCTCACTCTGTTGCCCAGGCTAGAGTGCAGTGGTGCGATCTTGGCTCACTGCAACCTCTGCCTCCCAGGTTCAAGCGATTCTCCTGCCTCAGCCTCCCGAGTAGCTGGGACTACAGGTGCCTGCCACTATGCCTGGCTAATTTTTGGTATTTTTAGTAGAGATGGGGTTTCACTGTGTTAGCCAGGATGGTCTCTATCTCCTGACCTCGTGATCTGCCCACCTTGGCCTCCCAAAATGCTGGGATTACAGGCGTTAGCCACCGCGCCCAGCCAATTTTTGTATTTTTAGTAGAGACAGGGTTTCACCATGTTGGTCAGGCTGGTCTGAAACTCCTGACCTCATGATCCGCCCACCTCAGCCTTCCAAAGTGCTGGGATTACAGGCGTTAGCCACCACCTAGCCTGAAGAACCGAATGTTTAATTTTGATTAATTCTACTTTGTATCACTTTGTTCTTTTTTTTAGACAAGCTCTCTCTGTCACCCAGGCTGGTGTAGTGGAGCAATCACAGGTCACTGTAGCCTCCACCTCAGCCTCCTGAATAGCTGGGACCACAGGCATGAGCCACCACACCCAGCTCAATTTATTCTTGTATAGATCATGCTTTTGGTGTCATATTAAAGAAGTCTGTTTAACTCAAAGTCATACATTTTTTTTTCCTGTTTTCTTCTAGAAGTTTTGTAGTTTTAGGTTTTATATTTAGGTCTATGATCTACTCTCATACACTGCTGGTAGAAATGTAAAATACTATAACCACTTTGGAAAACAGTTTGCCAGTTGCTTAAAAAGTTAAATATACACCTACCATACCATCTAGCCATTTCATTCCTAGCTATTTACTCAAAGAGAAAAGAAAGAATATTTTTATGTAAAGACTTGTACATGAATGCTCACGGCACTGTCATTTGTAATATCTCCAAACAGAAAACAATTCAAATCTCAAATGTTCACCAACAGGGGAATGGATAAAAAACTGTAGTACATTCATACAATGGACTTACACTCAACAATAAAAAGGAATGAACTATTTATTCATGCCACATAGATAAATCTCAAAATAACTATGCTATGTGAAGGAAACCAAACAAAAGAATACATAATGTATGACTCCATTTGTATGATCCCTTCCCCCCATGTCTGGCCAAAATAAAGGGCAAGTTCATCTACAGTGAGAGAAAGCAGATCAGTGGTTGACTGGTTGAAACAGGGAGAGATTAGCAAGGGGTATGAGGGAGCCTCTGGGAGTGAAAGATACATTCACTATCTTAATTGTGGCGATGGTTTCATGGGTATATACATATGTCAAAACTTGCCAACTTGTACGTTTTATTAAGTGCAGTTCATTGTATATAAATTATACCTTTGAAAGCTGTTTAAAAAAAAGTAGTGGTACGTTAAACTGCACAGTGCACAAATTTCAGATCCTATGTGACCCTTCTTTGCCAACGAGCCAAAGAGTTAATGCTTAAAATTAGTCTTGTTTGATTTTCATGTTCTAAAGCAGTAATCTTAGGACTTAAACTCTCTCAAAAAAAACTGTCAAGATTCTAACTTACATCTGCAAGATCAGATTGTGAACCAACACACAACAACTTATGTGGTTTAGCCAGGATAACAGCAAAGTATCTGAAGACTGCCAGATACTATCCAGAGAATTATTCCCACAAGGTGCAGTTGGTATCTACTATGTATCCAGTTCTGAATTATTCTGTCTTTAAATTCCATTAAAATTGTTCCCTAAAGCACTGCTCCTTCATTCAGCAAACTATCTTCCCCATGGACCTGAATCCTCAAATTCTGCCTCACTTCAGTTCCTACTGCATCTCTGCTGTCAACTTGCGGTATGACCTCTGGAAGTCTCTTCATCTCTAATAGGAGAGGTTGGACAAGGTGGCCACTCTAAACTCTGTGAGTCTCAAATTTAATTGGGCGTATACTGCATTATGTGCTGGGCCCTAAGAGGGATGCAGACATGAACAAAATGCGGTCACTGCCTTCAAAGAATTTACAAACTGGAAATAGACACACAGAGAACTATAACATAGGTAATAGTGTCAATTATCATTAACAGAAATAACAATAATGTCCTTTAGCAGATCTAAGGAGCAGTCATTTGCAACTGGAATAATTGAGAAAAATATTTTGGAGGAGATGGCTCTTTAGTGGGCCTAAAAGGATGGACAGAATATGGACAGACAGCAAAGTATTTCAGTTAGAAAGGCTGGTATGAGTAAAGTTAGGAAAGTGCAAGTCAGGCTTAAGGAAAAATAAGGGTGCCACATGGTAGCTGGAGCAGATGAAAAGAAGTGGAGTGGAGGAAAAAAGTGAGGTTGGAAAAGTAGGATGGAAATATACTGTAAAGGGCCCAAATGGCATTCTAAAAACTCACTACAGGCAATGGGAAACCACGGAAAAGATTAGCACCAGCTGACTCGAGATGTATGCTCACTGGGGTTACAAGGTGGGAAGGAATTTGCTAGAAAAGGAATTTGCTAGAAAAGGAATTTCAGAGGTAAGGAGAAGTCAGACTAACACTACAGACCTAGCAATAGGGAAAAAATGAGGGCTTGAATTAAAGAGGAGACAAATAAGAGACATTTCATAGGCAGACCCAAATAATGTTAACTGATAGACATCATGAATGGAGAACACTTACAGAAAAGGAAGGAATCTTAGAAGGTCAGAGCCAAGAAAGCGCTCTGAAATCATCCACTGTTGATTCAGTGGTTCATAATCTTTTCAAGTAGTAAGGTCACTTGAAAGTCTTTGATCACAAACATTTCAAAACTCTTTTAAATGATCAAATTATCAAATACAAAGTGGTTTTTTTTTCCTTTTTTTCCCCAGAATCCAGGTAAGAATTATAAAATGTTTTTTTAATCTTTTTTTTTTTTTTTTTTTTTTTAGACAGAGTCTTGGCTGGGCGCAGTGGCTCATGCCTGTAATCCCAGCACTTTGGGAGGCCGAGGCAGGCAAGGCAGATCACTTGAGGTCAGGAGTTCGACACCAGCCTGGCCAACATGGTGAAACTGCATCTCTATTAAAAACACAAAAAATTAGCTGGGCGTTGTGGTGGTGGCACGTGCCTATAGTCCCAGCTACTCAGGAGGCTGAGGCAGGAGAATTGCTTCAACCTGGGAGGCGAGGTTACAGTGAGCTTACATCCTGCCACTGCACTCCAGCCTGGGCAACAGAACGAGAACCCGTCTCAAAAAAAAAAAAAAAAAAAAAAGGGCCTCACTCTGTCACCCAGGCTGGAGTGCAGTGGTGCAATCTTGGCTCACTGCAACCTCTGCCTCCTGGGCTCAAGGGATCCTCCCCCTCAGCCCTCTAAGTAGCTGGGACTATAGGCACGCACGCCCAGTTAATTTTTTGTTTTGTTTTGTAGAGACAGGGTTTCACCATGTTGCTCAGGCTGGTCTCAAACTCCAAAGCTCAAGCGATCCACCCGCCTCAGCCTCCCAAAGTGTTAGGATTACACGTGTGAGCCACTGCTCCCGGTCTACAAAGTGTTTTTATTATTATTATTATATTATTATTATTATCTTGAGATGGAGTCTCACTGTGTTGCCAGGCTGGAGTGCAGTGGTGCAATCTTGGCTCACTGCAACCTCCACCTCTCAGGTTCAAGTGATTGTCCTGCCTCAGCCTCCCAACTAGCTGGGACTACAGGTGTGCGCTACCAAGCCCAGCTAATTTTTGCTTTTTTTTTTTTTTTTTTGAGACGGAATCTCACTCTGTTGCCCAGGCTGAAGTGCAGTGGAGCGATCTCGTCTCACCGCAACCTCTGCCTCCCAGGTTCAAGAGATTCTCCTGCCTCAGCCTCCAGAGTAGCTGGGACTACAGGCACGTGCCACCATGCCCGGCTAATTTTTGTATTTTTAGTAGAGACAGGGTTTCACTATGTTGGCCGGGTTGGTCTCGAACTCTTGACCTTGTGATCCACCCGCCTCGGCCTCCCAAAGTGCTGGGATTACAGGCGTGAGCCACCGTGCCTGGCCTAACTTTTGTATTTTTAGTAGAGACGGAGTTTCACCATGTTGGCCAGGATGGTCTCGATCTCTTGACCTGGTGATCTGCCCGCCTCAGCCTCCCAAAGTGTTGGGAATACAGGCGTGAGCCACTGCACCGGGCCTACAAAGTGTTTTTAATCAAACACTACGGATGTGTAAAAAATCAAAAATAAAAGTTGTCCTACTATTTTCAGACCCACTTCCCTATTAATAGTTTCTGGTGTACCTTTGCAGATATTTGCAATGTTATACAAGTTTTACATGCCTGTGGGGGTTGGGAAGATTGTAATCCTTTTTAAAAATTACAGGTTAAAATTATAGATTGATATACCCTGCGATTTTCTTTTTCATTCAACAACACAGAGATTGGCCGGGCGCAGTGGCTCACGCCTGTAATCCCAGCACTTTGGGAGGCCGAGGCGGGCGGATCACGAGGTCCGTAGATCGAGACCATCCTGGCTAACATGGTGAAACCCCGTCTCTACTAAAAATACAAAAAATTAGCCGGGCGTGGTGGCGGGCGCCTGTAGTCCCAGGTACTCGGCAGGCTGAGGCAGGAGAATGGCGTGAATCAGGGAGGCGGAGGTTGCAGTGAGCCGAGATCGCGCCACTGCACTCCAACCTGGGAGACAGAGCGAGACTCGTCTGAAAACAAACAAACAAACAAAACAAAACAAAACAAAACACAGAGATCTTTCCATGTCCACATACATATATATACATCTACCTCAATAACTTAAATAACTGCACAGTGTTACAGAGTAATAGCGCATAATTTGGAATCCTCTGTTAACGGATATTTAGATTGTTTCTAGTGTTCTGGTGCCACACACGATATGTTATATTCTTGCATATAATGTTGTAGGGTCCTCCAGTCGCCCCCTTTCTTTCTCTGTCCTGATGGAAAATCAGAGTGCCTTGATTGCTCTCTGACCTAGCCAGCGGCAGGTTTCCCTAGCAGGCTTGACCATAAACCAGGGGCCTTGAACATTCACAGGCCTGATAAAGGTACCTAGGTTGTTGCCCAAAACACTGGAAGAAACTGGCCTCAACCCTGAGCCAAATTCCTTTAAACTCTCATCTGAACTCCATACCCTGACCCCCTCACTGCGGACATACCCAGGAACACCTTTCTCCCGGTGTCCGTCTTGACAATTTCTGCAGCCCTCTGCAGGTTTCCCCCTAAACGCTTTTGGACTGATCGCCTTGGCATTCAGTGCTTCTTTTTCTGTCATCCCAACCAGCCACATCTCGGGAAGGTTTGAAGCACTCCCTCGTGGGAACTCTCTTGCCGCTGCTTTTGGGGCGATTCCAGCCTCGGGTTCGAAAGAACAAAGTAACTGCACATTTTGTGCGCGTATACTTGCATTAAATTTTTTTAACAAGAATGACTGGATGAAAAAGCATGTGAATTTAAAATGCTGATGGTTCTTGCCACATTGCCAGGATAGGATCCTTTTAGAAGGGGAAACAAATCAAGAACCTGTACAAAGAGATGTGGAATGCTCCTTGTAAGTGGACAGCTTTGCTTTCCTCCTTTAATTTCTATTTGATGAAGAAGGCAGTGCCTCACTGCTCAGAGGCAGCGAGGCCAGGCGACGGGAGAAAACACCCTGGGGCACTCTCAGAGGCTGAACCTGAACCCCATCTCCTGCCTCTGAACCCAGGATCCTTCCTTCTCTGCAAATTTCGGCTACTTTCCACCTCCCCTGTGACTGGGAAAAGCGCTGTTCTTGCCCTCAACCACTCTCATGTCCATATTTAGGGGTGCCCCTCTCCTCGGCTCAAGCCCCCGGGGTCCTCTCACCTATGGTTCTCGTTAAGCAGGGAGAAGAGCGGGCCGAGGCGCAGCTCCGCCGCTTGCTGGCGAAGCTCGTTGAGCGGCACTGCCTGCAGCACGGAGTGAAGCGCGCGTAGCTCCTCCAGCGGCGCTTCCAGCCTCGCTACCTCTCTCAGCAGCGCCAAAGCCTGGGCTGCCATCTTGCCCCCCGACGCAGGGGCTGGCCCAGCGGCCCAGTTCCCGGGGCGCTTTCCTGAACCTCGCGAGATCTGATCACAGCCTCCTTGTCCCTGAGATGGCTATGGGGCTGCCAAGCCTCGCGAGAAGCCTCCGTTAGGGCCGTGTCAACTGTAGCCAGTGGTTGCGGCTCCCTCAGTCTGGCGTCATCTAGGTCGCTGCTCAGGGAAATGCGGAGGCCAGTAGGCTTACGTGTTTACCGCGTAGGGCAAAGCCTTGCCAAATTCCCGGCCAGCGGAGCGGCGAGGGTGGGGACTCACGGGAAGTTAAACAGCCTCGTCGGCGTCCTCGAGGCTCCAAAACCAGGCTCTAGGCGGGGACGACTGCAGCCGTTATGGAGGCCACCGCGGCTACGGCCGCGGCTGAGGCCTCCCCAGGTGGAGCGGTGGCCTGGAGGGGAATCTTGATCCTGGGCCAGCCACCTGTCAAGAGGAGGCGGAGCGTCATGCCTCTGGAAGACTGGATGAATATTCTCCAGGAGCCTGACGAAGGCGTGAGTAATAGGGACGTGCGCCGCCTTGTTGGTGTTGATCAGTCCACCAAGGAGAAGCAGCTGGTCGCAGTGGCCGTACCTGTAATCCCAGCGCTTTGGGAGGCCGCGGCGGGAGGATCGCTTGAGCCCGGGAGTTCGAGACCAGCCTGGGCAACATAGTGAGAAACCCGTCTCTACCAAAAAGAAAAAAAAAAAAAAAGGAAAAAAATTAGTGCGGTGTGGTGGCACGCACCTGTAGTCCCAGCTACTCGGGAGGCTGAAGCGGGAGGGTCCCCTAAGTCTAGGAGGTCGAGGCTTCAGTGAGCGGTGATTGTGCCACTGCACTCCAGCCTGGGCGACAGAGCAAGACCCTGCTTTCCCCTCTTGTCCTCCACTACCCTCAGGAAACCAAGAAAGACCAGCGTGGAGAGTTGGTCGCCCATCTGCTCTAAGCTGCTGTGTATTCCCCTGTAATGTAAACATCGTGAAGGTGGAGACCCAGTTAACCTTTTAGGTGGAAGGCCAGATGACAGAGGGCGGCATCTGACCCGGAAGGCCCTCTGCAACCAGGCCAAATACATCTACAGGGAACCAATGGGAAACATCTGGGGAGGACAACCCAAATAAGTATCATGCGAGCAAGGGATGGTTTGAGAACTTTAAAAATCGCTGCTGTTTTGCAACATACGAAGTTGATGGGGAGGAAGGACCCTTAAATCCTGAGTGGGTATCGAGTATTCCAAGCAACTGGAGAGAGGCTTTGTGCCTCAACAGGTCTTCAACGCCAAGGAGATGACCCATCTTTTGCAGTGCATGCCTTCCTACTTTTGGGGCAAAAGACAAAAATCTGGAAAGCTTAGAGGAAGCTAAGGACAGGATTTCCCTCATTTTTTTGTGGCAGTGCCTCAGGTGACAAAATGATAAAACCACTGCTGCTTTACAAAGACTCTAACACCCCACTTGTCTTTTAGAGATAAACGCCTTCCTGTTTTCTTGTAATCACACCCAGAATCACCACTGCCACTTTTTGGATTAGTTTTACAATTTTTTTATCCATCAAATCCGAAGTCATTTAACAAAAAAAATCTGGAAATCAGAATGTTGCTAACTGTGGACAGAGGTCCCAATCACCCAGATTCATTATTCTTTGTTCATTCTAATGTTGATACTGTGTTTCTCCCTCAGGAAGGCCCTAGCTTTCTTCAGCCCTTGGGTCAGGGTATAACTGAAGCATTTGAACATAATCAAGCATATGTTTGACCACTTTGCTGACTGTATTGAAAAAACCCTCACCTTACTCTGAAAGAAGCATGGCAACAGTACAATATTGCCGATGCTTTGGTAGTGATAAAAGAGGTGATGGGTGATATAAAATCAGCCACTCTTAAGCTTGCTGGAAACTGTGGGAGGATGTGTGAATGATGCATATTTCCCTAGAGCTAATGAAGAAGTTAAAAAAAATCTTAGTGTCTGCAAAACAGGTGGGTTTAAGATTTATTGATATTAGGGAAAGTGAAATTAATGAGCTACTCAAGTTTCTGTCTTTGGTCATCACTGAGAGTCTATTTCCATAGGAAGAAGTCTTTGCAGAGGAAATTGAATGCTGTCTGATGCTACAATTCATATGGATCCTTTCCTGGATTGAAGCCTGACTTTTAAAAAAGGTTTCAATAAATTGCTTATACCTATGAAGAGATGCAAAAGAACCTTCAAAATAAAGCAAAGGACTTGAAGAAAGAGAAGGAAGACATGAAGAAGAGGATGTCATTTAGGTGAAGGTGATGGATACAGAATCTGAGTCTGAGGGGAGCCTGGTTGACAGAGAGACAAAAAAAGAAATTTTTTTTTTCTGACTAAAAAAAAAAAGGAAATTTTGTTAACAAAATCAAGAATTTAAAAAAAATGCTGTGAGAGCTGATCTATGCATCTGGTTTGTGAGCCAGTATTCTGTGATGGCTGCAGTTTTTAGAGATCCTAGTAGCTCTACACATCTGTCTTCTGCTTTCCTAGAACCTGGGCACCCCATGGATGACTCACTGCTGGTTTTGTGTGTGTGTGTGTGTGATTTAAAATTACATTCAGTCAACTCTATAGCCCTATGGGCTTTTTGAATAACCAAATGCTCAACAGTTCTGTAATCTTTCAGGTTGCTGTGATCAGTCCCCAAGGAGTCTACACTCTCAAAGAGACTGGGAAAGGCCTGTGAGACAATGGGATTCTTTTTTCTAGAGGTGTAACTCTGCCTGTGTTTGCATGCCACCTCCAGAACCACTAAAATATAATTTCTCAGTGGGTGACTGAGTAAGACTGGCAGCAATTGCAAAAGCAGATTCATGCCATGTGTCACTCTTCACAGTCAGGAACTTATTTACCTCTTGGAACTTTCCAAAGGAACGATGATGGTGGCGGTAATGTCACATTAGTATGGAGCCCTTAAATTCAGCAGTGTTCAACCTGAGGGAAGACAGAGTAGGTCAATTCTCTTGGCAGCAGCTGAGGGAAGGAGAGAGCAGGGAGCAGGGCTCAGATAAGGTTTGTTTGGCAGGGTCCAAGCACTTCATGGAATGGAGACCTTTGGCTGTCAGAGATCTGAGGAAGATTTGTCAGGGCCTGCTACACTCTGAGGGCTTGCAGTTTGGATGGTTGGGAACACTTCTTCCTTGCACTGATGGTGCTCCTATTTCTATGACACGTGTACTAGTTCAGACACAATTTATTGTGTTCACCAATTCTATGCACAGCAATCAGACTGAGATTGAAATCCAGTATAATATTAAAGGTGATCTGGGCCAGGCGCAGTGGCTCATACTTGTAATCCCAGCACTTTGGGACGCTGAGTTAGGGGGATCACTTGAGGCCAGGAGTTTGGGACCAGCCTGGGCCAGAAAATGAGACCCCATCTGTAAAAAAAAATTTTTTTTAGGTTAGCCAGGCATGGTGGTGCATGCTTGTAGTCCTAGCTACTTGGGACACTAAAGTGGGAGGATTGCATGAGCCCAGGAGTTCGAGGCTGTAGTGAGCTAAGATTGTGCCTCTGCACTCCAGCCTGGGTGACAGAGCAAGACTCTGTCTCTAAAACACACACACAAACAACATCTGACAAGGCATTTCAGCCTGGAGTCAGTCAAAAAATCTTAGAGGTCTGTAAAGGAGATGACTATGCTGTTAGGGCTGTGGTAGAAACCTTTAATAACAAGTGAAAAGAGCTTGTATTTGCCAAAATGAACACAGGATATGATTCTTTTTTTGCTTTTGCTTTGGAGTTGTATCAGCTCTGTGCGGTCACATGGGTATCTACAAATCAAAGCACCCATCAACCAGATGCATCTCTGAGAGTTAACAGCAGAAGGTGGCATAATAAAAGAAGTTCTCGGTAGTGAAAAAGGTTGGAAACCACCAGCTAAACCAATCCTCTTGTACCAATAGGAGATTCAAGTTGAGAGGTGGGAAAGGGCCTATCTCAGAGTAGGTGCTTGAATACTTCTTACTAGAATGAAAGAAGGAACTTAAGATCACACAGCCATGTTACTGCAGGACGGGGAATGGAACCTAGGTCTTCTTATTTTTGGTTCAGTGTTAACTCCCATTCTCTAAGCAGACTGGGCCTGTTATTCAAACTGCCTTCCCATAGGTGCTTCCCTGCTTCTCTCCTCACCCAGAGAAGGACTTACAAACAGCTTATCTTCAGAGGTTTTGTGCCTGATAGTTATGGAATGTGCTGGTTTGAGCAGGGAGGATGTAAGGGGAGGGAATGCTAAAAGCCTGTCTACTTAGAGTCAGGTTTCCTGGGTAAGTCCCTGGAACCCCATCCCCTTCCCCTTTCTTGAGACCCCAGGACTTGCTCCAGTAACTGCCACCCTGTGCCTTTGCTTCAGGGCCATGCTGGATAAGGAGCTGGCTGCCTCTGTGAACATCCTACTCAAGGCATCTTCACTGTGAGTTTTGCTGTTGCCATTGGAGGGGGAGTGGGGGGAGTGTGGGGAGTGCTAGGGTCAGGTCCTGGCTGGTGTAAAGAACACTGAATTAAAGGAATTGTCAGAATAACTCAAAGGCATTTAGATAATCAACAGTCCATTTCAGTGTTTTTATTCAGAGATCGATCGATCAGTGGGATGTTGTCCAACAAAAGCAAAAATAGACTGTATAGAGAAGGAAGGAAAAACTGCATAATTTAGGAACAGTATATCTTGTTTGCACATTCTTTGGTTAAATCAATTAGCCTGCTGTTAGGAAGGAAGTCTGGGCATTTTATCCTTGAGTAAACCAACTAGGGATATCAGAGAAAACAGTTTCCAATGCTTTTGGATTCTCCAGAAAACAGACAGTTTAGCATATATGACAGGCTGCTTCTGCGTATTGTCTACCTTTCATTTCATTAACAACTTCACTTTAGAAGCCTGGTCTGCACCATTTCCCTCATCACAATACTTTAGCATCCTGGCACTAGCTGTGCAGGATTTGTCGTACGTCTTCCTTTCCCTGATGATCATGTTTCTCATTTCCTTCCCTCTCTCCCTTACACCCTCAAAAGAGAGAGACATAATATACATTCTCAAGGTCATATAAGCTATATAATGAAAGCTACCTTTTTCTCCCCAGTGATGTTATTTCCTCAGTGGCTCACACCATCTGTAGTCATAGTTCCCAAATTTGGCCATGCGGTCTATCCCTGAACTCCAGCCTCAATCTATTCAATTAGTCGCCCTGAGGATGGGGCCCAGGTCTCTGAATTTTTAAAGACTTGTATAGATAAGTCACATTTAGCCAGTCTGGGAACCAGTGTTGGGAAATTGAATAGAATTTCATCCTACTATTTCCTTTATATGCCCATCCTTTCTCGTGATGTATTATTTTGCCACAGTCCTGTGACACAGGAAGGGCCAGTGGCCTTGGTCATCTTAGATTTGCCCTTGTTGATCTTCTCAGGGTAAATGTCTTTCCTTTCCCCTGATGGTGTTCTTATACTGTCTTCTGATCATCATTTCTGACTTTGTTTTCAGCATCTAAAAGTTTCCATAACTATAAGGCTTACTTCTTCCCTGCAGTCTTCCGTGTTTTTAGTTATTCATTTATGGGCACTCTCCTTGGAAAGTCAGTGATCAAAATAGCACTAGTGTGTAGGATGAGCACTGGAAGAGCTCAAGCAGAGAAGACATAGGAGTTTCTGCAGGGCTGTCCTGGGGTGGTTCTTGATGAGGCCAGTTGGGGAAAAAGCTAGGTGGCAGATGTTGGCACACTATAAGAAAAAGCATCTTGTGAAAACCTTTAAGTTAGATGGACTTCATCAAGAGATGATGAACCTCCCACCTCCAGGAATGTTCAGGCAAATGCCAGATGCATGCATTGGAATCGTTGGACCAGATGACATGTGAGGCCTTGGTCAACTCTAGACTTGTTTATATAGGCTTGGAAAGATTTTAAAGTTTTCTCCTCAGTAGGTCACTTAGGTGGGCCAGGTTTGACACTTCACTGAGCTCCTCTTAGGAGCATCATAATTTGGTTTTGTTCCCTTCTCCAGGTACTTTTGGGAGGGAAAAATAGAAGCCACTAACATCCTGTTAGTGAGGATGTGAGTGTAGGGAGTCTTTTTTTTTTTCTTTTTTTTTTGAGACGGAGTCTCACTCTGTTGTCCAGGCTGGAATGCAGCGGCATGATCTCAGCTCACTACAGCCTCTGTGTCCCGGGTTAAAGCGATTCTCCTGTTTCAGCCTCCCAAGTAGTTGGGATTACAGGTGCCCGCCACCATGCCCGGCTTATTATTTTTTTTGTCTTTATTTTTTGGTAGAGACAGAGTTTTGCTATGTTGGCCAGGCTGGTCTTCAACTCCTGGACTCAAGTGATCCACCTGCCTCGCCCTCCTACAGTGCTGGGATATAGGCATGAGCCACCACACCCAGCCTGTTGTTTGTTTTTTCTTTTCTTTTCTTTTTTTTTTTTTTAACCATTAGTGCAAATGTCAACATAGTAAAAGGATAAATAATAAAATAATATTGTTATGAAAGTAGTTTTGACCCCATGGACCCCCTAGAGTCCTGGAGATCCCCATGGGTCAGTGGACCTTCACTTTGAGAACCTCTAGTATAAACCTTTATCATTCAGAAGTGGAATTTTTGGAATTGGCATCACCTGGGAGCTTTCAAGAACTGTAGAATCTCCTGCTCACCCCAGACCTACCGAATCAAATTATAGTTTAACAAGACCCCCAGGGGATTTCTGTGCACATTAAATCTTGAGAAGCACTGGTCTAAACCAGTGTTTCTCACCGCTGGCTGCTATGTATTAGCATCACTTGGAAACATTTTTCAAACTACCAATTTAGGCCCCACCTCACAGATTTCGACTTAATTTGGCCAGGGCGGGGATCAAGTATAGTGGTACTAAAAAGCACCTTTCTTTTTAGATGACTCTAACGTGGTCACCTGAACCTTCTGAGGTTGACTCTAACGTAGGGCCAGAGATGCAAACCACCTATATGGATGATGAAACCTTTTCTTTACTCCTTAGGGAACTAAGATTCTGTGAATACACCGTTCCCCTGGGTCTCAAACTAGCTCTAGAGGAGGCCCTCATGATACCACCTCAGCAGAGGTGAGAGAGTAAGGAACCATTGGTAGAGCCAGTACTGTGGAGAAATTAAAATTTAACTGGTGAGGGACAGCTTCAGGGTTAAGAGAGTTGGACCTCCTACCTTGAAACCTGGCTCCCCACCTGCCACTGTTCCATAGTGCTTGGAAAATATGAATATTTTATGTGCCTCAGTTGCCCCTTCTGTAAAATTGGGATTATACTAATGGGTTGTTATGCATATGGAAATTAATATGTGAAACCTGTACATGAAATGCTTTATCAGTCTCAGCTCTTATTCCTAATGTGTTAAAAATGTCTTTGAATTCTGTATGTCTGCTTATAAAAACACATAAGTTAACAAAATTCATTATCCTCAGGCACCCAACGTACAGAATATTTAAGCATACATTTGAAGCAACATGTGAATGTATACATATGCTGTGATTTATTAAGCATGTTACGGGAACTTTAAAACACCTCATTCAGCAGAAAGGAGGCAGAGGATTATAATCCTCATTTGACAGATGGGACACTGAGGCCCAAGTCCTCATGTTCCTTCAGTCTAGAAAGTGAAGAGAACTTGCACTGTGTGACAAGGGCCAGGCGAAAGACACAGGAGAGGAAGATAGATTCCTGTAGACCTTGTTTGTCAGGGAAGATCCCTTGGGAAAGGTCAGTGGTTGAATTGGACCTTGAGGGACAGAGAAGTTTTTTTTTTTTTAAGCAAGAATAGGCTTTTGATTGATCAGCAGGAGCAGGTGGAATCTAGGTGGGCAAAAGAATACAGAGATACTGGGGGAGGGGGGATTGTTTTGGGAAGTGATGTGTATAGGATAATAATAAAAAGAGTAGCTCACATGTAATGAATGCATACAGTGCCAGCTGGTATACTGGGTAAGTGCTTTGTATACCTTGTGTTAATTAATCCTCAGCAGTCCAGTCATGTAGGGCCTTTTTTTTTTTTTTAAAAATAGGAGCATTTAAAGAAAACTAAGTGACTTGTCCATAGTCAGACAGCTAGTAGGGGCAAAGTTAGAATTTGAACCCATGTCTGTGAGACTCTAAAGCTATCTGGCCTAACTGGCCACTTATTGACAGATGGGAAACATAGGCTAGGGAGTGACAGGCCGTGGGCCTGGACAGGTGGGGTGCGGCAGGTTGCAGAGGGCCTCCCTTGAGGCTGGCCAGTTGGGTTTTATCACGAGTTGATTCTAATCATAGTCACTTATAGGGCTTTGCTTTCTCTCCAAAGGCTGTACATCCTTTTGAAATCCCAGAGATCTTCAGTCTCCCTGTGGATTAAGGAGATGTGCAGTATTTAAAGTGGCTTCAGGAAGGCATGGAAGAGGACTGAGTGGGGAAAGCTTTTTGTGCATGCTGCTGGCTACCTCCAGCGGCTGCCTCCAGCCTCCATCAGCTGCACTCTGGGGAAGAGGAGGCTGCCTTCTACCTCCCAGCATCTCTGGATTTCATGTTCCTGTCAGCACAGAGGAGCTAAATGGCCTGTAGAGGCTGAAGGTCTGAGGCTCCTAAAGCTGGAAGAAAAGGCTGGGCCAGTCAGGCCAAGCAAGAACACAGTGTAACTTGTCTCTGAGTGCTTCATGGTTAAGGGGGCTAAGCAGGCACAAGGGCATGAGGATGGTTATATGTACAGACTGAGGGGAAGAAGCAGTGAAGATGAGACTTGCCATCTTCTTGAGTCAGTAGGCCTGCCTCAGGTGCCTAGGATGTAATTGCTCTGCTGCTTCTCATGGGGAGGAGTGGCCCTCATGACCTTGTTTACCTGGAAGAGTGTGGGATGAATGCCTCCTCCTATGGGGACTCGCAAGTGCTTTAGCAAAAGGATAAATTGCTAATTGTGGCATTTCGTGGATCAGCAGGATTATTTCTCCTTGCTAAAGAGGATTTTGTTGGTCCTGAATTCTGAGGAGGTGGGACTAGGAATGGGCTCCATGAGCCTGTGTATGACTCAGGGAATATTAGGACTTTGGCACAGCCTCATGGGTTGGGAGTAAGTCTTGGCTCTTCCCTAGCCTGAATGACAGACATCAGATCATTCTGGTGCTTTGTCCATGAAGATGTAGATTCTGAGCCCACCCAACTAATCTTTTCACTTGAGCACAGAAACAGCCCCGGGAATCGGACAGACCCGTGTCTTTCAGGTTTGCTTCACAGAGCCCCAGGGGTTGACAATAGGTGCCTTGGAGACTGCCTGCATGGGGATTTTTAAAAAGCTTTCTTTGTTAAAGGTTTGTAAACCACTCCTCTGAGCCTGTTTTCATTTTATAGATTATTCAGGGAACTGAACTGCACAGAGATCCAGAAAGTGGGTAGTGCAGGCTGTAGTGCTGATAACTACTGTACTACTTGGATCTTTGTGCTCCCAAATACCAAATGGAAGAGGATCTCTGAGAGTCCTTTGCAAAGATCTTGTAGGGACTTTAGGCTGGGGCCTTCGGAAAATTCCAGAGGATTCCAATGGAGATTTTGAGGGACTGACTCAGAAGAACAAAGAGAATGATAATGGTGATGTCCCTGCTTTTTACAACAGATCATGTTCTGATATATATGCAAATCTGTGTAAAGTAAACCCTACCTAAAATGTACTGGGGACCCAAGATGGACTGCCTGTATTGCTTCCAGGATAAAGTCCAATTTCTAGCTCTGGTTTTTATAACCTTGCTTCAGCTCACCTTTTCCGTCATCATCCCCTCCATCTCCTCTCCCACGCTGGGAAATGGATGGCTGCACTATACTGTGTGATGTTATTGCTATGTTCATGCCATCCCCTCTGCCTGGAATGCCCTTCTGCATGAATGCCTGTGAAATGTTGTTGCTCCTTTGTATGGCCTGGCTTCCGTGGTTGGCAGGAATCTCTTCTTTCGTGGTATTCCTGTCATCTTTGTGCATCACAGTCAGCTTTGTATT
This sequence comes from Homo sapiens, assembly GCF_000001405.40. Taxonomy (NCBI): domain Eukaryota; kingdom Metazoa; phylum Chordata; class Mammalia; order Primates; family Hominidae; genus Homo; species Homo sapiens. The sequence goes on from NC_000009.12 coordinate 120,852,914, forward strand.
CCTAGCTTGTAAGCTACTTGAGGATAGGGGCATGTCTGAATCTATTTAATCTCTTGCACCTGTTTGGCAAATTGATGTTTTAAGTATTTAAATAACTAAAGCTCTCTCTACAGTACATACTCACTTTTGATTTATGAATTGGCAAAATTCAACTTTTTTCCTTGAATATTCTTAAAGTGAGATGAATTCCAAAGGAGAGTGTTCTGTGTGTGGCCTTCATTGAGTGGTTTTCTGTTACCAGAAAGCTCTTGGTGGCCTTCCTCTTCCCTGGTGTCAAGGTTGACTGTTATAGGAAATGGGAGGGGAGAGGGCCGTTTCTGCCACGCATTGTCCTAGGTTCTTAACATTATTTAATCCTTATAATGCAATGTTATCCTCATTTTACAGATGAAACCTGAGACCAAAGAACATGTAACACATAAAGTACATTGCAGAGTTAGGATGTGAACCCAACTCTGATTCTAAACCTAATGCTCTCACTCTTTCATTCAGAGGTTCAGTCAGTTCTTTGTAGGCTGTAGATCCAGAGAAGCTGCCGTAGCCAACAATGAAGTTGTTAGTTTTTAAAACATCTATGTGGTAAGTTGGTCTGGCACTTAAAAATGTATTGTTTCCCAGGCACGGTGGTTCACACCTGTAATCCCAGCATTTTGGGAGGCCGAGGCAGGCGGATCATTAGGTCAAAAGATTGAGACCATCCTGACCAACATGGTGAAACCCCGTCTCTACTAAAAGTACAAAAATTAGCTGGGTGTGGTGGCGCATGCCTCTAGTCCCAGCTACCTGGGAGGCTGAGGCAGGAGAATTGCTTGAACCCAGGAGGCAGAGGTTGCAGTGAGCCAAGATCATGCTACTGCACTACAGCCTGGCAACAAAGCGAGACTCTGTCTAAAATATATATATATATATATATTGTTTACTACTCACCACAGATCTGCAGGAGTTCACTGATCTCTAGGATCTGCCTTAACTCCAACTTACATGTTTTGGTCACTATTACAAACTGTCATCCCAGAATGATGCTGCAGAGGCTAGGGCTAGGACACAGACCAGTGTTTCCATGTGGGAATTCCCTCCCAGTATTTCTTAGGAAATGTATGTTTTTTGAATCCATAATCCCTAGAAAAATCAGTTGAGGAAATGAGAAGTATTGTAATTATTCTGTGAATAGTAACACTTACCATTATGGAGACATCACTAGTTTGAAAGAATCCAACTTCATCAAATATTAACGTACCGAGTTGAAGGCTACAAGAACTGAGACAGGAGCATAGCAGAGAGAAACGGTCACCATCTCATTAGCCCTATTTTTGGTTGTTGTGATGCCATTACATCTGTATATCTGGCCATATCAGCTGCTAATGGTGAGTTCTTGCAAACAAAATGATTTGATAAACAACCTACCATACTTTATACAAATCTTATGGTGTTCCGAGAAATAAACTTTGGAAGCAAAATAAGTTAACAGTCTGGACACGATTGATTCTATATTCTGTTTACCTTGCTCTAGGCTATTCAAATGTTATATTTATTTGAACACTATCCAATATATGTTCCCTGGCATCTTCCTGTCTTTTAAATATTCTCTGTACGCTACAGTTCTTTGTAAGTAAAAATAAGCTTAATATGTCTACTTAGCAAACAAAGTTTTTCCAGATACCTATAATAATGAGGAAAACAGTATAAAGAATGAAGTATTTGAAGAATAACTTATAATTTGGGGGATTTCTGAGAATTCTACTTCTTTGTCCCTAATTTCCGAAGGTAAATGTTTGTTGTGAATTTGGAAACACTAGACTACAGAAAAGCAGGCACTCTCTAGCCTGGGAGGCCCACTGATCTTAGGAGGGTCCATATAGCTGCTTATTGCAGACCTTGCACTAGAACCCAGGTCTTTTGACACCTGGTGCCACTTTTCATTCCATTCCATTAATTATAGCCCAGAGAATAACCACCACCACCCCCAAGTCCCATTGTGGTTTTATTCTGAGGACAGATAAAAGGTTGAAGCTGATGGAGTGGTAGAAAGAAGTGGGAGCCATAGTGAATGAAGACGTTTAAGGGCAGATATTAACACCACTGAGTCCTTCATTCGGGATTACAGGTTACACTTTACCCCTCAAACTGTAGAATTCAGTGGAATCCATGGCCTTTACCTCTCTATAGATGACCTTTTTCCTACCCCTTTACATCTCCTGTTTTTTTCCTCTCCAAACTGCCCTAAATTTAGAGGTTTATTTTGAAGTAATAATCAGTCACACACAGCAAAGTCTCTCCCAACACATGGGGAGCAGATGTGCTGGGATTATCACTGCCATTTGAAGGGTGATAAAACTGAAGGAAAGGAATCTGACTAAAGTGGCACAGGTTAGAACTAGCAGAGTCAGGTCTAGAACTCATTTCATATTTCTAGAATTGTGTGATGATGTACTGATAAAGTTTTACGATGCCCGGATCTAAGTATTATAATAGTGTCAATTTCTAAGTTCATTTTCCATCTTTTACCTCTCAGTGGCACTCAACTAATGTTTTTTGCCCCCAAAGGTCGGGTACTCACAAAAGATTCCATATTCTCTCTGGCAGTAAGGGTGAGAATGTTGCTGGCAGTGGTAGGAGTGGCAAGGTGGCCAGAGGACAGGGTCCTGCCATTCCTCCTCAGCCTCCAGTAAACCAAGTGCAAAAGCCAGAGCCAATTCCTTCTGCCACCCAGCAGCTAATTCACTATAGGGAAGACAAGTGATTGTTCAAAGGGAGGTTTTAAATCATAAATCAGACACATTAATTATAACTTTAACAAATGTTATTAAAAGCAGCAATTAAAAACCATGAATCTTTTTGAAGGTGCAGAGGGTTATAAGGTCAGTTGGCAGTAATGCAGCTATTATCTGGTATGAATGAAATGCTGGGGTGGGGAGTCAGGGTGACCTCATTAGGCCTTGTGCTATCTTCCCAGGTGGTGCAGACACCCCCTCCCTCCTTTTCCCTCTCCAGGCCCACAGCCTCCCCAGAGCCCAGGTAGGGAAGGTCCAGATGTACTATAACAGGATTGCTCATCCCAGGCTATCTCAGAAGTCTGGAAAGCAGGCCTAGAAGGTTGCTGGGCTCTCTGAAGCCAGGCAGGAAGCTACAAATTGGATCCCAGTTCCCACAGCACCCCTGGGCTAGGGGTTGGCTTCTCAGCTCCCCTTCCACCTGGCCCTAGTTGGCCCCTGTGGCAGCAGCTGTGGGGCTGAAAAGGGGGAAGAACTGGGTCCAACGCCAGCTCGTCTATGCCTGGGCTGTGCCAGGGAAGCAGAGGAAAGTGGGTGGGCTGTGCACAGGAGGTGAGGTCCCCCTTAAAAGGCACTGTGGGAGCTGAGGTCTAAGATGGGGGGGCATCTAAACTATCTCAGGGACCCCCTGAACGCTCACAGGTAGAGAGGGGTCAGGCCTAGCAATGGAAAAACAGCTCCTGCAGGCCTGCTGCCCCGCCAGTGCCTCTTGCTGTACTACCACCTTCGCCTTCCTGCTGGCGGCCTGCAAAACCAGCCAAGCTGGAGGCCACAGCAGCAGTTGGCAAGGCTGGTCCCCATCTGGTGCCCACCCTCCACGTCAAGGCACTTTTGTCCATTTTCCAATCAAGTGAGTCAGTTTCTAATATCTCTGGAAGCAGCAAAACATCAGGGGTCCTCTTCCCCCTCCCAATTTTGGTTTCCCTCCAGATGAGGCAGAATTTGAATGTTGGTTCCAAAAATTCTCTTTCAAACCCCCACTGGCAAGGGCTTCCCTTTGAGGGAACCAAATGATGCAGGCTCTTTAAAAATTTCAACCTATCCCAAAAAGTGATTGTCCATTTCAGGGCAGGGCAAGGGATATGAAAGAGGGTGAGTCCCCTGTGCTTCCCTATGGGACCAATGCTGGTTGATGGGCTGAAAGAAGGAGCGGCCACTGAGCTTTCACATTTAGTTGCAGCACCTGGGCCCTGGAAGTGGGCCAAGGGAAAGCCAAGGGAGGAGCCAGCAGGCCCAGAGGGACGGTGTGGCTCTGTGTGTGTACACTTGGGCATGTGGTGGTGTGGCCGTGTGGGGTTGTCTGCATGCCTAGAGCTGAAAGTACAACACATGTGGATGGAAGCTTGTGCGAGTGGGTGTGTATTGTCTGCTGTGTGGTGTCTGGTGGGTCTGGGGATGGGAGGCACCAGAAACAGGTTTAGCAAGACATGGTTTCCCTCCCACCACTACCACCCCCCACCCCCGTCCCCCAGGTTTGGAAGGATGCCTCCATTCCAGCAAGGCCAGGCCCAGCTCTATGGCGACTGAGGGGGTGAGGCCAGAGAACAGAAGACTTCTGGGACCTCCAAAGCTGACATTGGCAGCCTTCACTCTCAGCCTTAATACCTGGGCCCTGGTGCTGGTGCCTTCTGAGGCAGACCCAGCCCTTTACTCTTCAGATCCTCACAGGCTTTCACAGGGGCTCTCTCCCATCCCACCACCTCTCTCCGAGGGTAGTGGGGAGTGGCAGGAAAGTGGAAGAGAAAAGCACTGAGCAGCATCCTCTTATCCACCTTCTCCCATGCTCTCTCAAAGGTGCCTGTTATGTAGTCCCTGGGAGGACTGGCTGCCCCACGGGTCACGTGTGAAGGGGATCCAGTGGAGGGACAGCTGTGCACACACAGGATGTGCGAACACACCCAGAAAGGGGCGAGAGAGGTCAAGGCACACAACTGGGGACAAAGACCTGGGCCTCAGGAGGAAGGGTCCCAGCGCAGGGGACACAAGGTCAGAGAACAGATAAACAGAGTTTGAGGGGGTGTGGAGTGTGTAGAGACACAGGCACAGGGGTAACGAGCCTGAGGAGGCCCTGGAACAGAGCTGGTACAGCAGAGAGACGCAGGCCTTGGCCTGGCAGGCAGGCAGGCAGGGCATTCTGCCAGGCACTTGCAGCTCTGTCCTGCTTCCTTCTCCCACCCCAGCCTGGAGAAAGCTGGGGAGCCTATGGCTTCTGCTGCTCCTCCTTTGGTTTTCAGGACCCCTGGCACCCCCGGGGGCTAGTCAGTAAGGGGTGGTCCCTTCCCACTCCACCAGGTACTGAACCTTGCCCTCAGGTGTGACCCTCCGAGCCAACACCTGGTACTTCTCCCCACAGGCCAACCGCCCAGCTGCACCAAAGTAGTTGGTGATAGATGACTTGAGGTGGGACAGGGATGAGTCATCTTCACTGATGCTCTCAAATGTGTGGCTGTCAATGCCTTCGTCTGGCCGCTCGGGGACTGAAGCCCCCTCTGCACTGCTGTCCGAGGGGCAGCGTCCATCCAGCTCAGCTGCCCACCGCTTTGCCCGCAGGGGCATGTATGCCTTGGCTGCCAGCTTCCTCTTTCGGCTGCCCACTGTCCATCTGTATCAGAAGTGGGAGAGGAAGATGATGAGAATGAGGTAGAACAATCACAGTAAATTCCTCTCCCTGAGTCCTCCCCTCAGTACCAGGAAAGTGGAAGAGAAAAGCGCTGAACAGCATTCTCTTATCCATCTTCTCCCATGCTCTCTCAAAGGTGCCTGTTATGTAGTCCCTGAGATAATCTATGCCTTGGGCATAGATTATCTCACCAGATCCTCACAAGAGCCCTGCGAGGAGGGAAACTGAGGGTCCAGAGGAGAAAACCAGGTAGGGAGTGGCAGAGCCAGGATTCAAACGTAAGAACGTCCAACTCCAAAGCATATGCTCTTAGAGCTAGGATCCCGGCACTGCAAAAGCACAAGAGCACCATTCTCTGAGCCTCCTGAGGCCATGCAGTGCAGAGGCCCTGCTTATCCCACCTTGCCTCTCACCAGACTGGTGGAACAAGATAGGTCACATAGGGCTGGGGGTTAGGGACTGAAGGACCCTGTACCCTAGAGCCTGGATGGAGAGACTGACAGACATCACACACACACACACACACACACACACACACACACACACACACACACGGGTGTTAGAGAAATGGACACACAGACACACAGGACAAGGCACAGATTCAGATGCTTAGAGACAGAAACCAAGACCTGAAGTGCTGGTGAAACCAAAGAAACAGGAAGAAATAGGCCAGGCATGGTGGTGCACGCCTGTAGTCCCAGCTACTCCGGAGGCTGAGGCATGAGAATCACTTGAGCCTGGCAGGCGGAGGTTGCAGTGAGCTGAGATCATGCCACTGCACTCTAATTTGGGCAACAGAGTGAGACTGTCTCAAACCAACCAACAAACAGGAAGAAAGAAAAAACAGGCAACAGCAGAGGACACCTAGACAGATGTCAAGAGACACAGACTCCAAGACAGACCTCTACAGGCATTATACCATTGTCCTTTTTTTTTTTTTTTTTTTTTGAGATGGAGTCCTACTCTGTCACCCAGCTAATTTTTTTTGTATTTTTAGTAGAGGCGGGGTTTCACCATGTTGGCCAGGCTGCTCTTGAACTACTGACCTCAGGTAATCTGCCCACCTTGGCCTCCCAAAGTGCTAGGATGACAGGCATGAGCCACCGTGCCTGGCCAGGCATTATACTTTTAATTCTACTTTTGCAAGGGCCTCAAGTATCTTAAAATACAGTGCAGCTTGAGTGCAGAGGAAAGCCCTGTGCTCGACCACTCCCCGTACTGCTGAGGACCAGCTGTTGCCAGACCAGTTGTACTGGAGATAGGCCCCCAGGGATTTCTGTCCCCACTCCTAAATCTTCCACCCTGCAGGATGCCATCTTCTGTCAGGCTTCTAAATAAACGGCTCTTTCCCTTAGAGACCCCGGAAGACAGGCACCATATTCAGACAGCCAAGAATCAAGGTCAGGGAACTCTGTAGTCCAAGAGGCAGAGAGACACCCAAGCTCATGGCACGTGGAGGCCAAAAGTGAAAGAAACTCTGGTCCAACAACCCCAGAACTGGAATCGTCCAGTGAGAGGTGTGTACAAGCTTCTGCAGCAGGTGAAGCATTCCAAAGGGATGGAACCACGGGAGGCTGAATGCCTATACTTAGGTCCCATCTAAAGCCCCGTGACTCAGAACCAGAGGGTCCGAGAGCCAGACTCACAATTGCAGAAGGCCAGGTACTCCCCGCCAGAGACTGAGACACATAGAATGAGCCACACATTACAGAAGTGGGAGGTGGAGGGGCTGAGAGGAATGATGGTCCTTGCAAAATGTGAAGGCCAGACCTCTAGGAAGCTCACCTGGAGTCATAGGAGAGGCTGGTGGAGGCAGAGCCAGAGGTGCTGGCAGCGTCGGTGGAGTCGACATCTGAGAAGAAGGTCTGGCCTGAGCTGGCACTGAGAGGGGCAAGACCGTGAGCCTGCTGGTGGCCCGGCCCAGCAAGTTCCTGCCAACCTGGCCCGCAGGTTCCCCTAACATGCATCCTTCATCCCAGTGGAGGCCCGTCTTCCCACAGCTGAGCTTCCCACCACCACACCTGTCTGTTTCCTACCCAGCCACCCTTCAAAGTCCAAGAAGTCAAAAAAACCTCCTGGAGCACCCTCCCCTGGCGGTGACGTAAGCACTGGTGTCAATAACTCGAGCGTGATCCAAGGCACCTGTGCAACACTTCACAGGTCAAAAGTGCTTTCATTTGCATTATCTTGTTTGAGGAAAAGAGCTGAGGAGGTTCAGAGAGGTTAAGGGATTTAGGTAAAACTACATAGCTAGTACTGATAAGCAGGGTCTGGAGTTCAGGTCTGACTCTAAAGCCCTCCTCTGTGTCCTCAGGAAAATACTAAATGACCTTTAATAATTTGGAAAATAAAATGATGGAAGATGCAGTTCCTCCCTTGGACATACTTAAGCATGGGGTGCTATGGAACTACAAAGGAGGGCGTCCAGCACAGCCTGGGGAGGGTTAGTAAAGCCTTCCTGGAAGAAGCAGGGTCCTGAGTTTTCAGATGGGCTAGGGCAAGGCAAAGGGTATCTCAGGCAGAGGGAGCAATACGAGCAAAGATGAGCAAGCATCAAACAGCATGGTGAGTGTGGATAACCATGGGGCAAGGTGGGGAGGGCTGGAGAAGAGGGGAGGGCTGTGGTGCTCTGGGAACAGGGATGTTATGCTGAAAGCTCTACTGCAAAAAGCCCCTTCAGACAGACCTGCACAGCAGGGATCCTTTTAACTGAGGGCTTGGCTTTCTGCTTGGTTCCCTCCCTGTCTCCAGAGCAGACCTCTGTGCTAGGTCCCTCACTGATACCTTTTTAAACTTTGAATTTCATCCAGCGTGAAGTCAAATATGCTAGCCAGGTGGTGGTTGGTGCTCCAGGCTGAGGTGAAGTCACTCTGTGGACACAGGAAGGAGAGAGGAAGGGTCAGACAGCGAGTATCAAATCCACCTCCCACACAGGCTGCCTCCTATCCAGCCAGGGCCGCTGAGGGCTGGGCCCTCCCTAGGGTAAGACCATCACCTTTATTCCAAGTCCTGACCAGGGAGCCAAAGTCATCCCAGTTCTAGCCCTGCCTTTGTCTCTAGCTGACTGTACGACCTTCACGTCTCTGGACCTCAGTTACTTCAACTGCAAAATGGGGACAATAACCCCTGCCTTGCTTCACTCTTACAGATGTCAGGAAGTGCAGTAAAATTAAATAATGCTTCTAAACCGCAAAGTGCTGGGACATGAGGCATTGCTAATACTACTGCCCACAGGGAGGGCTTCAGGGAGGTGGTGGGGTTACTGAAGGAGGAAAGAAAGTGCTCTGGAACCCTGGTTCCAGGCTGGGCTCTGCCACTTTGATGTGTGGCCTCAGGAAAGTCACTGCCCCACCCTTCCCTCAGTGTCCCTACCTGGACAGTGGGGACAAGAATATTACCTGCCTTTGCCCCCCAACTTTGGATTCCTGGGAGAACTTGGGGGGAGATAAAGCAGGGGTCTTAGAGTGCCTGGCTTAGCTGTAATAGGGACTGGCTTCTTTAAGGGACATGAGAGAGTCCTCTGGGCCTGGGGGACTTAGTTTTCGGCACAGGAAGCCCTAATATGTGCTGACCCTGCGTATGAAAATGGAGAGTAAGAAAACAAGGAACTAACACTGGGAATAGCATCTTCCAGCAAAAACTTTGATCTTTTTCTTCTATAAACTCGCCTTTTCTGCTGCTGGAATTCGTGAGGCAACAAACTGTGGAGACAGAAGAGGGAGAAGGTGGCCCCGTCAGAGCCTGAGGGCCCTAGGGTGGCCCAGAGGGAGGCGCCGCAGGGGCGGGGGTCACAGCAGTTGGGGAGACAGGCTCTGAACACAGCTGCACCTTCACAGGGAGGCCTGGGGAGGAGGGAGAGTCCTCAGGAGCAGTAGGGGTGGGAAGGTGTGGAGAAGGTATAGTGGGCAGAAAAAGAAAAGGTGCCTCCCCAGGCACATGCATCCAGATGCCCTGCCCCCCAGTGCCAGGATGAGGGGGCTCAGCTGAGCCAGGAGAGAGAGGGACCCCTCACACACCCTGCCTTCCCCTTCACCTCCTTGCCCAAGTCCTAATCCAGCAAGGCTGGGTCCTCAGATCTGGCTTTTCCTCCTTGCGAGGTAATAAGGGGGCTGTGGTGGTGAAAGGAGTTGGGGATCTGGGATCTGGGATCCCGCTCAGCCACTATCTAGCCCTCTCAGGGTCCTACAGCTGGGACTGGCTGGGTGCAGGTCCTCCTTGCTTGCTTGGAAGCAGAGAAACCGAGTTTGGCGGCAGCCCTGGCCCCTGGGTCCCCGAGCACTGACCCAGGCTTGCTCTTTCCTCTCTTACGCAGCTCAGAGGAGGCGCTGTTCTCATTTGGCAGCAGTCCTTTGTCAGGCAGCAGCTTCCCTGGCGGGTTGGGTGGGACGCGGATGCGCAGGCGGAAGATGCACTTCTTCTTCTTGATCTCCTTGCCGCAGAGGAACCTGGGGGTGGGCAGTGGGAGGAAGAAGCTCTGGAGTCTGTCAGTCCATCCTCCTGGGGAGTGGGGTCAAGCATGACACAAGCCTCTCTGCCTCCTTGGACCCAGAGCTAAAATCCGGATGGTCTCTGCAGATGCTGACTTCCTCAAAGCCCATGGGATGCGGGGTTCCAGGTAGCAGCTGAGAACACGGCTGGTGCCTCCTCCCTGTGCTTCCTCCTGCATGAGTGTGGTTCTTGCTGCTCTTCTCCCTTTTGTTTGCCTCAACCAGCCCCAAGGCCACCTCCTGCAGGAAGCCCTCCTCCAGCTTACAGTGGAACTCCTATGGTCAAGATACTGGAATCTACTTCATTCTGTTCTCTGGTTTCCCCAGGAGACTGAAAGCAACACCGGCTGGGCTCCTCTGAGGCTGCAGAAGTGACTTAGACACAGCCCTACCCTCTTTAGTACAAGAGGCCACCTGCCCTCCCAATAGAGGACTGTCCATTGGGAGGGCAGGTGGCCTCTTGTACTGAAGAGCAGAGCTTTGTCTGGGCCCTAAACCATGAGAATGTGGAAGAGAGAGTGGATAATTCTACCCAGAGGTGTCTGGAAGAGTTTCAGCGATGAGGACCTTATTTTATTCCCCACCATGACCTCAGCACCCAGACAGGCCCGACATAGAACAGCAACTCAATGAATACTTGTTGATGGAACGAATGAGTAAAAAAGACTGAGGCACATCCTAGACAAAGGGCAGAGCATGAGTAAAAGTGCCAGGTAGGAAACCAAGGACTCAGGATGGCTGGCACCCAGAATACAGAAAGCAAAGGGACAGCGGCAGAGGACGCGGGCACAGCCTGGTCTTAAAAGGCCTTGAGTGCCAGGTTCAGGAGGCTGGGCATGCCTCTGTGGTGTAGTGAGGGACATGGCCAGCTGTGTGTGCTGAGAACCCTGGATGGGAAGACAGGGGCTGAGGGATGTCTTCCACCCGAGGATGTAGCCCACCCGAGATGATGCACCCATCCCTCAGTGCCTGGCCCCCAAGGCCTAGATGTCTAGAGCCGGAGGGGCCCTCAGAGAGCAGGGGTGCAGCCCCCCTACAGAGCTGAGCCCAGTACCAAAATACGGCAGGCTGCTGGGGTGGTTGGAGTGGCTGTGCAAAGGAGGTGGGGTACCCCCTGGATCTCGGAGAATGGAAATGATTCAGAGAGAAGGGGAGTATCAGAGAGGCAGGGAGCATAGCCTGAGCAAAGGCTATGAGGTAGGAAGGAATCTCACCTGTAGAGGGCCCCACCACACTCCCTCCCCTCCCTGCACGCACCGGCTTTTATAACTGTTCAGAGCGTTGAGGAGATGTGGTCCTCGATCTGTCACTGGGGTGCTGGTGAGCTGTGGGAGAGCAGGCCAGCAGGACATCAGACCCAGGCATATGGCGCATGGGGAGGCCCAAGCCCCTACTCCCTCCCTTCCATCTCCTGATGCTTCTGAGTCCTTCAGGTGAGGACCACTGACTCACTCCAGGATCTCAGAAAAGCCTTTTCACCTCTCCAAGTTCATTCCCATTTGTAAATGGAGAGAATACTTCCTGACCTAACTGTATTGAGAGCTTTAAAAAGTCCATACCCTTGACCCAGTAATGCTACTCCATGGAATCTATCATGGAATCTATATATCTGCAGATATAACACGAAATAGGAACAAAACTTTACATACAAAAAAAAATGGTGGCATTGTTTCTAATGGTGGACAAATGGGAAAGAAACTGCCCAACAGGAAGGAAACAAGTAAACTATGGTAGAAACCAATGCAGCCATGAAATTTGGCGGGCGCCTATAATCCCAGCTACTTGGGAGGCGGAGGCAGGAGAATCACTTGAACCCAGTGGGAGGAGGTTGCAGTGAGCTGAGACCGCGCCACTGCACTCCAGCCTGGGCGACAGAGGGAGACTCCGTCTCAAACAAACAAACAAACAAAAAATTTTATGAAGATTCTAATAATATGGAAAAGTATAATGTATACTAAAAAAAAGATTATTTAAAATTGTATATACTGTATCATTTAAACGATAAAACAGAAAAAGATATACATAGAAGAGAGTCGGAAAGGAAATGTACCCATGCATTAGTTCTAGTGATTTCTGGGTGGCGTGATATGGATTTTTTAAAAAGTATACTTCCTTATACTTTTTGGTACTTTAAAGATTTTCCACCACGAATATGTACAATTAAAAAAAATTAGAAAAAAGTTACTAAAAACCAACTCTACGTATCTTTTAAGGTTTTATAATATCTATTTTTTTAAAAAAATTATCAAATACTGTAAATGAAGATGTTATTACATGAAATATTTTGCAAAGCATAAAGGTTATTCTTTTTAAATTCCTTTTCATCAAAGAAAGATTTGGGGCAGTCCATAGAGAAGATGCCTCACTCTGTATGTGGTGGAGAGGATTCTAAGGATGTCATTAGGGAAAAGAAGACACAGCACCCCCGTGGGAGTGATTAGGGAGGCCCTGGCTCCAGCTCTGGCTCAGCCTCAAAGCTCTGCTGACCACGGGCAAGTCACTCTGCAACTCTGACATTCCGAAAGTCTCCGTTTGTAATTTCACTCCGTGGATCTGAGGCTTCCAAGGCCCTTGGTGACCCACTATTTAGCATAGGATCAGCAGTGGGCAGACCCACTCCATGTTGCAACCTAGCCAGGAAATCTGGAGTGGGTCAAACACTCAGCAGAGAGCTGTGTTCCAGCCAGACTTGATCTAGGGCCTCAGCTCCCCTCCACTGAACTGGGGAGGCCCCAACCTGCCCACTGCCAAAATCTGGGATTAGGAAGGCCCTTAAAGGACACAAGATCAGAGGCCTGGACTCAGGGATGCAGCAACTCAAGGGTGAGAGTTCAGAGACTTCCATCCTAGTCCTGCACTGCGTGGCCCTGGGCAAACCTCTCTGCCTCCTGCCACTGACATCCCACAACCCCACATACCTTGCCAAGCTGCAGGAGCTCCCAGTGGTGGTTGACAAAGGCCAGAATCTCCTCAAAGTCAAAGTACTTCTTCTTGCTCTGTACCCCCAGATTATAGAGGGCCAGGTGAACCACATCCACCCTGGGCAAGGGGGCAAGGAGGTGGGACCAGGTGAGGTGGCAGCCTGCTCAGCCAGGGTCACAGCTTTCTGGGTCCAGGCTGAGAGACAGGGGCAGGGTTGGGACCCAGTAGCTGGAAATGGAATTGTTCCAGGAGGGAGGAGGGAGGGGAGAAGCTGGGAGGAGCAGCGGTGGTTGGACTAAGCCCCACCCTCTCACCATCGCAGGGGCAGCCTCTCGATGTACTCTGGGCCCTGGTTACACACGGAGCAGAAGAACAGGTAAAACCTGTGGGTGGGTAGAGACGGGGGCCTATGGTGGGAGGGGCTCTGACACCCCCACCCCAGTCCAGCCCCTTGATCTCCTCATTCCCCACCTACCTTCCCATAATCTTCTCACTCCTAGGACTGCTGGCCACTGGGGGTCAAGGACAGGGCAGGACAGGGACTAAGAGATACCCCATATTCCTTCTAACCCATGCCCTCAATCTCCTTCCCAAATCTTGCCCTGAAGCGTGGCTGAGTTCACAGAGAGTGAGCTGAGCTAGGCTGGGCTGCCATGGTCACCCTCTTCCCCTCTGAGACAGCCACACACGCAATCACAAATGACATGAGACACCAACCAAAAGATGCATAACATCAGGTTTGACATCCATAAGGACTCCATTAGCTTTGCTCCGTCGGTTAGAAGCCACATTAAGCCATCCATTTCCCCAGTGACTCCCACAGCAACCCTGGGCAGGGCTGGCGCAAGGACTGTGTCATCCCTTCTTCCCCAGACACTTAAGAGACTAGGGCATAGGGAAGGCAGGCATTTATCTAAGGTACTCCAGAAATCAATGGCAACTAGGGATGTGGCCCAGCATACTTCTTTATTGCCTCCTGGCCCTGCATAGCTAGGGGATCCCCTACCTTGAGCTGCCTCCAGTAAACAGGTAGGCATACATTGTCACAGACCTCCTCTTGTCTGGAGCCTGGCAGTCAACCTGCAGGAGTTGTTGCTGCCATCCCTGCCCTCTCCCCACCACGCCCAAGGCCCACTTGGACCAAATTAGCACCTACCGGTCTCCAAACATCATGGGCTCATTGAGGCACTGGGTGCAGGCCTCGTGGAACCACTGCCTGCACCGGTAACATTGCAGCATCCGCAGGTACCATCTGGAGAGACAGAGGAGCCAAGGTCAGCCAGGACCACACCCCCAGTCAGGTATGAGCTTCGGCAACCTTTCCCAAGTTAAATTTGCCCTCCACTGGCAGAAAGGGAAGAGAATTCAGTTACTGAGCACTTAGGCTGTGCCAAGGGAGGACCTGAGAGTTGGACATATACTCTCATTTCACCTCACCACCTGGTAAAAGATGGGACACTGTCCCCATATTACAGATAAGTCACAGGTGAAATGGCTTGCCCTAGCTCACAGGCAAGTGGAGGATGGTGATTCAAATTCTGGTTTCCCTAACTTCAGAGGCTGTGCTCTCCTTGCCATGCCACAATGAAGCCACCATTTCTGGACTTGCTGCTTCCCAAACACTGCTGACAGGGAAACGTTTGCCTTGGAGACTTCACGGGAGAATAATGGTTTCTGTAAGCTGCACGGGGGCAAGACTACATCTGGCTTTTCTCACCTGCAACTGTATCTGGCCTATCATGGTCATCCAACAACTATTCATGGAATATGAAGAGCAAAATGCTCAATGCTTCATTGACACCTTGTCAGGTGAGCTCCAGGTTAAAACGCAGATTCCTTGGTCCACTGCAGACCTATTCAATCTTTGGGGAAGCCTCTGGGATGCATTTTTAACAAGCATCCTGTGCAACTCTGCCCATAGGCGTTGAGAAACACTGCATTAATGCAGGAAAGGTTTCCATAAGCATTTCTCCATCTGACAATACTTGGGGAAGCTCATGGGCCTGAAGTTAAGGTTAAGCCCATTTGAGAGATGAAGTAGTTCAAGCTTTGCCCAAGTTACCCAGCTGGAGCTTGGGGCTGAGATTCAGGACTTCAGGGGGTCCTGACGGCTGAACTTCCTGAGGGCAGAGACCCTCCCTCTTACATCTGTGGTTCCTTCCACAATGCCACGTGCACTCAGCCCAAAGAAGCAAGCTCAACTGCCATGGCTACATAGAGGCCCAGGTCGGCAAGGAAGAATCAAAGACTCTTGCCGCAGAGCCAGGACAAGAATTCCCTCCACAGTGGCCCCGACATAGCATGCCCCGCCCCCCGGCCCCCTACCCCTGCCTGATTGCACATCTCCAGGGAAAAGAATCTTTTCTATTTTTGGAGACAGGGTCGTCCTGCTTTGTCGCCCAGGCTGGAGTACAGTGGCATGATCACAGCTCACTGCAGCCTCCATCTCCCAAGCTCAAGTGATCCTCCCACCTCAGCCTCCTACGAAGCTGGGACTACAGGCGTGTGCCACCGCGCCAGGCGGGAAAAGGATCTTCATATCTCACCAGCAGCCGGTTCCACTGACTCTGACTGTGAAAAGGTTATCTTGACTTTCATGCATTAGTACCACCACTACCACCAGTAACAGCTCACATTTTTTTTGTTTACCAAATGCCAGGCACTATGAGAACCTCTATGTGAATTACGTAATTCATGCTCTGCTCATAATCACCACATGATGGGGAAACTATTCAGAGAGCTGAGGCTAAGGGGTTGCACAGCTGGTAAGGAGCAGAGCTAGGACGTGGACGTCCTGGGAGGATTCGCACTGTGTCCGGCCCAGGCTCTTAACCACTCTTCAATACTTCCTCGTTTCCTACAAAGCTCCAAGGTAACACCTCTGCCCTCCAGCCCTGCTCCACAGTGCTAGATGCCACGCGGAGCCGGCCTTCTGTTCTCCCCTTGAGGTCCCGCCCCCTCGGGCCCCACCCCGAGCCCTTCCCTTCAGGGACCGCCCCTTGAGGCCTCGCCTCCTCAGGTCCTGTTCCCGAGGCCTTACTATTCCCTCCTCCCCACCCCGCCCCTCCACAGGGTGCTTCTCGACCTGCCTCACCTCCCTGGGGCCCTGCTTGGGCGGTCGCAACCCGCCAGGCCCGCCTCCCGAGGCCTCGCCCCAAGGTCTAACCTTCCGGGCCCGCCCCCCGAGGCCCCGCCCTCAGGTCCAATCTTCCGGGCCCACCCCTCGAGGCCCCACCTCCGCAGCGGCTGACCCCCCCCTCCCCGAGTCCCGCCCCCGAGGCCCCACCCCCGCGGCTGACACTCCAGGCCCGCCCCTCGAGGCCCCGCCCCCACAGCGCAACACACTGGGCCCGCCCTCAAGGTCCCCGCCTTGGCTGACACGCCAGGCTCGCTCCCTATGGGCGGTCCCTGCTGGCGATTCTTGGAGACCTGCCCTGCCGCCCGGGGGGCCCTGACCCCCTGCCTTACTCTCCGGGCCCGCCGCAGTAGCAGTAGCATTGCTGCTGGTTGGTGCGATGGGGCGAGTCCCACTCGAGCTCCTCGGGCTGGTAGGACAGCACCATCTTCACGGCCTGCAGCGTCCTGGCGATGGCGCCCTTCTTCAGCGCGCCGCCTTTCTGGGGGGAGACGAGGGCCCCAGTCAACCACCAGGTCCGGGTGGACCACGCGAGTCAGCACGCGGCTGTCTATTGAGGGAAGTGCTGCCAGGGCTTGGGGGACCCGCAGATATTCCAATATAGTCAGAAAAGCAAGGAGCTTTTTCTCATTAATTCCAAACCCATCCCCTCTATCCCAGAAGGAACTCCGTTGATAACAGAATTAAGAGTAATAAGCGCAATAAAGGCAACAATTACCAACATGTATTTACATGGATTTTCTTTTTTAATAGTAAAGCATCATTTATTGGTCCCGTTATTCCCGACACCAAACCCATCTCCACTTTACAGTTGAGGAAACTGAGGCTCAGGGAGTCTACAAATCCTGGCCAAGGACAGTGGCAGAGGCGCTATCTGTCTCCAAAGCCCAGGTGTGGCCCTTCTGCTTGGAGCTCAGACTCTGTGATGGGAGTCTCTGGTCTGCCCCACTGGAGGAGGCAGGAGAGGCAGGGACTGGGGAGGATGGAAGGCTCACCCGCACAGCCAGTGCGAAGATGCAGCGTCGGCAGAACCAAGGTGTGAGCAGGGGCTGGTCAGCACTGCCCGCTATGGGGATGTGGCACTGCTGGTGGTAACCTACGGCAGAGGAGGGGGCGGTGAGCGCCCACAAGGACATCGTGGCCCAAGGCCAGTTGGCCCAAAGGAGGCAGGGCTGGGAGGGCTGAGGGAAGTCCTAGGAGCTCTGCCTGCCAGCTGCCGGGAGCCTGGCTGCTGGTGCCCACCAAGATGGCCAAGTCAGTGTCCAGGCTGGGAACTAAATGACAGCATTGGCCAGTTGTGGGGTTGGGGGGGACACAGGAAGGTCTGACTTCAGTGCCTGAGCCCCATCTTTCCCACCCATCCTCTCCATCTAGCTGGGCCCCAAATTACATACACCATCATACCCTCCCAGCTTTCCCCAGGATCTCTTCCCAAGCCCTCACTTACAGCAACTGGCCCCCTTTCACCCTGCAGTGCCAAGAGAAACAGGAAGCCAGCTGAGGCCCCAACAGGCTGCAGCAGTACCCGTCAGGGGCCAGTGCGTGGGGACCTATAGGTCGGGGCCTTCTCAGGGCCCTGCTCGCTCCACTCACCCAGGCCACACTTCCCGCAGATGAGGATCTCATTCAGCGGCCCTGATGTCTTCCCTAGGCAGATGTTGCACTTGGGCTCCTCTCCTGGAACACCGGCTGAAAGAGAGGGCCTCGAGGGTCGGGTCCAGCTCACAGGAATGGAAGTTTTATACTCACATTCCAGATGCCCAGCCTCTAATGTCTGCTAGGCCTAGCGCTGGGCCCCACATGCCACCTCACTGAATCTCCCCAACCACTCTGAGATGCCTATCATCATTACCATTCGAAAGATGGGGAAATTGAGGCTCTGAAAGGTTAAGTCCCTTGCTTAGCTAGTAAGTAGGTGAGGGGGGGATTAAACCCATGGCTGTTTGACATCAAACCCTTTGTTCTTTTGACACATCATGCTGCCTCTCCCGCCTTATTTAACTTGTTTTGTTAAATGGTTGTTATTTTCTTAAAACTTTATTATGGGATAATATAATTTGTTTGTTTGTTTTGTTGAGATGGAGTCTCTGTCACCCAGGCTGGAGTGCAGTGGTGTGATCTTGTCTCACTGCAACCTCCGCCTCCCTGGTTCAAGCAATTCTCCTGCCTCAGCCTCCCGAGTAGCTGAGATTGCAGGTGCATGCCACCACACCCAGCTACTTTTTACATTTTTAGTAGAGACAGGCTTTTGCCATGTTGGCCAGGATGGTCTCGAACTCCTGACCTCAAGTGATCCACCTGCCTTGGCCTCTCAAAGTTCTGGGATTACACGCGTGAGCCACTGTGCCCAGCCTAGAAGTTATAATGAAACTCCATCTTCTCATCACTTATGAACTCATGGCCAATCTCGTTTCTACTATATTCCCACCTACTTCTCCTTCCTGTAATTATTTTAAATTGAGTCCCAGATACCCAATAGTTTTTCCATAAATATTTCAGTATGTATTTGTGAAAGATCAAGACTCTTTTTAAAAAACATAATTAAAACACCTCTACTGCACCTATAAGTTAACATAATTGCTTAATATCATTAACAAATTCAGTTAATGTTCTCATTTCCAATTGTTTCTTAAGTACAAATACCTTAACAATTTTAAGTCTGTTCTTTTGAATCAAAGTCCCCAAGTAAAGTCCATACATGGTGACTGGCTGATGTTTTTAAAATTGCTTTTAGTCTACAGGTCCCCTCTCCATCTCTTTTTTTCTTTGCATTTTATTTTGGTTGAAGAATAAATATGTTTTTATGTGTGAAAGGTTTGTATGTATACATTAAACACATTTTGATACGTGTTTGTCTTATTTCCCCAGCATGCTGAAAATTTTGTAAGGGTAGAAATGGGATCTCTTCGGCCGGGCGCAGTGGCTCACGCCTGTAATCCCAGCACTTTGGGAGGCCGAGGCGGGCGGATCACAAGGTCACGAGTTCGAGACCAGCCTGCCCAATAGGGTGACACCCCCTCTCTACTAAAAATACAAAAATTAGCTAGGCGTGGTGGCACGTGGCTGTAGTCCCAGCTACTCAGGAGGCTGAGGCAGAAGAATCACTTGAACCTGGGAGGCAGAGGTTGCTGTGAGCCGAGATCAAGCCACTGCACTCCAGCCTGGGTGACAGAGCAAGACTCTGTCTCAAAAAAAAAAAAAAAAAAAAAAAAAAAAAAAGAAATGGTACCTCTTCATCTCTGTATCCCCAGGACCTCATAGAGTGTGGCATGTAACAGGTGTTCCAAGACGTTTGTTGAATATATGGCCAGGCAGGAACGTTGCCTCCTATTCTTGAACATGCTCCCAGGAAGGTGGTGCCCACAGTGCATCTCAGTAAGTCCTCACTGGGTTAATGAAGCAATGGATCAATAACTACAGTGGTGCTCAGCCTTATGCTCTCATCTCAGGAGATGCTAGAGGGTCACCATTCTGCCCGGAAGGGGCAGTTCTGGCTAGGAGACAAGCCACTCTTCAGCTGATCACTGTGGGTACCTCCAAGGAGCCTGGTATGTGGTGGGCCTCCACAGGAGGTCAGCTAAGGTGCATGGTCTTCTCCATCTGGCTCCTTATGCTTTCAATAAGGGGGTAAACCAGGAGAGGAGATCCTCATTGCTTTGGATATTTATATAATACTATTTCAGGGGTTGGAGAGGAATCGGTCTGCACTGGCCACAATTTCTTGGAGAAGGGGGCAATTCGAAAGCTTTACTAACTGGCTGAGTTCTGCAGCCTCTTCTTGGCAGGCTTCTTGGAATCATCTCTTATTGTAACAAATTCTTTTTTTTTCTTTTTCTTTTCTTTTTTTTTTTTTTGAGACAGAGTCTCGCTCTGTTGCCCAGGCTGGAGTGCAGTGGTGTGATCTCAGCTCACTGCAACCTCCTGCCTCAGCCTCCCGGGTAGCTGTATTTTTAGTAGAGACAGGGTTTTACTGTGTTGGTCAGGCCAGTCTCAAACTCCTGACGTCAGGCGATTCACCCACCTTGGCCTCCCAAAGTGCTGGGATTACAGGTATGAGCCACTGCGCCTGGCTGGTAACAAATTCTTGAGTAACAGCTTCTCTAAAACCAATAGTACTGAGCTAAGCATTTTACATGGATTAGCTTACCTAAGCCTCCCAACCACCCTATGAAGCCAGTACTTTCACTATCACCTCTCACATGAAGAAACTAAAACTCAGGTCATATTACTTGCTCCTGCAAATGCAGCTAGTAAGTGGCAAAGCTGGAACTTGGTCCAAGGTCTACCTGACCCTAAAATCTGCTTCTTACCCTGCTAGGGGCCATGTCTCTTCTCCTGTTAGAGTATAAATGGCAAACAGGTTTCTCCTCTTATGCCAACTCTGATTGACAGGCAGTAGCTGCTTGGGGCTCCAAGTTGAAAGTACATGTGTTGTCAATGGCTACTGATGTCTGTTGTGTGTATGGGAAGGGAGAATGGTGGCAAAGATGGCCCTGACTTGCCATCTCTGCAAGGGAGAGATGTCAGCTTTCTGAAGGCAGGGATGATACCCAACCCAGATTCATTTCAGCCCTAAAAGCTGGTCTAGCTCCATCCAGGCATGTCCATCTTCACCCTGCCTGGCTCACCTCTGCTTTATTGGTTTTTCTCCCATTCCTCCCAACTCCTTGCCCCGTGGAGAAGGCTGCTTCCATTAGTTTTATTCATATGTTAAATCAGGGACACTGTGCTTGCATCTAGAGCTGACAATTCTGAATACCTGGGCACGCCCCCTTTTCTAGCCCAGACTGACGCAGAGCTTTGAGCAGCTGCAGCTGTAGTGCAGCCAGGAAGCAAACGCAGGCCTGAGGCCCAGTCCTGGCCCTCCCAGCACCTCCCTAAGCTACCTTCCCCACCTGCCCATCCTCCCTCCTGGGGTATGAATTCTCAAGGGGATGACTCATGTCCTAAGTACCTTCCTAAGTCAATATACAACCAGATTTGATCATCATCACAGGTGGGCTTGGGGTTCATGGTCAAGGGCAGATGCCAGGAGTAAGAGATGGAAGGACAGAAGGAAGAAATGAAGGCAGCAGAGGAGAGAAGACCTGGGGAGGTTGGGGGCTACCCGAAATGTTAGGAAAACTCACCATGCTGTATGTCCTTCCATAGGACCCAGTATTTGGAATTATCTTCGAAAGTCACGAGGCAGCTTTGCTTAGAGCTGCTGACCTGGGGTACAGATAGGAAGGAGCAAGTGAGAAAGGGCTGGGGAAAAGCCAACCTGGAACATAGTCTTCCTCCCCCATTTTTGTCTCCGTATGTTCCAGAAAGCAGGGCTAGAAGGGGAAGAAGGATGGCAGTTCCTGGACAGGGTGTACTCCTAGTCACCTGGAGTCGTACAGCCAGGGACCGATGGATGGCAACTTGGTCAGAATGTTGAGGACAGAAGCACAAGTCAGATGCTCCTCTGTGATCCTCTCAAACCTGACTTTTTTGTTTTGTAGGCTCTCAGAGCACTTTTCTAAAGAACTAGTTGGATGATGTTGACCCTAGGGATGGTGCCTGCAAGACCAGGCTCTGGCCCCTCCCACCACCAGCTTTGGGCATGAGGGACAAGAAGGGAATTCTCCAGCAATCCCCCTGCCCCCTGGTCTGACAGCCAGGCTGGAACATGAGCAGAGAGATTCTGAGTCTGAGAACAGGGGCCAGAGAGGATGGGTTTACCCTCTTGATCTTCCCGAGGTAGTACAGGCCATCTGTCCACCGGCACAGCACATACTGGCCCTCCGTCAGTTTGGACATCAAGTCTTTGAAGTTGTTCTTGACCTTCGCCAGGGCCCCCTTGTTGGGGAGGTGGCTGGTGGCACCATAGGAGTCCCGAGTCCCTGGATCCAGAGCTCGATTCTCCATCAGCTTCCCCTGACACTGGGAGAGAAAGAACAGGGTTTTTGCTTCTTGCTTCCCTGCTTCAGAAAGCCCATCAGGGGAAGGAAGGAAACCACCATTTCTGTACCCTGTGCTATAAGCCAGACTTGGTTATTATCTCACTGATTCCTCGTGACCATCCTATGAGGGAGACATTATTATTATTCACATCTTACAGATAGGGAAACAGGTGTGGCAAGGAGAAGAGGCTGATGGGCCAAAGGCAGAGCCATGGCCCATACCACACTACCTTTTAAAGAGAATGGATCTCTCAACCCACACAGAACAAAGTCCCCTACCCAGCGGGCCTGAACCACTCCCTGTCTCAGGAGGCTGAGGTTTTATTCCTTAAGCAAACACAGTCCATGTGCTCTGGATGGAGGATCTTCTCCAGGCAAGCAGTTGGGTTTTGTTTTTACCCCCAACCCCTGCAACCATCCCTAACCTGAGATCTGTCCAGAGAAAATTCACCTAGAAAGGAAAACTGGGTGGCTTGTAGCTAGTGTAGACTGGGTCATCTGTCTTTTGTAATCCCCCCTTCTGTTCTCAATTATGAGATGATTTAATGGAAACCAATTCTGGGACATTTAAACCCACTTATGCTTTCACCCAGATACACATTTGCTCCAAGCAGTGAAGTCATCCATCCCCATGCCAGCCTCTCCACGCCTGTCTCTCACCATCCTATTCAACGTGCAGTTCACCCATCGATTTCTCTCTCCCTGCCTGTGGTACTGCCTTCATGCATCTCAAACTCCTCCAAGCAATTAGTTGCCACAGCCGGCCCATTTTAAGTGCCATGATTTCTGGCTTTCCAGCTCTAGCTTCCATCCTCCTGCCCTGGTCTCAGTTCAGGCCTCATCTTTTGCTTGGGCCATTCATTCATTCATTCATTCACCCAATAACAGTTTCCTGGGCCTTGTGCTTACCTCCACTAGGCACCTAGGGTGGGGAACGGTACTACCAGCACCCAGTGCTAAACAGGCCGTTCCTGCATTCCTGCCTCTCCACCAGACTCTTCCGCAGGGCCACCAATTTCCTTCCAGAAACTTTCTGGGGCTCCCCACTGCCCTCACTGGTGCTCAAAGCCGTCCCTAACGCCCCCTCCTTTCTGCTGGGCTCACCTGGCTCCAAGTCCCTCCACATGCTCTCCACTACAGCCACACACAGCCTCTCTCTTTCCCCGCGGGCCTACTCGGGTCTCCTCCTTGTGGCCATGGCGCTGGGCACCTGGTGTTGTGACTATCTGTTCACAGGGAGAGAGTCCAGTGCCTGTTTCTGTGTGGTGCGTGTGTGTACTCCTGTGAGACTGGGCAGGATGATGTCTACGGCATTGTGCCAGGGAGTGTGTGAAGCTAAGTATGTGCGGGGCCCTGGGGCGAGCCAGGCACTGCAGGGGTCTCGGCTCCCCAGATGGTGGCGTGGCCACGACCTTCTCCACCCCCACTCCCATCTCCTTTTTCTCCAGCGCAGAGCGCACAGGCTCCCGGGCAGGGGATGCGGTCTGAATCCCTGTCCTCTCCCTGCCACCTGGCTCGCCCGGCGCTGCGAGGTCCCCGCCCGCCCGGCCAGGGGCCAGGCCGGGGCCGCTGCAGGTTCACAAACTGACACTTCCTCTCCCGCTGCGCCTCTAGGAGCCGGCCGGGTCGCCGCACCCGCCTCCACCCTGGCCGGGCGGGGGCCCCCGGGTGGCGCCCCCCCAGCCCCCGCCTCCGTCCTCCCGGAGCGGGCCCCCGCGGGCTGTGATTGGCTGATTCAAACCCATTTGCAAAGAAATGCCTGTTTGCGGGTTCCCGTCTGCGTCCAGTTCAAATCCGCGGCACCGGGAGCGCGGGGCCGGGCGGGGGCAGGAAGCGAGGATGATTCATGCGCCGGGGCCTCTCCCAGGGCGGCCGTTGGCTTTTTAAAAAGGATGTTCAGGAGGGGGGAAAAAGCTTGCAGAAGCACCCCCTTCGGGTTCAGCGCTCCTCTCCTCAGTCGCTCGGACGCCAAGCCTCCCCCATCCCAACCCTGCCGCAGCCTGACTTCGGACGTGAGCGAAATGCCAAACGCCCGTCTGTCCTTCCCCCACCCCGATAGGAAAATTAAAGATCGGGGGCGAGGAAGAACGACCTGTCACCCATGCCCCCCGGGGCTCGGGAACCCGGGTGGGGCCCCTCTGCCCCGCAGGTAACCTGCACCCCCGGTCCCCACCCCCGAGAGCCCCGCTCCGCAGGAGTCTCACCCCCCGGAGGCGTTCGGGCCGCCAAAGTTCAGGGAGATTTCGAAAAGAGAGGGATGAGGGCCGGGAGGGGAGAGCGTGGCGGGGAGTCCGCCCAACAGCGCAGAACTCACCGCGAGGCTGCGTGTCCGCCGGTCCCACTTGGAGTCTGGCCACCAGGCGCATCGGTGGCGGAGGCGGCTGCGCTCGGCCCGCGGCTGCCCGGCCGAGTGTCCGCCCGTGGGGCCGGGGTCGGGGTCTCGGCGGGGGCGGGGCGGGGCGGGGGCGCCGCGGGGAGGAGGGGGAGGCGGCGGAGGGAGGGGCCGGGGCGCTCAGGAAGGGGCCCCCCGGGCGCGGGGCGCCATCTTTTTCGCGTTTTCCCGCGAATTATTGACGTCCCGCTTATGTAATTAGCGGGGGCCGCGCCGGCCTCGCCATTGGAGCCCGCGGCCGCCGGGCTCCGCAGCGCCGCCAGCCCCCGCCCGCCCCCGCCCGCCCCGCGGGCGCGCATCCTCCGCGGCCACTAGCCAGGACCCGGGCCCCCCGCCGAGGAGCGGCCACACCGCGGCGCACACGGAGACGCCAGGCAGCGCTCATGGCGCACACGACCGCTCGCACACTTGTTGAGGAAACACAGCTCTGCGCGCAGGCACCGGCGGACCCTGGCACAGACACACAGCAGGGCGGCGCGGACCCTTGGCGCAGACACAGACCCAGGACGCCCAAACAGGCCACACAACACCTTGCACTAACAGCACAGGCGTTCGGCACAGAGACACAGCACAAGTATAATGTAGATACACAACACACAGTGCACAACGCATGTTGTTCCGACACAGGTCAGAACACACCACAGCATGTACAGGACACAAACACACCACAAAGAGAAGTACTGTACACACCAGCCATAGGCATAGATACACAAGGGGGAACACACTGTACACAACAGAGACACACAACAGAACATGCATGTAAGGTAGACGGACATAACACATAAAGTCACAACACAGACGGGCAAGAGACACAAGTTTTCCTGAAAAAGTGGCATTCAGATAGGTTGTGGAAATAGGTTAGTGGGTGTGCCAGGTGGAGGGAATTCAGTGGGCTAACAATGCAATTTTTAAAATACGGGTTAAGGATATCAAAAGGCAATTCACAAAAGAGGAAACCTACATGGCCGAAATAGCCCCAAACAACAAATTGCGTAGAGACACAGTGCACAGAAATACATGGTACAATCGCAAATATATACCACACGCACAACATGTCATGTAAATAAAGGGCACACAATGAAAGACAACATGCACAGAGTCATAGGAATGGCAGATGGAGTCAGTGGGCAGAGCTCCAATCATAGGGACCCTGCCCTGTGGGGGAAAGGCAGACATGGCCCCACCCAGACTCACTCTTGGGGGAAGGGAGGAAGAACACTTACCAATAACCCCACCCCCATCCTTGCCCTCAGTCCACAGCGCCCACCTCTGTGGCTACCATCCCACTCTGCAGACACCCCCACCAGACAGGGATATGTGCTTTCATGGGTGTGGCCAGTGGACAGCACCTTCCCCCAGAGCCTTCCCTGTTCACTGTCAGTTGCTCACTCTGGGCCCTCTGCCTCCTGGCCTTGGAGCATGATCTGTGCAGCCCCCCACCTCACCTTCTCAGCAGAGATCCAGGAGTCCTTTCACCTCCTTCCTCACTTCCTTCTGCCCCTTGATCCCCCTGCTCTCACCTGCCTCACTGCCCCATTCTGGATCCTGGCGCCTCAGCAGAACCTAGCACTGCTGAGTACCTGCCTGAACCTGGAAGGAAAGCCTGGGAGCAGCCCCATGGCACAAAATCTCCCAATCCTGGAGAGCACATTTTCAAGTCCCAAAGGGGCCCTAGGATTGTGCTACTTAACCATGTTCTGCCAAGAGAAGGTGTGTCCAACGCGGGTAGGGCTGATGATGGGAGCAGAACACTCCCACTAGCTTCTAAGCTGGCTGGGTCTGCCTTCAGGATGCTGGGGGACAGAGATGATAGAGCGAAGTGCTCACCTCTGAGGCTACAGGCCAGCTCCACCCATTACTGGCCATGGGAGCCTGAGTGTGTCACTTCTTTCTTTCTTTTTTTTTTAAACAATTCTTGCTCCAGAGACTTTAAGTCTTAAGCCTCCGTGTCCTCACCTAAATAGAGTTATTGGGAAGGTTAGAGTTAATGTATGCAAAGCCCCTGGTGCCCAGTAGGTGTGCAGTAAGTGATCATTGTATTAATACTTTGTTAAGAAATTCTGTATTCAGAATCTTGATTGCCCCACTGTGTGGGACTAGAGCGGGGGGATGTGAGACACACAGGTGGATGGGAGACACACAGGTGGATGAGAGACAAGGAACTGGCAACCTCGTGGAGGAGGCGGTGTTGATGCATAGATAAATAAGAGGGGATTGTGCTGTGAGCTGCACGTGGAATTGAATTGTCCTGGCTTCAAGTCCAGCTCTGCCTCTGAGCCAGGGCGGGGTCTTGGGTTAGCTAGACCCTCCTACACCATGTTTCTTTATCGGTTGAAAAGAGGGTAATAATACTACCCATCTCGTGGGGCTGTTGCATAAATGTTCAAATAAGACAATGAAGGAGCAGGTGCTTTTGTAAACTAAAAAGTTTGATATGCAAAATAAGAAGTTAAAACACTACAGAACAGGAAATTATAAATGCCACAAGAAAGGTACGGTGTCACCAGTGATTATTTAGAGGCAACTCTAAATTCGAATTGAGGAAAGAGAACAAGTTTCCCGGAAAAAGTAGCAATCAGTTAGGTTGTGGAAATAGGGAGGTGGGTGTGCCAGGTGGAGGGAGTTTAATGGGCTGACCAACAATCCAATTTTTTAAATATGGATTAAGGATATCAACAGGCAACTCACAAAAGAGGAAACCTAAATGGCTAAAATAGCCTAAAATGTGAAAAGGTGCTCAACCTTATTGGCCACGTGAGAGACGCAAATGAAGAGAACTGTGATACACCATTACACATCCACCAGATGGGCACGGAGTCGAGTCTGTCAATATAGGGGGGTGGGGGGTGAGGATGTCGCACAGTTGGGACCCTCAAATACCTATGGAGATATGAACTGGTAAAACGATTTTGGAGAACAGTTTGGCAACTTGTAAGAAAGTGGAAGATACTCATAGCTACAATTCAATGACTCCACTCGTCATTCAGCGCATAATTGTGAAAATTTAGAAATTAATGAATTATCCATGAACAGCAGTCCAGATAGGCCAGGCACTGTGGCTCATGCCTGTAATCCCAGCACTTTGGGAGGCCAAGGCAGGTGGATCACTTGAGGTCAGGAGTTTGAGACCAGCCTGATCAATATGGTGAAATCCCGTCTCTACTAAAAATACAAAAATTAGCCGGGCATGGTGGCGTGTGCCTGTAGTCCCAGCTACTTGGGAGGCTGAGACAGGAGAATTGTTTGAACCTGGGAGGTGGAGGTTGCATTGAGCGAAATCGTGCCACTGCACTCCAGCCTGAGTGACTGAGCGAGACTCCGTCTCAACAAACAAACAGCAGACCAGATAGATTAATTGTGATGTAGTCATACAATGGAATAATATACTGGGAGTAAAAATAAACTAAGTCTGCAGCCTCAACATAGTTACACCCTAGGAAAAAAACTAACATCAAGTTGTAGCATAGGTACAGTGTGACACAAATGATAAAAAATGTTTCTTAACGCATTCAGCTGGGCCCGTGGCTCAAGTCTGTATTCCAGCGCTTTGGGAGGCTATGGTGGGAAGATCGCTTGAGCCCAGGAGTTCAAGACCAGCCTGGGCAACATGGCGAAACCCTATCTCTACTAAAAATACAAAAATTAGCTGGGCATGATGGCATGCACCTGTAGTCCCAGCTACTTGGGAGACTGAGGTGGGAAGATTGATTGAGCCCAGGAGTTTGAGGCCACAGTAAGCCATGATTGTGCCACTGCACTCCAGCCTGGGTGACAGAGAGAGACTTTCTCAAAAACAAACAAACAAACAACAAAAAACCCAAAGAAATACAAAATAAGCTATGTAGACATTTTGGGGCTACAGTCAGCTAGTAAAAGTATTGAAACATGCATGGGAAATCAAAGACCCTAGATTTAGAATAGGGTAACCTTTGGGAAGGGAGGGACAGGAATGAGATCAGAAGGAAGCACATCGGGGGTTTGTTTTTTTTTTTTTTTTTTGAGAGAGTCTCGCTCTGTTGCCCAGGCTGGAGTGCAGTGGCGCGATCTCGGCTCACTGCAACCTCCGCCTCCCGGGTTCACGCCCTTCTCCTGCCTCAGCCTCCCGAGTAGCTGGGACTACAGGCACCCACCACCACGCCCCGCTGATTTTTTATATTTTTAGTAGAGACGGGCTTTCACCGTGTTAGCCAAGATGGTCTTGATCTCCTGACCTCGTGATCCGCCCACTTCTGCCTCCCAAAGTGCTGGGATTACAGGCGTGAGTCACCGTGCCTGGCCCACAGGGGGTTTAATTCTATCTGTATGTTTTATTTCTTAGAAAAAAAAATTAAAATCTGAGGCAAGTATGACCAAGTGTCAAGATGTAACAGAGCTGGGTGGTTGATCCATAGTTGTTCTCTCTGATCCTTCTCCTTCTCAAGTCTAAAACTTTTCCATGTTTGAGATATTTGGTGATTTTAAAGGTGGGAGGGGCAGGAAGCTATGAGGAGATTGCAGCAGAGGAGGTTTTGATGATAGCATTGCTTGTTAGGTGTCCAGGGTGGTTACAGTGCACAGTGTCCCCTCATGCATGGGACTGATCACCCTTCTTATTTGTTTGTTTGTTTATTTGAGATGAAGTCTTGCTCTGTTGCCTAGGCCAGAGTGCAGTGGCACGATCTCGGCTCACTGCAAACTCTGCCTCCCAGGTTCAAGCAATTCTCCTGCCTCAGCCTCCTGGGTAGCCGGGGTTCCAGGTGCACGCTATCACGCCTGGCTAATTTTTGTATTTTTAGTAGAGATTGGGTTTCACCATGTTGGTCAGGCTGGTCTTGAACTCCTGACTTCATGATCCACCAGCCTTGGCCTTCCAAAGTGTTGGGATTACAGGTGCGTGCCACTGCACCTGGCCCACCCTTCTCTTTTAAGGCTTGTCACAGCGTGGTGAGCCAGGTGTGGCAGGCATCAGGTCCATTTTGCAGGGGATGAAATGGAGGTTTGGAAAGGCGTAGTGATAAACTCAGTGTCACACACAATAGAGAGTCAGGGCTTGTCCCCTCTGCTCAGCAGTGTCTCAGTACCTCTCTGTCCAGGGAGACCACCAAAGGGCCAGAGAGCCCTGAGAGAAGGTTCCCTGCCTCCCAGTGATCCATCCTCTTCCTTCTGCTGTGCTATTCTATGTTTTCTTTCAATTAAGGACAATTTGGAAAATGTCAAAAAGCACGAGGAAGAAAATAAAAGTAACTTGTGATTTTCACTGTTACTTTTAAAATCAGATTTATCGAAATATACTTCACGTATGACAAATTCACTTACTTAAAATATACAGTCATTATTTTGAGAGAACATCATTTTCTTTCAGAAATACTTATTTGAATACCAAACAAGTTAGCCTATATGAAAGTGCTCTACAGCCAGGCACAGTGGCTCATGCCTGTAATCCCAGCACTTTGAGAGGCTGAGGTGGGCGGATCACCTGAGGTCCGGAGTTCAAGACCAGCCTGGCCAACATGATGAAACCCCATCTTTACTAAAAATACAAAAATTAGTCGTGCATGGTGGCGGCCACCTGTAATCCCAGCTACTTGGGAGGCTGAGGCAGGAGAATCTCTTGAGCCCAGAAGGCGTAGGTTGCAGTGAGCCGATATTGTGCCATTGCACTCCAGCCTGGGTGACAAGAGCAAAACTCCATCTCAAAAAAAAAAAAAAAAAGAAAGAAACTGCTCTACACACAAGAGGCTTTTCACAAATATGAATAATTATTATTACATAATTTTTGGAAGTAATTATTATGCAGGTGACCAGTTAGACGAGCCCATGTTTTATGGCCTGAATTTCGGGGTTGGTTTATCATGTCCTCAGCATGGAGGTGTAGAGAGTTTTCAGATTACAGTAGAAAGCACGGTTATTAACACCAGTTTTAAAAAAAATGGTTGCCAGGGTCAGACTGTGACCTGTTGGCATGCCTGTGGCCTTGGTTAGCTGCCAAACTATAAACACCTTTACCTGTGGCTTTTGTGGGGAAATGAGAGAAGTCTGCCTGCCTTCTCTGTGAACCCAGGGGGTGTAGAAAAGAAAGGGGAGCCTTCACCAGACACTGGAGATCCTATTTCCCTGCCTTGCCAGCTTGCTGTGGAACCAAGGATCCCTTCCCTTGTCTAAATTTTAGTCTCCCCATCTGTTAAAGATAAAGTGGTGGTTTGTTCACCCTTTCAACATAGTGCACATGTGTAGCGAACCATGCTGTAGGCAGGCACCATGCTAGGAATGACAGGCGTGGCATGAAGATGAATAAGATGCAGCCTTTGATCTCAGGAAGCTCCCGGTCCAGCCGGGCACGGTGGCTCATGCCTGAAATCCCAGCACTTTGGGAGGCTGAGGTGGGTGAATTGCCTGAGCTCCGGAGTTCGAGCCCAGCCTGGGCAACTTGGTGAAATCCCATCTCTACCAAAAATACAAAGAATTAGCTGGGCATGGTGGCATGCACCTGTGGTCCTAGCTACTTGGGAGCCTGAGGTGGGAGGATCACTTGAGCCTGGAGGCAGAGGTTGCAGTGAGCTGAGATCACACCGTGCACTCCAGCAGCCTGGGTGACAGAACAAGACACTGTCTCCAAAAAAAAAAAAAAAAAAAATAGAAGCTCCTGGTCCAGAGCTAGGGGGTGGGGCTAGGGGGACAGACAGATTGATAGATAATTGTGGGAGGGTGTCGAGACAAGGAGTGATCAGGACAAGGAGGGTCAGACCACAATGACCTCTAAGTTGCCTCTGATGGCAAAATTATTTGATTCTATGAACTCAGTCTAAGCTTTGTTTCTCCCTCACTCGGTAACCTAGGATGGGTCACTTCTCTAATCAGGGCTTCAGATGGACTCACTGGTCAATATATGAAGTCTAGAACAAATGAGTTGCTCCCAGTCATTCTTTATAAAGGTTGTTATATAAAGATTTGACCCACCAAAAGCTGCATTGACTATTTGCGAGATATTTTGTCTTCTTGTTTTTTATCAATTAGGTCTACATACTACATTCAATTAGAGATTTTGATTGATATGATTAAAACAGTGTGATCATAAAAGACTGACTCAGATATAGTTAATTAAAGATACCTTTAAAGTTTTCCCCACGTTAAAATACAGAGGTGTCATTTTATTAATGAACTCCAGTATTTACAAGGCATCCTTTCTGGAATCAAGCAATCCATGAGTCGATCCGCGTGAGGTGGATGAGCTCCTGGCCCCAAGCTGGGTGTGTAGGAGAAAGAGGAAATGTATGAGATGAGAGCTGCTCCCCGGGAGCCAAGGCTCTTGCTGGGCATTTCATGAAGGAGACAAGATATAACCAACTGCCCAAGATATAGCCAGAGGAGAGCAAATAAGAAGATAGTGGATACAACAGGGTCATTTGTATGATTCAACTAGTATTGGTGGAACTGAGGTTTGAACCCAGGTGATATGGTGTATTCAAAAGCTAATGCCAGTCTGGGCACGGTGGCTCACACCTGTAATGCCAGCACTTTGGGAGGCTGAGGTGGGCGGATCACCAGAGGCCAGGAGTTTGAGACCAGCCTGGCCAACATGGTGAAACCAGATCTCTACCAAAAAATACAAAAAAAAAAAAAAAAATTAGCTGGATGTGGTGGTACACGCCTATGATCCCAGCTACTCCAGAGGCCGAGGCATGAGAATCACTTCAACCCTGGAGGCAGAAGTTGCAGTGAGTTCAGATAGCACCACTGCACTCTGGCCTAGGAGCGAGACTCTGTCTAAAAAAATAAAAATAAAAATTAAAAAAAGCCAATACCAGCCACTCATGTAAATCCCAACTACTTAGGAGGTTGAGGTGGGAGAATCATTTGAGGCCAGGAGTTCAAGACCAGCCTGGGCAACATAGCAAGACCACATCTCTAAAAATAAAAATAAATTAGCTGGGGTGGTGACATGCACCTGCAGCGCCAACTACTCAGGAGGCTGAAGTAGGAGGATTGCTTGAACCCAGAAGTTCGAGGATGCAGTAAGCTATGATTACATCACTGCACTCCAGTCTGAGCAACAGAGTGAGACCCTGTGTCTTAATGGAGGGAACCTTCCAAGTCAAGTTTTCCAACTTCTCATTTTCAGATGGGGAAACGGATATCTAGAAAGCAGGAGAGGTTCGGCGCAGTGGTTCACGCCTGTAATCCTAGCACTTTGGGAGGCCGAGGCGGGCAGATCATGAGGTCAAAAGTTTGAGACCAGCCTGGCCAACATGGTGAAACCTCGTCTCTACTAAAAGTACAAAAATGAGCTGGGCATGGTGATGTGCGCCTGTAATCCCAGCTACTGGGAATGCTGAGGCAGGAGAATGGCTTGAACCCAGGAGGCGGAGGTTGCAGTGAGCCGATATCATGCCACTGCACTCCAGCCTGGGTGACAGAGCAAGACTCTATCTTGGAAAAAAAAAAAAAAAAACAAAGCAGGAGAGGTCTGGCCAAAGTCCTGCAGGAAAGACGCATTCAAGATGAAGTAGTAAATCAGCACATGAGCCATAAGTGGGTCCAGGCCTCTGCCCCTCCCTTGCCCAGAGATGTATGCCATGCCACTTTTGTCAGGTCCCCAGCAGTCCTCTTGAGTTTTTTAATTGCCAAAATTTATTTTAAAATCCTTCTGTTTGAGTGTTCCATGACATGTGACCTTCTTATGAGTTTCAGAGGTAATCCCTGCCTGGGTGGAGGAATACCTAAGTGACCTTCAGGACCTCTTTCAGCTTGGAGAAGCGGAAATTCTGTTGCCAGAATTCCATGGCTCTTTAAAGCTAATCTTCACTCTTTTACAGCTCTCAGAAGGAACTCTCACGTCTGGCCTTTCTCTGTTGTCTGTTCTGCTCCCTGATCTTCGGCTTAAGTTGGGGCAATAGTTCCAAGAGGTTTAGCTGGGACCATTCAGATCTGTGTCTTATAGCTGCTTCTTCCAAGATTACAATTCAAAGTCCCAGATGCCTCCCCCTGCAGAGGAGAGGAAACATCTGGGCTGGAGCTGCACGGAGAGAGCCCAGCTGTGTGGGACATCCCTCAGGGTAGGAGCCTGTGAGCTGAGAGCTCTTCATTGCAGATGTGGTTCTAACCATCGGGGTCTGGGTCTCACCCATGAGGCTTCGACAGGCCCCAGGCATGTGTGTGCAGGGAATCTGAACAGTCAGCCTGCAGGAAAGAGGCTCTGGGGAGTTATATGTGGCTGGTGTGGTGGCAAGTAGAGTTTGTATGGACACCGAACCAAAATAGAGAAATGCGAAGGCAGCTAGACAGAAAGTGGGTGGGGGGAAGCATTCCAAGGAACAGACCTCTGCAGCAAGGAGCTTGGTCTGTGCAGGTCACAGGGAAAGCAAAGAAAAACATAGGCTCAAACCACGAGTCATTTATTCACTCATCCTTCACGGCTAACCACAGCATTTAGCCATGCACTCCTGGTGTGACTATGGAGATCCCTTCCACAGCCAGATGACCCAATGTCAGCTGGAGTGTTTCCCACTCCAACGGCTGGTTCATCCAGCCTGTAGTCACCGCCCTCTGGCAGAGGCACCACTCTGGGCTGACCCCTCTGTGATGGTCAATTTTATATGTCCACATGACTAAGCTATCATACCTAGTTATTTAATCCAACATCAATCTAGGTGTCGCTGTCAAGGCATCTTAGAGATGTGGTTAACATTTATCATCAGTTGACTTTAAGAAAAATTCCCTCGAGACCAGCCTGGCCAGTATGGTGAAACCCTGTCTCTACTAAAAATACAAAAAAATTAGCCGGGTGTGATTGCACACACCTATACAGCTACCCGGGAGGCTGAGGCAGGAGAATTGCTTGAACCTGGGAGATGGAGGTTGCAATGAGGCGAGATCGCCCCACTGCACTCCAGCCTAGGTGACAGAGCCAGACTCTGTCTAAAAAAAAAAAAAGAAAAGAAAAGAAAAGAAAAAAGAAAATTACCCTCGATAGAGTGAGTAGGCCACAGCCAATCAGTGGAAGGCCTTAAGAGTAAAAACAGGTTTCTGGCTGGGTGCGGTGGCTCACATCTATAATCCCAGCTCTTTGGGAGGCCAAGGTGGGCGGATCACCTGAGGTCAGGATTTCAAGACCAGCCTGGCCAACATGGTGAAATCCTGTCTCTACTAAAAATGCAAAATTAGCCAGTCGTGGTGGCGCGTGCCTGTAATCCCAGCTACTTGCGAGGCTGAGGCAGGAGAATCGCTTGAACCTGGGAGGCGGAGGTTGCAGTGAGCCGAGATCACGCCATTGCACTCCAGCCTGGGCAACAGAGTGAAACTCCATCTCAAAAACAAAAACAAAAACTGAGGTTTCCTGGAGAAAAGATTCTGTCTGAAGACTCAAGCATCAATTCCTGCTGAGTCGCCAGCCTGCTGGCCTGCCCTATAGATTTTGGACTTGCCAGCTCCCACAATCATGCAAATTAATTTCTTAAATACATCTGTTTATGAACAAACACACACACACACACACACACACACACACAGACACACACACACACACACACACAGATGGTCCCTGAATGATGATGGTATGCCTTATGATTTTTTGGCTTTACGATGGTGCAAAAGCTATATGCATTCAGTAGAAATCATACTATGATATTTGGTAGGTTAGGTATATTAAATGCATCTTCCACTTACGGTATTGGAGAAGCCCCATCGTAAGTGGACAAGCATCTGTATACATACCTAGTGTATCTCCCATTGGTTCTGCTTCTCCAGGGACTGACCGACCCACCTTCCTTCACAGTCCTTGAGAACGGAGCTCGTCCCCTGAGCACCTAATGACACGCGTGCACGTCTCTTGATTCCTTGTCCTCTTGCAAGTCCCCACACGTCTGTCGCCCAGACTGGAGTGCAGTCGCACGATCTCAGCTCACTGCAACCTCTGCCTCCCAGGTTCAAGCGATTCTCCTGCCTCAGCCTCCCAAGTAGCTGGGACTACAGGCATGCGCCACCACTCCTGGATAATTTTTGTATTTTTTTAGTAGAGAGGGGGGTTTCACCATGTTGGTCAGGCTGGTCTTGAACTCCTGACCTCAAATGATCTGCCCATCTCGGCCTCCCAAAGTGCTGGGATTACAGGTTTGAGCCACCGCGCCTGGCCCAGCCTCCTTCTTCACACTCATGACCCTTAAAAGGCTAGAAGCTCCCAGATGGGAATGGAATTGCAGGGAGAACAAGCTTGGTGGCAGCTCGAAGAGCTGAGAGGTGTGGAACCCAGCACTGAGCCGTGAACTTATGTCTGCCTTTCAGGATGCAGGCAGCAACCTGGACAACTGGGTCTATCTGCTGTGATAATTCTCAGGCCTTGGCAAGAGAGGCTATGCCAATATTTTCATGGCACCCAAAAATGGTTTTCCTGGGAAGAAACTCCTTGGTCAGTGTCCACAGCACCAGGGGAGGTGGCTATTTCCTGCCATCTCTGTAAACAGGATGGAGACCAAGGGCCTTGTATCAGTTGGAATTCTTGATTATGAGCAACCAGGACCAACTCTGTCCATCCAAAGCAAAAGGGGGACTTTCTGGAGGGTACTGAAGGTACACAGAATGAACAAGAGGCTGGAGAACAGGCTTGGACAAAGGGCAGGACCAAGAGAGGAATTCTGGCCAAGGGAAGGCTGCAGGCACAGTCTGATCCAGGGTTCTCTACTGTGGGTGAGTGATCTCCAAGGGTCCCCTCACCACTCACTCAAGAGTCAGCCCCAAGAATGATTATCTGATTGGCTAGTGTTGCATTTTCCATGTGCCTGTCCACTAGCCAGGCAGGATAAGATGCCATGGAAGGATTTAGCTCCACTAGGATTTCACAGTGATGGTGGCCTTGGGAGGTGGGTGCTAGTTTTATCCTTCCTCAAAATGGGGAGCTCCTCCAAAAAGGAACCAGAATTTTAAGGTGGGGGTGGATGCTGGACAGATCATAAGTGACAGCTAAACCTCTTGGAGCTATTGCCCACCTTAGGCCAATAACAGATGAGGCCAGGCGCGATGGCACACGCTTGTAATCCCAGCACTTTAGGAGGCTGAGGCGGGCGGATCACGAGGTCAGGAGTTTGAGACCAGCCTTGCCAACATGGTGAAATCTCGTCTCCATTAAAAATACAAAAATTAGCTGGGCATGGTGGCAGGCGCCTGTAGTCCCTGCTACTCGGGAAGCTGAGGCAGAAGAATCACTTGAACCTGGGAGGCGGAGGTTGCAGTGAGCTGAGATCATGCCATTGTACTCTGGCCTGGGCGACAGAGCAAGTCTCCATCTCAAAAAAAAAAAAAAAAAAGGACCAAGGTAGCCTGGGCGCAGTGACTCATGCCTGTAATTCCAGCACAGGAATTGGGAAGCCGAGGTAGGAAGATCCTTTGAGCCTGGGAGTTCAAGGCCAGCCTGGGCCACATGGCGAAACCCTGCCTCTACGAAAAATTAAAAAATTAGCCTGGTGTGGTGGCAGGCGCCTGTAGTCCCAGCTACTCAGGAGGCTGAGTTGGGAGGATCAATTGAGCCTGGGAGGTTGAGGCTGCCTTCAGTGAGCCATGATTGTGCCACTGCACTCTGGCCTGGGTGACAGAGCAAGACCCTGTCTTGAAAAAAAGAAAGAGAGAGAGAGAGAAAGAAAGAAAAGAGAAAGAAGAAAGGAAGAAAGAAAGAAAGAGAAAGAAAAAAGAGAAAAAGAAAAAGAAAGAACTAACAAGAAAGAAAGAGAGGAAGGAAGGAAAGAGTGGACAGGCTCTAGGATCTGGACTGGACTTGGACTTAGAATCTGGACTTGGACAACCTAAGGTCAGGTTCTGCCATGTATTAAGCAATGTGGATAATAATGGCACCCACAGCTCACAAAATTGCATGTGAAAACACTTTGTAAACTATAAAGTATTTTGAGCCCTGGAGGGCAGTGGGATGGGACCATCATGCCTCAGGCAGCTTCTCATCTCAGTGCCCAGTTCAAGACCTGGCACCCAGTAAATGTCCCATAAGTGTTTGCTGAGTGAATAGATAAACAAGTGATTATCATCATCCTTTTAACTTGATCTCAGCTTTGCAGAATAAAAACAGGCAGATGCTGTTGGACCCTGATTCAGGTTTTGTGAGCTGAGGCCTCACAAATGAGCCTGCTTTTTTTTTTTTTTTTTTTTTTCCTGTTAACGCTTTTGACGTTTTCATTTTAATATGTGAAACCTGGCTACTTGTCTCAGGGAGAGTTTATGGAAAAAAAGCTTCCAGCTGGCTTTGGGCAGCCCATAAAAATGTACTGAAATGTCTAACTTTGACCAGTTAGAAATTAGGAGCTGTTGGGGGATGCAGGCCGGTGACGCCACTCGCCCTGGTGAGGCCACTGAATTTCAGTAATTAGCTCTCTGGGCAGGAGGACTCGCTCCTAATTCCTTCCTGGTTCCGAGTCAAAGGATGAGGCCCTGAATCTGTTAAAGAGAAACCACAGCTTTCAGATAACAGACAAACATGTCTTTAACACACGCAATCTTTGATTCAAATGATTTCAAAGGGCATGGGGGAGGGAAGGGTTTTTGTGAGCTTTAACCGAAGCCGCTCATCAGAATGTCAGCTCTCCAAATCCTATCCTTCCCTCAGCTCAAGTCTGACCTCCTCCAGGAAGCCCTCCTTGGTAACCCCAGCCCATCACAGGTTTGTTCATCCACACGACTCCTTGCTTTAAAACTCTCCAGAGGGTCTGCCTAACTTCATGGTCAAGTTCAGTCTTCTTAGTTTGGCATACAAGGCCCTTTGTGATCTGACACCTTCTCACCTGTGTAGCCTCTTCTCCTACTCTCCACCCCCACCCTTTAACCCAGGTGCGACAAACAACCTTCACCCCTCTCCCCGGAATTTGGGCCTCAGAGCCTTGGACTGTGTTTTTGCCTTGATGGGGATTTTCCTTCCCCTTCGTCATGTGGCTGGATGGTCCTTATTCCCAAAACTCACCCCAAGCCTCTCCTGCAGGGGTGGGGAGAGATTGAGCCCCCAGGGCTGGGTTAGGTATCCCTGCTCATGCCCCAGAGCGCCTGGGTTTCTGCTCATCACAGTTAGTGTAAGGATCCATTTACTCATCTGCCTCTCCCGCCCTCTTCCCTTCTCTCCCCTCCTCTCCCCTCCTTTCCCCTTCTTCTCCTCTCCTTCCCTCCCCTCCCCTCTCTGAGGAACTTGGTCCAGCTACAGTCAATATCTAGAGAAGGTATTGGCCTAGAGAACCTTGCTCAATCTTAAGCCCGCACACCTGCCGTACTTTGGGATCACCCCGGGAACCTTAACATGCTGATGCCTGTGTTCTTATCTTCAGAGACTCTGGTTTGATTGGCCTGGATGTGGCCTAGGCATGGGGTGAAGAGTGTGGGTTGAAAAGCTCCCCGGGTGGTTCAAGGTGCAGCCCAGGTGGAGCGCCACCATAATTTACAGCACACGACTCAAGACCCACCCAGCCACTTAGAGGAGCTGCACTCCAGGCACCTCGGGGAGTATAACCTTGAACTCGGAACCCCACTATATTTGCCATATTTGTTGTGTTGAAAGAAAACTAGTCATCTGTTTATCTGAGTCAGTAGCATTGAGCAGCTGTATAGTCCCCCACAGGCCCCACCCAGTCTTCCGTGCTTGTTAGGAGAGACGGAAGCATCACAGTCACCTGGTAGAAGGATGCCTGTCTGAGCCCCACCCCAAATCCAAGGAGCCAGACCAGGGACCCTGTGCTATAAACAAGTCTCCTGGTGATCCTTCTGCACACAAATGTGCCAGGGCTCAAAACATCCTAAAACAGGCTGCAAACCCCTGACGCCTTGCAGAGCCAGGTAGGAAAGTTCAAAGCAAAGAAAGGCCTCCAGGGGACCATGCGGGGACTGGAAAACGACTGGCTCTAGCAAATTCTTGTCCTTTGGGAATGTGGGCCCCATGTTGTCAAGTCCCTCTTTTTTAAAAAGAGAATGCCAAAAATCTGAATTTTTAAAAAGGTGAAACTTGTTTAAAGCTGACAACTAATTCAAGCCATTTAAGTACACAGCTCAGACCAAACAAAACTTACCTGGGACCTGAATTTAGCATCTATTACCAATGTTTGCGGCAAACCCCACACGTGGATGAAGCTAGAGGGTGGTGTGCTTGCCTGGCCTTGTCTCGGCTCTCTCTTTTTTGAGCTGTTTTCCTGCTATGGGACTTGGGCCAGCACGGAGTAGGAGTGGGGAGGCGGTGGGGAGCGGGTACAGGAAACGGCCCCTGAGACTTGTGCCGTACGTGCAATTGGGAGGCTGTTTGGGGACATTGTTCCTCACGTTTAACAGTGTTCTCTTCATGCCAACTCTCTAAAAAAATACCTCTCAGGTCTCAGGGCCTAATAGAGTTTTGATTTGCCTCAGCAATGGTGTGCCAGTGTCTTATGGACACTGAATTGCGTGGGATCAAGTTTTAGCTGCTAGAAAGGTCAGAGGGCAATTTGTGGCCTGTCCCCATGGCATATAGGACCTCAAGGTCCACACTTGTATACCTGTCATTCCTGGGTGCTTCTGACCTTTCCAACTTCTGTTTTTCGTTTGATGCTTGTCACATGACCACTCCTGTAAAATTTTATGCTTGTATATCAAATAAAGAAGTTAAGTGCTTTCTGAAATAAGGCATGCTATAAATAAATAAGCCCATAAAAATAGTAAGTGCTGAAAAAAAGGGTTATTGAATACATGACTACTTGAATGATTCATTTTGTGGTTGCACACAGGGCCTTGCACAGAGCAGGTGTTCAGGAAATGAGGGCAGGATGGTAGAGTGGAAAGCAGCAGTTTAGAGATGGAAAGACAATAGCCCTGCCATTTCCTAGCGACTGGGACCTTAGCCAAGCTGACTAACCTCTCTTAGCCTCAGTTTCCTCGTCTGTACAATGGGGACAATCTCAGTGCCACCTTATCAGAGTTGCTGGGAGGATTGAGTAAGATGATGTAAAGTGCCTAGCATGTAACAGGCACTTAATAAGTGGCAGCTGTGATTATTTCAACACCAGAAATACCCTCATCTATGAATGTCATTGTTAAATGACTTAGTAAAGGCAGTAATGTGTGCAACATGAGTGAGGACGCTCTCCCTTTGCTCAAGCCAGCTAGAGTGTGACAGAGAAACCACATGGATTCACTGGGTCAATAAAATGGGGAGGCCTTCCAGAAGCTCTCGATTCCCTCAGCTCCTTGTCCCAGGTCTCTGCTCCCCTCCACACCAGGGCCCCTCTGATTATAGCAGTGATGGCAGGTGGCTCCCTGTCTGAGTGTGGCTGCCCCATCACTCCCCTCTCAGCATGCTTATGTGCTAAAGACCCTGTCCTGTCTGCCCCCGTCATCCAATCTCTAGCCCTAGCCCTGTACATTCCCTTTCTGGAAGCCTCTGGCAGTTTTCTGCAAGCTTCCCAGCCCTGACTGATCCCTCTCCTGGTCATCACTTAAGTGAGCAAATTCATCTTTGAACGGTTCCTTGACCTTTTGCTTGACAGATGCACGCATGCTTTAGAAAGCACACGTCATGCAGTGCACAGGAGGTGCACTCAGAGATGACTGAATGTAGTGTCTGGGGCTCACTCCCTCTGAGGGTTGGACACCAGGCAGACAGTCAGGAAAGCAACTCTCTAATACTGTTACGAGGGAGAAAATACATCATATAGATCCCTGCGATGGAAGGTGGTCTATGGTGAGTTGTAGGTTTCCCTAAGGGCCTAAAATTTATTCATAAGAGGCACTGTTGCATAGGGCAGTGGTTCTCAAAGTGTAGCTCCAGACCTGGAGCATCAGCCTAGACTGGGAGCTCTTATAAATGCAAAATCTCCAGCCTCACTCCAGAACTACTGACTCAAACCATGTGGGGCCCACCCAGCGCTCCCAGTTTTCACAAGCCCAGGGGTGATCCCATGTAGGGCCGGTTTTTGGACCACTGGAATGGTGGATTCATTTGGAACCTGTCACCTCATCTGTCAACAGGGACGACCCTAATCATGGCAGTGGCTTCTGGAAGGGCCACGAGATGAACGTGGGAAGCCTGCCTGGCACGTGGTTGGTGCTGAGCCACCGTCCCCTAAGACTGATCACCCACTACCTTTGGAGGGTCAGCTACCGCCTGGCGCTGTTCTCTGTCAGTCATGGAACCCAAGATAAGGGCTCCAGCAG
Organism: Homo sapiens; assembly: GCF_000001405.40. Taxonomy (NCBI): domain Eukaryota; kingdom Metazoa; phylum Chordata; class Mammalia; order Primates; family Hominidae; genus Homo; species Homo sapiens. The sequence goes on from NC_000009.12 coordinate 120,894,302, forward strand.
AAAGGAGAAACAGGATGGAGGTCAGGGAAAGCTGATCTGAAACTTAGGCTAAGGCCCTGAATGCCAACCTTAGGACCTCTCTTTGCCTCTGTCTGCGGCGGAGACTCACATGTTTCCATTACTTTTCTGTAATACAACAAAGCAACGGAATCCTTGGGATTCTGGCCATCCCGGAGGTACCTCCCGGGTCCGTGGCGGGGCAAGCCCTTTTTCCACGACGCCTCCCACCCGCCTCGTCTGCTTTGGCCGCGCTCCCGCGAAGGCCGCGGCGGGAGGCCCCTGATAGGGCGCGCAGGCCCCGGCTGCCAAGAGAAGGCCGGGCGCGGGCCAGGAGCCGGCGCCTGCGAGCCAGGGCAGCCCCGCGCGTTTGGAATGCGAGCGCCGCTCAATGCGTTCCATATGGCGGCGGCGCGGGCCCACCCGGCCGCCCGCGGCTCCCCAGCCTCGCGCCCGCCCCGCGGGTTCTTGTCGATCTCCCGGACCCACCTGGGCGCTGGGATAGGGACCACGGATTACCAAGACCAGCATAGTGCAGGGCACGTAGGAGGCATCCGGAGGCTTTGATGAATGAATGCTAAATACACGACTTACTGGTAGAAGGCGTCAGAGAGTCGACTCCTTAAATAACCCAGCACACAGTCCGCCAGCCTCGGCTCCACCAAAAATCGATGGGAGCCTGCCATGGGCGAGGACCTTCTCTTGTATTTGTGTAATCCCAGTCCCAGATCCCCGACTGGTCAGGGACTTTGTTCTCCAGCTTTGCCCAAGATGACAGTTGGGCTCAGAGCTGGTGATGTGACTTGCCCAAAGTCACACAGGTAGCAAGTAGCACGTCGGGATTTGAATCCGGGTTAAAGGACTCCACGTCCAGTGCTCTTTCTATCCAAACTCCAGAGGGAGGGGACCCTGCTGACACCTTAATGTACCCTGGCCTCCCTGGAGGCTTTTCTCATTGGAATCCCAGAGTTACTAAGACTTATAAAGGATAGAACTGTCCCCTTAATCCCGGGCATGGGGGCTAATGCCAGTAATCCTAGCACTTAGGGATGGAGAGGTGGGAGGATGGATTCAGCCTGAGTTCGAGACCAGCCTGCGCAACATAGCAAGATCCCGTCTCAAAAAAATAAAAAATATGCCAGGGTGACAAAGAGAAACTCTGTCTCAAAAGAAAAAAAAAAAAAGATAAAATAAGAAAACAAAAAACAAAAACAACAAAAAACCCCAAAACAAAGCATAGAACCCCCCAGTGAGCTCTACTTTGCTCCCCTCTCCCAGGGTTTTGAGCTTTAAATTTAAGGACAAGTGATTGCCTTAAAGAGAAGCCTGTGACTTTCATGTTGCGTTTATCTAATTAGCTATAATGGCACTTTTTTTTTTGAGTCAAGTTCTCACCAAGGCTGGAGAGCAGTGATGCTATCTTGGCTCACTGCAGCCTCGACCTCCTGGGCTCAAGTGATTCTCCTGCCTCAGCCTCCCGAGTAGCTGGGACTACAGGCATGCACCACCACACCCAGCTAATTTTTGTATTTTTAGTAGAGATGGGGTTTCACCACGTTGGCCAGGCTGGTCTTGAATTCCTGACCTCAAGTGATCTGCCTGCCTCATCCTCCCAAAGTGCTGGGATTACAGATGGGAGCCACTGCGCCTGGCCAAATTATACACTTTAAGTGGGTAAATTGTATGGTGTGTGAATTGCATCTTTAAAAAGCTGTTACCAAAAAACTCCAAGCTTTGCTGCTCCTCACTAGCCATGTGACCCTGAAGAGTGACCTCACCTCTCTGAGCCTCAGTTTCTTTATCTGTAAAATGGGCAGGATAAAAGTAGCTGCCTCAGGAGGTTGTTGTGAGGTTTTAAGGGGAGGAATTATGTAACAAGTTAGCATGGTACTTGATATACAATAAAACCTTGATAAATAATAACACTAGCTAGTGTTTACTGAGGGCTCACTCGTACCTGGCACTCTGCTAAGCTCTTAGGTCCATGATCTCATTTAATCCTCTAACCACTCTCATGCCAATTGTGTAGTGGAGGAGACCGAAGCTTGGACAGATGAGGCACAGATTAGAACCCTGAAGCTTGGGTTCTGAACCATGAGACAGTGTTGGTTTTTGTGTAGTTTTATGTTTGTATGGTTCTTTTTTTTTTTTTCTTTTTTTTTTTTTTTTTTGAGACGGAGTTTCGCTCTGTCGCCCAGGCTGGAGTGCAGTGGCGCGATCTCGACTCACTGCAAGCTCCGCCTCCCGGGTTCACGCCATTCTCCTGCCTCAGCCTCCCGTGTAGCTGGGACTACAGGCACGCGCCACCACGCCCGGCTAATTTTTTTTGTATTTTTAGTAGAGACGGGGTTTCACCGTGTTAGCCAGGATGGTCTCGATCTCCTGACCTCGTGATCCGCCCGTCTCGGCCTCCCAAAGTGCTGGGATTACAGGCGTGAGCCACCGTGCCCGGCCGTTTGTATGGTTCTTTTAAATTACTGTAACCCACTTCATTTGGAGATGCTGCGTTGCACACCCTGAAATGAAGTTTCATCTACTTATCCACCTCCTTCCAAATCGATTGTTTCCCTTTCTCTTGTGTAGGATACTTTATAAGGTATAACACGCCCCCACTGAAAGGCTGCACGAGACCTGGCATCTGCCCAGAGTGTAGTGGGCAGGGCCCACAGCCCACCCCTGTGAAGTGTTAGGCCTTTGGGAAGAAGGCCCAGGCTAGATGACTTGCTTTCAAGCCCCAGCGCTGCCACCTCCTAGCTTGTAGAGACCTCCTCGCCTTGGTCTTGTCATCTGCAAATATGCGGATTACGATCATATGTACTTGCCAGGGATATTGGGAGCTTGCTCACAGGCTCTCAGAAGCCCCAGAGCCTCACAATCGAGTTCTCCTGAGACCCCCATTGGCAGGGAGATGGCAGTCCTGGGGCTGGCCCACGCCCAGCAAGCTCCCCAGCCAGCTGTGCTGAGGCGGCAAGTGCTAAAAATAACAGTCACGTCTTGCAGGGACACAGGCTGGCCCAGAGGCAGATGGGAGTCAGGGAGGAAGTGGTGGGGATGCACCACCAGGACTCTCCACCTGCAGTGTGAAGATATGTGGGTGTGTATGGGGGATGATTCCTTTACCCAGTGCAAGGCCCCTAACTATAAAGGAGCTTGGTTTCAGGTCACATGGAGTGGGTGGGGCCTGTTCCCTGTAGCCAAGGCACTGAAAAAGTCCTCTAGTGCTATCCAGTGGAAATATTACATGACCTGCATATGTAATTCTAAATTTTCTAGTAGCCATATTAGAAGAAAACAAGAAGCAGATGAAATGAATTTTAATATACTTTAACCTATCAAATTTTTTTTTATCATTTCAACATGTCATCAATATAAAAATACGAATGAAATATTAAATTCTCAGCCGGGCATGGTGGCTCACACCTGTAATCCCAGCAGCTTGGCAGGCCGAGGCAGGCGGATCACTTGAGGTCAGGATTTCGAGACCAGTCTGGCCAACGTGGTGAAACCCCATCTCTGCAAAAATACAAAAAATGAGCCGGGTGTGGTGGTGGGCCCCTGTAGTCCCAGCTACTCGGGAGGCTGAGGCAGGAGACCTACTTGAGCCTGGAAGGCAGAGGTTGCAGTGAGCTGAGGTCGCATCACTGCACTCCAGCCTGGGCAACAGAGTGAGACCCCGTCTCAAAAAAAAAAAAAAAAAAAAAGAAATATTAAATTCTCTTTCTGATACTAAGTCTTTGAAATCTGGTGTATATTTCAGACAGAGCATCTCAATTTGGATCAGCCACATTTCACGTGTTGTGTGAGTTTCAAACAATCTCTCTAAGATTGTTTGTTTTGAGACGAAGTCTTGCTCTGTCTCCCAGGCTGGAGTGCAATGGCACGATCTCAGTTCACTGCAATCTCCGCCTCCTGGGTTCAAGCGATTCTCCTGCCTTAGCCTCCCAAGTAGGTGGGACTGCAGGCACCTGCCACTACACCCAACTAATTTTTGTGTTTTTAGTAGAGATGGGGTTTTGCCATGTTGGCCAGGCTGGTCTCGAACTCCTGACCTCAGGCGATCCTCCTGCCTTGGCCTCCCAAAGTGCTGGGATTACAGGCATGAGCCACCGCCTCCGGCCCTGAGATTGTTTTTTCATCTATAAAGTCAGGAAAATAATACTTTCCTCTGAGGTCTGTTATCAGTATTGTGATACTTGCAAGAAAAGCGTATGCTCAACAAATGAGTGCTATCATCATTTTATCATGGCTATTTAAACAAATTAATGTGCAGTCTGTTCAGAACTAAAACTGGATGTCACAGCTGATAGGTGTTTTTGTACTTTTCCCACAACATTATGCTGCTTCTAGTCATGAATCAAATCACTGGACTTAAGGGTTTGAACCTGGCATAAACTGATCTTGGTTCAAGTCCTGGCTCCTGGTGCTTGTGTGACCTTGGGTGAGTGATTTTTTACCCCTTGAAGACTGGGTGTTCTCTACTATAAAACAGAGATGATAATAATCACACCTTCCTGATGGGTTTTTTATGAAAGTTTCATGGAGCGATGTAGGTAGAGCCTGCAGTGCCGTGTCTGGCACTAGCTAAGCACTCCATGATTGTTTAAGATTATCTTATTCCGGCCAGGCTCGGTGGCTCATGCCTGTAATCCCAGCACTTTGGGAGGCCAAGGCAGGTGGATTACCTGAGGTCGGGAGTTTGAGACCAGTCTGGCCAAGATGGTGAAACCCCATCTCTCCTAAAAATACAAAAATTAGCCAGGTGTGGTGGCAGGCGCCTGTAATCCCAGATACTTGGGAGTCTGAGGCAGGAGAATCTGTTGAACCCAGGAGGCAGAGGTTGCAGTGAGCCAAGATTGGACCACTGCACTCCAGCCTGGGCGACACAACGAGACTCAGTCTCAAAGAAAAAAAAAAAAAAGGCCAGGCGCAGTGGCTCACACCTGTAATCCCAGCACTTTGGGAAGCTGAGGCAAGTGGATCATGAGGTCAGGAGATCCAGACCATCCTGGCTAACATGGTGAAACCCTGTCTTTACTAAAAAGTACAGAAAATTAGGGCATGGTGGTGGGCGCCTGTAGTCCCAGCTACTCGGGAGGCTGAAGCAGGAGAATGGTGTGAACCTGGGAGGCAGAGCTTGCAGTGAGCCGAGATCACGCCACTGCACTCCAGCCTGGGCGACAGAGCAAGACTCCGTCTCAAAAAAAAAAAAAAAAGATAAAAAGATTCTGTTATTCTTACACTGGCACCCCCACAGTGGACAAAGCAAGTGGCTTCTGCAATTGGCATCCTTACGACAACATGGTGAAGTTAGAATTTTCACTCTCATGGCAGAAGTAGAAGCTGAGGCTTAGTTAGCCTCTGCTCTGGAGCTCAGTAGAGGAAAGTAGATGCTGTTTGTCTCACTGGGGCTAAGCTTTTTTGAATGCAGAGGCTGTGTTACTCTCCCCAGCCCAGGCTGTGAGCACGGTGTCCTGCCCACAAGCTTCTAAATCCATCAGCTCCTCCAGTCCCACAAGGCAAATCCCCTCCTCAGTTCCCCCAGGGTGAGTCCCAGCATGACACTGGTGCAGGACACTGCCCTTCCATGCCTCAGTTTCTCCATCTAAAAACAGTTGTGATCATTTCAGCCCTGGCGTTGGTATCAAAAGACCCGAGTGTGAATGTTGAGTTGGAATGGCCTTGAGCAACTGACTTTTCTTTTTTTTTGAGACAGAGTCTTGCTCTGTCACCCAGGCTGAAGTGCAGTGGCACAAGCTCGGCTCTCTGCAACCTCCACATCCTGGGTTCAAGTGATTCTCCTGCCTCAGCCCGCCGAGTAGCTGGGGTTACAGGCATGGGCCACCATGCCCAGTTAAGTTTTGTATTTTTGGTAGAGACAGGGTTTCGCCATGTTGGCCAGGCTGGTCTTGAACTTCTGACCTCAGGTTATCTGCCCACCTCAGCCTCCCAAAGTGCTGGGATTACAGGCGTGAGCCACCGCACCCGGCCTTGACTTCATTTTCTTAGTTTCTGTGTCTTTGCCTGGAAGAAGGGGCTAATGGTAGAATGTGATAACAGGATGTTAAGTGAAAAGGGAGAGCCCAAAACAGTAATCAATATGATTCTAATTACATTTTTAAAAGTCAATCTACATGTATGTGTTTGTATCTACTTTCTCAAAAATGCAAAGAAAATCAACCAAAATGTTCCCAGTAGTACTCTCTGGACACTGGGCTCATGGGTGATTTTTGCTTTCTTCTCTATATGACTTTTGTACTTTCCTAGTTTTTCTTTTATTTTCCTTTTTTGGACAGGGTCTTGCTCTGTCACCCAGGCTGAAGTGCAATGATGTGATCACAGCTCACTGCAGCCTCCAACTCCTGGGCTCAAGGGATCCTCCTATCTCAGCCTCTTGAGTAGCTGGGAGTGCAGGCATATGGCACCATGCCCAGCTAATTTTCAGTTTTTCTATAGAGACGGGATCTTGCTATGTTGCCCAGGCTGGTCTTAAATTCTTGGCCTCAAGCAATCCTCCTGCCTTGGCTTCCCAAGTGCTGGGATTAGAAGCGTGAGCCATTGTGCTTGGCCTAGTTTTTCTATAATGAGTATGTGTCTCTTACAATCAGGAATTAGTAATTGAAGGCATAAATAATAGTTGCCCTTACTGCCCAGGGTTGCCTGAGGATTGCCTGTGGACACCCGTGAGGTGGCCTCTGTGAGCAAGCTTGTATGGCACTGACTGCTTGCCCTGCCCTCCTGGGGTGCTGCCAGGCTGGCATCAGTAGGTACCACAGGGCTTGCCCTTTGGCTGGGGGTAGAGGGACCTACTGCCTCCATGAAGATATGATCTCATCGAAGCTGAAGATTTCACCCAGAAAGGAGAGGAAGGAAAGAAACTGGAAGCAAATACCTGATTTCTTTTTTTTGTTGTTTGAGACAGAGTCTCGCTCTGTCTCCCAGGCTGGAGTGCAGTGGTGCGACCTCAGCTCACTGCAACCTCTGCCTTCCGGGTTCAAGCAATTCTCCTGCCTCTGCCTCCCGAGTAGCTGGGACTACAGGCATGTGCCACCATGCCCAGCTATTTTTTTTGTATTTTTAGTAGAAACAGGGTTTCACTATGTTGGTCAGGCTGGTCTCGAATTCCTGACCTCAGATGATCCACCCGCCTTGGCTTCCCAAAGTGCTGGGATTACAGGTGTGAGCCACCACACCCAGCTGCAAATACCTGATTTCTAATGCCAGTCCCATCCCTGCCTCCTTGGGCCAAGCACTTGGCTTTTCTGGCCTTAGTTTCCTAATCTGTAAAAGAGGATTAAAGGGTGCTTGCCACACCGTTGAGGGAAGGGGTTGCATGTAGCCCCTCGGACCCTTGGCTCATTTGGATTAGGAGTCACAGAAACCAAGTAAGGAGTGCACCTTATGGCCAGACCCAGGGAGCCGGCAGCACCTGGTATTCTAAGTGCACTTCAGGGGCTGTTAAGTGATGAGGATCAGATGTTCCTCCCATCCAGCAGGAAGCAGGGGAAGGTTCTGATGCCCCAGTCAAGTCTGACTGGCCGTTGGGGGCAAAAGGTGTGACTGAAGCACTGACAAGGTGGGTGGAGGCACTAACCTGTAACACCTCCTCTGGCTTGGAAAGTTTTGCTTCATCAACTACAGCTGGAACCTCCGGGGGCAAGGCAGAAGGGCCAGAACAGGGAGGTCTTCTACTGAGGGGCTGTCATCGATGTCCTGAGACATTTGTGGAGCTTCTGGTATACACAGTGCAGACAGTTTCCCCTGAGAAGCTGATTGTCTAAAAGTGACACAAACCCTCTTCCCTGCCACGTGCCCCCGAAAAGCCCATCAGAAACCTGAATGGCTTCCCGTTGCCAACTGAAGCATCCTCACCCTGTACATTAGAACCCCCTGCGGAGACTTCATCCTGATGCTCAGGCTTTATCACTTACGGGGGTGAGATTCTGTCACTGGTGTTTTAAAAATCTCCCCAGCACCTTCGGGAACTGCTGGGGGTGGGGGACCTACTGAATCCACCCAGTGAAACGGTGGCTTTGCCTGCATCTTGCCTCCCCCACCCTTGAATCACCTGTAAAAGATGCAATGTCACATCTTTGATGCACTTAACATAGAGCTTTGTTGGAAAAGAAATCATTCAGTGTCTTAAATTATCATCTCATCCTGCTTTCAATAGGCCCAGGGTTACCAGCAGGTGCTCTGTGGGCAGGGCGGGGGGTGGGGGGGGGGGCGGTGGGCACTGCTGCATCTGATGCTGTCTACACTCCAGTTCATCTGACCCTTCTGACTCCCTCCCCCATCCTGCCACACAGACCCTGCCCTCAGCCAAGACAGCTCTCCGTTTTCAAGTCGGTACTCTTCCCTTTTCCCCATCCTCTGCATTTCACAATATTCTCAGGCTGAGCTTAAAGGCCTGAAGCCTTCCCTCCTTCACCAGCTGGATCTGGGATTCTGTGCTTTCTCTAAGCTTCTCCTACTCTCAATCATAATGATCTACTTATCTGCTCATTTCCTCCACTGAACTAAGAGTTTCTTGAGTCCAGAGTGCACATCTTGCCTTTCTCCCTTCAATGTCGAACACAGTTAACAGGTGCAGGTGTCAATGAAGCTTTGCTGAAAGAATGGCTGCATCTCATGCTCTTTGAAGAGAGTATGTATCTCTTGCCATCAGAAATAGGCAATCAAAAGTGTAGAGTAACAGCTGTTTCTCATGGGGGCTTGTTCTACAAATCCCCCCTTGGGCTCAACACTCGGTGAGTAGGGATCAAGAGGTTATTGCTAGGACATCAGTTTCAGGGCCTAGACCCATCACTCGCTAGGCCAGACCTTCATGTGTGACATCCAGCTGTCAGCAGGAAGAAGTCAGTCTCCACTGCCTCCACAGTCTCCGCTGCCACGCTGTCAGCCGTGGGAACAATAAAAAGCAGCCCCAGAATGTTTGCTGCTGTCGTGCATGGACGACACCATTGCACATAAAAGCACTAGTGCTCCATTATTGCAGTTGGGCCTCCTGAAAACCCCTAGAGCTGGAGAGGGCAAGGGAGAGGCTTCCTCTGATCTTCAGCTGAAGGACTAAGCATGACAGGATGCCAGGCTTAGAGCCCAGCTGGCCTGGGTTTCTGACCCATTGAGACTGCCGTGCCACGATGCTCCGTCACCTCCTTTGATCCTCCTGTATGCTGGGCTGGAGAGAACAGGAAGGGCTACTGACCCATTTTTATAGAAGCAACCCTAACGATTTGAGCAATGGAGTCTGGCACAGGCTCAGCAGGTGGAGGAAGAGTAAGCTGTCAGGAAAGCAGCAGGGGAGAGTAGTAGGGTCCTGACTTGTCTCAGGGTCTTTGGAAAGTTGGGTGTGGCCTCCAAGGTGAGAAGATAGGTGTGGGCCACCACCAGGCCATGACAGGCGGGCAGTATTGCCCAGGCTTCTCTCTCCAGTCTGTCCTGCGTGGCATCTCCTTTGAGGGTCAGAGAAGCCAGGGAGGGAGGCAAGCTGGGGTGGGTCTCATTATAGAAAAGAGAAGACTGGGGCTAAGAGGGGATGTTCCTGCCAGCATGCCAGCCTCTGATGCCACCTGCAAAACTGGTGGCACCACCTCAAACTCAGCAATGGCCTTTTCAAACCTGGCTCAGTACAAACAACTCCCAAACCATACACTTTAGGAAAACTTCGAAAGAGATTCTAAAAATTATTTCTTTGGGGTTATACATTGCTCAGTGGCTTGGAGGTCCTGATCAGTCTGCTGAAAGAAGTGGATGCCTCAGTTAATCAGGTGTTACGGGATTCTGGAAAGCACCAAAGGTGGGGCCTCTAGGCAGGAAGAGGAAAGTTTATGCCCCTCTTCTTCTTGAGGTGCCTCTGGCTGCACCTGGGAGCTCACAGTGACTGGGTTTCACCTGCATGAAGTGACGTGGTGTTTAGCTGATGGAGGCACAGGATGTGGGGGCTGGGTGTGCTCCTGCGTGTTGGGGAAGCTGAGCTGCCAGGCCCAGGGTGGCAGGTGCCCTGTGGACCAGGTCAGTCCAGTGGGGGTTACTGAAGGTGAGTGAGGAGCTGGGAGGACAGGAAGCTCCTGAATGTTTCCAGAACCCCTGTAGCTCTAGGACTCACCTGGGCCAGGAGGCCTAGAATGAGAGACTTTCTGGGCTGGAAGGAAACTTAAAAGTCTTCAAATCCAACCCCCAATTTGAAGTCCTAGTGGAGCCGTCTGGGTTTGCTTGTTCACCTCCAATGACGAGCCTGGACAGACTGCATTCAAACTGGCACCCCATCCCTTCCACCCGGTCCTGTTTCTGACCCTGGAGAAAAAGAGAGCAGGCCTGTGTCCAGGTCTCCCTGGCGGCCCTGCAGAGATCTTCCTAGCCCGAGAGCTTCTCTGCTTGGGTCCTACGGTTCCAAGCCTGGTTCCATTTTCTTCTCATTTGGTGAGAGTCCACCTCAACATTCGGGGCCGGAGTGGCTCACTGGCCTCCCAGTGTCGCATGGTCCGTGCAGAGGGGAGCAGCTCTGCCTGTCTCCTTCTGGACCCTTTGCCTTTGTGGGCCCAGCCCACGTCCTGCCATCCTAACCAGATGGCCAGCCCGAAGTCGACCCCTCAGTCTTGCTTGGATCATGCCAGCCTTCACCCATCTTTGTGCCCTGAGGTCTTGGGTGCCAAGGGCAGGGCATCACAGTCCTCTGGCTAGCTCCCTTCTGAGTTGGAGCTCCCTCAGGAGCCCCGCCCACCCTAAGTGCTGGTCTCCACAATGCACTTGAGGAACATTGTGTCGTCCTTCACGTAGGCGTGCTTGGGTGACTGCAGTTTGCTGAGGGGGAAGAAGAGTGGGCATCCACTGGCCACGTTGGTTTCACTCTGGGGCCTCTGGAAGGACGCTGAGCTTAGGTCAGGCCGGAAGGCGTCAATGGCGTGCTCACGGTTGTTCTGGTCCAGCAGCATGAAGGTGACCTGCAGGGAAGGGATAGGTGGGAGATCAGGCCCTACAGCAGCAGCGCAGCTTGGAGGCCCAGGCTTGGGCTCAGAGCTGTGCTCCACACCTACTGCCTGTGCAGCCCCTCAGACCCTTGGCTCATTTGGATTAGGAGTCAGAGAAACCAAGTAAGGAGCGCACCTGGCGTATGGCCAGACCCAGGGAGCCAGCGGCACCTGGTATTCTGAGTGCACTTCAGGGGCTGTTCCATGATGAGGATCAGATGTTCCCTCCAGCCAGCAGGAAGCAGGGGAAGGTTCTGATGCCCCAGTCAAGTGTGACTGGCTGTTGGGGGCAGAGGGTGTGACTGAAGCACTGACAAGGTGGGTGGAGGCAATAACCTGTAACACCCCCTCTGGCTTGGAAAGTTTTGCTTCATCAACTACAGCTGGAACCTCCTGGGGCAAGGCAGAAGGGCCAGAACAGAGAGGTCTTCTACTGAGGGGCTGTCATCGATGTCCTGAGACATTTGTGGAGCTTCTGGTATACACAGCACAGACGGAGGTTCCCCTGAGAAGCCGATTGTCTAAAAGTGACACAAACCCTCTTCCCTGGCACATGCCCCTGAAATGTCCATCAGGAAGCTGAATGGCTTCCCGTTGCCAACTGAAGCATCCTCACCCTGCACATTAGGACCCCCTGCGGAGACTTCATCCTGATGCTCAGGCCTTATCACTTACGGGGGTGAGATTCTGTCACTGGTGTTTTAAAAATCTCCCCAGCACCTTTGGGAACTGCCGGGGGTAGGAGAACCTACTGACTCACATCCAGACCAAAGCGGCACACCTGCCCTGCCCCACCTGTTTCCCCAGACCTGAGGTCTCTATTCTTGACACCCTCCCCTCATGCAATGCTGCTGTTCACCCACAGGAAATGCCTATCCCCCAAACCCCTCTATAAGAATTATGGTGTGTTTTTTTTTTTTTTTTTTTTTTTGAGACAGAGTTTCGCTCTTGTTGTCCAGGCTGGAGTGCAATGGCACAATCTTGGCTAACTGCAACCTCTGCCTCCTGGGTTCAAGCGATTCTCCTGACTCAGCCTCCCAAGTAACTGGGATTACAGGCATGTACCACTATGCCCAGATAATTTTTTGTATTTAGTAGAGACAGGGTTTCACCATGTTGGTCAGGCTGATCTTGAACTGCTGACCTCAGGTGATCCACCCACCTCGGCCTTCCAAAGTGCCAGAATTACAGGCGTGCGCCACCATACCCGGCAAAGAATTTTTAATAGATTGTATTTTTTAGAGCAGTTTTAGGTTCACAGCAAAACTGATTAGAAAATACAGAGTTCCCATATACCTCCTGCCCCCACCCAGTACACAACCTCCCCCACTATCAACATCCCCACCAGAGTGGTAGTTTTGTAACAATTGATGAAGCTGCATTGACACATAATTATCACCCAGAGTCCACAGTTTACATTGGCATTTACTCTTGGTATTTCACTTTCTATGGGTTTTGACAAATGCATAAGGACATGTATCCACCATAACAGTATCAAACAGAATAGTTTCACTGCTCCCAAAATCCCCTGTGCTCTATTCATCTCTCCCGGCACCTACTCTTGGACAATCACTGATCTTACTGTCTCCATAGCTTTTGTTTTTGTTTTTGTTTTTGTTTTGAGACCAAGTCTCACTCCGTCCCCCAGGCTGGAGTACAGTGGCGCGATCTCAGCTCACTGCAACCTCCACCTCCTGAGTTCAAGCGATTCTCGTGCCTCAGCCTCCAGAGTAGATGGGATTACAGGCACACATCACAATGCCCAGCTAATTTTTTGTATTTTTTGTAGAGACAGGGTTTCGTTATGGCTGGCCTCGAACTCCTGGGCTCAAGCGCTCCACCTGCCTCGGCCTCCCAAAGTGCTGATATTACAGGCGAGAGCCTCTGTGCCCGGCCTATCTTCATAGCTTTGGCTTTTCCAGAATGTCATATAGTTGGAAGCATTCAGAACATAGTCTTTTCAAATTGACTTCTTTTACTTAGTAATATGTGTTTAAGTTTCCTCCCTGTATTTTCATGGCTTGATAGCTCATTTCTTTTTAGCACTGAATAATATTCCACTGTCTGGATGCACCACAGTTTATTTATCCATCCACCTACTGAAGGACATCTTGGTTGCTTCCAAGTTTTGGCAATTATGACTAAAGCTGCTATAGACATCCTTGTGCAGGTTTTTGTGTAACATAAGTTTTCAACTCCTCTAAGTAAACTCCTTTGAGTCCAAGGAGAGCAACTGGCTATATCGTTTGGTAAGAGTGTGTTTGGTTTTGTAAGATCCTGCCAAACTGTCTTTCAAAGTGGCCGTACCATTTTGCATTCCCACCAGAAATGAATGAGAATTCCTGTTGCTCCACATCCTCGTCAGCATTTGGTACTGTCAGTGTTCCAGATTTTGGCCATTCTAGTATGTATTAATATGTAGTGATACCTGCCTCCTTCCTTTTTCCTGAAAATTCTGCTAGTTCAGGCTAGCCTCACGGCACCTCCTCCCAGAAGTTTTCCTTATTTACCCCACGATGTGAAGGAGGAAGAAGAGTGGGCAGCCACTGGCCATTCATTCCATCCCTCCCTCCCTCTTTCCTTCCCTTCCTTTCTTCCTTCCGTTCCTCCATTTCTTTCTTTCTCTCTCTCTCTCCTCTTTCTTTGAGGCAAGGTCTCACTCTGTCACCCAAGCTAGAGTGCAGTGGCAAGGTTATGGCACACTGCAGCCTCAACCTCCCAGGCTCAAGCAATCTTCCCACCTAAGCCTCCCAAGTAGCTGAGACTACAGGCATGTGCCACCACGCCCAGCTGATGGTTTTTATTATTATTATTATTTTATTATTATTATTTTATCAATAAAATATTTTTAATGCCTACAATTTCTTGTATACATAAATTGCAAAACTTTCACCTGTATATGCGAAAGTATATTCTCTTGCAGGTCAACAGCACCAGAAAATAAGCTAAGCTATCTAAAAAATTTTTTAACTTGATTTGTCCATTATGTAAAAGACAGGATGGATTTAATAACTCCAAAGAAATCTCTATCTCACTGTTAATCATACACTAAACGTCTGAATATTTAATCACATCCACTCAGAAAATAAATTGTAATCTAATATATTCAATACATTGAAAATAAAACAACCAGTCTCTCTTCATATATTTATTCTCTTTCCAAACATGTTTTGGTCTCCTGCTATATCTCAGAAATTTACCAATAGCTGCTTTTAAGTTACAAAATACAAAACAACAATTTATTTCTTGGAGAAAATCTTGGGGATTACATTAAAAATGAAAATTTTAGTTCCCACATTCTTTTTTTTTTCTGAGATGGAGTCTCGCTCTGTCACCCAGGCTGGAGTGCAGTGGCGCTATCTTGGCTAACTGCAACCTCCGCCTCCCAGGTTCTAGCGATTCTCCTGCCTCAGCCTCCCCAGTAGCTGGGATTACAGGTGCATGCCACCACACCCAGCTAATTTTTTTATTTTTAGTAGAGACGGGGTCTCACCATGTTGGCCAGGCTGGTCTCAAACTCCTGGTCTCAAGTGATCCGCCCGCCTCGGCCTCCCAAATTGTTGAGATTACAGGCTTGAGCCACCATGCCTGGCCAGATGGTTTTTATTTTTAGCAGAGATGAAGTCTTGCCATGTTGCCCAGGCTGTCTCAAACTCCTGAGCTCAAGCAATCCTCCCACCTCAGTCTCCCAAAGTGCTGGGATTACAGGTGTGGGGCACTGCACCTGGCCATGAATTTTATTTCTATATAACCTTCAGGAAGATTCCAGACATTTTAGCTCCTGGACTCATGGAGCTGGAGGGAGCCCTAGTTACTAGATCTGATTGTTTTATAAAAAGGGAAACTGATAACACAGAGAGGGTGGGGGACTTGCCAGGTCACATGGCCAATTCATTGCCAAACCAGGACTAGGACTCAGGCTTCCATGCTCCCCACCTTACCCCCATCACCTTCACACCCATACCTTGTTCCGGAAGGGCCACGGCAGCAGCGCATCATACTCCCCTCTCATGATCACGATGAAGAGCGACAGATGGGTTCTCTTTCCAGTGCCATCTCCATTCAGGTACAGCCGCAGGCACAACTTGTAGCCATACTTGGCAGTGTAGAAGGCTGAAACGCAGAAGCCAGAGGCAGTTGGGAAGTGCTGGACTTTGCAGATGTGGGACTGGGATCCAGTGGTCAGGCATGCCCAAGGTCAGCGGCTCAAAACCATGAAAGATGGGGTTAGAACCCAGCATTCTTCTCGAGTAGGGTGTCAGACAGGAATGGGCTCTTGGGGGTCATCTAGCTTAGTGTTTGTCAGCTGGCCATCCAAGTCATACACTGCCGGGCCCCACCCTCAGAGTTTCTCACTCAGTGACCCTGGGGTGAGAACTGAGAGTTGGCACTTCCAGCAAGTTTGCAGGGGTTGCCAATGCCACTGGTCCTAGGACCACACTCTGAGAACCACTGATCTAACCAACCTATGTTTTACAGTCTGGAAACCAAGCTGAGAAAAACAAAGTGGCTGGTCACCATCTCACGGTATGTTGGGGACCCAGCAAGAATGAGGGGCCAGGCTTCCTGCCTCCCAGCAGCAGTTTCTTTCTGCTGCCCTATGCCAACTGGCTGGGGTCCCCTGGAGGCTGAGGGTACATGGGGTGACTCACAGTTCTGCCCTATGCCAACTGGCTGGGGTCCCCTGGAGGCTGGGGGTACATGGGGTGACTCGCAGTTCTGCCAGCCATTCTCAGGTGGCAAAACCCTTTGAGGGCTGAATCATACCTGGTGAACATGCACAGAAACCCCCTGGGCAGCTAAAGGGGCCATCCCATGAGAGCATGTCCTCTGGCAGAGCGCCCTTCTGGGAGAGGCTGACTGGGGACATGAATTGGGGGCAGGCAGGAAGAGGGTGGAGGAGGGACAGGCTGGCAGTCTGACTCATCTTTGCCCATTACGTTTTGGTAGAACAGGAAGCACGAGGTACTGCTTGCTTTTTCCCTCTTTGAAAAGAATTGAGGGAAAAAGGTCTACAAGTAGGGCTCGAGGCCACCCCATGAAGAGAGCTGTCCCAACACAGTGGGATGAGCGCTACTCCTGCAGGAAAGGAGTCCCAGCCCTGCTCTGGGATTGTGACACACTCCGCTGCCTCGTTAAAAAAAAATTGTTTTTTGAGAGGGTCTTGCTTTGTTGCCTGGACTGGAGTTCAGTGGCACCATCATAGCTCACTGCAGACTCAAACTCCTTAAGCCATCCTCCCATCTCAGCCTCTCAAGTAGCTAGGACCACAGGTGCAGGCCACCATGCCTGGCTAATTTAAAAAAAATTTTGTGGAGATGGGATCTTGTTACGTTGCCCAGGCTGGTCTTGAACTCCTGGCCTCAAATGATCCTCTTGCCTCAGCCTCCCAAAGTGTTAGGATTATAGACATGAGCCACTGCACGCAGTCTGCTGCCTCATTTTTTGCACAAATATATGCACTGTTATATTAACAGATATCATTTAGTTAAGAGAAACACTTGCCAAGTAATTACTTTATGCAAGACATTGTGCCAAGCCCAGGGGCCCCAGAAATGAGTAAGAACTGAGTAAGACACTCATTCACATATGCTACCTGCAATCATACACAAGTGCATGTGTCTTACTCAGTTCTCTAATCTTATTTCAGACTGTCGGCTCTCTGAGGCCACGGTGTTCACTTGTGAAAATCATCATCCACATCCATCTCATCTGCACATACTGTGGCCCACAGCACACTTTCCTTCACATCCCAAACCCATGAAGTGGGTAACAGTTTTGATTCCTATTTGCAGAATGGGACTGACATTCAGGGAGGAGAAAGGGCCTGAATGTCAGTCAGCTGGGGCCACCGCTATGTGTGGCTGAGAGCCACAGGGCAGAGCACGGTTCACCCACCAACCTGAAGATCCCAGCATGGTTCCTGCCCATGGTGAGTGGCCTGAATGGGCACTGGCCTAAACTGGACACAGCGTGTCTGTCACAGAGCTGGCAGTTTTCACTGCTTGCTTCCTGGGTCCTGTGGGGCCTGTTTCCCCAGGCAGGTCTCTGTGCCCCTGGGAGGTGTTACCTGGGGAGAAGAGGCTGACGGTCCTGCCACAGGCCGACTCATGGCACCGCCTGGTGACATTGGTGATCTTCCACAGGAAAGTGCCATCGAAGGAGGCCTCCTCCATGAGGCGCAAGCTCTGCTCCAGCTTGCCCAGGGCCTGGTCTTTCTGGGCCAGGGTCTGCTGAAGCTCCACCACCTGTAGGGAAGACTGTTCAGCCAGGAACACCAGAACCCGGCTTGGGGATGGGATGGGAATGGCGGGATGTGGAGATTGATCTGCCCCAGATGTGTTTTGCTGACCACGCCTCACTCAGGTGTGCGTCTGCATCTGAATGTGCTGCCCCCTGCCTGGCCTTCCTTTTCCTTATCCACCAGGAATCCAGCTCATATGGCCCCTCATCTGGGAAGCCTTCAACCACTGTCCTAGCTTAGCTGCTCTCTTTCAATATGTTCTTACAGAGCCCTTACAATGATTTCATGAGACATATTTTTCTGGCTTCCCTACCAGATGGTCTCCTCCACCGAAAGCTGGGCCCATGCTCATTGTGTCTTTGTGTCCATGCCTTGCATAGTACCTGGTATGTAAAAGTAGAGCTGGGAAGTTTGTGGGTGAAATGAAGGTATAATTGTGGCTTTCAGGGAGGCTGCCTTTTAACTGGAGCAAGAGTTACATAAATAAAGGCTAAAGCCTCAGCCACTCCAACTCAGCGCCTGGCCCTTCTAATAGCTTTCCCCAATAAAATGGAAAGAATATAAATTTATTCTTGGGTGTGCTCAGGTAGGGAAGCCATGAATGGAAGTGAGCATCCTTAAAGAAAATTTAATCGTTAATTTTACTGATGGGGAAGGTCCTGAGAGGGAAAGTGACTTGCTCAGACCCACACGGCAGGTGGCTCTGATCACCTGCTGTAATGGTAATTGCGAATGGTGAGGCAGATAATGGTAATGGTGAAGCAGGAACTAAAATCCAGGCCTAACTCAATATGAGACAATGATGTAATGTTACTGCAAAAGAAGCAACATTAGAATGGTCATTGGCTACATTAAGAAAAGTATAGGCCAGGCGCGGTGGCTTATGCCTGTAATCCCAGCACTTTGGGAGGCCGAGGCAGGTGGATCACGAGGTCAGGAGATCGAGACCAGCCTGACCAACATGGTGAAACCCCATCTCTACTAAAAATACAAAAAATTTAGCTGGGTGTGGTGGCACACGCCTGTAATCCCAGCTACTCAGGAAGCTGAGGCAGGAGAATCGCTTGAACCTGGGAGTGGAGGTTGCAGTGAGCCAAGATCACGCCACTGCACTCCAGCCTGGGCGACAGAGCAATACTCTGTCTCAAAGGAAAAAAAAAAAGAAAGAAAGAAAAGAAAAGTATAAGCTCTAGAATAAGGGAGAAGACAGCCCTGTTGGACCAAGAACTGTGGCCAAGTGGATTATCTGGAGTCAGCCTGGTACCATACTCCAAGCGTACAGAATTCTTTGGAGACTGAGCCAGAGCGTAGGATGGCAATGTGAAGCAGCATGCTCTGAGGAAGACGTGAAGGCGCTGGGGCTTTTAGCCTGAAAAGGGAAGCACTCAGGTAGGACAGAATCTGACCCTCCATCCCTGAAGGGCTGTCATGGGGACTAGAAGGTGGATTTGTCTTGTGGGCTCTGAGGGGCAGGGCCAGGAACAATGCAGGGAAGAGACAGGCTGATTTTAGCTTAGTACAAGGAAGAACTTGCTAAGAGTGGAATATGTCCTGCACTGGAATGAGCTGCTCAGGGAGGTGGTGTCTTATCACAAAAGTTCAAGCAAAGGAACCGAAGCACTGGATGGGAGGTTATGACCTTGACTACAGCTTCTAACTCAGCGCTCTTCCTGGAAGGGTGTGGGATAAAGGGGAGATACGTTTTGATGGAGTGACTGCTGTAAGCAGGATGAATGATTAGGAGGAAGCCTGTCTGCCGCTCTGGAGACAGGATGGGGCTCAGCCGGGCTTGAAGGCAAACCTGCCTCCCACACTCACCCTCTGCTCCAAGCTCAGGATGCGCTCACGGTCCAGCTGGCTCTGGTGGATAGAGGTGGCCAGGGCCAGGTGGGAGGCCTCCACCTCCTTGTTGAGGACAGCAACAATGTTCTCAAACACACGCAGCTTCCCCTCCAGCTCAGCCAGAAGCTTCTCCTTCATGAAGTGCTGCAGGGCCAGCTCCTCCTGGCTCTCGGAGCAGGGTGCCCGGTAGCAATCGACCTCCAGGTCCCCCGCCACTTCCACGGCTGCCTGCAGCTGCAGGTCTGACAGGTTCTGCTCCAGGGCCATGGGCCCAGACTCCAGGCCACAGCCCAGCCGGGCCTTCCACTGTTTCATGAACCCCAACAGCAGGTTTAGGTGGGAGGTCTGGGAGGTGACCTCATGCTCTTGCACAGACTGTGGGCTTCCCTGACAAGAGAGTGGGGCTGATCAGTGAAAACAGAGGTGGAGTGAGGACAGGGGAGCAGTGGAGTGCCCTGCTATCAAAGGTCACCAAGGATTATTCATTCACCCAGCAAAAAGGAGTGGCTTTCTGTACAGTGGGAGGGATTCAGAGGAAGACCCTGGCATCAGACATGCCCACGATGAGCCACATGCATTGCAGCTTCTAATTCTGCCCTGCCCTGGAGTGCAAGGATGATTCAGGACCATGGAGAGGGGCATTGGGGGTGGGGGTCATTTTAGTGATGTTCTGCCTATGCTTAGGTAAGACATTAGGAAGAACTTCCCTGAGTACTGTGATGACTTAATAGTAGGCTCTGATGCTTGGGAAAGTCATTAGTACAAAGGACATCCAGATGAGTGGACTGATGTTACGGGAAAATCATGGAGGGGCTGCAGTGGGGAGACCTGGAGGTCTGGAACCATAGTGGATAGATCTCCTTTCTCACACTCAGATGCTTACCTTGAAGGAGCAGCCGACACCTGCAAAGGGGCACCCAATTCCAGCCTCAGCCACCTCGGGGTGAGCCTGGAAATAATAATCACATCACTGAATGTTATAGCGATCCCTGTGGCTACCCTGGGGCTCTCTTCAATGCACCAGGATCCACCAGGGCAGGAGATGGCTTGGGCCACATGACTTTGCACACTGCTGTTCCCTTTGGCTATCTCCTTTCCACCCTTTAAGCTTCCACCCTTCCATGACCTTCCTTCAAAACAGGACCTGGGCCCTTACTGTGATCCTGGGCAGCACTGCTATTTCTCCTGTCAGGGCACAGTCCACACAGCTCCGTAATCATCACTCACTCTCTGGTTGCCCCGACTGGTCGGGGGGGCTCTGTGAGGGCCATGGCTGTGTTCCCAGTGCTGAGGGCAGTGCCTGGCACAGCTGAGACACTCAGAACACACTGACTGCATGAGTAAATGCCTCCCTCCTCCTGAAGTTCATGGGGAATCTTGGGCTCACAATTCCCATCTGCATCCCTCCTTGGCCATCTATCCTTGACTGAGGTGTGTCCACTCCGCACAACTTTCCCTTCCAGATAACATCCAGCCTGAGGGAAGGGATACAGGAGGGTCTCAGTGCTATTATAATAGCAATTTGACCCCACTGTTAGCCTATTTAGGTCTGAAGCATTTACCAAATGCTTTCATGGCCATAATTCTTCCTAGGGCTCCTTACAGCATGGTGGGGAAGAGAGGGTGGGTTTTTATTCCTATTTTACTGATGAAAAAACTGAGGCTCACAGAGGGGAAGGGATTTGCCCAAGGAGGCCGAGCTGGGAGGCAGCACAGCCACAGGGCCCCTCCCACGCACATCACTACCTCTTAACAGGAGTCAGCCCAGGAGAGATGGGAAAAAAGTTTTTCCAACATATACAGTCATGCAACAGGAATACATTCTGAGAAATGTGTCATCATTGTGTGAACATCATAGGATGTATTTACACAAACCTGGATGGTATACCCTGCTACACACCGAAACTCTGTGACAGCGTATTGCCCCTAGGCTACAAACCTGTACAGCACGTGACCATACTGAATACTGTAGGCAATTGTTAACACTGTAAGTACGTGTGTATCTAAATATATCTAAACATAGAAAAGGTACAGTAAGAATACAGTACTATACTCTTCTGGGACCATCGTTGTATATGTGGTCTGGTGTTGACTGCTACATGGCACATGACTGTATCTTCATAAAGGCTTGTATCCAGAATATATAGAGAACTCTTACAACCTAATAAGAGACAAATGACCTAATAAAAAATGGGCACAGCCAGGCTCAGTGGCTCAACACCTGTAAGCTCAACACTTTGGGAGGCTGAGGCAAGAGGATTACTTGAGGCCAGGAGTTCAAGACAGCCTGGGCAACATAATGAGACCTCATCTCTACTTAAAAAAATTTTTTAATTAGCAGTCTTGGTGGCGTACACCTATAGTCCCAGCTACTTGGGAGGCTGAGGTGGGAGGATCGCTTGAGCCCAGGGGTTCAAGGCTGCACTGAGCTATGATCACATCACTGTACTCCAGCCTGGGTAGCAGAGAAAGACCTTGTCTCTCTTAAAAAAAATAAATGAATAATGAACAGATACAATCTATGAAAGTATCTTATAAAGTTAAATCATACTTATAAAATAATTTACTTATAAACCATACTTATAAAGTTACCATACAATCCACACATTTCACTCCTAGGAATTTACCTAAGAGAAAGTAAAACATATGTCTGCACAAAGGTGTGTATGTGAATGTTCATGGCGGCTTTGTTCAAAGCAACCCAAATGTGTCATCAGCTGGTGAGTGGGTAAACAAATTGGTCTATATATACTACAGAACAACCAAATGGAATTAAATACCAGCATAAATAATAACATGGATGAACCTCAAAAACATTATGCTAAGTGAAAGAAGTCAAACACCAAAGACTACATACTACCTGTTTCCATTCTTACGAGCTTCTAGCAAAGGCAAAACTAGAGTGACAGGAAGTAGATCAGTGGTTGCCTCCTGGAGCTGTGGGTGGGGAGGGGACTGACTATGCAGGGACACAAAGCAGCTTTATCCCGTGCAGAAACATTTGCCATTTGACTGTAGTGGCGGTTACATGATTATTTATATTCAT
The DNA here is from genome assembly GCF_000001405.40 of Homo sapiens. Lineage (NCBI taxonomy): Eukaryota > Metazoa > Chordata > Mammalia > Primates > Hominidae > Homo > Homo sapiens. The sequence goes on from NC_000009.12 coordinate 120,916,398, forward strand.
CAAACTGTACACTTAAAATGAGTGAGTTTTATGGCATATAAATAAAATCTTGATTCTATAAGCGCTTTGTTATTTATTTATTTTTTTTTGAGAGAATAATCTCATGGAACCACGTGAAAGGGGATTTGGACGAAAGCAGGAGAGGACAGAGGTCTTTCGGACTGAGCAAATACAAAAAGTCACACTAGTTATTATTCTTTAAAAGTAACATAACCAGAGAGCTGTGGGCTTAATGAGTACAGTTGGGTTGAGACACAGAACACAGCCCAGCAAAGGCCACCCTGCCCCCACCCCCACCCACCAACTGCCCAGGGCTTCAGGGACAAGTTGTTCCCAATAAATAATAGAAAACAGATGTTCTATGGAAGGCAGGCAGAGGGCGGCCTTGGCAGGGAGACCGTGCTGGCTTCGGGAAGTCTGTGGTGATGAAACCTCCCCAAACATGTAGCTTTTGACATGTGAGAACAGTGGAGGGAAGATGCTATGTGTAGACCTGGCTCCTTGGTGAATATACCTGGGGGAGCCTTTCAGGTCCCACCCCTCCCCACAGGTCCATGATTCCAATAGTCTGTGGTTCTAAGGGTCAAAGCTTGGTGGGAGAGTCATAAAAGAGATAAGAACATGAAAATGATCAAGCTAAGAGTGAAATTCCAGACATCACCCCGCAGGTGGAGGGGATGTGTCTTTCAGCAGCGGAGCTGTCCTGGCGTTGTGTGAACAGCAAATGTCTGTTTTAGGGAGTGAAATGCTATTCAGATGTAGGGACATCCTTCTGTGATGCGTGTACAGATGTGGACTGTGATGAGCCTTGAACAGTTGCTGGAGAAAGGGGCAGGGGTGACTTGAGAGGCTTTCAGAGGCTTCTCCATCATCATTATTCATTCCTTAGAGTGCACGGGAGTTCAGGATGTGGCCTCTGGAGCCAGCCTTTTGGGGTTCAGAGCTTGTTTCTGTCACTTCACATACTAGCTTTGTGGCTCTGGGATAGTTACTAACTCCTCTGTTCTGCAGTTTCCTCATCTGCAAAATGGGGATAATAATAATACCCCCTTACAGGGTTATTGTGAGGATTAAATGAGATAATACATGTAAGCACTGGTATTAGTTACCCATTGCTGCTGTAACAAAATACCACAAACTTAACAGCTTAAAACAACACAGCTTTATTATCGTACAGTTCTGGAGGCCAGGGGTCCTAACATGGAAATGTCAGCAGGACTGCGTTGCTCCTGGAGGCCCAAGGGGAGGATGGCTTCCTCCCTTCCCCAGCTTCTCAGGGCTGCCTGCACTCCTTGGCTTGTGGTCCCTTCCTCCATCTTCAAAGCCAGCAGTGGAGCATCTCCCCTTCTCTCTGACCCTCATCTCCCTCTTCTGAGGACACTTGGGCCTCCTGGATAATCCAAGGTCACCTCCCCATCTCAGAATCCTTCATTTAATCGTGTCTGCAGAGTCTGTTTTGCCATTGTTATGGGCTCAGCAACCCCCACCCAAATCAGATGTTGAAGTCCTAACCACCAGTATCTCAGAATATGGAGACAGGGCCTTTAAAGAGCTAATTAAATTAAAATGAGGTCATTGGGGGTGGGCCCTAATGCAATGTGACTGGTATCCTTTTAGGAAGGGGAAATTTGAAGAAGGACCACATGAAGACATAGGGAGGGGACAGCCATGTCAAGGCAAAGAGAGAGGCCTTGGAGGAAACCAACTCGCCAATACCGTGCCTTGAACTTCTGGCCTCCAGAACTGCGAGGAAATACATTTCTGTTGTTTACACCACCCAGTCTGTGCACTTTGTTATGGCAGCCCTGGCAAATGCATAGAGCCATGTGAGGTCACATACTCACAGGTCCTGGGGATTCACATGTGGACATCTTTGGAGGACATTATTCTGCCTAACACAGTGTTCAATAAATATGAGCCATTATTACTAATAATAAATTAATAGTAATAATGGCTCATATTTATTGAAATTATTCCATACTACTACTGAATACTTGTTGAATACTACTGCTACTAATAACACTAATAATACTAATAGTAGTAATACTACTAGTATTACTACTAATTAGTATTCTTATTCCTGTGGATTAAGCACTGCCCCGGGACATCTCCCAGTCCCAATCCCTCAGTGGCTGTCATATACATGTATCTCATTTAATCCTCACATCACAAACTCTTTAACAATGAACTCTCTAAAACTCCATTTTCCCACTGGATTTCCTCAAGGTGGTGAGGAACATTCCTAAATGAACAGGACCAAAATATGTTTGAATGTTGTCCCATAGGATCCCTGTGACAATCATCTGAGGCAGGTGGGGCTGTATTAGAGTCACCTTAACACAGGCAGAAACAGAGGGAATGGCTTAAGGTCATGCTGAGCTTGTGAGCAGAGGAGCTGGGCACACCTGTGCATTCTCTCTCACAGTTGTGAGCCCCTGCATGGGCTTGCTGCTCTCCTGGCACTCATGTAGACACTGTCCCATCAGATCCTCACAGCCATGAGGGGGAGGTTGGGGCTCTGAGGTTCTGCTTCCCTCGGGTAGGTGGAGAAGCCGAAGCCCAGGGGCGATCAGTGACTTCCAGGAGGCAACGGGGCAGGCGAGGGGAGCCCAGGAGCCTGGAGTCCGTGTGCAGGCTCCGTCCTCCCCACCATAGTGTCCTTGCCTGGGGTGGCCTCACTCAAAGGCCAGGGACCGAGGGGACAGGAGAGGGAATCAGGAATCAGACTGCATTGCAGGAGAAGAACAGAGGATCTGTCCTGGGCCAACCCTGTCTGGTGTCACAAGTGGCCCCTGTGTGAGTGGCCTCACTGCTTGCAAATTGCTAAAAATAAAGTGTGCAGTGGAATTTCCTCCGAGGAGGAGACAGAAACAGAGAAAACAGATTCCCAGCCCTGAGGGAACACTCGTTCTTCTGTCTGGGTCTGAGGAGTCTCTGCGTGTGTGGTGTTTCCGGCCACCCTGGCTACCCAGGCCCTTTGTGGTGGGGTCACAGTGGGCCCTAGCGGGGGGCCCCATTCTGAGACCTGGGGCCTCCGGGAATGTGACTGTTAAGAGGGTGCTGGGAGCATGAGTGCCACCTCTGCAGCCCCTGCACAGAACAAAGAGGATCTGAGCAGGCCAGGCACTGCCTACCCCCACACTGGGCTGAGGTCAGGGATGCCCGGAGGGGCTGCTGTGACTCAGGTCTCAGCTGGTGCTGAGGGGGTGCTCTACAGTCACATGGGGAGCTTGGTCAGTCTGCCACTGTCCGCCCGTTCCTGCCCTCCTCTGTAACTGGGCCGGTTTACTCTCTGTCAGCCTCTGCTCAGCTCGACCGCCACCTCCTCCAGGAAGCCCTGCCTGATTCTCCTGGTTGAACATAGTCTTGCCCATTCCTGTTTTTCCCATAGCACTTGGTGGACTCCTGCACTAAAGCCTGACTGTGTTATTTAAGCAGGTATGAAACATTTAGGGGAGGATTCCTTGTGTAGAGGCAGCATAGAGAAGATGCCACCAGCTCAGGAGCCATGGGTTAGAGCCTGGCTTTGCCTCCCACTTGCTGTGTGACTTTGGTCCAGGCACACCTCCTCATGGAGCCTCAAAATATTACCTATTGGTAAAATAGGGCTATCACCGCCACCCACCACACAGGATGTCACAGGATCGGGGCGATTACAGATGAACACTGTCAAGCTCAGAAGTGTAAGGTTTGGGGGTTTATTCCCAGGTATCACACTTCAAGGAACACAGATAAACAGAAGCGCATTTACCCCAAATGCACAGAGACTGGGGAAAGACTGCTCAGTGTCTTTCCATGGAGGCAGGACTGACTCCAGGGATAGGAGGCTAAGTTGCCTTTTGTGACCTCAAGGGAGACAGACAGACTTCAGCTCAGTACAAAGAAAGAGGAGAATGTTGCATCACTCAGAGCTCCCCAGGGTAGGTGTGGTTGTTTCATGGAGTAATGACCTCTCTGCCATTGGAAGGACATGGAGCCACGTAGCATGAATCCAGTACAGAACAGAAATTGGACTAGACAGCTTAAACCCTTGTCACTTTCTGAGTCTAGACAAATTAAGGCTTTACTGTGAGCTACTGGCATCAGTTGTCAGCTTGCTTTTGACCTTCTTGAATGGGCCTCAGGGGGAGGGGGTGGGAGAAACAATCCCATTTGCTGATCCTCAGCAGACAGGACTGAAGATTATCTCCAGCCCCCTGGCATCCCCTCCTTCACTGTCACTTCTACAGGAAGATCACGCCAGGCAAGTATCAAGTCTCTAACTAGGTCAACATTAATCCTCTAATATCTGCTTCTTACATTAGGTAATCAGTCCATGGCTCTGGGCACTTCTTTGGGAGATAATCATCTAATGAAGTCACAGGCTGGGGACAAACTGATAAGCAGATGGCATGGGAAGTGTTTGCAAGGAGGGCTGGTCCTCAGCCCTCCACCCTGCCTCCATTTCCCAGGTTGCCCCAGATGTGCAGGCAAACTTAGGAATTACCACACATGCAAAGTGGTGACTTATCATCAGCCACTTTCCTTTGGTCAAAAGTCCCCCAAAGTTCCCACTGGGGCAAAAGTCAGAGGAGTCCCTGGTCCTTCCCCTATGTGGCTTTGTGTAGGTGATCAGACCATGACTTACCGCCCCTCCCCACCCCAGCTTTTCACCAGAAGTCCATGACTCCACGAGGTGGGGAAGCCAGCAGGGAGGGGAGGGGGCTGATGCCTCTCAGAGGTCTGCCCGCATTAAAGAAGGCTTCTTTGCTCCCAAATACAGGCAGCTTCCTCTCCCATCCTGTAGCCTGTTAGGGTGCCTATAATTCTACCATGAATTATAGTGCCTTCACTTGGCTTAAGGCAGCAAGTTTCAAACTGTGCTCTGCAGGGCCCTAGGAGTCCCCAGAACCTCTTAGGGGCTCGGATAGGAGAAAGAAATGGGGCAATTAACAGGTCGGGGCTCCAGGATCCCCCTCCATCAGAATGCTTTTACTTTCATCTGATTGAAAAAGATGAAAAAAAGCCATTGGATTAGGAGATATTAAAATATCTATGTGATCTAAGATTTACACAATAAATGTGTATTAATTTTGTTAAGAGGAAAGAATAAAACAAGCTAAAAACAACAGTCCTAGAGCATTCAAGCAGGTAAGGGCCTTTTGCAAGTGAGGCATAGTGGCTCACAGAGTTGAGGGTCTGCTTGTGTCTCACAGCCGATCCACCAAGAGCCAAACAGTGAGGCTCAGGGAGTTACTCCACGGAGCAGCATATCATATTAACTCTTACCACGTTGCAGAGTGTAAAGTTCCAAGAACATGCATTTGGTCCTTACTCTTACTCTCTGAGGGCCTGCCGATGGAGAGGTTGCTGAGAAGCAGATGGGAGAGTGCTCAAAACCAGCTCTGGGTGGGACAGGAAATTCCCCTGAACTCTCTGAATGAGAGGGACCAGCTCAGAGAAAGGAGAAGGAGGTGTGGACACTCGCCTGCCTCTGGTCCAGCGGTAGGGGGATAGCTGCCCTGCCAGCACTGCTATCACGGTCTGGACATCACAGATCCTGGAAAGGCCTTGCAGAGCTGACTTAATATCCTCATTTTACAGATACAGAAACAGGGCCTGGGAATTGCTGCTAGCCAAGCAGAGAATTATGCAGAACCACCCCTGGACATCAGGCTCCTGATCCCTGGGCCACAGTTTGCTGCAAGAAGAGGGCTTTGGCTGAAAGGAGCCAGGCACTTCCCAGTGGAGGTAGAGAGGGCGGCTGAGCAACGAGACTCCTCTGCAGGTCTCAGGGCCCCGTGTGTAAACAAGAGGATTTGATTTTGAGCAGTGACTCCTGCCTGTTTGGATTCGTGGACCAATACGAGTGTGTTTTTTTTTAAATTGAGAGATTAACAAAGAGATTGTCATCTTTTTAATTTTACTTAGCAAAGGCTTTGCCAAAAACTATCATCTACGATTACATCCTTTCATTTATATAAAGACATGCATAGGACAGACGCAATCTCAGAGTAAAAGTTTGGTTTTATAAATGGAAAGAATTTAGTTTACATAAACTGATTTATAGAATTGCCTTATTTTTATCATTTTGTCATGAGCTGGTGGGAATGGATCAGTTCTGGATAGCATGTGGGAACCTCTGAGCAGGACATGTAACCTATGAGGGTCCTTCCAGCTTGGGAGGGCCAGGGTTCTAAATTGTAGCTCCTGAAAATGTCTCTCTGGCCTATCACACTTCCAAATGTGTCTCTTATTCCTAGAAGCACCGTTTGACAGAGCTCAGGACGTGAGCTGATAATGGTCTCTCCCCACCTAAAGGCAAACAGAGGCAGACAGAACCATCTAGATGAGGAGTTTGCTAACCTTTTTTATGTAAAGGGGTGGATAGTAAATATTTTGGGCTATGAAGTCTTTGTTGCAAGTACTCAATTTTATATAATTTTCATGTGTCCCAAAATATCTTTTTTTGTTTTTTTGAGACAGGGTCTCATTCTGCTACCCAGGCTGGAGTGTAGTGGCACGATCATGGTTCACTGCAGCCTCGACCTCCCCAGGCTCAGGCGACTCTCCTACCTCAGCCTCCAGACTAACTGGGACTACAGGCATGTGCCACCATGCCAGGTTAGTTTTTATATTTTTTGTAAACATGTGGTTTCATCATGTTGCCCAGGCTAGTATCAAACTCCTGGGCTCAAGCTCTCCGCCCACCTCGGCCTCCCAAAGTGTTAGAATTACAGGCATGTAATTCTATGTAATTTGAATTCTAACACTTCAGAATTACAGGCATGTTTGTCATTTACCAAGGGGTTTATATTTGTTATTATAAGAACTTTTTTGATTATTATTGATTGGGGCTCATAACAATTCTGTGATGCAGAAAACAGTTTTACAGACAAGCAAGCTGTGGCTTGAGAACATTAGCAGTGCAGCAGGCCACACAGTGAGAGAGTGGCCTCACAGCCTCGAGAATTACAGGTCATTATGCATGGCCTATCATTCTTCTGATTTTTTCAACCATTTGAAAATATAAAAACCACTCTTAGCTCGTTGCTTAGGTGGTGGGCCAGAATGTGGCCCATGAACCGTAGTTTGTGGACCCCTGGTCTGGACTGTTCTCACTCTAAGTCTATTGCCAGGTAGCTTTAGGCAAGACACTTCACCACTGTGAACATCAGTCTCCTTATTCCTTATAAAGCAAATTCAGTCTGGACTCAGGACTAGTTGGGAGGTGCCTGCCAGGGGTGGAGTGGGCAGCTGTCTACTTGGCTTCAACCTGGAAAAATCAAGACAACGGACAAATGCCTTTCTGTGATGTGCCAACGTACCTTCTCCTGAGTTCGAAGACGGCTTCCTGGGCTTATAGACTGGAGGTCTTCCCCTCTGCATTTGGGGCAGATCTGATCCTCGCCATTCCTGGGGAAACATGGACAAAGCCTTGGAGAGAGGCACTACAGCTCCCTGCACCATCCACTCTCCTGACAGCTCCAGAAGCCTCAACTATCAGCAGGGTGGTGATCATGTACGTCCACAATCCCAGAGCCACAGTTCCTAAATCGCAAAACTGCCGAGTATCCCACATTTTTTGGTAGTTTGCAGTGAGCTTCCTGGGCTGCCAAACCTGCCGTGACTGCACTGACCGGAAGCTATTATAGCCCTTACTTGCCCCACTTAGTGTGAATATATACATGTTTCATTGCAGAAACATTAATGTGCTTGATTACAGGGCACTGCCGCATTCCCTGCCACAATTACATGATGCCCTGATTTGCTTTTCTAAAAAAAATTCTGAATTACAAAACACATCTGATCTCAGGGGTTTAGGCAAAAGATTGCTGACATGTGACTATATTTGCTCTTCTCATTTGGTCCTCCATTTGGTTTTGGTCTTATATGTTTAGTAATTACAGAGGATCATGGCCTATTAGAACAAGAAAGGGCCTCAGAGAACATCTGTCCTAGAGGTTCTTAATCAGGAATGGGTGTCAGATTCTAATGGGTAACACCTGGGTACCCGTGGGTTTTTTGTCTGTTTTTTGGGGGTTTTTCTTTTTTTGAGACAGGGTCTTACTCTGTAGCCCAGGCTGGAGTGCAGTGGTGCGATCTCAGCTCACTGCAACCTCTGCCTCCCAGGTTCAAGTGATTCTCATGCCTTAGCCTCCCAAGTAGCTGGGATTACAGGTGCACACCACCACACCCAGCTAATTCTTGTATTTTTAGTAGAGATGAGGTTTCACCTTGTTGGCCAGGCTGGTCTCAAACTCCTGACCTCAAGTGATCCTCCTGCCTCGGCCTGCCAAAGTGCTGGGATTACAGGCATGAGCCACTGCGCCTGGCCAGCAACTGTGTTTTTACAAAGCTCCTGGTGTCTCTGACCTGCTACCGCTACCGAGATAGTCTATTTTACAAGTGAGGGAATGAGGCCCCAGAGGGCATGTGGATTGGTCAAGGTAGAGTGAGTCAGGAGCAGAGCTGAGTAGAAGCTCTTCAGGACTTAGGCCTCAGGCCTCAGCCCTCCAACTTCCAATCAGCTCCCTCCTCTGCCAGGTTTTGGAAGGAGGGAGAGGGGAAACCAGGAGACCCACTACCAGAGCCTGAGCTGAACCCTGACAATCCGCTTGATGGTAAAACCAGTGAACCTCTGCTCCTCCACCTCCTGGCTGGCCTTTCCACGGCCACAGCCTCTCCTCGCTATTCTCACAGCCTCCTCCTTTGTCGTCATGTTTGAACTTCTCACTTGCCTGATTCAGCTTTGCCACCTTCTTAAGCTGTAAAACCGCAAACAAAAGGTCATCACATGAGATAGTTTAAGGGCATATTTGCCAGGAAACTGACCAAAGCTGACCTAATCTGTTAGGCCTCAGTGTTCTCATTTGTAAAATAGGATCATAATAGTATCCACCCCTCTAAGTTGTGCTGAGGACCCAAGGGCAGAGCATTTGGCACACAGTAGGTGCATAATTGCTTAAAGAGGGATGTCCACAATAGTACTGATATCATGCCTTTCTGGGTTGTTAATATTTTAAGTATCATTAAATACACAAATATATATCGATCTCTTTGTCCCCTCCAAAAGGGTTCCCAGCAAACGGTCTGAGGTGATGAGCAATGCTGTGGAAGGAGAGATATTCGTCTAACAGTTTGTCATTCACCAAGAGGTTTATATTTGTTATTATAAGGACTTTTGTGATTATTATTCATTGGGCTTCATTAACAATTCTATGACACAGAAAACAGCTTTACAGACAAGCGAGCTGCGGCTTAGGGACATTAGCAGAGCACCAGACCACACAGTGAGACAGTGGCCTCACAGCCTCGAGGCTCTCCTCGGTGTGGATGGCTTTCCCCTGTGGGAGCTGATGCCTTTCTGTGGCTTCCTCTCCTTCCACCACAGCCAGAGGGGCAGTGTCAGGGAGTGTGAGAAAAGGGTGTGGAAACTGAGGCCCAGAGAAGAAAAGTCACCGCCTGAAGTCACAGGCTCCTCTGCCCCTCACCTCCCATCAGGGGTCCCTCCCTGGCACCCACTTTCTGCCCACCCTCCGCTCCTCCATCACCTCACCTCGGGTTCTCAGAGAGACAGCCTGCACAGCAGAGAGCCCTGGGCTCCTTTGGGTCCTGGCAGACGGTGGGAGGGCACCCAAAGGGAAACTCATTCTCATCAGGGGCCGGGCGAGGACTGCTGCCTGAGCTGGAGGCCATCTCAGGGTTCCAGGCTGGCCAGAGGGCCTGTTTAAGTTGCTCCAGGGCAGGGGACCAGCCTTGTGGAGTCCTGGCCTGGGCCTCACTCTCTGGTGAGTAGGAGCTCTGATGACTTTATCTTCTTCTCTCTGGCTTGTGTGGTTCAACGTCACAGCTGAGTCACAGCAGGGATGGAGCAGGAATTACCCTTTGTGGCGATAAAAATCCCCTGGATGGTGACTGAAGGCTTTAGGAGTGTCCAGTCATTTTTTTTTTTTTTTAGAGTGAGAAAAAGCAAGAGAGCAAGTCAGAGAAAATGACCCGTGTCACAGACTCTCAGAAAGCACAGTGAGAGTTCCCCTGGTTGAGAATCGCAGGCTGCCGCTGGCTTCCCCCACTTCCCTGGGCACATCGGAGGAGGGGGCCACAGCTGGTCCCTGGTCTGTGTTCCCTGGCACCTCTGAGCAGCCTGGAATTCTCAGTGGGGGTGCTCACCTTCCTGGTGGAAATCCCCAGGGTGTTGGAGACAGGTCCAAAATTTCAAGTTCTAGGCGCTTTTGCTCTGCTCTGTTTGGAGTGTCTGGGTGACCTCAAGGAGAAGTCACTTCCTCACAGTGGGTTCTGATGACTCCATCTGTAAAAAAGAAGTTGCAACAGGTGGCCTCTGGGCTGTAAGATTCTGGGACCCTATCTTGCCTGGGACTGAGGCAACCAGAAGGAGCAGGAAAGCCCTGATGAAATCCAAGGCCTAGGACCACAGACTCCTCAGGGCCCTCCCCACACCACCCCACTCAGGAAGTCATAGGTGGCTACATGCTCCGGTCAGGTGCCACCACTTTACTGCCTCAAGGAGAACAAAGCGCTAAACAAATGCAAGATCACAGCAGCTGGTCTCAGCATCCAAGTGGGATGTAGATCCACATTTGCAGGAAAAGTGCACTGGGGAAACGATGGCTCCCAGAATGTGTACTGTGTGCTGGGCAACAGTTTCCCTCCAAATCCTTACAGCAACCTGCAAGGAATTCTTCTGCAGCTGTATATAGGGTCAGAGAAGCAAGATGCCTGGTCCAAAGGCACACAGCCTCTGGTAGTGGAGTGGGATTCACACCAGGGCTGTGGGGCCCCAAGCTCTGTGTGCTTGGGATGGAGATCAGAGTACCCAGCTCTTGTCTCATCTATCAAATGGAGAAGACAATCCCTACACATCTTTCCATCCTGCTTGGCTGCTACAGAGGTTTTGCAAACTTTCACAGTGGTTTCAGATCATGGGTTTTGAGGTCAGACAGAGCTGAGTTGAAATCCTGGGTCCACTGCTTACTAACTGTGGGCCCTGGGACAAAGTCCTTAACTTCCCTGAAACTCAGATTCTGCATCTGTAAAATGGGACAATAATACCTATTTCACCCATTTGTTGTGATGACTAAATGAGATAGTGGGTCAAAGTGTGGTGTGTAACCCAAGTGAAGTACTTGAATGACATTTGGCTCAGATGGTGACTACAGGCCTTCCAGCTCCTCAGAGAAAAGGATTAAAGTGGTGCATTATGCTTATACTGTGCTTTCACGTCTATCTACTGGAGCCTCAACAGGTGGGCAGGGCAGGTCATCTGGCCTGAGATACATTAAACTGCCCACCTGCCCTGGTGTAACACCAGGGCTGCCACAGGCTGGTGGCAAAGACAGCACGGCATCTTACCGCCACAATGTACATCAGGACCTCCACCCCCATAACAAACGACCTCCAGGCCTGCATCAAGACTATCAGAAGACACTCCCTTTTAACTGTGTACCCCATACCTGCAAGCTTTCCTGCAGCCAGCCCTACCTGTTCCCTCCTTCCCCTGGTTTGGGATAAAACAGGCACCCAAGACTTCTCTCCCCATCTGTGGGTCCCTTCTCTCCCCTCCGGCCTCAATACCACCCTCTCTACCTGCTCATTCCCACGGACATCAAAACGTGCGCAACCTGCTCTAATAAGAAAAGGGAAAAATAGTACTACTTTTGGGTACCGTCTTACGTAATTTTACAGACATCATCTCATCTAATTTTCACTCTGTGAAGCAGGTATTGCCATCATCATCCCCACCTTACAGATGAGAAAACTGAGGCACAGAGAGGCTAAGCGACTTGTTCAAGGTCTCACAGCTAGTGAGTGGGGACCCCTGAACCCAGAGCCAGTCCTGTAACCACGCACGCTTTTAAAACACTCTTTATTCTCGTCTCCAATTTCTACATCTACTCTCGCCTCACCTAACGGTAGAACTTCTAGAAAAGATTGTCTATACAGGCACTTGGATCTCCAGGGAATCATCTCTCCAAGTGTATACGCATGTCGGGGACGCCAAATGCCCTGGGCCCGCCCCAGTTTCTATCCAACCAGCCCTCCTGCCAGCACCTGACCCGGCTCTCAGCCCTTCCTTCCGGAATCCCTTCCTTTCCCCGGCTTCCCGCATCCTCTGCGGGGAATTCCCCCCGCGTCTCTGGTGGCTCCTTATCCGTCTCCTTGACCCCTTTCTCTTCTACACTGGGCCTCCATCGGCTCCATCCACGAGGAGTCTCTCTGCGCCGCGTGTCCCCATCTCCCACTCGTCCTTTGGGGCGCCCCTGCACCAGACCCCACTCCCACGGGAAGTCTCCGTGGGCCGCCCCATGATGAGGCTGGGCGCCCCGCTCTGTGATTCCTCGCGCCTGCCGGCGCCAGCACAGCCCCCGCCGCCCGGCTCTGCAGGCTGAGCCCCCAGCCAGGTCGGTGAGCCCGCCCGAGGGCGGGGGAGTGTCGCGTCGCCACCTCCACATATCCAGTTGCGAGGGCAGCGCTGGGAGCCAGGCAGCGCCGGTGCCCGCGGAAAGAGGAATGAGCCCCTGCGGGGCCGGGGCGCCCGCGGCTGGGCTGGGGGCAGTTGAGTCCGGGGCGGTCTCTGCAGCCGAGGTGCCAGGTCCCCGGCTGCACCCGAGGAGTCCCCGCCTCAGCAAGCGGGAGCTGGAGCGGGGAGTTCGGGGCGAGGAAGGGGGCCGGGGAGCCGCCCTGCGGTCCCGGGGCAGGGGTGTAGGGCAGCCAACCTCGGCGCCGCCTCCGCCACCGCCTACCGGCGGCCAGGCCCGGAGCTTCCGGTGGAGTGTGAAGGACGCAGCCGCACCGGCGGAAACCGGCAAGGCAGGGCCGGGGCCCGGGGCTGCTGCTCCCCAGACCGCCGCGGGGCGGGGCGAGCGATCCCTGTGAGGGGAAACTGAGTCTGAGGGCCGGGTCTGCGGCGCCACGGGCACTGTGCGCCCAGTTAACTGACACGCGTGTACGCAGCTCCTCCGCTTGCGGGGCTCCTGGCATCTGGTGCAGCACCTGCGCGTGTTTAGTGCTCAGTAAGATGCCCCCTGAAAAAACAAACACAAACCGGGAATTGGAGCCCCCACCCTGGTCCCCTGCCTGCCCAAAATCCGAGTAGTGAGAAGGTGAAGAGGAGTAAAACCGCAGTCTTACCTTTCTTGGATTTCTCCAGAAGATCCTAGCACAGTGCCAGGCTCGCCCAAGCTTATTGGGTTGGAGCAATCAAGTGATAGTACTTGATAGTACTTGATCAAAATGATAGTACTAAGTGGTTCAAGGCACTGTGCTTTTACAAACTGGATATTTTAAGGAACCGTTTCTGTTTTCGTCTAAACACACACACACACGGTCGCTAAATCCTTAAGAATATATTAATCAAAATAGTTATGGAACTTAGTGTTGGGGTAGAATTTTAGATTAAAAGCTACACCTTTATTTTTGCGAACTACCAATTTGACAAGGGCTCCTTCTCTGTCAGATGTCTTAACCTTGTAGGACTGATGGTGGAGGGAGGGATGAAGCTGCCCACCTTGTTGGTTTGGTTTTAACAGCTCAAAATCTCTTTATGTGTTAGGGTCTTTTTTTTTTTGAGATGGAGTTTGGCTCTTGTCACCCAGGCTGGAGTGCAATGGCCCAATCGCGGCTCACTGCAACCTCTGCCTCCCGGGTTCAAGTGATTCTCCTGTTTCAGCCTCCTGAGTAGCTGGGCCCACCACCACGCCCACGACCACGCCTGGCTAATTTTTGTATTTTTAGTAGAGACGGGGGTCTCACCACGTTGGCTAGGCTGATCTCGATCTCCTGACTTCAGGTGATCCTCCCACCTCGGCCTCCCAAAGTGCTGGGATTACAGGCATGAGCCACCGCGCCTGGCCTAGGGTCCCTTTTTATGTCCTGACTCTCAACTGGATTGTAAGAGCAGGGAACGATCTTTTACTTGTTTTTTAACCTGGCATGCCTGTAAGACTCTCACTTATTGGAGGCAGAGCTGCTGTCCTCCAACTTCCGCTAGACAGGCGGAAGCTGCGGAACACAGGGTACTCTAGTGAAAGGGGGACCTCAGAGGCCCACCTGGGAGGGAGATGCTGCTTGTGGACAAGCAGAAGATCTCAGGGGCCTCTAAGAGAGAATTTCTGCAATCTATGGGCAGGGGCCTCTAAGAGAGAATTTCTGCAATCTACGGGAGGTTGCCCAGATGTAGCCTCTGTGGGGCCATTCAATTCTACGGGAAAAGGATTCAAAGAGTTAAGTGTTTGAATTAAAAATTGATGGACTCGGCCGGGCGCGATGGCTCACGCCTGTAATCCCAGCACTTTGGGAGGCCGAGGCGGGCGGATCACAAGGTCAGAAAATCGAGACCATCCTGGCTAACACGGTGAAACCCCATCTCTACTAAAAATACAAAAAATTAGCCGGGCGTGGTGGCGGGCGCCTGTAGTCCCAGCTACTCGGGAGGCTGAGGCAGGAGAAGGGCGTGAACCCGGGAGGCGGAGCTTGCAGTGAGCTGAGATCGCTCCACTGCACTCCAGCCTGGGAGAGAGTGCGAGACTCCATCTAGAAAAATAATAATAATAATAAAATAATAAATAAATAAATAAAAATTGATGGACTCTGAGTCAATTAGTCTGATAGTTTTCCCATCATCAGAAAACATTTAATTATCTTTGACCTTGCCTTTTCCTGGGTGTTGTGAAGTTAGAAATAACATTCCAGCAAAAATTTGGGAAGAAATCTGGGGTTATTTGTTGAAGGGAGTTTCTAAGTCTAGTGATTTTCCCTAACTCAATAGATTTCCAGATTTTAAGAAAAGAAACAAAGCACCTCTGAAGTTATTTGAATTCTAGGCACCAAGCAATCCCTGGGGTTTTTCTAGTTGTTTATGGGACTGGCCACTTTGAAGGCGCAATGGGGATTTCAATTTCTGATGGAAGTGCCAGTGACACTCATGGTCAGGTGATGTGGTTCAGGGGAAGAGCTTGGCAGATGGATCAGGGACATGCTCTAAGATGCCAGTGATGAGGAAGACATTGATACTAGCCAGCTCACTGCCTCTCTTTGTCATCTGTAGCTACCCATGTGTCCTGTTCTAACAGACTGGTTTTTCTGTGTGGCAATTCTTCCTTTCATGGACTCTGGAAACAAAGACTCTTCCAAAGGTGGGCACACTGCACAAGGGCCTTTTGAAGAAAAGTTTCTCAAGGATTTGGGGCCTATAAAAGCCATTCTCTTCTGTCCCACCCACCCCTTCCTCTCTGCCCTAAGCCAGTGTAAGTGAAAAGAGCAGGCAGTCTGACCTCACTCTCTTCATGTGCCACATCCTGTTTTCAGATTAATGAGCTCATTTGCTGGAAATTTACCAAGGGAAATAGTTTAATTTTGGAAAGTACCAAAAACTTATCTGTAGTCATTCAGCTTCATTTGGGGGGCTCTTGAAATGGAGGGGCATCACCGGAGGACCTCTGAACGCCCAGGGAGCAGCAAGGCAACAGAAATTGAAAGCGAGCCCAGTGAGGCTGAACCTGACTCAGAAAGGAAACAAAATCTTTTGGAGGCCACTCATGTCTACCCAGTTGAATTTTTTTTTTTCTAAAAATAACTTTAAAAAGAGAAATAGTTTATCTGGCCAAAGCCTCATATCTGGTGGTCTGACCATGGAGCCATGACTGAGGAACAAGAAAATGAACACAGGGAAGCAGGCAGTGTTTGAGCCTCCACCCTCTACCTTCTTGTCCATGTATTAATATGTTTGGCTTGTTCTAAGAGGCACGGAAAGGCTTTCAGTCTCCAGTTTTGCCCCAATCCCTTAGCAATCCGACCCTTGACATTGAAGTTGTCTGCCTAACCTAGTAGCCTTTGTGGCTCCTGCAGCCAGGGGGATTCTAGATGATCACAGATTTGCAAGCCATTCTGCATTGGAGATGATGAGATGATGGAGCACAAGTGATGTGCACCCTAGACTTTGCCTCTAAGCATCCAACCACCTCCTGGCCTGCACTGTTTCCCAGAGTAGAGATTTATCATCCATTCTAAGCAGAATGAATGGAACACGTAAGTGAATCCAGCCGGCTAAAGGCAGCCATTTGGGCAGGCTCCTGTTTGTCAACAGCCCTTAAAATGTGGAGCCCAGAATGGTTCTCACTCCCTCAACCCCAGTCAGCCCTTTGGTGCCTTCTTCTTATTACCAGCAGCACGCCTTGTCTCTGTCATACGGCTTGTGTTCAGTAAAAACAATTAGTGAACAGCTTTTCTGTTAGCATCATTTTAATCTGCTCTGATAACTTCTGATTCTTGAACCAAGAAATTTAATTAAACAGATGATTACAAGCTGTCAGCAACCTATCAGATTAGAAGACCAAATGGTACTGGGTTCTTCAATCCAAATTCAGTATGTCCCTTTGGCACATTACACAGAACTGATATCAACAACAAAACAAAGAAATAAAACATGATCTTATAAAAATGACAGCATAACACGTGTACTTTTTGCTATGGTCTGATTATTAAAAATGTCCCAAATTTCCTTCTGTTAATCTCCATCTTGGTTCTTATTACACTTATAATAACTAGCATTTTTAAAAACGTGCCTGTTTACAGGTTTTTTTCTTTCTACCACAGAATTATGAATACACGAAATTGTAGGAATATATGAAAATGTGTATAGGAATATATGAAATTAGATGAATTAAAACCATGAAAGTAAAGCTGTATCTGATTTCATTGTTGTTTCCCCTGGCTTAGCATGATGCTAGTTACATAGGAGACATCACTAAATATTTATTCAATAAATGACTAATATGCAAGATGCTATTAATACAAATTTTACTTATGGTAACAATAGTTAATGATGATTTCCCCACCATCAGAAAACATTTATTAAGTATCTTCAACCTGGCCTTTTCCTGTGTGTTGTGAAGTTAGAAATAGCATTCTAGGAAAAATTTGGAAAGAAATCTGGGGTTGTTTGTTGAAGGGAGTTTCTATGTCCAGTGATTTTCTCTATCCCAAGAGATTTCCAGATTTTAAGAAAAGAAACAAAGAACCTCTGAAGTTATTTGAATTGTAGGCACCAAGCAGTCCCTGGGGTTTTACTAATTGGTTGTGCACTTTGAAGGCGCAATGGGGATTTCAGTTTCTGATGGAAGTGCCAATGACACTCGTGGTCAGGTAATGTGGTTCAGGGGAAGAGCTTAGCAGAGGGACCCTTTGATAGGGACATGCTCTAAGATGCCAATGATGAGGAAGACATTGATACTAGCCAGCCTACTGCCTTTCTTTGCCATCTCTGGCTACCTATGCGTCCTGTTCTAAGAGACTGGTTTTGCTGTGTGACAATTCCTTCTTTCATGGACTCTGGAAACAAAGACACTCCTAAAGGTGGACATGCTGCCCCAGGGCCTTTTTCCGGGCTACGGAATTATTGCTCTTTCTTCACACTCACCTTTGGGAGGCTTGGGTTCCCTGGCCACTGGCTAGTACAGCACAAGAATAACGCAGTGTTCGAACTCAACAGCTGTTAACATCTGGCTGAGGAAGGATACAGTATGAAGGTTCCCATCTCACTCTATCTTGAGGACTCAGCCTGAGAGAGAAAAATCAAGGAGTGGGGAAAGCTGTTACTCAGAAATCAGAAGATTTGCTTTGATGTTGGAGGACTGTGGCGGAAAGTTCCTCCCATCCTTGAACCTTATTTTTCTTACCTGCAAAGTGGGAGAATGACTTCAGGGGAATCCTTCAGCATGAACCATTTAATTCTTTAAACTTTAATCATTCAAGCCCTGGTCCTGGGGAAGAGGCACATTCTCCCATCTGTTGAGGGGCTGTTCTCCCCACCTGTACTTGGGGTGGTACCAGGAACCCCTATAACGGGTGCTGGAAGCTTCCACTAGAGGCATGGTCTTTTTGGACTCCAAACATTTTGTGCGTTTTTTTTTTTTAAGGGAAGCTATGTGAAAAACCTCCTCTGATGGATTTCTTTCAGAGCTCAAGCCAGGCAAATTCCCAGCACAAGCCAAGGCTTGGGAGCAAGAATATGTAGCAGGAGCAAGAGGCTAAGAACCAGGGTGCAGCTCTCACTCTCTCAAAGAATGCACAAGCTGGGGGTCGGGAGGGTTGTGAAAGTGGAGTTGATGTTTGCTCATCTCTTCTGAACTCCTTGTCTTACAAAAGGGGAAATGGGGGCCCAGAGAGAGAAATGAACTTGCACAGTCAGTCCAAGGTCCAGAAGCCTCTTCCTCTGTATTCTGATGCCCTATTGTCTCAAGACATCTTAGTAATAACTCTGTCCTTTTATTCCTGCATTCGTTTCTCCTTGGATATGTCTCCACAAGACTGAGTTTCCTGAGGGCCAAGAAGCAGGGCACAGACATCTCTGTAGGCTCCTTTGTGCCTAGCCTGCATCTTGTACACAGTGGGGGCCCAGTAATGATATATTAAGAGGGACTTCTTTGCCTTCATAAGAGGATTCTGGGATACTAGGAAATATTAACCCTACCTTTCACACCTGTGGGTTACCCAGATGTATTTAACAAATATGTGTTTAGCTTCTACCATTAGCCTTTTTGCAATTTTTTTTTGTTTGAGATAGAGTCTCACTCCTTTATCCAGTGTTGTGATCATGGCTCACTGTAGCCTCCACCTCCTGGGCTCAAGTGATCCTCCCACCACACCCTCCCAAGCAACTGGGACTACAGGCATGCACCACCACGCCTGGCTAATTAAAAACAAATTTTTTTTTTTTTTTAGAAACAGGGTCTCACTATGTTACCCAGGCTGGTCTCAAACTCCTGGGCTTTAGTGATCCTCCTGCTTTGGCCTCCCAAAGTGCTGGGATTATAGGCATGAGCCTACAATCTTTTTGTAAATTTTAAAAATAATTCTAGCATATATATCTAGCAACACTTTCTGGAGATCATTGTCTTAATCATTTCAGATGTGCACTTGTAACATTTTAAAATGCAAAATCAAATAGATAAGAAAAGCCATTCTGTCTACTGCCATCCTTGGTTACTATCTTCTGTAACCAGTGCCCAGCTGCACAGCCAGAGAGCTGTGGGTAGGGCCCATGGCTCTCTCTGGCCCCTGTGATTGCTGAAACTGGAACTGCTTGGGGAGCCCTGGGGCCCTGGCACCAGCTCCTGCTCAGTCCTGCTTCTCCTTTCACAGGGAACATGTCTACACACCAGCTCTCCTGAGCAGTCTTGGAACCCCTCCAAGGACAGCCCTGGACACTGGCCAAGGGGGAGGGTGCCCCTGGGAAGGACGTATCTATCAGGAAGCAGAGACTGTGGCAGGCAGGCATACACACGCACATGCTCGCAGGATGGCTGGCTTACCCAAGATTTCAAAAGAAGTTGGAAATCTGGATTTTTATGTGAAACGACTTGATTTTTAGAACACCCTATAAGCCAAAAAATAAACCCAAACCAAATGAGCATCCCTATGAACTGTGTCTGTGGGCCACTATTTGTGACCTCTGGTAGAGCCTGGCACTCCATAAACACAACAAAAGCAGATGTGTGAACGTGCCCACATGTAACTCACCCGGGCTGTTCACATTGTTCATCCAGATGTGGACCCTGCACACACATAATAGAGACCTTCATTGGACATTGACACACACATAGTATCTCCCGGGATGTGGTTTTAATATTTGCACTTTCCACCTAAGGAGACTGAATGTCAGAAAGATCTCTAAGATCATGTCAAAATCTAGGCTGCCTGACCACAAAGCCAGTGTTCTGAACCGCTGCACAAACCACCACCCAGATGCCTGCACTCTGAATTAAAATTGCCAGTTACTTTGCATCCTTCTCTAAACTAAGCTTTATGAATTTAGAGACTGTGTTTCATTTGCTGGTGCATCCCATCACCTGGCACTATGCCCAGCAGAGCACAGAAGGTGCTCAATACGTACTGGTGGGATTGTACCCACAGGCTCATACAAACGTGTACAGACAGGGCACATGTAAACCCACATAGCCCCACCATGCTGAAGAACACATGCACACTGACGTTCCCACATGCACACCACCCACCTCCATCTCCCACCCGCCAGGGCATTGGACCCTAAGCTGGGGCAGCCCAAGTTTCCCCTGCCAGCCCCCTGCCAGCCTTGCCCAAAGCCTTCAGAAATAGTTTCCTGGAAATCTCGAGGCGGCTGTGGTGTTCTTTTTCCTAACTCAGGAGACAACTCAGCAGTTTTGTTTTTCAAAGTCTGAGACTCATAAACCTGGAATCCTTTCTTCATTTTTTCCACCAGAATTTTCCTTGGCCTGTTGCCTTCCCCCAGGGCCTTGGCTAGGAGGTTACACTCGGAGCGCCCTCTGCCGGGCACTGTCCTCCCAACCTTGTGGGCAGTTGCAGATGGGACCTGCCCCAGGCTGCTTTACAGATGGGAACCTAAGTCAGATGGTGGTAGTGAGGAGAGGTTAGAGGATACTGGCCCATTGCAAGTGTGTGCCAGTGTTATTACTAGCAAGGGATCTTTTGTGATTTTTTTTTACGTTTTTGAAAATAAAAGAATAAATAGCTTCAAGAGCTCAGATGAAGGCCCTCTGCTCTCCCAAGGGCCTCTGTGTGGGGCAGATGACAGAGGTTTGGGAAAATCACCTCATTCAACTTTATTCTTGGGTCTCCATCACATTTAATAAGTGAGGAAATGGAGACACAGAGAGATTTTGGGGGAAGAGGTGCGAGGAATATTTATTGAATGGCTGCTATGTGCAAGGTATACTTATGAATCTCTGTCATTTCATCTTGGCAAATAAACCTGTAGGGTAGTTGCTTTTGTTTCCATTTTACAGATTAAGACATAGAGGCTCAGTGAGGTCTCTCAAGGTCAGAAAGGGAAGGGGAAGAGCTAGGATTTGAATCCAAATCTTCTTTTTCTTGGCTTCGTAGCCTCCTGGATTTTTTCCATTTGGCTGCAGGTCTGAGTTCAGTGGGGCCCAGGGTGGAGCCTTTGTGGCTGGACTCATCAGAGGCCAGGGTTCCTTGGCCTGGCTGCCCAGAAAGGCAAGCCTTTCTCCTTGTACACTACCAGAGAGCAATCTTTGGGGGACACAGTCTTTAGGGGACACAGGGGAATGGGTCAAGCAGCCCCACCAGGACTCAGAGCTGGGAATAGGCTCCTGGGACTGGCAGCTGTGCCAAGGCCCCTTAACAGTAAAAAACAGGATCAAATGCCTTTATCAACCAAACGCATGAGAGGCTCCAAAGGGCAGGGTTTTTTCTGGGAAAGAAAGCAGGTCCTGAAAGGTTTTTGTTTTGTTTTTCTTCTTAATGGGACCCTACATTTCACCAAGAGTTAGTCACTACCCTCCCTAATCCATCCTCCATCCTGCAGCGCTGTCCAGAAACTTTCAAAATGTCTCAGTTCCTGCAGGAAAACATCCAAACCCTTTATCTTGTTTGTTTTTGGTCTGGCTTGGCCTTATCTTCCACTTGTCTCATATAAGCAAACTGCTTAAGGGTCTCTGTCTGCACCTCCCTTGAGTCCCACTGCTGGGTGTTTGCTTACATTACTTCTCCTCTCAGAAATAACTTCATTTCAGTGTATCCAAACCTTAGTCATTCTTCCAGACCCAGCTTAGAGGCCATCTTCTCCATGGAGCCTTCTCCACTGCATGCAGCAGAAATGAACCTGCCTTGTACTTGTCTCATGGGCACATGTTGTAGTTCCCCTAATAGACTGAATCCCTTAAGAAACAGTGTTGGATTCATCTTGGATTCTCCTATATGGGTATGAGTGTGTGTGTGTGTGTGTGTGTGTGTGTGTGTGTGTGTGTATGCATGCACATAATAATGTCAATGGTAGTTTGAGAAGGGGAAACATGGTGAGCTTTGTCTCATGATAGCATATACCAGCCACCCAAGAAATCTTAACAATGAGATATGGGCACCATTTTAGACAAACAAGACAAAGGAGAGGTGGCTCTGCTCAGATCAGCCTCAATTCCTAAAGTTGGTGTGGGCAAAGAACGCTGTTCCCATGGACTAGAAGCAGGCCATGCACAAGGAAGCTGATGTGAAAGGCCTCTTAGTTTTGTCCAGTGGGGGAGGGTGACAAACTGAACACATTGCTGGATTCCTACGGCGGCAGAAGGAGTGAACGATGGGATACAGTGTGGTGCAATGAACGTGGAATGGTGAAAGGTCTTTAGAGACTGGGGGAGTGGCCCAGCACAGTGGCTCACACTTGTAATCCCAGCACTTTGGGAGGCCAAAACGGGTGGATCACTTGAGGTCAGGAGTTCAAGATCAGCCTGGCCAACATGGTGAAACCCCATCTCTACTAAAAATACAAAAATTATCCTGGCATGGTGGTGCACGCCTGTAATCCCAGCTACTCAGGATGCTGAGGCATAAGAATCACTTGAACCTGGGAGGTGAAGGTTGCAGTGAGCCAAGATCATGCCATTGCACTCTAGCCTGGGTGACAGAGCAAGACTTCTTCTCAAAAATAAAAAGAGAGAGAGAGATTGGGGGAGTGTCTAAAAAGCCCATGGACATGCCCATGAAAGAGTCCGAGTCTGCTTTAAAGCCCTTGAAAGCCATCTTATGGCAGTACTGGTCAAGTAAGCTCTTCTGCTCCCCTTTCTTCTACCTTTCCTCCCTACCAATCCCTCTAGTGCTGGAGAGGTCAGAAGTCACAGCTTGCACAGCAATGTGAATATACTCAACACTACTGAACTGTGCACTTGGGAGTAGTTAAGATGGTAAATCTTATGTTACGCATTTTAAATTTATTACAATCTTAAAGAAAGAAGCAGCCACACTAAACAGCCTTAGTAAGCTGAGAAGGAAACTCCAGGGAAAGAAGCAGCTGCCCGTGACACTATTCCCAGCTATAGGGGTCCCAAACCTGCAGCAAGCCCTGTTTGGGAGAGAAGATTGTATTTTAAATCAAGTTGAGAATTTTGCTTTTGTATGGGACTGAACATCAAATTTATGAATAGAGTTGTTTGGTGACTGAAGTGATCATAGGACTTTTTAGTTCCTAAGAGTGATCACAACAGTCATAAGATGCTTGAGTTTTCCTTAAAGGATAGAGAAAGGATATCTCTCCCTTCCCTTTGAATAAATCTTTATAGGGAGCTGGAAGGCAAAACAAAGTTGACTTATGAGTATGCACAGGGAGTCCTACTTACTTAATTTAGCAATTATATTTGCTTTTGTAAAATGGGATCTCTCCTTCCATTATATTTTTCTAATTGGTGTTGTTTGCCTCTATCACATCTTCCAAAGCAACTAAAAGCTTGGGCTTACCTCAGATAAAGGCACTTAACCATTACCTGAAAGATCAGCTGTGCTTCAGGCTTTAAACCCTTAATTGCTCGGTATTCTCATGTTCACAGGTTGAGGGACTCAGTATTAACGTGCCTTTGTTGCAAGTTCTTGTAAACAAAGACAGTAAAATTATGGTTCTGATGTTCTATTAATTGTCATTAATTTATACCTACCAAGTGTCAGGTCTTGTGCTTAGGATACAGAGAAGAACAAGATACAGCCCCTGTCCGCCAGGAGCTCACAGTGGGATAGAAGGCCATGATAAGAAATCAATGAGAAGGCTGTGGGTGGCAGGAGCTCCAGCACAGATGTGTTTCCAGAGAAGGACTTACAGGGGCTTGTCCTGAGTGTACCCTTGATGCTGGCACTATGTCTGGCCCATGATAAGCTTCCTGTCCCAGGCCATGTGCTTCCAGGAAGTTATCCTTGCTTAATTCTATGTCTACTCCGATTACTTCTTTACTTTATCATCTCAGCACTTTGCAATTCAGCCTTGTGTTCATTTACCCTGGTGCTGCAAATACAGGGAACACACATAATGCACAGGATACTGACATGCTGTGTATCTCAGGGCACTCAGAAGAGCTGAAGCTATGATTTGAATCCATAAAGTTTGACATCTGCTTCCCATTCGTAGGCAGTTATTACAAAGTGGCAATCACTGCCTTTGTGATGATCATAAGCATTTTTCATGCTCCTACCTAGTCTTTAAAATGATTCTTTTTAGAGGCTGCATAATATTTCATGGAATATGCATTCTGTCATTTACATGTAATTATGAGTAATAATTACAATTTCCCCCTTTCGAACTATTAATTTATATGTCAGGTTTTTTATATCACACAAAGTACTTCAATAAATTACAGTGGTATTGCTTTATATACCATAATTCTAGATTCATAGTAATTCTAGGCTAATTCCTACTTGATATCTCCACAAGAATGTCTAAAAGGCTTCTTAAACATAACAAAGCCCTGACAGAAATCCTTCTTCTCTTCTGTATTTGCTTGTGAGCACTGGGTAACAAAGTGCCACAAACTGGGTGGCTTGAAACAACAGAGATGTATTCTCACACGGGGCTGGAGGTTAGAAGTCTGAAAGCAGTTTCGGCAGGGTTGGTTTCTTCTGGCCGGCTCTGAGGGCGGACCCGTCCCGTGCCTCTCTCCTGGCTTCAGGTGACAGCAGTGGTTCTTTGCCTTCCTTGGTTTGTACATGCATTACTCCAATTTCTACCTCTGTCTGCATGCGACCGTCCTCTCCCAGTGTCTGCATCTTCACGTGAGGTTTTCTCTGCGTATCCCTGTGTCTACATTTCCCTCTTCTCATAAGGACACCTGTCATTTTAGATTAAGAGCCACCCTATTCCAGTGTGACTTCATCTTACCTTAGCTAATTACACATGCAACAAACTTATTTCCAAATCAGGTCCTACTCTGAGGTACTGTAGATTTGAATTTCAACATATCTTTTTGAGTGACGTAGTGTTCAACCCATAACATCTTCTTTCCTTGTTTTCCTAAATGTGTACCTTCTCCTGTCTTCTCCAGCTGTGTAAATGGCATCTGCAGCAGTGCAAGCCAGGAATCCGTGAGTAATCCTTGACTCCTCTGCATTCATTACCCCACCCTGATTCCTTCAGCAAATCCTCTCAGCACCACTTCCAAAACTATCCTGAATTCATCCCTGTCTCTTCATCTCCATTTCTTCCTTTCTAGTTGAAGCTACTGTTACCTGTCACATGACAATGGCACCAGCTCCTCACTGGTCTCCCCTGACTCTGTTCTCATCTACAACCTGGTCTCATGCCCTTTTGCTTAATACTCTCAACTGCATAGAATCCAAACATCTCACCAGTTCTTACAAAATCCCAGTGATCTGGCCCCTCTCACTTCTCTGACCTCATTGTCCATCACTTGCTTTCTTCGATCCAGCCACGTCAGCCTTCTCGCTGTTCCCTGGACCCCTGGGTCTTTACACGCACCAGCCTGGACCTTCATGTGGTTGTTCCTTCTTGTCAAGAAAATCTCAGCTTAAATGCCACCTTATTTAGTGATATTTGATAGACCTTCCCTAACCATGCAATCTAGAGCAGCCACTGAGTCATTCTATATCATAGAACTTTTAAAAAATTCTCTGCAGAGGCCAGGCGCGATGGCTGACACCTGTAATCCCATCACTTTGGGAAGCCGAGGCAGGCAGATCACTTGAGTTGAGAGTTTGAGACCAGCCTGGGCAACATGGTGAAACCCTGTCTCTACTAAAAGAAGAAAAATTAGCTGGGCATGGTGGTGCGCACCTGTAGTCCCAGCTACTCAGGTGGCCGAGGCAGGAGAATTACTTGAACCTGGGAGGCGGAGATTGCAGTAAGTCAAGATCATACCACTGCACTCCAGCCTGGGCAACAGAGTGAGACTCTACCTCAAAAAGAAAAAAAAAAATTCCTCTGCAGAGAATTTAGTAAATATATTATTTTCCCTCTTTAAGTGGGTATTTATTGTCTTTTTCCTCAATTATAACATAATCTCCAGGAGAGCAGGGACTTTGTTTATCTTGATTACACCATCTAGAACTGTGCCTGGCATGCAGGAGGCACTCAATAAATATTTATTAAATGAATAATCTTCCACAGAAGATCTTTGTGTACCAACTATTTTTTTTTCCTTTTGGGAATTTATATAAATCATTCAACAGGAGAAGGATTACTGGATCAAGAAATATAAACATATTTTGGCTCCTGAAATGCATTGTCGAATTGCTTTGCAGACAGATAAGATCAGTTTTCATTTGTTGGGCAAATTTTCAAATCCCAAGTGCCAAGACAGTGATTTCTGGTATGTGGGAGAGGGGGGAGGGGAAGGGAGAAAGGAAGGAGGGAGGTGGCGGAGGGCAGGCATAGGCCGAATCAGAGCTGCTGTCCCTGGTGGGTCAATGGAACTAGAAGCAGCAGCAGTAGTAATCAACCAAGCAGGCCCACCCTCCACAGCGTCTCAAAGGCCCACGCAGGGCAGGAAAGATCTGCTGTATGAACTTGGGTCTGGCCACAGGAGCCAGAGTGAGCAGAAAAGCTGACAGGAGCACCTGCTCTTCGGCTTGCTGTTGAAATCCTGAAGGCTGGGTCAGGGGCCAATGAGCAAGTGGGAGTGAGGACACAAAGTGAGGCTTGGATCTGGTACTGAAGGCTCCTTTGCAGAGGCTGTTTCTGGGTTGCAGCTACTCTGCTTAGGACACGGGATCTGGAACATTAAGTTACACAAGGACCTCTGTCCATAAACCTCCAGGAACACAGAGGCCTCTTCACGTAGTTCTGCTGCTGCCAGGCCCATTCAGCAGCATGCTGGCCCTGTATTCCTTTGCTTCCTGCTCCGCCACTAGAGCAATGGCATAATTTTTAAAAAGTGAAATAACATGAATAACATTTGCTAGGAACATTACAAAAAAGGTGAAGTTAAAAAAAAGAATCCCTAAGAACTAATACATAGAAGCTGAGAATAAATTAATCAGACTAAGGTACCAGTTGAGTAATCCTTATCCAAAATGCTTGGAACCAGAAGTGTTTCAGATTTCAGATTTTTTTCAGATTTTGGAATATTTGCATATACATACAATAAGATATCTTGGGGATGGGACCATGTCTAAATACAAAATTCATTTATGTTTCATGTATACCTTATATACATCCCCTAAAGGTAATTTTATACAATGTTTTAAACAATGTTTTACATGAAACAAAGTTTGTGTTAAGTACTTATGTGTGGAATTTTTCATTTGTGGTGTCATGTTGGTACTCAAAAAGTTTCAAATTTTGAAGCATTTCAGATTTTGGATTTTCAGATTTGGGATGCTCAACCTGTAATTATAAAATTATGGTAATTAGAAGAAAAAAAGAAAAATTATTAAAACCGTACAAAAGTTAACAGGATGACCCATCCCAGACCTATAGAATGAGAACCTGCACTTTCACAAGCTCTTAAACAACACTTCTGAAACTTTAACATGCCTATAATATTCCTGGATTTTTTTTTTTTTTTTTTTTGAGATGGAGTCTCACTCTGTCACCCAGGCTGGAGTGCAGAGGCGCAATCTCGGCTCACTGCAAGCTTCACCTCCCGGGTTCACGCCATTCTCCTGCCTCAGCCTCCCGAGTAGCTGGGACTATAGGCACCCGCCACCACGCCCGGCTATTTTTTTGTATTTTTAGTAGAGACGTGGTTTCACCGAGTTAGCAAGAATGGACTCGATCTCCTGACCTCGTGATCCACCTGCCTCGGCCTCCCAAAGTGCTGGGATTACAGGCGTGAGCCACCACGCCAGGCCTGGATATCTTATTAAAATATAGATCTCCGAGCTCTGCTCCCAAGATTTTCTGTTTCAGTAGGTCTGGGGTGGGGTCTGGGAATTTGCATTCCTGACAAACTCCCAGGCGGCCAGGGACCACACTTTGTATAGCATTGTTCTAAGGCTGACAGTCCTGAGGACCAAAAGAGGAAGGCAAATGGGAAAATTCGAGGCACTGGAGGAGGTTGTTTTTTAAGATAGTGGTCTTTTCCCAATTTTTAAAAAAGCACACCAGGCAGTCTCTGTCTATGGTATCTTAGCACAAAGATGCTTTTTGTTTTTAATGCTATGTTTATATTTGTGCAAGATTCTACATTTTAAAATTTCTCTCACTTGTTGGATCTTATTTCATCCTTGCAACAAATCTGTAAATTGGGTTGGGGGAAATTCTTTCATTATTTTTAAAAGATAGAACTGAGGCCTAGAGAGTTAAGACAGCTGGAAATCACACTCCAGCTGACTGCCACAGATTGTGGGCTCCTGAGTTGGCACTAAGGTGTTTTTCCTAATCATTATAACCCATTAGGGCTGATAATGTTACTTCCGCTTTCTAGATGGGCAAATTGAGACTTGATGAGGTTCAGGAACTCTCCCAAGGCCACAAGTCAGGGCAGCTCCTCTGTTTCATGGTTCAATGTCTTACTTCTTCACTGTATCACTTCCCCATACTAACTCCTCCTTTCTCTCTCTGTCTGTCAGTCACACACACACAACATAGCCAAATCAGTGAGCCATTTTAATTTCGACACCCAGCATTTATTTAATGAACAGACCACAGTTTGGCCTTTCGCCTTTAGAGGTGAAAGGAGGAGGCAAGAAGAGGATGAATGACGACCAGCCTTGCCCCAAGGCCCTAACAGACTCAGGAAACCTTTCTGCCTTCTCCTCCAACTCTAAGCATATCTCCTTTCCCTTCCTCTTCCTTTGCCCTCAGAGAATTACAGTCTAGTCCTGGCTCTAATTTCCTAAAGGTTCTTTATTTGGAAAATATATTATTAAGCCAAACAATCCTTTCCTTAACTCCAATTTCTCTTGTCTCATTCAGTTTCAACCCCCCTCCCACCGACCACCCTTCCAACACCAACACACACACACACACACACACACACACCCCTCCAGCCTAACAACAACAACACCAAAACCCTCTGATTGCTCCCAACTCATCTGTTAGACATGTTAGCCCTGGCCCTCACCACCAGGCTCGGGTCTCTGCTTGCCCCTGCAGGCAATGTTTCTATTAGGCCCTGAGGAGACACCAGGCTGCATATAGGAAGGCAGAGGAGCCTGGTGCTGCGGGTTCTAGCCCCAGCTCTGTTGTGGAACCCTCTTGGTGAGTCCTGGCTCCTCCCTGGGCCTGCTTCCTGGTCTGTGAAATGGGGAGGCATTGATGAGATGATCTCTAGAGGATCTTTAAATGTCAATATTTTATGAATCTAAGTAGGATGTTCACAGGTAAAAAATTATTGAATTTACCACCTCTAGTGTGCCAGAGAGGTATTATTACCCAGCCACAAGTT
Organism: Homo sapiens; assembly: GCF_000001405.40. Taxonomy (NCBI): domain Eukaryota; kingdom Metazoa; phylum Chordata; class Mammalia; order Primates; family Hominidae; genus Homo; species Homo sapiens. The sequence continues at coordinate 120,945,515 of NC_000009.12, forward strand.
ACTTTTATTGTGCCAGGCACTGTGCTAATCATTTTATGTGCATTATCTGTATTATCTCATTTGAGCCTTGCAGAAATCCTCTGACTTGGGTATTATTAGTACTTCTGTTTTTCAGATGTGAAAACTTCACCTTTTTATTAAAGCAGTCAAGTAGATGTTTTCTTGACTATTAAAAGTCTCTCAGCACTGAAGGGACATTAAGCCCCCTACCTTGAATTGCCCAGAAACATCCCTGGAAGGTGGCAGCTAGACTCTGCTCAGATGGCCCCAGCAATAAGGAACTTGGACCTGACTCTACTTTTGAATGGCTATGGCTATAAGAAAATGCTTCTTCACAGGGAGCCAAAACTGGTGTCTCTGTAACTCCTGCTCATCTCAGTGGTGGGAAGAATGCGGTGTTCAGAGGCCTCACTTGGGCTTCTGTCCTGGCCTTTCCATTTATCAGCACCATAATCCTAGACAAGCTGCTCCTCTGGACCTCCATGTTCACAGGCAAAAAATGAAGGAATCGGATGAGATGAGCTCTAGGTCCTTTCTGGTGTGGGCATTTTAGATTTGTATAATTCATGACTGTGCATGTAACATACACATATCTGACTATAATGATGGAAACAGAGAAGGAGTGGAATTTTGGTGGCGGGGGGCCTCTGTCAGGTATGAGGCTGTGAGCATGGTGTGTGTATGTGCATGTTTCTGGGACAGGGGTCTGTGAAAGAGAAGAGTGGCCCTGGACAACTGGCGTGAGGCCTCGGTGTCCCTGGGAGCCAGTCTGGTGCCCAGAGCCAGGCTGGGGTGTTCTCTGTGTCTGATGTCATAGAACATCAACATCAGACAAAATGGATCCATACTAAAAACGACTACTCTATAATCATGTTTGAGCAGGATATAAAAACAAGAACATTGTCCAAACCACAAAAATGACCACACACACCCTTTTCCTGGCTAAAGTGAGTAAGTGCTGCTACTTTTCCTCCCAGCTAGAAAAGAAATAAGATACTGGGTCATAGGATTGCCCCTGCTTCCTGAAAGCATCCAATCCAGAGTAAAGTTCCATTTCTTTGAGGCTCCTCCCAAATACTCTATCACAAGTACAAATCCTATAATAAGGCTTTTCTAATGCACTCTCACCGAGAAGCCTTATGGTCCCCATGGTGTGTGTTCTCCCTTGTTGCAAAGACTCAATAAACTGAAACTTGTTCAGTTCCAGGTATTCCTGGTTGTCTTGATTGGAGGGAATTGATAAGTCTATAGCTTTCATTAGATTCTGAAAAGGATGTGTATGTGGCTGGAGAAAATCCCACAACCCATGCTGATCAGTCCCACTTTAAATTCATGACTAGAAACTTCAAGTGGACCCTTAATACGAAGAAGCAAATATATTACAAGTCCTTAGTTGGTTCAGCCTCCCTCTCTTTTAGATAACTGTCTCACCCTTCTTTCCTCCCGTCACACCTCCAATTGCTCCTCCCTATCCTCCATCTCAGGTGATGATCTTCATCCTACTTCTCTGAGAAAGGGACTTCCACAGACTCTCACCACATCTACCCCTTGCCAGCGTCTGCTGCATGTGCTCAGCTTCTCTGCCTACAACCATGGGTCATGGATCAGGGATCGGTATGCTGCTGCCCAAGGGCTAAATCCAGCCTGCCTAGTCCATGCCCATTCTTTTCTGCATTATCTATGGCTGCATTTGTGCTACAATGAGAGAGTTGAGCAGTTGCAATAGAGACTTATGAGAATTATGGCCCACAAAGCCTAAAATATTACAGTTATTTTAATGCATGGCTCTTTACAGAAGTTTGCTGACCCCTGGCATAGGTGAGCTAGTCATGTTCTTATTTAAAGCCAAGTCCTCCACTTGTGCTCCAGATCCTATCCACTCTTACCTCTTCAAGGACATTACTCTAGTAGTTCTCCTTTCTCTCTCCTGCATCGTCAATTATTTACTCTTTACTGAGTCATTCCCTTTAGAACACAAATGTGTTATTTCTTCCGTCTTAAACTTTCCTTCACTCTACTCCCCTCAATCCATTTCTTTGCTCCTTGAATGAGTTGTCCATACTCCCTGTCTCCAAATCCTCTCCTCCTATCTACTCTTAAATCACTCTATTCAGGCTATTCTTCCCACTACTCCACCCAACCTGCCCTGTCAAAGTCACCAATGCTAAACCCAACAGCCAAGTCTTCATCTTACTTCTCTCTGAAGCATTTGATACAGTTCAACACTCTTCCTCCCAGAACCTCTTTCTTTTGTTTGGCTTGAGGGGACCTCATCTCTTGTTTTTTCTCCTAATTCAATGGATCCTCTATCTCTTTTCTCTAATAACTTCATCTTGGAATGCTCAAAATGTCTATCCTTGGTCTTCTTTTTTTCCACTCCTCTGTCTGTATTCACATCCTTAGTGATCTTAACTAGTCTAATGGTTTTAGTATGCTGATGATTCTCAGATTTATGTTTTTCAGCCCAGAGCTCTCTCCTGAACTAGATAACTATATGACCAATTGCCTTCCAGGCTCCTTCACTTGGATGTTTAATAGATTTCTTCTAAAATTCAACACATCCAAAACTGAACAGATTCCTAACTCCCCACAACCTGCTCCATCTGCAGCCTTCCTAATCTCAGGCAACTCCATCTTTCCAGTTGTTCAGGCCAAAAGTCTTGGCATCATCCTTGACTCCTTTCTTTCTCTCACACTTATTTCCACTCTATCAGGGAATTCAGTTAAACCTACAATATTAGTCCCTTCAATTAAGCCTACTGTATTAGTCCCTTTTGTATTGCTATAAAGGAATACCTGAGGCTGCATAATTTATAAAGAAAAGAGATTTGTTTGGCGCACGGTTCTGCAGGCTATACGGGAAGCATGGTGCCAGCATCTGCTTCTGGTGAGGCCTCAGGAAGCTTACAGTCATGGTAGAAGGGAAAAAAGAGCCTAAGTGGCACATGGTGAGAGAGGAAGCAACCAGCTAGAAGGAGGTGCCAGGCTCTTTATAAACAATCAGATCTCGTGGTAACTCACAGAGTAAGAACTCTCATTACCATGGGGAGGGCACCAAGCCATTCACGAGGGATCCACTCCCATGGCCCAAACATCTTCCACCTCGCCTCACTTCCAACACTGGGGATCACATTTCAACATGTGATTTTGGGGGACAAATATCCAAACTGTATCATTTACTTTTAAAGTATATCCAGAATTCAACCACTTTTCAATACCTCCACTGCTACCACTCTGGTCTGAGGCACCATCATCCCTCACCTAGTTTATTACAGTAGCCTCCTATCCGTTCTCTTTACCCTTGCCTTATTTTCAACAGCAGTTACAGTAGTCCTTTAAAAAGGCAAGACAGACCATGTCACTCTTCTTTTCAAAGCCTTGCAATGGCTCCTGTTTCCTTCCAAGTAAAGCCAAAGCCTCTTCCATTGGCTTCATAATCTGCACCTGCCACCCCTGCTTCCTTGCTTTTCCTGTGACACACCAGCATGCTCCTGCCTTAGGCCGGACACTATGTACCAAGAGTGCCAGGAACACTCTCCCCTTGGCTAGCTATGTGGCTCACTCTTTCACATCCTTCAAGTCTTTGCTCAAATTTCACCTTCTCATTGAAGCCCACCCTGACCTGGCCACCCTATTTAGAACTGCAACCCCTCCCCTGACCATTACCAGTCTCCTTTAGTCTGCTTTTTCTTTTTCCCATTGCTCTTATCACTTTCTGAGATCCAAGACTAATTGCTTAATTATTCTCTTTATTTTTTATTACATATCTCTCCCAGTTGGAATCTATGTTCCACAATGGCAGGGATCTTGGTACCAAGCACCTAGAATTGGGCCTAGCCTGCAGTCACCAATCAATACATGTTTGTTGGGTGTTGCTGAATACATCAGCATCATAGGGTCTGGAAAGAAAGACTAAACATGACTTTGGTCCAGAATTTCTCACTGAGAAATATGGAGCAAGGCTGCTTGCCTCAACCTTGGCTCACAGACCTCCACGTGTTTTCTTAAGACAGAGTATCTTAAACGTCAATCATTTGCATGCCAACTGCATGATTTTTGCCCTAAGAATAAACTTACTTTTATTTACTCAATACTTTTTCTTAAATAGACTTACTTCTTGGAAAATAGATTTATTTTGGAAGAAAATGTTACATCATGGCTTTGATGTGCTAATTACTTTTTTAAAATACATGTTAAAATAAACATATAGCCACTAAAGTGAACAATGTGCATCGTATCACCTAAGAACATCTTGCTTACCCCTGGGGAAACCTGCCTTAAGCGTTGCCCCTTAACCAGAAAGGCCTTCCCTGTACCTCCCACCTACCCAAATCCCAGTGTCCTTCTACAGAAAGCCTTGGCAGCTCTTCCAGCTTACTTCTCTGCACTGTCTCCATACTTACAGACAAAATATGTAAGCCCAGGCCGGCCATAGTGGCTCACGCCTGTAATCCCGGCACTTTGGGAGGCCAAGGGAGGTAGATCACCTGAGGTCAGGCGTTCGAGACCAGCCTGACCAACATGGCGAAAACCTATCTGTACTAAATACAAAAAATTAGCTGGGTGTGGTGGCACATGTCTGTAATCCTAGCTACTTGGAAGGCTGAGGCAGGAGAATTGCTTGAACCCGGGAGGCGGAGGTTGCAGTGAGCCGAGATTGCGCCATTGCACTCCAGCCTGGGCAACAAGAGCAAAACTGTGTCTCAAAAAAAAAAAAAAAAAAAAAAGAGAGAAAGAAAGAATGAAATACATAAGCCCAATATTTGGATGCTTATATGCCGTTTGGTTTTTCCTGTTTCACATCATAAGATTATAGAACATCTTCTTAGCTATAGATAAAAGAGACATTAGAGTGTCCAATTCCCTTATTTTATAGGCTATCAAAGAGATTAAGAGGCTTGTCCCAAATCACTGCCAATTAGGGCCAAAGCCAAGACTAGAACTTGGGTCTTCTGATTCTCTACACTGTAGGGGAATCCACAAACACTTATTGAGTCCCTATGATGTGCCCGACATTGTGCCAACTACAGGAGATACTGGCGAATAGAACAGACTCAGACCTTACCTAAGTGGAGCTTTCAGTGTGGTCACGCTAAACTAATAATTCAATCTGATTAAGTAAATCATTGCAAGAGCACAAGTGCCTTGGAGGAGAAGTGCAGGGTTGGGTAATGGGCCCAGCCTGGTTTGGAGGGTCACAAAAGCCTCACTGAGAAAATATGTTCAAATGCATAGGAGTTAGCTGAAGAGGAGCTGGCAGATATTTTAAATGGTGCCAGGCTAATTCACAAAACCTTCTTTGATATTTGACAGCTGCATTGTGGGTTAATTAGGCCACTGTGGCCTGCCCTATTTGCCAAAGTGCTCAGGAAAAGGCAGTCAGACTCCTGTGCCTTCGAAGCAGCACCAGTGGTTCCCTCCTCCCAGCAAGGAAGTGACAGGAGACACCGAGAGGCCTGCTCTGGAGAAGGTCTCCTCACCCCTCGCTGACAGGGAGTGTGGGCATCTTGAACATGACACATTGGTTGTTTTTGCCAAGGGAGTGCCTACAATGTGAGCTTTGACATTAGAGAAAAATAAGTCCTTAGTCCCTGGAAGTGGAAAATCTTAGTGTTATTTACAAAGGCACACTACAAGGCCTTGTGTAGCTTCACCTAACTAGTAAAAAGCAGACTCTTCAAAAGGAGATGCATTCCAGTCTCTGTTAATTACCGTTACATCCGGAGGTCATCTTCATGTTTCCTGTGATAGTTCAGTGGGGCTGGTTAATCTGTGTCTAAGAAACTTCTACTATATCCTGCCTTACTGTTAGAAAATTCAACCCAACAAGCAATATGTAGTGATGTGGAACAGAGATGTATTTAAACTGAGATAGAGTCTTGGGGTTTGATTTCCAATTCTTTTCCTTACTAGGTTGGGAAAACTGCTTTACTTTTCTGAACCTCAATTTTCTTTTCTTTTTCTTTTTTCTTTTTTGAGATGGAGTCTCACTCTGTCACCTAGGCTGGAATGCAGTGGCATGATCTCGGCTCACTGCAACGTCCACTTCCTGGGTTCAAGTGATCCTCCTGCCTCAGCCTACTGAGTACCTGGGATTACAGGCTTGCTAAATTAGCCTGGCTAATTTTTATATTTTTAGTAGAGATGGGGTTTCACTATGTTGGCCAGGCTGGTCTCGAACTCCTGACCTCAAGTGATCTGCCCGCCTTGGCCTCCCAAAGTGCTGGGATTACAGGCTTGAGCCACCATGCCAGGCCTAAATCTCAATTTTCTTATCTGTAAGATGGGGATGATAATGATAATAATTTCTGAATCTTGTGAGAGGCTTGAGACATTAAATGAGAATATATGCGAGAGCTTTTTAATATGATCTGAAGTGCTGCAAAATGTCACTTAAAAATTAACTTCTGTTATGTATCCTCTTTTATAAAGCTCAAATTGAGGCTCAGAGAGAGACCTGGTTAGGGCTGGAGAAAGGTCTCCCGATCCGCCACTCAGTTTCTTTTCACCAGGTTGCTGCACTGGGGCCTGTCTTTTAGTAAAGCAATTGTTGGCGAGAGCAGGTTCCTGGGGGAAATGAACATGTGCCGGAAGGGAGGGAAAGAGAGTAGAGGGTCTCCCTTCAGGGGTATGGAGAGGGCAATGGACGGGGAGGGGGCAGGGACAAACCCACCTACCTTCTCAGTGCGCTGAGGGCTCTGAGGCTAAGCCCGCTCAAGGTTAAGGTTCTCTACTGCTGACTTTCTCCATCTCTCTCAATTTGCCTGTCTTTGTGTGGTTGAAGCTGATCTAGCATAAAATAACAGGCTTTTTAGCACAGTTTGAAAGCAAACTCAGGCTTTAATGATCAGTTTCCTGTTCCTTGGTATTTTCTTTCAAGCAAAGGCCATGTTTTTGTAATACTCCCTTTCAATGGACTGTTCTTTCGGCCCCAGCAAACATTCCTGAGTGGTAGGTTTGAGGAGGTGTTCCAATTTATTGTTTCCGGTGTCCAATAACCTTGGAGGAGTATCTGTCTTCATGCCCTCCAAGGCCATGTTATTTCAGAAAGTTACAGCATTTGAAATCATTCTCTAATAAAAGCAAGTGCCACTAATTCTAAGTAAAGTGAGCTTTACAAATAAGACCAGCTATGAATGTTTAAAAAAAGAAGAAAACAAAAAAACGAACTTCAACAACAGGAGTCCATAAGTGCAAACTGTATGCAGCTGAACTTCAGGAATTTTAGCATCCATTTAAAAAGATATCTTCGGCAAATTCATCTAAATTAGCTAAAAATGCTTGACACGATGAACATGTTGTGTCTCTAGGCCAGTATTCAATCCAGGTCAAGGAATCTAAAGGGTAGATGTACCTACCAAGAAACAAAGTGTTTGTGAGGTGGCCACAAAACAGAAAAGCTGAATTTGATTTCTTTATTTTTTTTTGAGACGGAGTCTTGCTCAGTCGCCCATGCTGGAGTGCAGTGGCGTGATCTCAGCTCACTGCAAGCTCTGCCTCTCGGGTTCACGCCATTCTCCTGCCTCAGCCTCCCGAGTAGCTGGGACTACAGGTGCCTGCCACCACGCCCGGCTATTTTTTTTGTATTTTTAGTAGAGACGGGGTTTCACCGTGTTAGCCACGATGGTCTCGATCTCCTGACCTTGTGATCTGCCCGTCTTGGCCTCCCATAGTGCTGGGATTACAGGTGTGAGCCACCGTGCCCAGCCTGATTTATTTTATAAGAGCCCAGCTGTGGTCAGGTCCCCAGGGGTCAGGCTGTCCGCCAAACTCTTCTGTACCGGCCTCTCCTGGGGAGGGTTCACAAACCCTTAAGGAATTGTAAAGCTGCCTGGGGCTCCCATATTAAAGGCAGAAAGTACATCTATTTCAATGACTAGTTTCTAAAAGCAGATAATACAATACATATTTACACATTTTCCTCTTTACAAACAGTCTGAGAACTATCAAGGGAGCTGGTGTGGTGGTTAGGGGAGGTCCGGTGAGTACTTTCAGATTCATCATCAGGTCCAGACACTCAGATGGTTAATCAGGCAGCTAAGTCCTCAGCTGCCACGATGGTTTTAAATCATTCTTTGCTTGACATTAATATTATTTAGTTCAAAATGGTTTGTTGGTTAAGAGCAGGGCCATAAGAAACACGTAGTGTATTTAAGAATAAATTATACTCAGTTTTGGAGGGAAGATCAGTGACTGAAAAATATTGGTGACTTACCTGAAACTGAAATTGTATTTTATCTGGAGGGCTTCTTTACCCATAATTAAGTACTGTCTTCCTTTTACCAGCTCAGCGTTAGTACAGGTTACCTTTTTAATGAAGGTAATCTCAGAGTCTTTCTCAGCAACAGCTTCCCCTGAGAGACATGCAAGTCAAGTAAGGTTATACCATTCATGTTTTAATGTCACAATTATAAACTCTCAAGTTTTCTGGTTCCTCGTGGCTATTGAGAGGTTCATGGCTAGTGGACAGCCGTGATATCCATGTGGTTAAGGCTTCAGTCTCTGGAGCCAGACTGCCTGGGTTAAACTCTAAGCATGCTGCTTCCTGGCTATGTGACTCTGGGAAAATGATTTATGTTATCTGTATAAGGCCTTAGACCCTCATCTTAAGACTGGGCATGATAATAAAACCTACCTTGTAGAACCATCGTGAGATTAAATGAGTTAATACATGAAAAGTGCCTGGAACATAGTAGGAACTATGTAAGTACTTATTATTACTCTTATATAACCAGAATTAAAAGAACCTCTCTACAGTTGAACAACATTAATCTCCACATTATATAGTAAAATATAAAATTATTTGGTATTTGGCAACTGTTAACTTTGTGGAAAAGTACAAAATGTGAAAGACTTGGAAAACTTCAAAGATAGTAATTTTGGGATTCTCAAAGAACTCACAAGTAGCCAGTTCCCCTACCTGGAATGCATTCCTCCCCATGTTGGCCTCTTGAATTTCATTTATCTTGAAAGTCTCCTTCAATTCTCACAGTATCCAGTAAAATATTCCTGGATGCTCTTTGTTTTAAATATCTTTCTGTCTCCTCTTTACCTCTTTTACACTTGAATTTCTGTCACAATTTTTTGTCCCACATCTGTCCTTCTAGCTAGACTAGAAACTTCTTAAGGCATGGACTGTGTCTGATTTATCGCTATATATACAGGGCTGATATTTAACTATTAAGTTCTGGCAGAGTCATCTTAATTGTTAAGTCCTGAAAAACTTCTGAACCAATTGGCAAATAGTGTATAATAGAAACTGTGTAAATGGTAAACTTTCATTAGTGATATAAATTTCAGTGTACACCCATTAGTTCAAGCTGATTTCTTAGGCTGCCCTGATGGTGTAGATTCCTATTACGTCAATATCTGAGCAACATTACCAGTACTATCTGCCATTTCAGCCCCTGTCATAGTAAGCAGTGTAGCTGTGTGGGGCCTTATTATTTTTTAAGCTTCTCATCATGGAAAATTTAAAGTATATTCAGAAGAGAGAACAGGCAACTACCCTGGGCTTCAACAATAACTAAACTTTTATTCTTCTATATCCTTACCTATTCTAAGCACTCTGTGCTTTGGAGAAATACCAATTTATCCTTATCCTCAAACTACAGTTTGCCCTTGATTCTAAATGGCTTATGGTCACTGTGCCACAATTCTTCTGTAAGTAGTGTGTGGTATTTTTATATTTATAAAAATTCAAAATTTATGTGTTAAAAATGGGCCCAGAATGAGGAGATGAAGTATGCCAATGTTTCTTAACATTTCCTTTTAAATATCATAAAATGCATCTTTGGATCTACAGGAGAACAAAGAAGAAATGATACTAATAAAAAAATTGTAGCTTGGGAACCATCCGATGCTATGAAAAATTCAGAACAGTCTAAAATGTCTTTTGATACTATGCAAGAATCAGTATCAAATAAAACAAATAATTTGTATTTCTGGAATGAAAAGCACTTTGTTATTTCAGTAAAAAGAGAATGGCTTATTACTGCTTGTAATATGAACATTGGATGAAAATGTTGCTCAAAAGTTGGACTGTGGCAACATCAAAGTTCTAAACACTTATTTCATTAGAATGGCAACTAGCCTGCAAATTAAAAAATTGTGACCATCAATGAAGAAAAAAATAAAATAACTTCACAAATAAGTTTCATACAATGAAACTTTCAAAATAACAAAAATTTAAAAAAAATTATCAAAGTGTTGATAAAGCAAATACAAAATTGAAAAATATTACTAGAATTTTAAACTCTAGGGTATGGTTAGTAATAATCAAGCTGGGAGGCTGAGGAGAGAGGATCCCTTGAGCCTAGGAGTTTGAGACCAGCCTGAACAACATAGTGAGACCCCGTCTCAAAAGAAAAAAAATCAAGCATTTTAGGACTTGAAATATTTGATAGAATTTCAAAAGAGAAAAAAATTTAGTATAAACATATTATTGCAATTTAGCTTTATGGTCCTACTTATTGCAAAATTTATATCAATCGAAATGAGGCCAGGCACGGTGGCTCACACACGTAATCCCAGCATTTCAGGAGGCTGAGGCGAGTGGATCACTTGAGCCTAGGAGTTCAGGACCAGCCTGGCCAACATGTAAGACCCCATCTCCGCTAAGATACAAAAATAAGTCAGGCGTGGTGGTGCATGTCTGTAATCCCAGCTACTCAGGAGGCTGAGGCAGGAGAATCACTTGAACCTGGGAAACAGAGTTTGCAGTGAGCCAAGATCGTGCCACTGCGCTCCAGCCTGGGTGACAGAGTGAAACGTCATTTCAAAAAAAAAAATGTAATCCCATTCACAATAGCCACACACACACAAAAATGCCTAGGAATACAGCTAACTAGGGAGGTGAATGATCTCTACAATGAGAATTACAAAACACTGCTCAAAGAAATCAGAGATGACACAAACAAATGGAAAAACATTCCACGCTCATGGATAGGAAGAATTAATATTGTTAAAATGGCCATACTGTCCAAAGCAATTTACAGATTTAATGCTATTCCTATCATTTTTCATAAAATTAGAAAAAAACATTTTAATATTCATATGGAACAAAGAAAGAACTTGAATAGCCAAAGGAATTCTAAGCAAAAAGAACAAAGCTAGATGCCTCCTACTACCTGATTTCAAACTATATTACAAGGCTACAGTAACCAAAGCAACATGTTACTGATACAAAAAAAGACACGTAGACCAATGGAACAGGTTACAGCACCCAGAAATAAAGCCACTATCCTAAGTGAATTAACACAGTAACAGAAAACCAAATATCACATATTTTCACTTATAAGTGGGAACTAAACAGTGAGTACACATGGACACAAAGAAGGGAACACTAGACAGCAGAGCCTACTTGAGGGTAGAGGGTGAGGATTGAAAAATTACCTATTGGGTACTATGCTTATTACCTGGGTGACAAAATGATCTATATACCAAACCCCCAAAACATGCAATTTACCCATGTAGCAAATTTGCACACGTATCCCCTGAACCTAAAATAAAAGTTGTAAAGAAAAAGAAATTGGACAATTACGCAATTGAAAAAAACATTTTGCTGAAGTTTTAGAAAAATGAATTCAATGAGAAATATTTATACGAACATCTTTAAAAAATGTTTCTCCCCAAGTAGAATATAAGCTTTAAAAAGGCAAGAGCTCTGTCTTATTTGAGTTGTATCTTCTGTGTTTAATATAATGCCTGGCACATAGTCAGTACTAAATAGTTGCTGAATGAAGGAACGAATGAACGAATGAATTCTCACCAGTTTTGTAGATATCCAGAAGGGTTGCCTTGTACTTGACAAAAACATTTTCTACAGTGATGGATGTGATGCTAACTTTATAAGCTGGCAAAAGACAAACAACAATGAAACAATTCAGTCTTAATACTATTAATGCTATGTCCAGTAGAAGCCAGAATTTGTCAAACACGAGAAATGAAGCATGGCAAACTATTATAGTTCTTATTTCCTCCAAGAAGCCTTCCCCAATCCCCTCAGTCTGATTCAATCTCTCAATCTATTAGAATCATTAGCCCTGGCCAATGTTATAGAACAGGCTGATTAGAATAAGAGACATATTTAATAAAATAACAGAAGCACATAAAACAAACAAACAAGATAAACCTTTGTTAGATGTTAAGTTCAGAGGCTGATCCTTTAAGATGAGTGGAGTCATGCCCATGGGCATCTTTTGAAGAGCCCCTTCATTCTCTTCTCCATGGCCACAGAGGAGGCCTTATCTCTCATTCAGGTCTACCATGTGAGCTTTCTTGGTTCCTTGCTTTGCTTCCTCATATAGTTCCACTGGCTTTAATCCTTGGTTTTTAGGATGATTCTGTTTTCTCACTCACCCTTGCTTGGCAACTACCTAACAAGAGCTGCCTACAATCCTGTTTTCCCTTCATTCAGATATCAATGTTTGATGCATAATGTGCTTGACCTCAGGTCTGGAAAGACCAGCTTGAAGGGACCCATTCTTTCTATGTGGCCTCAGGAGAGATTTATTTTATTTTTGCTTTTGATCTATTTTTTGTTTTGAAATTAGTGACCTAAAAGATTTGTTCATTCTAGATATCCCTCAAGTCTTTAAGTCTATCCCAGATATAGATTGACTGATTGAGAGGTAGCTAGGTGAACTCATCATGGCAGAACCAGGGGCTATGTAAATTAGTGGCTTAAAATGCATGAAAAGTGTTCTGACTTTCAGATTCATAAGTCTTTATAATGGACATGGGCAATGTACTTACTATGTGGGCCTGGGTACAGAGAGAGAACTACTTAATTTTGTTTCTATTCTGTTATTCTGGCTTGTAGTCCAGAAAAAGCCAGCGAAGTCTTTTCTTGAAACAACACAATAAACCCAAATTGCATTTATTCTCTGTGTTAAAATAGATTTCTGATATTTTAGATTTAAAATAGTTCTAAAATGGAGGGAAGAAATAATTTAGTGGAACTTTTGTTTGTTAAAACAATATAGTATTCTCAAGTCTTCATGTATTTAACAAACTGCAGTGGGCCTAGGCTGAGTCAGGCAGCTTTTTAGCTTTTTTTTTTTTCCAAAATCAATATAAATTCAAAGAAAGAAAAGTTATTAACCATATAAAACTTATTCTGTTGCCTGAATTACTATTAAGAGAATTCAGTAGACTTCGATGGAAAAAATACTGGAGATCAGGATGCATCTTAATTCTATTACTTGCTTTCTGCATGACCTTGAGCAAATTATTTAATCTCCCTGAGCCTCAGTTTCTTCACTGGTAAATAGTGATAATACTCTGTTACATTTTTTTTTTGACAGGGTCTCACTCTGTCACTCAGGCTGGAGTGCAATGGCTTACTGCAATCTCCACCTCCCAGGCTCAAGCGATCCTCCTACCTCAGCTTCCCAAGTAGCTAGGACTACAGACATGAGCCATCAACGCACAGCTAATTTTTGTATTTTTTGTAGAGACAAGGTTTTGCCATGTTGCCCAGGCTGGTCTAGAACCCCTGAGCTCAAAGTGATCCACCTGCCTCAGCCTCCCAAAGTGCTGGGACTACAGGCATGAGCCACCGCACCCAGCCCTCATGAAGTTCTTACGAGACCCTTTCCGTAAGAATGAGAACCCTTTCCATTGCAATGAGAAACTGTTTATGGAAGCTGTTGCTAAACACAAAGTACCAAATTGGCTGTGTTTATTTTTTTAATTTATAAATAACACCCTTCAAATTTCTTTCTTTCTTTCTTTCTTTCTTTCTTTCTTTTTTTTTTTGAGACAGAGTCTTGCTGGTGTTGCCCAGACTGGAGCGCAGTAGCACGATCTTGGCTCACTGCAACCTCCTCCTCCTGGGTTCAAGTGATTCTCCCGCCTCACCCTGCTGAGTAGCTGGAATTACAGGCACGCACCACTATGCTTGGCTAATTTTTGTATTTTTAGTAGAGACAGGGTTTTGCCATGTTTGCCCCAGGCTGGTCTCAAACTCCTGACCTCAGGTGATCCACCCACCTCGGCCTCCCAAAGTGCTGGTATTACAGGCATGAGCCACTGCGCCCGGCTCCACCCTTCCAATTTCAAAATGAAAAAATGATTTGAGATAGTGTACAATATGCTCTCTCTCTCTCAAAAAATGCCAGCAATAAACATCAAAAACTGAATAGATAACAAAGGAGCTAATTTTATCAGGAACTGAGACAAGGCTACAACTGTACTTGAACACTAATTTAGCTCTAAGCGCTGGACAACTAGAAGCACTGAGATTTGCTTTTTCAAATGGAGAGTGTCTCAAACATGGATTGCAATCTTGAATATATTAAAAATTATTTGGTATTTATATTTTTACCCTGAAGATATTTTTTTAAAAACCAAGCCCCCTAAATCACCTTTGCCTCTGCCTCTGGTCTATCAATTGGAAGAGTACAGAACTGAAATCTTATACCTCTGTGGCTTCTCAAAAGTTCCCTTTGACTATGTTTTAGTGCCTGTAATTGAAAAAGCTCTATTGTGGGAAAGTATCCTGGCTGGGTATACATGTCACTTCTATTATTTATAATGAAAATCACATTTCTTTGCTGAGGAATAAAAACTTTGCATGTTAATGCTAAAAATCGATGGCATTTTCCTTCAGGGGATCACATGGAATGTTGTATTCATATAATCACTATATAAAGTTTTTGATCTTTCTAACTGAACACATATTCATAAAATTTCATGTTTAAAGGAGCTATATTGAACTTTTGAACTCACCATATGCAATCTCTGGTTTACATGCTGTTTGTTTTCTTGTCTCTGCAGAGATTGTCAGATCCAATTCTTCCTGCATTTGCCCACAATCAGCTGGATTTTGTGAAAATTGGTAAAAATAAGGTTAATGGAAAGAAGTAGACACTCTTTCCAGGAGTAAACACGGTTTCTCATGAGCCCAGAGACAACCCAATATAACCTTACAAATGTCAGATTTCTAAGACCTGCCCATTTTCTTTTCTTTCATAAAGTGAAATATTACATAAAGAAAACAAAACAAACAAAAACAAAAAACAAAATCTTGAGCATGTCACAAGCTTGTCTAACCCATGGCCCGTGGGCAGCACACAGCCCAGGGCAGCTTCGAATGCGGCACAACACAAATTCGTAAACTTTCTTAAAATATTATGAAATTTTTCTTGTGATTTTTGTTTTAGCTCATTAGCTATTGTTAGTGTTAGCGTATTTTATGTATGGCCCAAGACAATTCTTCTTCCAATGTGGCCCACTGAAGCCAAAAGATTGGACACCCCTGGCATAAGACTTATTGTTAGACTGGGTGGCTACTCCACATTCAGGTCTTTAGAAATGTATGTGGTTCCCTTGATGAAAGGGGGAAATTTTCCATTTTGAGTATAATCAGAAGTCCTTTGAAGGACCCAAAATGATAATGTGACTGATTTATAGCTATAAAATGGCACAATAAGTACCTAGAAAATGTGTAGATATTGAGGATTTTGAAAAAACCAAAACTAACTGAGACCCTCATGGAGCCAGCTGTTGATTATTGGTGAGTTCTGGATCTTTTCCTTGGCCAAGAAGGCTTTCTTCAATTTAGGAAAGACTAAATGGAACTGGACAATAAACCGAATTCCATTAACTGGGAAGTATAAGAGAAAAGGAACAGAAGCTAGTGGTTCAGTGCTGAGCCTCTTGTCTTATATGATAAAAAGACTAGGTGAAAGTAAAATCTCACATCATGTTGCCCCTATAATATTCAACAACCCTCTCGATGGTGTTTCCCTGCCTCTGTACAGCATGAACTATCAGGTTGTTCAGGAACTGTGAAAATGTAGTTTTACAATGCTCAAGGAATCATTAGCTTTCAATTAGCTGAGATAGCATTTCTACTTCTGAGAAAGAACAGTTTACCAAACAGTGTCCCCCAGATTAACCTCAGGTTATGAACGACTGCTTTAAATAAGCATGCAGCCTAAATATGTTAAATAAAGTTTACCTTCTACACACTTGCACGCGGCTCCTTCACAGACTTTCTGAATTTTGATATTGGAAGTGCTATAAAACATGGTACACTGTTTATCTGTGGCAACAAAAGTGTGGTTAAGAGAAGTGGTTTGATTGAAGAACAACACATTTACTAATTGGCAAGTGTCTTACATGGAGCCTCAGAGATTGCTTATTTTAAACCCTTCTTTTTATAGCTAAGGCCCAGGGAGGTAAAATTATGAATTGGCTGTCCTGGGAAGGGTTCCGCTACCCTCAGAAAGATCTCCCCTTTTTCACTTAGTTCTGTGCTTGAAACACTCGTTTCTCAGAAATAAAACATTTGATGCTTCTCTAAGTAAGAGGAAAATAAATTATGTTGCATGAGGATCTTTTGAAAGAGTTGGAATTGTTTAGGGTGGACAAGGGAAGAAAAGCATATATCTATGTATCTCTATATATCTATCTCAAGGGGAAGAGGGACTATGTATGTTCTATGTGATTTCAGAATATAAAACTAGAATGAATGGGTGTCAGAGTTTTGGTTCACTTCAAGAATTTTCTAACAAGTAGAACTGCCCAAGGTGGAGTCATCTGTCTTGTGATCCAATAAGCTCTCCAACCACATAACATTCTCAAAAATGGCTGAATAGTCAAATGTGGGATCACCCATTCATAAATATTTATTGAGTTCACATTCTATACCCGACGCTGCGTTAGATACTAGGGACACAAGAATGAAAACACCCTGGGGTTGATGAAAAAGACATACAAATAATTGAATGCAATGTGACAGCTGCTATAATAGAGCTATCTGCAAAGTGTAACAAGAATATAGATGGGCTAGAAGTTGTTCTGGGGGGATTGAGTTGATTTCTCTCAAAAGGAGAGATATGATTTATCTGTGAACACCATAGATAAACCTGAGGCAAAGAATATTGAAGTTGGAGGCACTATAATCCAGTTATTTTAAATATGAAGAAACTGAGGACTGAGGTGAAACGGTCTGCTCAATGTCAAGAAGTAGTTTATGTACAATATTTTGTATGCAGTAGTTTTGAATGTTCAAATTGGGACTTTCATGAAGAGTGGTCCCTAAGAGAGGCAATACATAAAATTTACAGGACTCTAGTGGATTTCTAAATGTTCTGGAAAGAATACAAAGTATTCTTCTGAAGAAATGTTAGCATGGAGTTGATTACCTGGTCTGTGGTATTCGTACACTGTGAAAGTGGCAGGACTGAGAAACCCAACTTCAAAGAGTTCAAATATCCGGAATCGTACACAAAGGAAATCACTGGAGGGAATCTGTTTAACAAATTCAAGGATTTAAGGAAATTATGGAGAGATGATATTTATAATCTTTTAGCCTGTATATTTTGAATAGTAATAGTAAAGGAAAAATGGTTGCAGGTGGAGCTTACCGAATTCAGTTGCAGAATAACATGTCCATCTTTGATTTGGTAATCAGTGAATAGTTGATCCACCCCTTCCACAAGCTAAGGGGGAAAAGAGAGAAGCTTGAATTTCATTTCATTATCTTTTTGTTTAAATGCATTCACCTGTTGATGAGATAGCACAATGCAGGGATGTGATCTGTAATTCAAAGAAATTGAAGAGCAGTTCCTCTTCTTGAAAAAGTCTGAACACATTAGCATATAAACTCATATTTTACAGAGCATGCTAGTGTATGCTTCTGCTTCACTTTGATAAATCAAAACTTAGGTTAATTATGTTTTGAAAAGAATATTCTGGCCAGGCCTGGTGGCTCACGCCTGTAATCCCAGCAGTTTGGGAGGCCAAAGCCAGTGGATCACCCTGATGTCAGGAGTTCGAGACCAGCCTGACTGACATGGAGAAACCTCGTCTCTACTAAACATACAAAAAAATTAGCCAGGTGTGGTGGTGCATGCCTGTAATCCCAGCTACTCGGGAGGCTGAGGCAGGAGAATCACTTGAACCCGAGAGGTGCGGTTGCAATGAGCCAAGACTGCATCACACTCCAGCCTGGGCAACAAGAGTGAAAATCCACCTCCAAAAAAAAAAAAATATTCTGGGTGATTCTATAAAAGTGGTATATTCAAATGAAAGAAAGTAAAATTGTCTATAAAATAATTCAGAAAAGAAAATGAAGCATTCACAACACGATTTAAAAGAAAACACATACGGCTTTTAAGTCTTCTTCATTTGCACTGATTCCAGTAGGCAAGGAGATGTCCATCACCGCATGAGAGGATCCAGATGATGATTCTTCCCTGCTGGGCTTGTAGCTAAAATAAAAAAGAGGTTAGAAAATATAATAAATAAGTGAATAAGAGTCTTTAAGAAAGGACACTCTTCCTTAGTAGACCTTAATTTTTAAATTTGGGTCTCCATTTATTTGCTTTTCTACAATGTATGGGTTAAAATCTCTGACTTTAGAGTTGCAAGAGATCTTTGAGTCATCTATTCTCTTTCCTCACTTGATCAATAATCTCAACAGACCACTCTACTGGAACACAGAAGTCATCCACACCAAGCTAACTAGCTGGGGAAACTCAGGATGAGAGTAAGGCACTGGTTCAAGGTCACATGGCTAATTCATGCAGAGCTACAGAAGAATCCAGGTCTTTGGATTCTCACGTTAGTTCATTTTCTAATGAAGCATATTCCAAGGAAAAAATCAGTTGTATGTTGAAAAGAGATTCAATAAACATGTCCAGGAAAAGCTGGAAGAAAATACACTAAGGCAAGGCACGGTGGCTTACGCCTATAATCCCAGCACTTTGGGAGGCCAAGGCAGGCAGATCACTTGAGGTCAGGAGTTCAAGACCAGCCTGGCTAACACGGTGAAACTCCGTCTTTACTAAAAATACAAAAAAAATTAGCCGGGCTTGGTGGGACACACCTGTAATCCTAACTACAGGAGAATTGCTTGAACCTGGGAGGCGGAGGTTGCAGTGCGCCGAGATCGCAGCACTGCACTTCAGCCTGGACGACAGAGTGAGAATCCCTCTTTAAAAGCAAACAAACAAACAAACAAACCCACAAATATTAGTAGCTACTTTGGATGGTGAGATTATAAGCAATTATCTCTTTTCTTTTTCATGCTTTTCTCTATTTTCTATATTTCCCATAATAGCTACTTTATATAGAAAATGTTTCAAGGACTGTCCTTTCAGTAGGAATTCTGCTAGTAGGAATTTAAGCGGAAATGCAAAAAGGGCACAATGGGAGGGTTTTGTTTTTGTTTTTGTTTTGTAAGAGAGAAAAGAATACTGAAATGGAGAATCAGGAAACTTGGGTTTTATTCCAGTTCTGAGATTCCCACAAATCATTTCCCCTTTCTAAGCTCATTTTCTTATTTGTAAAATTAACTGTGAAGAAGTATAAGTTTGTGTTTTAAATTTATCTTTATAATTCCCAGGCTTTGGTTTTGGGTGGCAGAGGCTTAGAGCTACCATTAAGAGATGTTAGAAGACATAAAAGAGACAGGCTGGCGGGGCTGAGGCTGGGGCAGAGACAGACGGAGTGTGATTCTGTAAAAGTTGATTTCAGGTTCCAGCCTCACCTCAAGATGCTTGAAAGGCAGCTGGATGTTTGAGAGTGAAGCTTGGGAGAGCAGTCAGGATTAAAGGAAGAAATTAAAAGACAGCTTCATAAGGGGTAAAATGAATTGATCTCACCTACAGGTATGAATGTTGGTGGAAGAGGAGATACTAAGCAAGTTAGTGAGGGGTCAGGGCATATCTTTTCCTCAATGACACCTCATAGAGCATATATAATGCAGTCCCAGCTGGGTGCGGTGGCTCACACCTGTCATCCCAGCACTTTGAGAGGCTGAGTCAGATCAGCTGAAGCCAGGAGTTCGAGACCAGCCTGGCCAACATGGTGAAACCACTTCTCTACTAAAAATACAAAAATTAGCTGGCTGTGGTAGCTCACACCTGTAATCCCAGCTACTTAAGAGGCTGAGGCACGAGAATGGCTTGAGGCTGGGAGGCAGAGGTTGCAGTGAGCTGAGATCGCACCACTGCACTCTAGTCTGGGCAACTGAGCAAGACTCTGCCTCAAAAATAAATAAATAAATAAATAAATAAATAAATAAATAAATAAAAGCAGTCCCCATTAGAAGTCATAGATGTAATATTTGCCACAATAAAGAAAAGTATTCTAAAATCTCTGACTCATAAAAATTTAACCCTATTCTTCACCAAATTAACAATTTAGAACAGAATATAAAACACTTGGAACTCTAATGTGACATCCGAACATCTCCCTAATTGGATGGGTAGAAGCAGAGCACTCTTGCTCACAGATGCAAACACTTTGTCAGCAGGATGGAAAAGGGCCTCCCGAGTGGAGAGTGTCTATGAAAAGGTTGCTGGAGCCTTGATGACTGGTTGCCATGGAGACTGTTTCAATGGTGGAACAGAAATCCTCCTTTCAAGAAGCCCTTTGCCTGCTGCCAAAACCAGCAATCTTCCCCAAAGGCATTTTGTTGTGAGGGAAATGAAATCCTTTTTTCTTTTCTTAGGAATACAACAGAGAGGTTGTAAAAAGGTAAATACACGAAAGAGACCCTCTGAACACAGAAACTTCATGCTGGCATTTTTTAATCAGGAGAGAGAATATTTGAAGGCAAAGAAGTTCCTACATGAATAAGTACTACACAGTTCCTTTTGGAATTTACCCAACCTAACTTCAGTGTCAACAGAGCCAAAAGCATATTCCACCCGCCTTTCTGGAACATTTTGTCCCCAATTTGTAAAAACCAAAGGATAGACTATTCAAGATTGCATTTCTCCTTGCTTTCTTTTGTATATTGATAATCTGGAATTAGGCCTCCTGACAATGAAGTCAAATGAATGAATTTTTGATAACAGCTTTTTTCTGTACGGCAGAATTGTGGATAATTAGAACTGGCAGAAAACTTGAGATAAGGTAGTGCAATATCTTTGCTTTATAGAAGAGGATTGGAGAAGTAAACTGATTTCCTGAAGGTCACTGGAGTTCTTACTGGTAGAGGCTATCCCACAGGTGTCTCACCCTATCAGAGAGCTCTTCTTTATTGCAAGTCTAGATGCCTCCCTGTAGGGTCCCAGGCACTGATTCGAGCTCTGCCCAGAAGTTTGCTTACACTTCCCTTTGACAACTGTTACAAATTTAAAGGTAATTGTGATCATGCTCCTCCCCAGCTGGTAGGTGCCCAAGGGTAGGAATGGCATTTAGGGGGAAAGAAGCTGCCTGGGAAAGGGCGACCTTACTGGAAAGACATTAGGGAATGAGGAAAGATGTTTGAGCGGGAACAGAGAGCAGGGACTGGCCACAGAAGGAAGTAGGAAATGCTGGAAGGAAGAAATGCTGATGAGGAAGGAAATAGGGCTGAATAGTGAAGGAATCCTAAGAAGCGATTGGGCTTGGGACATAGAGAAGACTGGGAAACAGCTGGGAGGGAGGCAGGGAGAAACTATGTGCTGTTCCTTGGGATTAGTGGTCTTAGATTACACTGATTGAAAGAGGTGGTTTAGGCTGAGCGTGGTGGCTCAGGCTTGTAATCCCAGCACTTTGGGAGGCTAAGGTGGGCAGACCAGCTGAGGTTAGGAGTTCAAGACCAGCCTGGCCAACATGCTGAAACCCCATCTCTACTAAAAATAAAAAAATTAGCCAGGCATGGTGGCATGTGCCTGTAATCCCAGCTACTCGGGAGGCTGAGGAAGGAGAATCACCTGAACCTGGGAGGTGGAGGTTGTAGTGAGCCGAGATCACGCCACTGCACTCCAGCCTGGGAGACAGAGTGAAACTCCATCTCAAAAAAAAAAAAAAAAAAGATGTGGTTTAGATACTGGATTGAACATCAGAGGTTGGGGATTTGAGCCCCTAGCTCTGCCTCTAACTCTGTGAGCATTTGGCAGGCGACTTTATCTCTTTGGGTCTTAGTTTCTTCATTTCCAAAACAAGAGGATTATGATATCATCCCTAAGGTCCTTCTCAGCTCTCATCTTTTGCACAACACTATTGAATTTCCAAGTTATCCACACTGGGTGCATGATTATAAGTAAAATCAGCAAAATGCCATCCACAGATATCACTGTTATTGACAATACAAGAGTTAAGAAAATAGAACACAATAGAAAGGACTGAGGGACGATGGAAAGAACAGGGAAGAAGTCTGTGTTTCAGTCCTGGCTCTACCACTCTCTGATCACACTGTGTGATCACCAAAGCCAAAAGTATATACATATTTTCAAATACCTACATATTCTTTTCTTTTTCTTTTTTTTTTTATTTGGAGACAAGGTCTCAATTTTTCGTCCAGGTTGGAGTGCAGTGGCGTGGTCACAGCTCACTGCAGCCTCAACCTCCTGGGCTCAAGCAATCCTCCTGCCTCAGCCTCCTGAGTAGCTGGGACTACAAGTGTGTGCCACCATGTCTGGCTAATTTTTAAAATTTGCTGTAGAGATGGGGTCTGGCTATGGTGCCCAGGCTGTTCTTGAACTCCTGGGCTCAAGCAATTCTCTCTCCTTGGCCTCCCAAAGTGTTGGGATTACAGTATGAGCCACTGTACCCGGCAAAAAACCTACACTTTCATAAATGTTTTAGGATGGTGGCTGTGGTAAGCAGAATAATGGCCCCCAAGGGTGTCCATGTCCTAATCCCCTGAACCTGTGAATATGTTACCTTATGTGGCAAAGAGAACTTTACAGATGTGATTAAATTAAGGATTTGAGATAGGGGGTTATTTGTGCAGGCCTAATGTAAAGACAAGAATCTTTATGAGGAAAGGAAGCAGGAGAGTCAGAGAAGGAGGTGTGATGATGGAAGCAGAGGTCACAGTCAGATTGGAAGATGCTGTGACACTGGTATTGAAGACAGAGAGGGGCCACAAGCCAAAGAACACAGGTAGCCTCTAGAATCTGGAATAGGCAAAGAAATTCTAGAGCTTCCAGAAGGAATACAGCCCTACCCAGCTCCTTGATTTTGGGACTTCTCACCTCTAGAATTGCAAGATAGTAAAACTGTGTTGGTTTAAACCATTACATTTGCAATAAATTGTTACCTAGCAATAACAGGAAACTAATACAGTGGCCAATTGAGGCCTCGGTATTTAGTTGGGAGAGGGTTTAACATCAGTGGTTCTCAACCCTGGCTACCATTAGAATGACCTCTGGAGCCCGGGACATTTGGACAGCTCTAAGAGCTCTCCAGCTGACTTCAATGTGCAGCTTGAGTTGAGAATCTAGCTGATAATGGATTTTGTTAGGTAAATGTGATTTTTCTAAGTAAGAGAGTAGGGGCTGTTTTTGAGAGAATCTTTTATATTTTTTTCCTAATTTTTTAAATCACATTTCTATCCCTCTGAAAGAGAAAAAATTAATATTACACTGTTTGAATCAGAAGACAAAACAGACAGAGAAAACTATTATGAGCAAAACCAAGGCTGTTTTTTATGGTAAGTAGCAATTTAAGAATATATATGTTCTGCATTTTTAAACAATTGAACAATTTTGTATCTTCTGGACATACCAAAATTTGAAAATATGTAAAGAAACAATACGTTAACAAAAATGAGAACTTGGAGTCTATGCTCCCCTTTGTGGAAATAGGCTCACCTGGCACATGCTACTATGCGTTTGTAATCAGAGTTTCCGTAGCCTCTGTAGTGGGATGCTGGCACATAAGACAAGAAAACAAACAGACAAATATAAGAGTAAACTGTTTTCAGCTGCTTTGGAACCTGTCAGAACAGAATCATTAATGAGCAAATCTTTGAACACACTTAAAAATGATTTGTGATTTGGAAGTTTAGATACTTTCAGTGGTTCTAATGGAAATTCATGGCTATTGACAATACCAGGAAGTCTTTAAATAATTAACAGTTCATTGCTCTCAAATAACTTATAATTTAATGAAGAAATTATTAAAGATAAATATGTATTGGTAATATGTTTGGGGGATGTTGGAGGGAGGAAGAACAGATGCCTTAATTTGCTGGTAGTTGGGAAGTTTCCTGTAGGAACAGGCTTCTGAGCAATAGATGGAAAATATCAGGGCAGAGGCAGCAACATTCATTCTGACCCTGGAGGCAATGGGGAGACCAGGAGGACTGGAGTGTGCAAGTGGACTTGCTTTTGGACCAGGAAGGGAGAACCAACCAGCAGAGGGATGTGAGGGCCTTGGGTTAAATAAAAGGGTCAGGGGTACATTTAAAGAAAGGATGGTACAGGAGAGACTAAAAAAGAAAGGGGTACAGGAGAGACTAAGTTAAAGATGGAGGCAGAGAAATGTTTATTTTCTGGGCCCCTTGGAATACAGAAAGGCTAAGGGATGGAAAACTAACAGGGTGATAAGAGAATTCAAGGTCCCAGATTGGAAGGCTAACACAAAAGTAACAGAAATTCCTGGTTCTGGAATTAGACCTTAATGTGGCTTTACAACTAGTTACACTCTTTAAAAATAACATAGTCAAAACAATTTATTGATCAATAGCAAATACATTTAGCTTAGTCATTGTTATTTAATATTAGCTTCCGACTATATTAAAGAGTTATCTATTGTAAAAAATGGAAGTAATATTTACTTGGATGTCAACCTGCTAAAGTATTTGGTTAAGAAATTTCACTTTTTGAGTAAGCACATTTTTACTAATCAGAGAAGCTCTCTATTTATACACATGCTTTATTTTTAGCCAAAATTACAGCGTAAATCCTGCTGTTTTTACCTTCAATATCCTGAGTATCGATTTTCAAATAAAAGCTGCAAACTTCCTCAGAGGTACTGGTTTTGTGAACTACAGTTGTTACCTACATTGGGGACAAGTAAGCAAGAAGATTCTATTTAAAGTGGGAAAGTGACAAAGGTATTATGGCAACACTGCTGCTGCAGATGGGATGCTCGAAGGATCATTTTCATAATCCAGCACAAATGGTGTACATTAGTGACTCATTTTTCCAGCAGCTGGACTTTAAGCAAACTCCATAATCTAAACCTGAGAGGCCCAAAGTAAGCAAAAAATGACTTCTGGCCGGTCAGAAGCTTGGTCTAAATTCCATGCAGTCAAATCTGGGCACCTCACTCTACAGGAGAGTTCCCAAGGTTCTTGTTTTGAACCTTTCCACTTTAATTTTACACACAACAGCACAAGGCTAAGAAGTGTGGGTTTCTTCCAGCCACACGCCATCATGGCAAACAACAAATTATAGGTGTGTATGAATGGGCAGAGGTGCTGCCAGAAGTAGATATATTGACACCAACCAGAAGTGGCAGAAAAGTGGACAATCTCTCCTCCCCCATATAAACTTACAACAGTCCTTGAAGGAATGAATGCACTAAAGATAAGAGCGTGATTAAAATTATTAATAGGATGTTAATTTATGCTCAGAACATGCAATTTAAGAATGCATGAAAATACTTAAACAGCCTAGAAAAATTTGCACCTGCCAGCTGGGCGTGGTGGCTCGCGCCCATAATCCCAGCACATTGGGAGGTCAAGGTGGACGGATCACTTGAGGTCAGGAGTTTGAGACCAGCCTGGTCAACATGGTGAAACTCCGTCTCTACTAAAAATACAAAAATTAGCCAGGCGTAGTGGCATGTGCCTGTAATCCCACCTACTTGGGAGGCTGAGGCAGGAGAATTGCTTGAACCTGGGAGGCGGAGGTTGCAGTGAGCCAAGATTGCACCACTGCACTCTAGCCTGGGTGACAGAGCAAGACTCCATCTCAAAAAAAAAAAAAAAAAGAAAAAAAATTGCAACTGCCAAGTGGCTAAAATGAAGAAATAAGTCTTTATGAATAACACATAAATCCCCCAAAATCCTGGATAAATGAGATGGGATAGAAAACATATATATATACAATGCACATATGTACACAGATATATGTATATACACATATGCCATATGCGTATACACATATATAATCATAAAATTATATATCTCTATAAATATATATAATTTCTATAAGTATACAGAATGTATACATATAAGGATTAAATTTTTTTGTGTGTGTGAGACGGAGTCTTGCTCTGTTGCCAGGCTGCAGTGCAGTTGTGCCATCTCGGCTCACTGCAACCTCTGCCTCCCAGGTTCAAGTGATTCTCCTGCCTCAGCCTCTGAGTAGCTGGGAATACAGGCGCACGCCACCATGCCCGGCTAATTTTTTGTATTTTTAGTACAGACGGGGTTTCACCGTGTTAGCCAGGGTGGTCTTGATCTCCTGACCTCGTGGTCTGCCCGCCTAGGCCTCCCAAAGTGCTGGGATTAAAGGCGTGAGCCACCATGCCTGACCAACATTGTTATTTTCAAAAAAATTGTGAGGATAGTTACAAAGATTGCTAGAAAGATTTACATAAGTGAATCCCACTTTAGTCATGGTTACCCAAGCCCAGATTTCTGTGACTTTGTGGCAAAGCTCCTAACTTTTATGTTACCTAGTACAAATGGACACATAACTCGTTATTGGATATCAATTAAATACTTACATGTACTGTAGCCAAGCCACTGCCAAATCCTGTACTGACAATGAGGTCATCATTGAGAAGCACCTGGAAAGATAATAGAGAAACAAACCATGCTTTCTTTCATCATTTGATAGGGAGGGAGGATAGAGCTATGAAAAGTGGGTTGACATGTACCAGCCTCCTCTCTCAGAGCTCTTCTGAGAGTAACTGGATGAGACACTGAAAATCCTATGCCCATGGCAGGTGCTAAACAAGGCTGGTATTTCCCCTTTCCCTTCTACATGTAAATAAGATGTCTGAGATCTCCTGAGTGAACCAACAAAAGCAACATGTCAGAGGTCACTTCTGGTTACATTTTCATTTACATATGGCTATGGTAAATCTGGATCTTCATCTCCTTTTGCCAACTGAATAAATTCCTTTCTGTGCCTAGCTCAGGAATCAGCATCCTGTGTGCCAATGGAGATCGTTTTCATTAGAACCCAGAGCAGGGAACCTCCACATAACTTGAAAGCGGGTGCATCTATCTTTGGTCCTCTCTGAGCTCCTCCTTTGCACCCCTTTTCCATCTCTTGATGATTTATCTTTTCCACTTGTCACCGCCTTTGTTTGCAGAAACCCCTGGTACCCCACCCCAAACCACTAGCACCCCACTCAAGCCTGCCAAATCCTTAGTTGCTGCTGCTCTTCTTCCCACTCTGCTAGGAGGAAACTGAAGACATAAACGGAGTTAAGTCATTCTCCTCTCCAGAGAAACTCTGTCATCCAAATGCTCCCTAATTTGTGGAAAGTACAGGAGAGATAATTTTGAGCCCGAGGGGTTGGCACTTCCTTTACTCCAAGCCTCCCCTTTCCTTTGCTTAGCACAATAATGCAAGATGGATTGGGCATATGTTAAAGTTTCTCAATCCTTCCTTCAAATTTTAGTAAATGTAGGAAAGTAGGTCAACATTCTTGTTCTCCCTGATAGAATATAGCAGCATTTGTTGGAAAACAGGTGTCTTGAGATACTGCATGTGAAAAGCATGCATGACAAATAAGTTTGGGAAATGCTGTGCACTGTGCCCTGCCTCTGCCCCTTTTCACACCCAGAGTCACCACACTTAATCACATACATGTTACAGAACAGGGGAATTCTGGATTAAAGAACTTGTTTAACTTAATTTAAATTAATTTGTTTAACTTAATTAATGCACACTCAACCACCTAACACTCTTTCATGGAACACATTTCAGGAAATGCTGGAGTAGAAAATTCCACACTGGATAATAACAGCCCAGGTTTTACATGGAAGCAGCATCCTGGGCTGGGGTTTAAATTTTGTTAGGATGACAAGAGGCCTCTTACAGCATTATCCCTATAGAGAAGAATAATTTCAGCTACCTCAGGTAGCTGGAAGGTCAAGAGATCCTTCTTAGAGCTTAGACTCAGAACATGAATCTCCGGTGAACTCTAAATGATCCCAGGGAAAGGAGACATATTCCCAAACTAGGGACCACAAGCACAAATGCCTGCAGAGGCCCGGGCACAAAGCAGGTATGAACATAAATGCACATGCATACGTCCTGTGACTGGTGGGGACTGCAGTAAATTGTAGAAGCCATGCCAATGCCTGGTGCTTTGCTTTCAGGTCTTTTGGTTTATCAAGGGAAGTTGGGAATCAGGTTTTTATTTGAAATATCTGGATCCTTAAATGTTGGCATATATCTATGTCTATGTTTATATCCATATTCTTTTTTTTCAGTATGGGCCACCAGTTTGCAATTTTTGCATTAAATTTTATTTCTCTGCTGGGCATGGTGGCTCACACCTGTAATCCCAGCACTTTGGGAGGCCAAGGTGGGTGGATCACCAGAGGTCAGGAGTTTGAGACCAGCCTGGCCAAATGGTGAAACCCCATATCTACCAAAAATACAAAAAATGAGCCAGGTGTGGTGGCAGGCGCCTATAATCCCGCCTGCTTTGGAGGCTGAGGCAGGAGAATTGCTTGAACCCAGGAGGTTGCAGTGAGCCGAGGTTGCGCCATTGCACTCCAGCCTGGGCAACAAGAGCGAAACTCCATCTCAAAAAAAAAAAATTATTTCTCATGCTTGTTTACTTTTAACAAACACCAATTTGTGAAGGATGTCAACAATGAGGATTATTTCCAATTACTGTACATTTAAATATACTTTAAAATAATGCAAACACAGTAATTAGAAAAATATGTATCAGCAGCTATATGTGGGCAGCTAATATTAATATAGAACCCAGTTTTTCCAACATGTCTTGTTCTTTGTGAAATTTTCATAAGCCATCAAAGTTACCACCTTTAAAAATCCAGCAGTAGCAAAGGACATGGGGCAAGGAGCTGGGGACCCTAAAGGCCAACTCCAACCTGGCCACAGTCTGCATGTATGACCAGGGCCAGAAGGGACCACCAGCAGCCTCCCAGACATGCCTTCCCTCCTACGCTCACTGTACTGCTCTGTGCGCTGTTATCTATGTCTGGAATGTTCTTCCTTTTTCTTCACTTGGCTAACTCATTCTGATTTTTTCAGATTTAACCCACACATCTGGACACATCTGACAAACTCCCTCCATCTTTCAGCCAGGATCAGGAGGGCCCCTCTGTACTTCCATGTACCTATCAAGACTCTTATTTTTCACTATCTGCTTAAATGACAATCTCCCTGCACTACGCTGATTGTTTGTGTTTTATTTTTGAATCCTCAGTGCCCAGGATATAGCAGGCATCCCTGTTTAGGACATAGCTGACACTCAATATATGTTTAAGTAGTGAAGAGATAGATTTATAAAATAAAGAGTGGAACAGATGATTTCAATGGTCTCAGCCAATTGTAAAATACTACAGAAAGTTCTTCATTTACCTCTACTGGCCTCCCAAGGAAATTCTTGTCTGTCATTTTATAATTATGTAAGGCACCTTTATGCTTGTAAGAAACATCGATGTCCATACTCAAGCGGAGTTGTTTAACCAGGAGTGAATATTCCGTCAGGCCCTCAATGGCATTGATTGTGTCCTGTCAGCAATCAGCAAGGCACAAAAATATGTTTAGTTTATTTATGTACTCCCTATTTACAAATGCCCTTTTTATGAGAGGGTAGGGCAGCATTGTCTGGAGATGAAACTCCAGCTGACTCAGTAAGACTGGTTAAGAGCCCCATTGTGGAGGTGGAAGAAAGGTCTCTCCCTCCTCAATAAAGATGCTGTTAGCAGGGACAGGAAGGAAGTGTGGCCTCAGATCTGGGTCCTCTATATATTCTGCAAATGTAACCTCAGGCAAGTCACTGTTTGCAGAATTCATCTGAGTCTTTGAACAATTATCTCTTCCTCATCCTTTAGTCTGACCTTAAGTATCTCCACAACAAGGCCATAAACTCCCCTTTCCCGTTATTCTCTGTTTTAAGGTTCCCTTTTTGCCCTTTCTAGCATTCATCTCAATTTGTAATGCTTTTATTTATAGTTTATTGTTGGCCTACCCCACTGCAATATAAGATTTGTGAGGCAAGTAGGTAATATATTTTTCTTGGTGCCTGCTGTGGTTTGAATGTGTCCCCCAAAGTTCATGTGTTGGAAAGCTTGGTCCCCAATGTGGCAGTGTTAGGAGGTGAGGCCTAATGGGAGGTGTTTGGGTCATGGGGCGTACCACTTTCATAAATGGATTAATGCTGCTTATTATAGAAGTGAATTTGTTATAAAAAGATGAGTTTATACTCCACTCCCACCAACCCTCCACTCTGCCTTCTCTTTGCCCTTCCACCATGGAATAATGCAACAAGAATGCCTTCACCAGGTGCAGCCCCCCTGATCTTGGACTTCCTAGGACCCAGAACCATGAGGTAATAAATTTCTGTCCATTGTAAATTATCCAGTGTGTCGTTTTTTCTGTTACAGCAACACACAATGGACTAAGGCAATGTCCATTGCATTTAGCAGGTACATAAATATTTGTTGAAGGAATAAATGAATAAACTTTATCTTTCTGGACCTCATCTTTCTCATCTATAAAACTGAGAAACATGACTAGATCAGAGATGTTAAACAATGTGGCCATTCCCTCTGCCTATATCTGTGGCGGCAAATGCTAATCAATAGGGCAGTCTTTTCTGCTAACCCTATAATTGTACCCAAAATAAAACACATTACATGGTCAGTAAATTAATACTGAAGGCCCTCTCTACATCTAAATTACATATATATAAATATACACACTCCATCATTATCTAAACATCCAGGCAACAGGGAAGATATTAACATTCGATCTAAACTTTGAATATAAACATGTATTATACGACTACATAATAATTAGTTGTAATAAAAATACATACTCAAATGAGTTTACATTAAATAGCTAGATAGATTAACATGTAACAATCAGTATTTCTCCCACTTTTTATTTATTTCGTTGTGGAGAAGGAGCATCAGTACCTTTGTCTACATGGCAACCACTATTTATTACATAGGATATGATATAATTGCCAATAACCTTACTAGCCTTTCATGGTGATTTAGAATCATGAAGGAAGTACTGGGCTTAAAGTCAGGAGACATGAGTTCTGATTCTGGCTCTGCCATGAATTCCCTGAGTAAAACTCCCTGGGCTAATTTCCTCTTCTGTATAATAAGAGTGTTGACGCAGATAACCTGTAGGGGTCCTTCAATTCTAGGCATTATTCATATCTATTGCATGCTCATTTGGTGGACAAAGGCATGGAGGCCAGATGAGTGTGGTGGGGGAGAAAATAAAAATGTCTACAGGGAGATGAAACAAGACAAAGAAATGTTACCTGGGTTGAATAAAAGCCACCTCCATACCTCTGCTCTTCTGATAGCCATTTGATGACTGGGTTAACATAATTTATATCTTTCAAGTTCAGACTGGTGAGTAAAGCATAGGCAGTTGTTTCTACCATACGTGCCGTACCAGTGTTAGGTACAGAGCTGTCTTTATGCTGAAGATTGTCTTTCCAAAAACGATAAATGGGTGGATTACCTGAACATCAACAAATTCCATTCATTAATATGATTAAAAATGTGAATTTGACATAATAATTCTACCAGGTGTATTATGGCCTTCCAGTTTCTAGAAGCTACTTACTTTTTCTTGTTAGAGGAACTTCCTGAAGATGACCAATGCAAAACGAGATCCCTTAATATGGTATTACTTGTCTTTACACATTGAGCATCCCTAATCTGAAAATCTGAAATATGAAATGCCCCCAAAATCTGAAAGTTTTTGAGCTCTGACATGATGCCACAGGTGGGTAATTTCACCCCTGACCTCATGTGATGGGTCACAATCAAAATGCAGTCAAAACTTTGTTTCATGCACAAAATTATTGAAAATAGTGTGTAAAATTACTTTCAAGCTGTGTGTAAAGTATATATGAAACATAAATGAATTTCATGTTTAGACTTGAGTCCCATCCCCAAGATATATCATTATGTATATGTAAATATTCCAAAATCTGAAAAAAATCTGAAATCTGAAATACTTCTGGTCCCAAGCAGTTCAGATCAGGAACACTCAACCTATTTTTTGTTTTTTTTGTTTGTGTGTTTTGAGACAGGATCTTGCTGGCACCCAGGCTGGAGTGCAGTGGTGTGATTGTAGCTCACTGCAGCCTCAATCTCTTGGGCTCAGTGATTCTCCCACCTCAGCTTCCTGAGTGGCTGGGACTATAGGGGTGTGCCACCATGCCAGGTTATGTTATCCAGCCTGGTCTCAAACTACTGGGCTCAAGCAATCCTCCTACCTTGGCCTTCCAAAGTACTGGGATTACAGGCATAAGCCACTGCACCCGGCCTCAATCTGTATTTTAAAATCAACATAGTACACATGTACTAGGAAGGGGCAGTTTAGTAGAGTCGAAAGTGCAATAAACTGGTATTGCACCCAGCTTCTAGTCTTTCTTTTGTTGCTAACTTACCATGTCACTTTGGGCAAATTCCTTTAGTTCTGTGTGACTCAATTTCCTAATACCTATAGTATAGATAATACTTTCTTCCATGCAGTGAAACTCAAATGAAATACTAAAGTAAAAGATTTTGTAAACTAGAAAGCACCATGCATATATAAGGGATTATTATTATTATTATTATTACTGACACTAAAAAATAAACTGGAGAACCTTTTTCCTGATAGGAAAATTTACATCCTGGAAATTATGAGATTAAACCTAAAGCCTTAGTTCAGTCTTTCATTATTTCTTTCCAATTTAAAGCACTCAAGACAATTTCGTACATGCAGCACTTTTCATAAATTAGGCTGTAAATTATATTTGTTATTTAAACCTGTAAACCTCAAATCCTTTTTGGAACAAACTATTTGTTTTAAAAAAAGTAATGCATATTTGGAAATCATATTTGAAGGTTAGTAAAAATTTTGATGTGTATGTTTATAATTCATAACTACATTATTTGCATGACCTTGAAAATGATATTGACCCTTCCTCTCAGAGTCTCAGATTTGCTGTATTTAAAATGAAGAGTTGAGTTTAGGATTTTAAAGAAACCCAACTGGAACAACTCTTGGATTATTAAGTTCCCTTCTAGATCTTAAATTTTATGATTTTATGACCCATATCTCACAATACCCAAGACATTTCTTTTGTGTTATTTTTGAAGTATCGTACAAGTGGTTTTGAGGCATATGTTAAAATATAGTAATTTTAAAATGATGGCACAAATCATATTTTGTAGATGGTCATAAACCTCAGTAAGATTTATAAAGCCTTAGCTAGAAGAGGACTCCAAAGTGCCCAACCATGCTAATAATCACTGCTACTCTCTTTCTATTTTTTGTCTCTTGACCTATAGGAAGCAGTATCTTTATTCTTCAAAACCAAACACATACTTTTATAGCAAACCTGGTAAAATATAAGCCAGGTCATGCACTCCTTTGCTCAAAATCCCCCAGTGGCTCCCCTTTTCACTCTCAAAGCTGAAATTAAAGTTCTAGGGCTCCTTCTGGTCCCCACAGCACATTGCTGTGGATAAGACATGGGCACTCCTTGCTCTAGGTGGAAGCAGCCCTAAACTAGGGTATGTGGCCGGGGGAGTGGAGCACAGGCTAGATTTCAGCCTCGATTCACTTGATTGCTTAGGTACTTTGTCCACGGCACAACTGTTTACAGAAGCCCTGAAGAGTCTCTCTAATGCCTTAAATGACCTTCCCTTGCTCCCTCACTTTTTCCTTACCTGACCTCACTTCCTACTCCTCTTCTCACTCCTCTGCAGTCACACTGGCCTCCTTGCCATTCTTGGAGCACCAGGCATGCCCATGCCTCAGGGCATTTGCACGTGCTGTTCTCCACCAGGTACTTCCTTCTAGATAGCCACAGGAATTGCTTCTTCACCTCCTTTCAGCTCTTGACTCAAACACCATCCTCTTAGTGAAACTTAAGCCCAGTCAGCTTGTCTAAAATTACAATGCATCCTCTCACCTTATTTTCTTTCCCTGCTCTATTTTTCTTCATATCAGCCATCACCATCTATTCATAAAGCTTTATTTATTTATCATGTTTGTGTCTCCCCAGTTAGAATTTAAGTTTCATGATGGCCTGGATTTTGGGGAGCCTGTTTTGTTTATTCCTTTATTCCCAGAGACTGGAATAGTGCCAGGTATATAGGGGGTGTCCAGGGTGTACATAGGATACTCAATGCATATTTATTGAATAAAGGAATAAATAGAGGACAGGTGTGGTGGCTCATGCCTGTGATCCTAGCACTTTGGAAGGCTGAGGCAGTAGGAGTGCTTGAGCCCAGGCATTTGAGATCATCCGGGGAAACACAGTGAGACTCGTATCTGCAAAATATAAAAAAAAGTAACTGGGTTCAGTGGTGGGCACCTGTAGTCCCAGCTACTGAGGTGGGAAGATCACTTGAGCCCAGGAGATCGAGGCTGCAGTGAGCCACGATCATGCCACTGCACTCCAGCCTGGGTGACAGAGCGAGAACCTGTCTTAAAAAAAAGAATAAATATTTGCTGAATGAATGCATGAATAAATGAATGAATAACGGCACACATTACATCGTATTGTGACGGTTTGTTCCTTGAGGACAGGAATTGCATCTTACTCAAGTTCACATGTCACCACCCACTTCCCAGACTAGCAGACTTTATGTCTTAGTGAACACTCACTGAATACATGTATGGAACAAGTTATACCTTTAACCAAAGCTTCTCTCTTCAAAGCTGAAACAATTGAACGAAACTGTGGGTGAGTTTTATCTCCCAGGGAAAGAGCATACGCAGAAATGGCCAATGTAAAGGTGCTCTGGGCTGGCAGTGTATTTTCAAGCAGAAAGTTGTCAGCTTTAATTAGAGCTGTGTCGATTTTCTGGAAACAAGAGAAGATACTTCAGTTTCTATGTCAAGCAACCACCTATCAATTGATATGAACTACCCTCAGATCCCACTATCCTGGAGCAAGCAATATGGGGGTGAAAAGAGGACTGACCTAATGGAAATGGATGGCTTCTCAGTGAAGCAAATCCCTCCGAGAGAAGGAGCAGAGCATAATCTTGGAAGGGACAATGAGGTTGTCCAAATCAGGTTAAGCTTTTTGCCTCTGAATTCTCACTTTCCTTTTAGAGGTTTTGTGCCTTTAGTTTCTGAGTACACCGTCAGACCTAGCCTCCAGGAAGAAAAGGCACCGAGCATAGACACAATTTCTTTTTTTTTCTTTTTTTTTGAGACGGAGTCTCGCTCTGTCGCCCAGGCTGGAGTGCAGTGCTGCGATCTCGGCTCACTGCAAGCTCCGCCTCCCAGGTTCACGCCATTCTCCTGCCTCAGCCTCCGGAGTAGCTGGGACTACAGGCGCCCCGCCACCACGCCCGGCTAATTTTTTTTTTTTGTATTTTTGGTAGAGACGGGGTTTCACCGTGTTCGCCAGGATGGTCTCAATCTCCTGACCTTGTGATCCGCCCGCCTCGGCCTCCCAAGTGCTGGGATTACAGGCGTGAGCCACTGCACCCGGCCCATAGACACAACTTTTATTGTTCCCTCTCAGCGTAGTTGCAACAGGCACACAGGTTCAAAAGGAGTTACACTTAAAAAAATAAATAAATAAAACAATAAGTAGCAGAAAGAAACCCTAACTGCCACAGTACTTTTAGATCCTAAGAATGCCTGGGTAAATAGTCCCGATCACTAGTCCTGACGCCACCAAAATGGTTGTGTTGGGCAAGTGGGCCAGCAGAAAGCCTGCTGCGATGCTGCTAACATCCTGCCTGCCTCCTCTCCCAGCTCCACATGCATCTCTCACCCATGTGGCCACTAGGTGCCTGGGAACTAGTCTTCATTGATTATTTTGTCTTGTTAAGCTTCTGAAACAAACTGAAAACAAATGGTTTTGTTTTGTGCTTCCAGTTTTGCAAATCCACTTGAGATTTTCCATCTCAACCTTGGAAATCTTCTATGTTGATTTACTTAGGTGGCTCATCACTTTTCTCCCGTTTCCAAGCAAATGTTGTTTGGAAGGATTTGGAGGATACACATTTGCTGTTGTGTATCCTCAGTACTTGCATGATACAGAATGCTTTCACTATAGGATAACAGTAACATATAAAGCAGGATTTAGCAAAGATAAGACAGAGAAGCTGGGGGCACTGGATCATTCTTCCATCCCAGTCCCAGCTATCAGTTTTAGACCCAGCTCTACAATTTATTAGCCTGTGACACTGGGAAACTGAATTCACCTTACTTAGTCCTCAGCTTTCTCAACTGCCGATGAGTAGGTTGGACTAGGTGGTCTCTAATATCTATCATTGTTCTGAAATCTTTCAATTCTGGAGTTTAAGTTATTTTCAAGTTATTGGAAAGAAGGAAAAGAAGCTTTTGAAACAAAAGGTCTTCTGATTGGTGGCCCCTCCAGTATATAGTACAGAAATAGATGATGGGTGTGAGAGAAAGAAAACTCTTACTTACCACCAGGGGGCATATATCGAAAGCCTTTCTAATTCCAATCACAGTAAAGGCTGTAAGATATAAGCTGTTCTCTCGGGCTTCAACAGGCAAGGTACCCTAAAAAGAAGCAATGTTTTAAAAGGGGAGTGAAATGGTGTCTTTAAGGCGAAATGACCTGATTCTACTCTGTTTTTTGTTTGTTTGTTTGAGATGGAGTCTCACTCTGTCACCCAAGCTGGAGTGCAATGGCTTGATCTTGGCTCACTGCAACCTCCGCCTCCCGGGTTCAAGCCATCCTCCGGCCTCAGCCTTCTGAGTAGCTGGTACTACAGGCGTGCACTACCACGCACGGCTAATTTTTGTATTTTTAGTAGAGACGGGGTTTCACCATATTGACCAGGCTGGTTTTGAACTCCTGACCTCATGATCCGCCCGCCTTGGCCTCCCAAAGTGCTGCAATTACAGGCGTGAGCCACCGCACCTGGCCTCTACTCTGTGTTTTAAGCCTTATCTCCCACTCTTTCCCTTCCTGCTTCCCATTTCTCAATAAGCCCTGGGTCTATCTCGCTTGAGTGCTTTCACTTGCCCATCTACCTCCACCCCGTTAAACGAGAGGTCTAAGATATCACTTCTCTGATCTCTAGTGAACTGTCTGAAGATCGCTTCACTTCAGATATTATGGGAAAGACCTTTGTATATTTTGCTTGTTCACAAAGGAATTTCTTGCAGAATTACATTTTTTTCTTCTTCTTCTTCATCCTCCCATAATCAGATGAGAATAAAACTCAAACTAAATAAAACTATTGCTAATTTGTGCATTTGGTTTCCTTACCTGTAATTTTATTGGTTGATACTGTGAATTTTCCTTGAAAGATCCATTATCTAATTGATAATTCTCAACTAGCCACAATAAAGAATTACAAATTGAATTTTGGTTCTGCTCTACGTATTTATTTACTTGTCCAAGTACTCTTAAAGCAAAAGCTGTTAACCTTTAAGACAAAATCAAATAAATAAATATTTAGAACGCTGAATCCCTTTTGACTTTCAATTAATTTATACAACTTTATTCTTTAAAAGAAAATAACATTTTAAAAC
Source organism: Homo sapiens (assembly GCF_000001405.40). Taxonomy (NCBI): domain Eukaryota; kingdom Metazoa; phylum Chordata; class Mammalia; order Primates; family Hominidae; genus Homo; species Homo sapiens. The sequence goes on from NC_000009.12 coordinate 120,982,921, forward strand.
ATGCAATTCCAAAGTAAGTCATCATTTTACAAAGGAAGGGAAGATTTTTGGAATACCTCCAAAACATTCGGTAAACAAATGTGAACAGCACATCTTCTGTGATTACAACATTGTCCGCTAGCACACAAGCTAAAAATTGATTCCTGATGATAAGAATTACACTCTAAAGTTAAAGATAACAGAGATAAAATAAATAGTTTTGAGTCAAGGCATTGACCTATGAACATGAGACATGAAAGAGTAAATCACAAAATTCTAGATTGTAAAATTTGTGCATTCCATGGAATCTAAATTCCTATCTGAGGCCCCAAGTCCCCTTTCCCAATGTCCCTGGAGTGTTTATCTCACTTGTCCTTGAGTGCTGCCATTGACACAGAACTTACTACCCCACAGGAAATTTTAATGATCATTATTACTTAGTCAAAAAGCAATTTCAAGTCTCTACTAATACCCATCGAAGAGTATCAGAGAGGATTGGGTTCATCCCCCCATAACATCTCTTCACTCTCTCAGTCGCCCAGGAGGCTCCACTCCCCAGGTCCTCAAATGTCTGAGACTCAGACCACTTGACTTGCTCTCCCACTTCCCCCACTTAAAAAATTTGTGTTTCTTTTTCATTTTCATTTTTTAAATGTATTTTAAGCATTTTTTTAAAGAGGTAAAACCCTCACATGATTCAAAAATCCAAAAGTGAAGCCTGGGCGTCATAGTGAGACATTGTCTCTACAAAAAATGCAAAACATTAGCCAGATGTGGTGGCAGGCACCTATAGTCTCAGCTACTTGGAAGGCTGAGGTGGGAGAATTGCTTGAGCCCAGGAGGTAGAGGCTGCAGTAAGCTGAGATCCTGCCACTGCATCCAGCCTGAGTGAGAGAACTTAAAAAAAAAAAAATCCAAAAGCACAAAGGGATATTTTATGAAAAGTCTCCTTCTAGCAGTCCCTGTCCCCCTCCACCTCCCAACAGAAGATGACCATTGTTTCTTGTGCTTTCTTCCAAATAGTAGATACAAGATATAGCCTTCCCATCTACCTTTCCATCCCAACCACACCAAAATGGTGGGAGAATGTTTACATTATCCTGTACTTGGCTTTTTTTCCATTTAGTAATATGCCTTAGAGATCTATATTAATACATAAAGTTTCCTTGTTCTTTTACAAGTGATTTTATACATTAAATTATAGTATTTTGGTACAGATGCACCAAAGCTATTTAAGCCATTTCCCTTTCTGTAGACATTTAGGTTGTTCTCAGTCTTTGCTCTAATTGATTTAATTATTTTAAAGATTTTTTTTTTGATATTAATCGGAACTTGCCCCTCCACAACTAGGTGCCTTTTCCTAATTCTTTCTCTAGAAACATCAGAAATTTATTTTCTACTCTATTGACTTTTAGGGGGTAAGAGTTGAGAGCTCCTCTCTTTTTAATCCTCCCACACTGCTCTCAAGGATGAGAAATACTTCTACGGATTGCTCAGGTTCAAGGACACTCACATTTTCAAAGATTGGCCCACATTTTACATTGGGTCTCTCTTGGGATTTTGGCTTTTGGAAGTCTCTCTTCTTTTAGCAGGCTAGAAAGGCATATGAGTGCAGTTATACGGCCAGGCTGCCTCTCCACTTATCTATACATCTGTATATATAAAGATGCTTTAGTTACATCTTTGAAAAAAGGCAATGGCAATAAATAGAAACAACGGACTCATCCTTTGGGATCAATTATAAAGATTAAATATATGAACATACTTAAAATAGTTCTGGATTATAGTAAGTATTCAATAGGTATAAGCTCTTACTTTTTTTTTTTTTTTTTTTTTTTTTCAGACGGACTCTCTCTCTGTTGCCCAGGCTGGAGTGCAATGGCGCAATCTTGGCTCACTACAGCTTCCACCTCCCAGGTTCAAGCGATTCTCCTGCCTCAGCCTCCTGAGTAGGTGGGACTACAGGCACGTGCCACCATGCCAAGCTAATTTTTGTATTTTTAGTAGAGACAGGGTTTCACCATGTTGGCCAGGCTGGTCTCAAACTCCTGACCTCAGGTGATCCACCCGCCTCAGCCTCCCAAAGTGCTGGGATTATAGGTGTGAGCCACTGCACCTGGTTTTTATAAGCTCTTACTCCTATCTCTCTTTCTCTTTGGTACTCTTGGGTGTCTCATCCCTGGTATCCTTAAGGAGTGAGAGTCTAGACAGCACTTCCCTAAAGGTAAAGCAAATACAATTCGCTCTAGCTTTTTGCGTTCTCCTCTTCCCACTGACCTGTCCCTTGGAGACTGCCCTGAAATTCAAATTTTAAGTGTGACATGGAGGAAAAAAAGAAGTAGGCTATTTGATTTGCTTTTGTTCCAGACCCTAGGCTACCTCTACAAGTGCTTAATATGGTCTAGTTTAGTTCCTCATGTTTTACAGTAGGGTCTGGGACTAAAAATTTAGAGTAGAAAAGAATTTTTTAGTCACCTTGAAGAGAAATCTGGCAAAATCTGATGAAACTGTAAATATGCATTCCTTATGTTCCAGCAATTCTATCTCCTGGGATATACCCTAGAGAAACTCTCACACATGTGCACAAAGAGACATATGAAGATGTTCATTATCATATTGTTTGTAATATTAAAATTTGGAAATGGTTGTCCATCAAGATAGGAATAGATAAAGAATATATACTATGTGATATATTTGTAAAATAAAATACTGCATGGCAATGAAAAGGAGTGAGCTATATTTACCTATACTACTAGATCTAAAGTAACTAAAAAGTATTAAAAGAAAAAGGTAAGTTACAGAATGATAGGTATAGTATGATACTAGTTATAATCATTTAGAAATACAAAAAGGGACTGTAAACCCATCACTTCATTTTGGAAGCAAATAACCATTCTTTCTTTTACAATGCTTAACTTTCTTAAACAGTGCTTACTTAAGAATTCCAGGAACTAGCCATGAGATAAAAATCAAGGATGTGAAATGTCCCCTGGAGAAGAAAAATACTGAGCAGTTAATCTACAAACCTGTTTCAGTCTAGCTGACCACTAGATGGCCCGTTACTCAAGATAATAATCAGAACAAGACATGCTGACCTGTACGTAGCTAACTCTTGCACACAGTTTTCCAAGCCCCTTCCTCTTTAAAATCCCTCTGGCCAGCCTAGGGCATTTGGGATAGTTTCCTGACTCTAGTCTGCCATCTCCTTGGGTTGCTGGCTCCTGAATTAACCTGCTTTTCCTCCCACCAACCTTAGTCTCTTGAGTTTGGCATTTGAGCAGTGAGCAGCCAAACTGGAGTTAAGTTACAGCTATATGATTTCATGTATATATATACTATATAAAATATTAAAAATGTTCTGGAAAGATGCATAAACTCATGATAGTGAATGCCCTTGGGGGAAAGAAACAGAAATAAGATGGAGGCTTGTAGTTAAAGAGAAAAGTTCAATATCCACAATGTTCTTTAAAAAAAAAAAAAGACGAATATAAAAAATGTTCATCATCATCAATTTTGGGTTTTGCTAATATGAATGATATTCGTACTTTAAAAAATCTGCTTTGTATTTCTCAAGAAAAGTTTGAGGGTATTTAGGTGCTGGACATTTTCTTCTATGTCTATTATTTCTTTCAAGGAACTCATGGAGTTGGGTGTATGTTTCAGTCTTGCCCCAAACTCTTGAAAGGCTCTGAGTGTTTACTGAGAGGCTGTTGTACCTTCCTGTGGGGCTTTCTGCTCTCCAGGCATCTATTTCCCAGGTCCTGCTGTGTCAGTTTCCAGTCTTCATTGACACTCACTCCCACTCCTGCATCCTGGGTTATCCTCTGGTTGGTGTGCTGCAGGGGTCTATGAGCCTTTTATTTATTTTTTTATATTTTTATTGTTTTATTAAAGACAGGGTCTCCCTATGTTACCCAGTCTGGTCTGGAACTCCTCTGCTCAAGCCATCCTCCTGCTTCAGCCTCCCAAAGTGCTAGGATTATAGGTGTGAGCCACTGTATCTGGCCCTGTGTGTCTTTTGAAGTGTGTCACCCACACATGGTCAGACCTAATCCTAAGGTATAATCTATGGAACTTGGTAGCTGATCAGAGGTAAAGCCAAAAGGAAAGGAAGGAATCAAAAACCAACTGATGATTCTGACTTGATCCATGGGGGACAAAGGGCAGGGTATTGTTGTGCACTGAGTAAAGAAACAGAAGTGTATTTGAGGAAGAAAATAATGAATTTGGCACATATTGTGCTTGAAGGATCTTTGGCTTCCGGAAACCTAGAAATATGGATCTAGGACATTTCCTAACTTCTTAGGAAAGAAGTTAGGCCTTGAGACATTGATTAGGGGGCCATTGGCCTAGATGTTATGGAAATCATGGGCAATAATGAGACTGTACCAGGGGAGATTACAGAAAATAAGAGGGCCAAAGATAAAATTCTGGGAGATCTCAATAGCTAAAGAAAAAAAACTGGCCAGGCGCAGTGGCTCATGCCTGTAATCCCAGCCCTTTGGGAGGTTGAGGTGGGTGGATCACGAGGTCCGGAGATCGAGACCATCCTGGCCAACATGGTGAAACCCCACCTCTACTAAAAATACAAAAATTAGGCATGGTGGTGCGCGCCTGTAATCCCAGCTCTCAGGAGGCTGAGCCAGGAGAATCGCTTGAACCCGGGAGGCGGAGGTTGCAGTGAGCCGAGATCGTGCCACTGCACTCCAGCCTGGGAACAGAGCAAGACTCCGTCTCAAAAAAAAAAAAAAGAAAAAAGAAAAAAGAAAAAAATCTAAAATTAAAGTATTCTAGGTTGTAAACTCCTTAAATATGTTTCATATAGAACCTACAAAGCAGCTGGCACACCGTTTTTATTAAATATTTTGTCATAGCATGATGGTTTTTTTGTTTTGTTTTGTTTTGTTTTTTGAGACAGAGTCTCACTCTGTCACCCGGGCTGGAGTGCAGTAGCGCGATCTCGGCTCACTGTAACCCTTGCCTCCTGGGTTTAAGTGATTCTCCTGCCTCAGCCTCCTGAGTAGCTGGGACTACAGGCACATGCCACTACGCCCAGCTAATTTTTGTATTTTTCATAGAGACGGGGTTTCACCATGTTGGCCAGGATGGTCTCGATCTCTTGACCTCATGATCCGCCCGCCTTGTCCTCCCAAAGTGCTGGGATTACAGGCGTGAGCCACCATGCCCAGCCGGTATTTTTTGAAAATAGACTGCCATATGGACTCTTAATTAATTCAGACTATCTTTCCCTCAAATCATCAGAATTTTGGAAGATATGTTTCATTGAATAAATACTTACTGAGCATCTACTATGTGCCAGGTAGGTACCAGGCACTAGGGATACTTAGAACTTCCCGCATGGAGCTTATATTCCAGTGGGGGAGATACACAATAGTGGAATAAGCAAGAACGTTAGTAATCACACTGAGGAGAAAAGAAACGATATGAGGTGTTGGGAGGGGAGTGGATTGCAATTTTAGACATTATGATATAGCAGAGGCCTCCCCAAGGTGACATTTGGTAAAGACCTGAGGGAAATATGAGAGCCAGTCATGCTGACACCTAAGGAGGAGTATTCCAGACTGAGAAAACAGTGCAAAGGCCCTGAGGTGGAAGCATGCCTGGTGTGTTTGAGGAAGGCTAGTGGGGCTGAATTGGAGGGAAAGAGAGTATAGGAGATAAAGTAGGAGACATGAGGTGGAGCCAGATCATACAGAGCTTTGTAAATCACAATAAAAAGTTTGGTTTTTACTCTGGGTAAGATGGGAAGCTCCTAAATGGTTTTGAGTGGCATGATCTAACATATGTTTTAACAGGGTCACTTCAGTTGCTGTGTTGAGTATATACTGAAGAGGATCAAGGGCTGAACCCAGAAGACTAAGGGAGACTAGTGTAAGAATCCAGGTGGGAGAGGAAGGTGTCTTGGAACAGGATAGTGTGGTGGAGGTGGTGAGAAGTAGTCAAATTAAGGATATATTTTGAATCCATATCTGCTGGATCAGATGTGAACGGTAAGAGAAAGAGAGGAGTGAAGGATGACGAGGCTTTTAGCCTGAGCAACTGGAGGAATGGAGTTTCCATTATGGTTATTATTCTTTAGTTAATTAACCACTATATGAAAATGCAACTCAAAATCTTCTACTTACCAAGTGCTAGCACTTCCACCCTTCCACACACTGTAAGAGTAGTCAGCATTTCTGTAGGACATAATGCTCAACATCCCTAAGAAGCACAAGAAAAAGAACACGGTGCTTAACAGACCTCCGTTTCTACTCAAAGAACACTTTATCAGGCCCTGAGAATGGTAAGCTTCCTTTGGTGTTGGGCAGCAAGCATATGCTCTGTGGCCAGCATTGAACTTCTCAAAGGAAGTATATGAATTGCTCGAATTGGGAATTATCAAGTAGAACATTCTGATCTCATTCGAAAAGGAAGGAAGTGTTCTGTAGTTTGGAATGCAGGTGCCTTGCCTCTCATTCAGGCATTTTGGTAAGTTGAGCCAAAATGCTACAGAAATAATATTTATTTATATAGTAGAGTCCATCTCATGATTTTTTTGCTAAAATTCTCTTACAAAGTTTTCTATAATTCACAACTTAAATATTAGTTTAATAAAAATATTAGTTTAGAATCACCCAATTTTTATGTGAAATACTTTTTTTTTTTACCTTCTTTTAATTTTTTCTTCAGTTTCTGCTTTTCAATTAATGGGTCAGAATGAAAAATGTTCCAATGATTTCCTGTTTCCAGGTAGTGAAAAACATAGAATACTGGGACAACGCTCATCAGCTCCGCCTCTGCACTCCCTTTGGGGAGGTGGGTTAGGATATTGATGCCTTCCTGACTTAGAACTGCAGACAAGATCTCACCTACAAGCAGTCCTGAAACAAAAAAGATCAAAGTAGACACATTGCTTTTTATTAACTTCTAACAGTATGTTCTCAAGAGAGAAGAACAACCATCTAGAGATGGTTCTTCCCTTTTTATCTAGGCAGTTGACTTGCTTCTCAGAAACGGGGTGAGAAAAAAAGATCCGGTTAGGAACATGAATTTGAAAGAAACAAAAAAAAAAAAGACTTTAAAAATCACTAAAATATGGTGGTAGGTAATGTAATACAGTGGACTGATTGCTGCAAGAGAACATGGCAAATTAGTTGCCATTCAACCTGTTAGCTTTAGACATTATAAACCATATTTACCAATCCCTTCCAGGAAGCAAAGCAAAGAGCCTGAACAGGGAGTGCTGACATGACTGTCTATAATTCACTGTGCAACCTTGGACATGCCACTTTCTTTTATATCCAACAGCAGGGTTGCACATGATCAAAAAGATCCTTTCCAGTACTAACATTTTGTGATTCTAGGGTTTTATCTGAGATAAAATGTAGTCAGGACATTCTATCATTCGGTAATATGTTATTGAATTGTAAAGCCTGGAGACTAAGGAAAACCTAGTCACTTGTGCAAATATCACTTCTGCAAATGTATGCGAGGGGAGGAGAATCCCTGCTATGGTTTGAATGTATATGTCTCTCCAAAATTCATACACTGAAGCCTAATCACCAAGGTGATAGTATTAGAAGGTGGGGCTTTTTGAGAGGTGATTAGGTTATGATGGCTCCACCCTAATGAGTGGGATTAATAATCTTATAGACGAGGTAAGAGGAAGTTCTTCACCCCTTTTTGCCCTTTTGCCTTTCCACTTTCTGCCACAGGAGGATACAGCAACATATATCCTCATGGAAACAGAGAGCAGCCCTTGCCAAACACCCAATCTCTTGATGCCTTGATCTTGGACTTCCCAGCCTCCAGAACTGTGAGAAATAAATTTGTATTATTTATAAATTTTGTTATTTTGTTATGGCAGCATAAATGGACTAAGACAACCCTTCTGGGACCAGTACTTCAGCAGAGCAGTGCTGTTCTCGCTAGGCCATGTGCAGGCCATAGGCCTTCTCTGGAGCGGGACTGGCCACTAAGACCATGGAAAGTTCTTTAAGTCTAGAAGCAACTGGACCCCCATTTTAGAGACATCTTTGAGCCAATGACAGTCCCTACCTTCCATTGGAGGAGAATGCATCTCCATGTAAATCAGGCCGTTGGAAGAAGATAGTGGGAAAAGTGATTAAAGGTTTGAAAGTGGGGGTGGGTAGGGGTGGAGCACTCCTAAAGGTAGATTTGTGTGTGCTACTGAACACGGAAGTGGAGAAACAGAATAATCATGAGGATATTTGATTTTTGTTTGAAGCACCAAGTGAAATGAGAAATAAAAATGGCATTTGTTAATTTACCTTTTACACTCAAAATCCTTTTGATTTCTGTTTTGGGGACCAAATCTAAGGGTATCCTGTATGGGAACTCCTTTCGTCTGCTAATGGTACCTGTAATTTAGAAAATTTGGATTTATACAGAGTTTCCAGGGGAAGACTGTTTGCAGATTATTTATAATGTATCTACTTCCAAAGAATATTTCAAAATAAAAGACTTATAATTAGACTATTAAAATTTTAAAAGAAAGTTAAAAATCATCAAGGACTTTAATCAAACCCTAGGCTTGTATAATCTTATTAAATAAAGCATTAAATTTGGCTGTAAGCTTCCTGGTCATTATAAGATGTGAAATAAATAGGTTATATAAATCTTATTCACCAGCAAAATATAGCATGCCAGCTTGCCCAAAGACAGAAAATTGTTCCTGGAACTGAAAGCTAAGAATAACTAACATGTAATTTCTTAATCAACTATATATTGAACATTAGCTCCACAGGGAAGTATGATCTGAAATTCTTTCCACCTTCCCTTCCCAGTCTAGTTTTGATACTTTTTAATCTATGGGCAAAACAACAGAGTTTTAGCATACTGGTATCAGATAATTTTTCTACTGTGATCACTGGTTTATGTCCAAAAAAAGGTAACATTGATCATTCTACTGATAGAGTACCAAGCATGCTACTAAGTTCTTTAAATGAATTATTGCATTGGATTCTCACAACAGTCCTCTATGTTAGGTCTATTTTCATTAGTTTAATTTTATAGATGAGGAAATTGAGGCTTAGAAAGTAACGTGTTCAAGGTCCCAGAAACAATACAAGTGGAGCTGCAATCTGAACTCCAGAAGTTTTGCTGCAGAGCCCACACTAGTCACCACAAAGAGAATCCACCTCCCATTGTCCTGCTAAGAAAGCACTCTGGGGGCAGGAATCATTTCTCATTCCAGCTGTAGTCCTGGCACTTAGCACAGACCCTGGCATATGGAAGATGCTAAAGAAAAATGAGTCACATTTTGCAATTTAATGGACAAGCCACATGGCTTTCCTAAAAATGCAGGAACATTCCTCATAAAACTTCTTTCTTCATTAATCCTTGATAAATGCAGAGGATATATCAAAATAAAATTCAGAAGACATTTAAGAGGTTTGCACTTTGAGTGAAAGAGCATGAAGTTCAAAAAGAGCTTAGTATATATGTGACGCTGGGCAAGATACAACCTTTCTTAGCCTCAATTTGTTCATCAGTTAAATGGAGATAACAACATTTTCCTCAAAGGATTTTTGTGGGATAAAAATAATATAGACAAAGAGCCTGGCATACAATTCATGCTCAATATATGATACTTATTACAGATAGCCTTGAGATTATCTAGATTTGCTCCTTCACCATTTTCTCCATTGAAACCTGCTCTTGACTATTTCAATTCCATTGGCAACTCTACTACCAGGTGGAAAAGGTAAAGAGAAAGTTAAAACTAAGAGAAGTTAATTTTATTCCTCATCAGTGATCACGGTAAAAGACTCATCAAGACATCACATAAAAAGGCAGGTTCCAGACAGATTAAAACATTTTAAATTCAAATCTATAAAATTAACAGAATAAAATATCCAGCAATGTCTTTGTGAACTAAGAGTAGAGAAAGACCTCTTAAAGATTACCTCAAAAATATATAACCATAAGATGAAATTATGATGGATTTGACTACATCAGAATAAATAATTCCTTTTCAAACCCATGAAGGCTTGTTGTTGCTCAAAGAGGTACATCAGAGACAAAATCAAGAAGAAATTTTAAAAGGATAACCCAAATAGAAAATTTAAAAACGTGCAAAAGATATGAATAGGCAATTGACAGATGGGAAACCCAAATGGACAAGTATATGAAGAAATGCTTAAAATCATTAGTAACCAGAAGAATCCAAATTAAAACAATAATGAGATAGTGCTTTATACCCATTAAAAATGCCACATTTTAGAGAGGCAAGTGTTGGTGAGGTTGTGGAGAGACGAGAACCCTCGTGCACTGCTAATGGAAGTATAACCATTCTGAAGGGCAATATGACAGGACTAAATGGCATTAAATATGTATATATCCTTTGACCCAGCTCCTGGATATATGGTCCAGGTAAATGCTAACATGGATTTTTCAAGGGAAATATATTGTATATACAGTGATGGATAAAATGGTGAGGGAACATGCTCTGAAATTCTATGTAAGAAAAATGAATTAAGTATACCTATAACAATAGAGTTATATATATATATATTTTTGAGACGGAGTCTCGCTCTGTCGCCCAGGCTGGAGTGCAGTGGCGTGATCTTGGCTCACTGCAAGCTCCGCCTCCCGGGTTCACGCCCTTCTCCTGCCTCAGCCTCCCGAGTAGCTGGGACTACAGGTGCCCACCACCACGCCTGGCTAATTTTTTGTATTTTTAGTAGAGACGGGGTTTCACCGTTTTAGCCAGGATGGTCTCGATCTCCTGACCTCGTGATCCGCCCGCCTCAGCCTCCCAAAGTGCTGGGATTACAGGCGTGAGCCACCGCGCCTGGCCGAGATATTTCTTTAAAACTAAGCCTTGAGTGTAACAACTTAAGACAGAATAGGATCTATAGCACAATGTTACATATACATAGATTAAAGAGGTACATACATACAAAACAACATTACCTTTCTATTCAAAAGTATACAGCAAACACATTTGAGTGGGTACACTTGGAGGAAGGGGAATGGGAATGGGGTCCGGGATGAAGGAAAAAATAAAACGAGAGGGGCCTGCCTAAACCAATGAGGATGGTGTGTCAGGAAATGAGGGAGTGAGAAACTTAACACTCTGCATTTGAGATATGAGACGAGTTGGGAGAAAAGGGCTTATCAGGGACAGAAAGCAGAAACTAAAGACTAGAGCTAGTCTTAAGCATTGAGTCTCTGTGTTTAGTCTTTTTTTAAGCTGGTGTCACACAATTTTAATTACTATATACTGTTTGTTCTCCCTCATTGATATATTTTTTCAGATTTCCTTTAACATTATAGTCCATTTATTTTTCCAAACACTTTTTAGCATTTTTTTTTAACTGAACCCTGTAAAGTATCATAGTTGTATAGCGATTTCAATATATAAATATCAGAAATAGGCCGGGCACAGTGGCTCACGCCTGTAGTCCCAGCATTTTGGGAGTCCAAGGCTGGTGGGTCACTTGAGGTAAGGAGTTCCAGACCAGCCTTGCCAACATGGTAAAACCCCGTCTCTACTAAAAATATAAAAATTGGCCAGGCATGGTGGTGAGTGCTTGTAATCCCAGCTATTCCAGAGGCTGAGGCAGGAGAATCGCTTGAAATCAGGAGGTGGAGGTTGCAGTGAGCTGACATGGCGCCACTGCACTCCAGCCTGGGCAACAGAGTGAGACCCTGTCCCCCCACCCCACAAAAAAAAAATAATAAATATTAGAAGTATTTAATAAAATATCTGAAATAAGCTGAACAGAATTTTTATCTTTTCCCTCTTTAGCTCTGCAGAAATCAGGAAAGCTGCCTAAACCCAAGTTGCCTAAAATGTTAAGGGAAAAAAGTCATATGAGAAGATTGGAAAGAGGCACAGATTTTTGTTTTAACCCAGATTTTCTCTACAGAGATTTATTCCCAGATAAAAGATTGTTCCTATCCTGTGGCCTTGATGTTCACACCTAGGATGAGTAAGGCAAGACTGCTCTGGAAAATTGTTTGCAATAATGTCAGCAGAAGAAGCATCTGTGGTGAAAAAAAAAAAAAAAAGAAAGAGAAGCCAAGGACACAGTGGCTTTTGAGGCTTGATATAATTGCATGAGGCTAAAACCCTTGAAACTTGTAATATCTCTACCCATAGATCATTCACAATGAGCAGGCAAGGAGGAGGTCTGTGTGAAGAAAAAATTGGAGAAACAAGTAAGCATGTGGACGCATGTACATAGATGGATTTTACTTTTTATTGCTCTACTGAAATAACACTCCTCAGTTCATGATACTCAGATGAATTAAAGTGTAAAGGGTATTAATTCTTTGCTTTCCCAGAGGAAATGACACTGATGATAGTGATCATGATCTGTAAGTAAATTTTTTCCCCATTGTTATATCATTGAAATAAAACAAAAATTATTGATACAACGTTAAGATAAGTTGTAAGCATTTAATAAGAACTGCAGTAATCTGTCTTCTTTAGTTGAAAAGAGAATGGTTAACTGGCCACATCCTAAATTTCATAAATACATGTATATGTATTTAGGCCTTGATTAAGTACTCAAATGTTTGCAAAATTCTAGCTTTGAGAAGATTTGGAATATCTCAATTGAAGGAAAAGTAGGGAAGCAGGAGCAATGAGGAATGGGTTTGTTTAGTGATTAATTAGCATTATTATGTTTTCAAATAATGCATGTTAATTATGTAAATGACTTTTTCTTAGGTGTTCTTTGGACTGTTGGCTCAATAATAATATATTATAAATTATTATTGTGATGGATAGACAATGAATAATATATGAGGGAAGTCATGCAATTGTTACTATTTCAAGGCCTTGCATTCAAAATTAATGGAATTATTATTGTTGTGTCTCAGTCATTCAGATTATAGTAGTTGTACTATAATGCTATCAAGAAAGATAGTGATCTAAGAAGTGGATACTTTTTTTTTTTTTTTTTTGACACAGTCTTGCTCTGTCGCCCAGGCTGGAGTGCAGTGGCACGATCTCAGCTCACTGTAACCTCCACCTCTCAGGTTCAAGCGATTCTCCTGCCTCAGCTTCCCAAATAGCTGGGACTATGGGTGCCCACCACCATGCCCAGCTAATTTTTGTATTTTTAGTAGAGGTAGGGTTTCACTATGTTGGCCAGGCTGGTCTCGAACTCCTGACCTCAAATGATCCACCCACCTCGGCCTCCCAAAGTGCTAGGATTACAGGCATGAGCCACTGTGCCTGGCCAGAAGTGGATACTACTGATTTTAGACAATTCACTTTCTGAAAAATAGTGTTTTAAGTTACATACACACTTTAACTTCTAAAGCAAAAGATAACATATAAAATAAAAAATCATTTTGCCTACCATAAATACCCCTAGGATCCAAAGTAACACCAGAATAGCTTTCCCTTTTGACACCTTCTGGCTAAAATAAAGGCAGAAAACATTCAGTTAAAAACATAAGTTTATATAACCTGAATTCCCTGGATCAACTTTTCTGGACCACTTTTCAAACTAAAAAATTATTTTTCTTGGAAAAGGCAAACTATGTATAAATACTTACATGGATATAAGCAGCAATAAGATTTTATGGCTATTTGCATATTGACCAGAGCAAATGCTTAAAAAGAAGTTATTTATAAGCCAGATAATTGTTCTAAGTGCTTTATATGTATTAACTCATTTAACCTCTAAAAACCTCTATGAGGTTGGTGCTGTTATTACTCCCATTCGACAGATGAGGAGACTGACACACATGGAAATCAAGTAACACTGTCACACTGCTAGGAGGTGATGGAGCCAAGATTCAAGGCCCAGCAGCCTCGCTCCAGAGACTGCATGGAACCACAGTGCAAGGATGCATGGGAATGTGCTTTGCACAAAATAAGTCGGTACATGTTTACTGAAGTGAATTTCATAGCTGAAAACAGAGAGTGAAGAGCCAGGAAATCCAGTCTGTCATTAATTGGCCATATGACCCTTAGCAAGAATCTTAGTCCTTTAAAAGTACTATTATTTTTAATTGGTAAATCATACTTATATAAAATATTAAAATTATATAAAAATATTAAAATTACATAAAAATATTAATGTTAATAGCGTGAATACAATTAACAGACTGTGGGTAAATTGTACTTAACAAATTATACTTTTCTTCTTTTTTGGGACTGTTTATTTGTTTATACAATGGAAAGTTTTCTAGACTGCAAGTTCTTTAAATTCAAGGGCCATGTCTTATTTATTGTTTTATCTCCAGTTCCTTGCATAATGTCTGGCACATAGATTTCAAGACACATTTTCTGAATGTATTAAGGGGAAAAAAAAGCCTGTGTACCAATTGTACCTGTATACCAAAAAAAGACGTGTACCAATTGTTAAAATTAGATATCTCTGGGTATGGGAATTATTGATGATTTTTATTTATCTGTCGTTTTTCAGTATTTTATATTTTCTACGAAACAAATATTGTTTTATTAAAAATTTTTAAGCACGATTTCAGACTTACAGAAAAATTGCAAGAATAGTACAAAAAAAATCTGGAATAACCTCCATCCAGTTTCCTTAATGCTTAATGTTTCGTTAAATTTACACTATTGTTTCTCTCCCCCCCCTTTCTGTGTCTCTCTTTTGCAATAATTTAAGCATAAGTTATTGAAGCATGTTTTTCTTACCACCACTCGTAATGTTTTTACTAAGATTTCTTTTCCAAACCAAGTCTCCAGTGAAAAATTGATGTTGTGAAGGCCAATTTCCAGAGGAAGCACAGTGAATGTCACCAAGTGACTGGAGGAGCCCTCTACTTTCTGGCGCACACATTTGGAGGACTTTGTGCCCTGATGATCAATGACTGGGCTTTCCGAAGTGCAGATTCCCTCCACAGCAGACATTTTAACACAGAACTGAAATACAAGTGAAGAATTATATCAAAATACATTTTTTTTTTTTGAGACAGAGTCTTGCTATGTCGCCCAGGCTGGAGTGCAGCGGCATGATCTCAGCTCACTGCAACCTCCGCCTCCCGGATTCAAGCAATTCTCCTGCCTCAGCCTCCTGAGTAGCTGGGATTACAGGCATGCGCCACCACACCCAGCTAATTTTTGTATTTTTAGTAGAGGCACGGTTTCTCCATGTTGGCCAGGCTGATCTCGAACTCCTGATCTCAGGTGATCCGCCCACCTCAGCCTCCCAAAGTACTGGAATTACAGGCATGATGCTGTAATCCGTGCCCAGACTCGAAATACTTTATCTCTAAAAAAGTTGACCTTGATTATGCTTGTCTGGACACAAACTCTCCACTTTAACAATGTTAAAATAATCCCTTAGATTCTAAGGCACAGAAGAAAGTTCATTTCAGATTTCCTAACATAGACACACAAGTTGCCGTAGAGTTTAGCAATGCAAACAGATGTCTAGAAAAGTCAACACTGTCTCAGAAACATCTTACCTTTCTTAGACTGTTACGTACTAAATTGGGTACAGAGCTCATGCTGTTGTGATAGCACTTATTACCCTGTCTCTTTACATGTTTGTGTTTCAGATAGTGGGAGCCTTAGGCTCAGGTACTTTTTCATTTTCATCTTATTCATTTTTGTATCTTTTAGCTCAGCCTCTGGTATTCAGTAAATGATGGGTTTCATCAAAGACTGAAAATTCCCTATATCGGCATTCAAGGCCCTGCCCATTATGTCCCCAGCTTACTTTTCTAATTTTATCAACTTCCCATTTGTACCCCATTTTACAACCAAACTCTGGCTCCAGAAAGACCTGGATTCAATTTTTGGCATTCCTCTTATTAACTGGTGATGGAAACTGGTTGCATGAACTCTCTAATCCTCCATTTTCTCATCTTTGTAATGGGAATAATAATAGTGCCCACTGACTTCTGGCTCAAATAGTAAACATTTTTCATCTTCCCTCCAAATTCTGGTGAACTGATAGAATTGAGAACTATACCCAAAATAATAAATCCATAAAATCCAGAATAAGTCAAGCAGGTAAACAAAAGAGAGCACCAGCTATTCAACCACTAATTTTGAGGAATTTCTTGAAAACAGAAAGTTCCTTTTCCTTCTTAACTATCTTCTTGGGAGACAACCACCAGGGTGGGAGAAGCCAGAGCAAAAGACTATTGGATCACCTGCGGCCAATGATTTCCTTAGAACAGCAGGGGAGGGTGGGGAAGGATAGATATAGAAGAGTCATTTAATACAATTCAGCATAATTGCATTACAAAAACTCTTAGTAAATTGAGACTAAAAGGAACTTTTGAAACTGATAGAAAATATAAAAAAAAAAGTGGTTCTGGTTTCAGTAATAGCCAAATAGCTTATATTGGGCAACCTTTCTGTAAAAATAACCACAAACTCTAGACAAGATACATATTAAAACAAACTACCTGCAGATACTAGAGAGTGGGAGGGAAAGTGACACTTGGGAGAAGGGAATGACACTGAATAAGTGTCCCGCTTTTTATAGCTTTACCCTGAGGGCAGGTCCCATTGGTGCCTTGGAGTGGCTAAAACCCCAGTAGAACCTGACATCATACTGGTTTAGGAACTAGAGGACAAAGTAGGGAATAGTTACCACAGCTGAATAGTGAAGGAACTCCAAGTTCTGTGTATAATCCTTGCTCAAACCTGGCTGACCCTTGACCTATGCACAGCACAGATTTCTAGCATCCAGCTAAGGCTAAAAATACTGAACTGAGATTTCAGAGTCTGGAACTGAATCCAGCCAACTGCCTGCTAACACACACACACACACGAAAAATCTTCAGAGGAATGTAATAGAATCCAGAGTCTTTATAATATTTTTATTAATAAAGTAGAAGATTCAATCCAAAATTACTAGATAAAAAGAAATAGGAAAGTGTAACCCACACTCAGGAGGAAAGGTAATTAACAGGAACTAAGCCCAAAATATCACAGATGTACTTGTTTCTTATTTTGATATGATGGAAATGCACTGAAAATTTAAAGATTAAATAAAATATGGCAGTATAGTGATATGCATGACACTTTAAAATGCTGTCAAGTTGGCTGGGCATGGTGGTGTGTGCCTGTAATCCCAGCTACTTGGGAGGCTGAGGCAGGAGAATCGCTTGAACCTGGCAGGCGGAGCTTGCAGTGACCCGAGATCTTCCCATTGCACTCCAGCCTGGGCGACAGGGCGAGACTCTGTCTCAAAAAAAAAAAAAATGCTGTCAAGTTATATATAATTGTGTTATTGCAAAGGACATACAAAAGAGATGGCAGGCTAGATTTGGCCCATGGTCCATAAATTGCTGACCCTTGATTTAGTTCATAAAGCAAAAGGATAAAGAGATGTAAAAGATTCAATATGGCAAGTCAATTTCCCTTATATTAATTCATAAATTCAGGACAATATGAAAACCCTATTATAATTTTAAAAGGAGAATTCAACAAACTAATTCCAAAGTTTATCTGGCAGAGTAAATGTGTAAGAATAACAACATCAAAAACGTTTGAAAAATAAGAATACCAGAGAGTACTTGCCTAATAGTTATACAATATAACCACAAATCTATGGTACTTTAAATCAGTGTGATACTGATGTAAACAAAACAGAGGAGAGAATCTATAAATAGATCCACATATATGGAAATTCAATATATATGGGGGCAAGATGACATTTTAAATCAGTTGGAAAAGCATGAATTCCTTAACAAATACTGCTGGATCATCTGGCTATTTGGGATTAGATCCTTATTTCAGATAAAAAAATCTAAATGCTCACAAAAAACTATAAAAGTACTATAGAAAATATAGAAAAAACAGTTCTTTAGAAAAACATTTTATTTTAGGTTCGGGGCACATGTGCAGGTCTGTTGTATAGGTAAATGGCGTGTCGCAGAGGTTTGGTGTGCAGATTCTTTCATCATTCAGGTAATAAGCATAGTACCTAATAGGTCATTTTTTGATCTTTACCCTTCTCTCACCCTCCACCCTCAAGCAGGCCCTGGTGTCTGCTGTTCCCTTCTTTGTGTCCATATATACTCAATGTTTAGCTCCCACTTATAAGTGAGAACATGCAGTATTTTGTAGAAAAACGTTTTTAAAACTTGCAGTGAGAAAAGATTTCCAAAAACACAAAACTCAAATGACATAAAGGAAAAGATCTACAGATTTTATAACATACAAATTAAAAACACTAATAACAAAGTTAAAGACAAGTAGCAGATTAAATACCAGCAACATTTATAATCAATAAAGAATTTATAGCTCTAACATACAAAGTGCTCCTGTAAACAATAATAAGTACATTTGTTGAGTACTCACTATGGGCCAAGTACTATATTTACATGAATTAGCTCATTTAATCTTCAACTATGAAATAGATACTATTATCATCCCATTTGTCAGATGAGGAAACTAAGCAAGAAGAAGCTAGGTAACTTACCCCAGAAAAAAGGAACTCAATGGAAAGCAAAAGAAAGGATATTAAAGTAGTATATAGGATATCATAGAATACATGAAAGAAGAAATACAAATGGCCACAGACAAATGAAATGAGGTTCAACATTGCTAGTAATCAGGGTAGTGAAATAGAAACATCAGTGACATATCACTTGTGTCTGTCAACTTGGCAAAAATTTTATGTGTATTAACAAACAATATATAGCGCGGTCTTTCATGTTTTTAAATATTATGTAGTTGTATTCATTGTGTATACATATTATTCTGCAATTTGCTTTTTTCAGCAATGTTACATTTTTGAGCTTTAATCAAAATGATGCATGTAGTTATCTAGTCCATTCATTTCAATTTCTGTATAAGTGTTCATTGTATGAATAAAAGAAAAAATGTTTATTCCCCCAAATTATAAGAATGTGAGGGATCAAGGCTACCTGCATACACTTGGTAAGAATGTCAATTGATGGAATCCTTTTGGAAGATAATTATGGCAATATTTATTATCAGAAGGTAAAATGTCCATGCCCTTTAGCCCAGTTAGTTCACTCCAAGACAAAACATCTATCCTACAGAAATATACATGTAGGAAGATATGTATGCATAAATGCAGACTTTGCAAAATCAGTTATAATAGTGAAAACCTGTAAACAACCCAAATGTCTTTAATAGAAACATGGTTCAATAAATTATAGTATACCCACCATGTGAATTACTGTGCAGCCATTAAAGTAATGAAGTAAATCTGTATATACTGATATGAAAGGATGTCTCTGATAATATTATTGGTGGAAACACAAATTGCTGAGGCAGTGTGTGTATATATATATATATGTATGTATATATGTATAGATATGTACATATATGTATATATGTAGATATGTACATATACGTATATATGTATATATACGTATATATATATATGTATATATGTATATGTATATATATGTATATATGTATATATATGTATATATACGTATATATGTATATATGTATATATATATGTGTGTGTATATATATATATATATATATATATACACACATACCTACACAAGCCGATTTTATATGTCTAAGACTAGGTGAGCAGAGGAGCCCTTGCTGATCTCAATCCTACAGTTGAGCAGAGTTTGGCTGTGGCCTCTGTGCCTTACCCATCTGTTATGGCCACCTATTTATGTGTCTATCTCAAATTACAATTTACATGGTTTAAGAGTGACACCTCCTTAATCATCTACCAAAATCCTTTGGTAGCCAAGATCAGTGTGAGTTATAAAATTATGCTGAGTCTGTTTTGATGAGATGGTCTGACTGTCTTAGTATCTCAGTTTCCAAGCCTCAAGCCCATCTTGAATCAGGATTTTGAGACATGAAAACCACTACAGGAACCTGATGGAGAAATGGCCTTTGGTATCTCTATCTGAGTTATGATTATCTTAAATTCATGAAGCATTCTGTCTGCAGAAAAGCTAGTGGGTTTAAAAGAAATAATGTAAAGGCAACTTTACAGCTTCTTAATCAAGGTCCTTCTCCAACTCTTCACGTTGTATTTAGGGTGGTGGGGATGGAGCCAAATGAGGGAGGGCAATTCCACAGGGCTGAAGATGGTGGCATGATTCATAGGATTTATGCAAACCCTGTGAGTAAATTCTAAGGAAGAGAAATGAGTAACATTTTGATTTTATTTCTGTAAAAATAAGATAATACTGGCCGGGAACAGTGGCTCATGCCTGTAATTTCAGCACTTTGGGAGGCCAAGGTGGGCAGATCACAAGGTCAGGAGTTCGAGACCAGCCTGGACCACATGGTGAAACCCTGTCTCTACTAAAAATGCAAAAATTAGCCAGGCGAGCTGGCACATGCTTGTAATCCCAGCTACTCAGGAGGCTGAGGCAGGAGAATCACTTGAACTTGGGAAGCGGAGGCTGCAGTGAACCGAGATTGTGCCATTGCACTCCAGCCTGGGTGACAGAGCAAGACTCTGTCTCAAAAAAAGAAAAAAAAAAAAGATAATACCATCAGTATGGTAAATTCTGATTACTTAAGTTTATTCCCCATTTACATCCTGTGGCCAAGTAAAATTTGTGTGTGCATTCTCTGATATTTAGTGTTACCTGATGAAACAAGTTTATATGGAAAAGTTCATTTTTACTGAAAATTAAAATTGTGAAAAAAAGAGTGACATTTCTTAACATGATTTGGATTGAAAAATGAAATTGGCATTTCTATGACAAAGAGTAAGTCTGATTTTCGCTGATCATTTTATCAATGAGGACTGATTTTTCCAGTTAGATTATATGACAAACATATTACATAAATTGAATAAGCTAAATGTGAAGCTCCAAGATATAAGATTAAAATATATTGATAAAGGGGTAATAAAATTGACAATATTTTTATTTTATCAACCTTCCTGATAAAATTGGGTTGAACAGCAATGCCTACCTCTATAAAAATGAAAAATAAGAATAGAATTTATGCCAAACTCTCTCTCATTTCTAACAATAAATAACATTTATCCATAACTATTAAGCCAATTGAGAGAAAAATTTCATTTATCTAATGAGAAGATAATTTTTTTTTTGAGACGGAGTGTCGCTCTGTCGCCCAGGCTGGAGTGTAGTGGCGCAATCTCGGCTCACTGCAAGCTCCGCCTCCCGGGTTCACGCCATTCTCCGGCCTCTGTCTCCCGAGTAGCTGGGACTACAGGCGCCTGCCACCAAGCCTGGCTAACTTTTTTGTATTTTTAGTAGAGATGGGGTTTCACCGTGTTTGCCAGGATGGTGTCGATCGCCTGACCTCGTGATCCACCCGCCTCGGCCTCCCAAAGTGCTGAGATTATAGGCCTGAGCCACCGCTCCTGGCCGAGAAGAGAATTTTTAAATAAAATTTTATTTCTATATTTAATAACTTTAGAAATATGTTATTTTATCAATAGTATACTAATAATAATATTTGTAATGATACCTAAATCCACATATCATTTGATACTTGGAATTTTACAATCATGAAATTTTAAGATATTTCATTTTCAATGTATGTGCATATTTTTGTTCATTAAAGTATAATAAGGTGATCAACAGAAAAAAATTCATGCATAAAATATGTAACATTAGGGGAGTAAAATGGAAATATGAATTCATTGAGGAAAAGGAATGATATGTAATCTGTTGCTAAGAGCTTATTCGAGCCCAGGAGCAGTTCCTCATGCTTGTAATCCCAGTACTTTGGGAAGCTGAGGCAGGTGGGTCACTTGAGGTCAGGAGTTCGAGACCAGCCTGGCCAACATGGCGAAACCTGTCTCTACTAAAAATACAAAAATTAGCCAAGCATGGTGGCGTGTACCTGTAATCCTAGCTACTCAGGAGGCTGAGTCATGAGAATTGCTTGAACAGGGGAGGAGGAGTTTGCAGTGAGCGGAGATCGCACCACTGCACTCCAGCCTGGGCAATAGAACAAGACCCCATCTTGAAAAAAAAAGGCTTATTTGAGCATTTAAAAAATTGATTGCTATGGTATTTGGAGTCTGCTATACATAAGTTTGATAAAACAGTTTTATTTTAAGATACCAATATTTAAATATTTTAAAAGTAATAGATTGCCATCTTTTAAAAAATGTATGATAAAAATTTTAGATGCCAATTTTAAAATGTGTCAGAGGGCAGAGCGAGACTCCGTCTTAAAAAAAAAAGTGTCAGAGGGATACATAGTTTTTCCAAAACAAGAGGGTATGTAAGCAAAATTTTAGGAAACCACTGAAATTCTAATCTCTAAGAATAAAGTTAGTGTTTTAAAAAAATATAGCTAGAATTTTGGAACACATTGAATTCTCATGCAAAGTTTTGTGACTGTGATTTTCAAATCAAATCAGTCAGCCTATTATATAATTCTCTTTAGGGGTGTGCTGGCAAAGAGAAGATAAATGGTGGGTCCAATCATGGTTGGAATTGTGTCCTGGAGTGAGATAGGATCCAGGGAGTTGGCATAATTTTAGTCAGTGTGGTTTTAATGATGGCTGGTGAATTCTAATCTGAACAAGGAGTAAAGTAAAAAGAGCAGGGAAGTAAAGGACAATAAAAGGGATTGAGTCAATGGACTGAAGGTTTCAGTGATGCTACTGACCCAGAGCTATGGAAGTAATCTGGTTAATGAGTTAGGAGGACAGGAAGGAGGTTGTCACTGGATGGTGAGATGTGAATGTCTGAAATCAAGATTTCAGAGAGGATGATAAGATCTATAAAGTGAAGATGAGTATGAATGGCTAAAATGGAGGAAAGGGTTGTTAGAATCAAGGAAATCAAGGAACTCTGAGTATAGGCAAATAAAGGAACTAAAGATGAATTCACCCTTCTCTGGACTTCCACAGCACATGGATTATCTTATGCAATTTATTCTTTCAATTGAAGTTACATGAATACCTACTTGTCCTTCCTCCTTCCTTCATCCCTTTAATTCACATCCCTACACATATAGTACAATGCTCATTTTAAGTGTTTGGTTTCTATTGCTGAACTGAGTTGAACTTCTACTTTTTTGTGTATGGTAATTCCACTAATAGAATTCTCAGAAAACCAGAGAATGTTTCCTTTATCCCATAAATATTAACACCTACTTACCTGCATCCCAGAAGTCCTATAGTTGTAAACAGTTCCTTTCAATTGGATCTGTTCTCCTCGTACAACAGAATATGGTATATTCATTTCCAGGAAGACATCTTTGAACACCTTTGCCTTGACAGTATCAGCAACACATATACCTTCAGCCCAAAGTGGAAGCAAAGTAGAATCATATTAGGAAATTCCTATAATGTTTTATTGGTATTAAAATTTCTCACATTTGCTTTACTTCAAGGAAAAAATAATATTAGATCATGTTTTTCTCTGAACTCTCAACTCATGTCCTTGAATTTTCTATTCATTGATCTTAATTTCAATAATAATTAGTATTAACAAAAAACTTCATTTATTCAACAAATAGTTAATTCTATTTAAGGCATGAGAATGTTTATCAACTAACACACCAAATCTTTTTAGATATTCATTATTGGCTCCATGTTTAATGAGTATAAAATTTTGATTGTGGAAACCAAGATTTTAAAACAAAAGTAGCAAACAAACAAACAAAACCATTCCTGAAGCTATTTGGAAAGCATCTGCACTTAATCATCATAAAGATCAGCCCAAGAGAGTTCATTTATTTGTTTCTAACTCTACACAAGCTCCCAGTCAGTGAGAAAAGTGAAGGAAAATAAAGACTTGAGGCTGGGTGCAGTGGCTCAAGCTGTAATCCCAGCACTTTGGAAGGTGGAGGTGGGAAGGTTGCTTGAAACTAGGAGTTTGAGACCAGCTTGGACAACATAGCGAGACCCCTTCTTCATTTACAAAAAAAGGAAAAAGAAAAAAAAGAGAGGAGTGAAAGGAGAAATCAATATGTTCAAAGATGTGGGTATATCCAAGTCTTTTGGTAATACATAAAAAAAAGAATATTTTTTAAAAATTGCTACCATTTAAGTCCTGGGTAAACTAAATAGATACTAACAAAGAATTACATCTTGCTAATCAAATCACTATTTAAATGCATATATCACTTAAACCTGCTTACCAGTGTTTGAAATGCCAACGCCTTGAATTTCCCAGGTGGTTAGAGAATCAGGTAGGGCAAACTGCAACTGTTTTCTGGAAGTTAAAATGTTGATATTCAAATACAGTGGAATATTGATTAACCCAACTTAACAGAGACATCCATTAACAGAATTTTTGCTTCAAACTACTTTAGAGAAAGAAAAAAATTCACGAGATGAAATCACATCATTAAGGAAAACCTCATCAAGAAAAATATATTCAGTAACTCTCTTATATATTGCATGTTTTTAGACATTGCACCTCTATGATGAGAATTCAAGTTCAGAAGAATGCCTTTGAAACATTGCAAAATCCAAGCACACAAACAAAGAAAAAGATGTTTGTTGTGAGTATATTCTAAAATAGGGAAGCAAAGTGATGCATGTTAGCACTGCTCAAAACAAAGTTGACATAACTAAAAACTGCTGATTATGATTAAGCTTGTATATTTATTTACAGCTATTGTCTACCAACTTTGTATCAGGTATAGTGCTGAGTACTGAGTAAACAGCACTGATAAGATACAGTCCTGCTCTCAGGCAGTTTACAATCTAGTGGAAGAAATAGTTAAGTAAATAAATTACACTGCACTGTAATAATTGTACCAATAAGGCATTATAAGAGTTCAGAGGCAGTGTGCTTTCGTTCAACACATTTATTTTCAGTATCCTAGGCCAAGTCCTGGATATAAAACAGTAATCTGAATTTAGTTCATGCCTTTGAGGTATTTACATTTTAATGTGGAAGACAGGAAAGTAAACAAGTCATTATAATACAATATGATACACACAACAGGGTTAATTGAGGGTGCAATTAATCCAATCACTGGTAGTGTGGGGAGCAGTGGCCAGAAGGTTTACTAGAGGACATGCTAGCTAATGGGTAATGTCAGATGAAATGGACAATTGTGTGGAAGAAGGATTAGAGAAGACAAGGGTAGAAATAAGGAGATGCGTGAGGAGACAACTGCAGGCCTTTGAACTCATTCCTTGCCTTCTCATTGGAAAACCAGTGCTTTAAGCCCATCTAAGAAGAGTATGGCTCGAGGACTCAGCCCATCACTGTTTTCAGTGGTATAGAGGAAGTGTTTCCTTAAAATGTGTTGAATAGAAAACTTTAAAAAGAAAACTTTTCTTCCTGTTTATTAATGTTTGTTTTATAGTACAGATATTTTAGGATAAAAATAGTGGCTTAATATAGTGTATCGCACATAGTTGTGTGTAGTAAATGCATAATGAAGTCAAATAAAATTAAATGGAATAGCACCCTTCTTCATTCTGACCTGGAGCCAATCACCAGTACGATGTATATTAAAAAAATAAAAATTTAAAAAAGCAAAGCAAAACAAAACAAAATTTGATCAAATTGCAGGATCATCTTAACTCCTATGCAAGCTATTGGGAAATGGGTAGTTTCTAGATTTTTGGCCATAATACTTGCATTATCCACATTTCTTTCAAGGAAACATGAAAGAAGTATAATACCTTCTGGGAACAAGATGAACTTCCCACAACCAGCTTTCTGGAAAATAACTCCGAATTTCTGGCTTGCTTACTGGTAACAGGGTCTTCATGTCTGGACAAAAAAATCATATTCAATTATGGAAAAACAATATAAATTCTACTTATAGGTGAATTTTAAAATATGGCCATTAATCTGTAACTTAAGCATTTTCTGAAAGGTAAATAAAACATTTTGTTTAATGCTTCCAAAATAGAATTATAGGCAGGGTGCAGTGGCTCATGCCTGTAATCCCAGCACTTTGGGAGGCCGAGGTGGGCAGATCACCTGAGGTCAGGAATTCGAGATCAGCCTGGCCAACATGTTGAAACCCCGTCTCTACTAAAAACACAAAAATTAGCTGGGCATGGTGGCGGGTGTCTATAGTCCCAGCTACTCAGGAGGCTGAGGCACAAGAATCACTTGAACCTGGGAGGTAGAGGTTGCAGTGAGCCGAGATTGCACCACTGCACTCCAGCCTGGGTAACAGAGAGAGACTCTGTCACAAACAAACAAACAAACAAACAAACAAACTATAAAGGCCTTAGGATTTTTCCACTAATAGCATTGGCAAAACAAAGCATTAAATATCTTTAATGATTTTTTTCTTAAATTGCTAAATGTTTAGTATTCCTGAGATTATACAAGATATCGATCAGTCTATAAAGTTATTTGCACTTATATATATAATTGTAATAATTGTGTTTATATTAGAAAAAAGGAGGCTTTATATGGTTCTCTGCCTTCTTTAACTTGGTAATTTGTTTATATTTACTTTAATAAAAATGGACTGAACTTCTGTTTTCATATAAGATGCCTTAATAGAAAACAAAACATGATATGCAAAATAACAGTTTTCAGACATTAGAGCATAAGCAAGACTGTGATCTCTAAGAGAAAGGAAACAATTAGGTGAAACCTAAAATTGCCCCAGCTTACTGCCTAGAGGCAGTTTACAGACTAGGGCAGGGAGAGGAATACAAGCAGAGCCTGATGATTTTGAAGACTTGTGGCAACACTGATGGGAGTTTTGCAAGGCCAACTTGTCTGGAATGAGGGAGAGTTCCAGGAAGGAGGGGGCTGCAGAGAGAGACTTCTATCCAGCTGAAGCCAAGCCAGATGATTATAGTTGAAAAATTGAAAAACGAAAAAATATATGAGAGGGGAGAGCAAGATGGCTGAATAGAAGCCTACACCATTTGTCTTTCCTGTTGGTACACTAAATTTTAACAACTAACTACACACAAAAAGCACCATCAAGAGAACCGAAAATCAGGTGAGCAATCACAGTACCTGGTTTTGACTTTACATCACTGAAAGAGACATTGAAGAGGGCAGGAAAGATAGTCTTGAAGCACCAATGCCACTCCTCCCACATCCCCTAGCAGTGACTGTGCAGCATGGAGAATCTCTGTGTTGGGAGAGGGAGAGTGCAGTCATTCTGTGGCTTTGCATTGAACTCAGTGTTGCACTGTCACGGTGGAAAGCAGAACCAGGCTGTACTCAGCTGGTGTCTGCCCATGGAGGGAGCATTTGGACTGGCCCTAGCCAGAGGGGCATCGCTCATCCCAGTGGTTGGAGCTTGAGTTCCAGCAAGCCTCCCCACCATGGGCTGGAGTGCTCTAGGGCCCTAGGTTAACTTGAGGGGCAGTCTAGGCCACAAGGACTGCAATTTCTAGGCAAGTCCTAGTGCACTGGAAGTCCTAGCCAGAACAATTAGACAAGAGAAGGAAATAAAGGTCATCCAAACTAGAAAGCAAGAAGTCAAGTTATCCTTGTATGCAAATGATATGATCACATATTTGGAAAAACCTGAGGACTCCACCAAAAAACTATTAGAACTGCTAAATGAATTCAATAAAGTTGCAGGATATAAAATCAACATACAAAAATCAGTAGCATTTCTATATGTCAATAATGAACAATGTGAAAAAGAAATTTAAAAAGTAATACCATTTACAATAGCCACAAATAAAATTAAATACCTAGGAATTAAATTAACCAAAGAAGTAAAAGATTTCTACAATGAAAACTATAAAACACCAATGAAAGAAATTCAAGAGGACACTCAAAAAAATGGAAAGTTATTCCATATTCATGGATTGGAAGAATCAATATTGTTAAAACGCCTTAATACCCAAAGCAATCTACTGATTCAATGCAATCTCTATGAAAACACCAATAACATTCTTTGCAGAAATAGAAAAAAAATCCTAAAATTCATATGGAACTACAAAAGACCAGAATAGCCAAAGCAATCCCGAGCAAAAAGAAAAAAACTGGAGGAATCACATTACCTGACTTCAAATTATACTATAGTATAATTCAAAACAGCATGGTAGTGGCATAAAAGCAGACATATAGACCTATGGAACAGAATAGAAAACCCAGACAAATCCACACACCTATAGTGAACGCATTTTTGACAAAGGTGCCAAGAACATACATTGGAGGAAGGACAGTCTCTTCAATTAATGGTGCTGGGAAAACTGGTTATCCCATTCATGCAGAAGAATGAAACGTGACCCTTATCTCTTGCCATATACAAAACTCAAATAAAAATTGATTAAAGATTTAACTCTAAGACCTCTAACTATAAAACTGCTATAGGAAAACACTGGGAAAACTCTCTAGGACATTGGTCTGGGCAAAAGTTTCTTGAGTAATACCCCACTACACAGACAACCAAAGCCAAAATGGACAAATGGGATCACATCAAGTTAAAGAGCTTCTGTACAGCAAAGGAATCAATAAAGTAAGCAGACAACCTACAGAATGGGAGAAAATACTTGCAGCTACCCATCTGACAAGAGATTAATAACAAGAATATATAAGGAGTTCAAACAACTCTACAGGAAAAAATGTAATAATCCCACTTAAAAATGGGCAAAAGATTTGAATAGACATTTCTCTAAAGAAGACATACAAATGGCAAAAAAGCATGTGAAAAGGTGCTCAACATCAGTAATCACCAGAGAAATGCAATCAAAGCTACAATGAAATATCATCTCATCTCAGTTAAAATGGCTTTTATTCAAAAGACAGGCAATAACAAATGCTGGAGGGGATGTGGAGAAAAGGGAACTCTTGTACACTGTTAGTGGGGAATGTAAATTACTATACACTATGGAGAACAGTTTGGAGGTTCCTTAAAAAACAAAGAATAGAGCTACCATATGATCTGGCAATCCCACTGCTGGGTATATACCCAAAAGAAAGAAAATCAGTACATCGAAGAGATATCTGCACGCCCATGTTTGTTGCTGCACTGTTAAAAATAGTCAGGATTTGGAAGCAACCTAAATGTCCATCAACAGATAAATGGATAAAGAAAATGTGGTGCATATACACAATGGAGTACTACTCAGCCATGAAAAGAATGAGATCCTGTCATTTGCAACAATATGGATGGAACTGGAGGTCATTATGTTAAGTGAAATAAGTCAGGCACAGAAAGACAAAATTCACATGTTCTCACTTATTTGTGGGTGCTAAAAATCAAAACAATTTAACTTATGGAGATATAGAGTAGAAGGCTGGGAAGGGTAGTAGGAGGATGAGGGGGATGTGGGGATGGTTTATGGGTACAAAAAATAGAAAGAATGAATAAGACTTAGTACTTGACAGCACAACAGGGTGACTACAGTCAATAATAATTTAATTGTACATTTAAAAATAACTAAAAGAGTATAATTGGATTGTTTATAAAACAAAGGAGAAATACCTCAGGGGATAGATACCCCATTTTCCATGATATGATTGTTACTTATTGCATTCCTGTATCAAAGTATCTCGTGTACCCCGTAAATACTATTTACCCACATAAATTTAAAAATTAAAAAAAATTAAGAGAAAAAAAAGCCAAATCCTCCCTCCAAAAAGAAAAACAACATATGGACTAGACTGTTTATTAAAATTCTGCTTATAATAAGCAAATATTATTAGCCAGGCATGGTGGCAGGTGCATGTAATCCCAGCTACTTGGGAGGCTGAGGCAGGAGAATTGCTTGAACCCGGGAGGCGGAGGTTGCAGTGAGCTGAGACTGCGCCATTGCACTCCAGCCTGGGCAACAAAAACAAAACTCTGTCTCTCAAACAAACAAACAAACAAAGCAAAACAAATATTGGAAAACAATCTGAATCTTAGACACTGTACATCTCAATGAATATATTTCTACAAACATAAATTTTGTGGCCATTTACCAAAATTATGGTTATTAGATATTGCTTAACAATAGGGCTATGTTCTGAGAAATATGTTGTTAGATGATTTTGTTGTGTAACCATCATGGAGCGTACTTACACTAATCTAGATGGTATAACTTACTACAGATCTAGACTATATAGTATAGCCTATTTCTCCTAGGCTACAAACCTGTACAGCATGTTACTGAACAGAATACTGCAGACAACTGTAATGCAATGATAAGTATTTGTGTATCTAAGCATATCTAAACACAGGAAAGGTACAGAAAAAATACGGTATTATAATCCTATAGGATCACCGTTGCACATGTGGTCCATCATTGATGAAAATGTCATTACGCAGCACACATAAGTATAAAACAGAAGCTGTCATTTTGCTTTTGCTTGTTTTGTTAAAGACTATACATAGGCTGGGCACAGTGGCTCACGCCTGTAATCTCAGCACTTTGGGAGGCCGAGGTGGACGGATCACCTGAGGTCAGGAGTTCAAGACCAGCCTGGCCAATATGGTGAAACCCTGTCCCTACTAAAAATACAAAAATTAACCAGGTGTGGTGGCAGGCGCCTTTAATCCCAGTTACTCAGGAGGCTGAGGCAGGAGAATCGCTTGAACCCAGAGGCAGAGGTTGCAGTAAGCCAAGATTGCACCACTGCACTCCAGCCTGGGTGACAGAGCCAGATTCCTACTGAAAAAAAAAAAAAAAAAGACTATATATAAAGTCCTAAAAGTTCTGAAAACATGTTAATGAGAGTTCTATAAATTCTGGAAACATGTATTGTGGTTGAAACTGAAATAAGACATCAGCTTTTATATAAGTACACTTAACCTTAGGCTAGATTTAGAAATATTCTGCTTTATTTCATCAATGTAGATATAGACAGAATTTTTAATGGTTGTAATATCACAAAAGCGTAGACTTGTAGAACTCACAGGCATATTGGAGAGGATCTGGTCGAAGCTCCTTGCATGAGGCTCAGAGAGGATAAATAATCATTCAAGTTTATGGGATGACTTGGCTTTAAGGTTATGCCAGGTCTTAACTCTGGCCTAGTGTACTCTGCTCTGTACTGTACCTCTTCGGATGCCCAAAAATGAAGGATTTTTTTTTCTTATGGACATTTACAAGTTATCTTTTCTACTTTCAATTCTAAATAGATCATGAAAACTGCCTTTCTTAGCAGCATAAAATTACACAAAATTCCCCATATTGAGCAGAATTCTGATAGAAAATGTCATACTTACGTAGCCTTCCCAATTGCATGTCTTTATGAGAGATATTAGCACGGAGCTGGCTTGCGACGACACAACATTCAGTGAAAGCTTTGATGCATCTTGGCCCTAAACTAATCCGTGCAGCTCGCTGCTCACAGGTTTCATCATTATTAACGCAGGCTCCATCGTAACAACATTTCTTCACTACTGAATGTTTATATTTAGCAGCTGAAATGGTAATAATGCAAGTGCTCTTGATGACGCAGAGTGATAACATCTCAGGCTTAGAAGGAATCTCAAGGGATACCTGGTTTCTGTTGCTATATGATCCCCCTACCCACAATAGTTATGGCTAGTTGACTGTCCAGACTCCCCTTGGAACTATTCTAAGAATGGGGAGAATGTGACCTTACCAAATGGTCCATTCCAGCTCACACTAAATGGTTAAAGGGTTTCCTGCAATTAAGCTAAATACTAACTCTTGAAACTGGAACTTTGGGTTCTGCTGAAAATATGCAGAAAAATATAGAAAAAGAATAGAAAATGTTTTTTAAGAAAATAAGTTAAATATCCAAGAAGCCTTCAAATATTTGAAGATGGCTATCATCACTATACAAATATTTCCTTCTTCAAGCTGAATATCCTATTTTTCAAAAACTTCTTATATAACATGGTTTGTGGACTTCACCTAGTAGCATTATCCTTCATTGTAAGTGCTCAGATTAGTCAATGTCTCTCTTTTCATATCATTAGAACTTAGAATAAAGGTTAGAATTAAAATAACTCATATACAAATGGAAGAAACTATTATATTACCATAGGCATGATATTAGTTGAACTCAATTTGCTGACTCCCAGTTTGATATTCTTTCTACAGTAACATGACGAATTATCATAACCATTTAAATAATTATTTTAAAATAATTCTCACAAGATGTATTTTCCAAAGAACAATGCTACTAACAGTTAAATATATGAAATAGAAGTAATAGACTTCTAGGTATATCCCCAAAATAGTCAAATCATGGATTTTGTCAGAATAAAATGGAAGGATATGATTTTAATTGCCAGATGAAGTTATCAGAGAGAAAATATTTATGACAAATAAAAGCTAATATTTTGGATTTTAGAGCTTGAAGTAATAAAGACCTATTTCCTTAGATTAAGGCTATGGCAAATGAACTACTAGACTTTATTTGGATTAATCTTTCTGAGAGAGATAAGCTAGACCTCCATACATATCTTTCTTTTCATTCATTTTATTTCAATTAGGGGAATTTATATAACATTTAATTTTGTCCAGTTTTTGAATGATATGACCATAACCTTTTTACAATCACATGAATCTTACAGTACCTATTTCTTCTATCTTCTTTTGCAGCGTTCTTCTTGGCCTGAGAATTTCTTTACAAGGTTCATCTGGTTTTTTTAAAAAAAGATAAAGAAGAAGGATTAAAAAGGAGATAAAATCTCAAAAAAAAATTCCATGAAACTATTTAAGTATTTAGAGCCTTCACAAGTCATTCCTTAACAAATATTGAGGGGCTGCTTTGGATTAGGAACTGTGCACCATACTTCTTAATATGACTTGTTTTATCTTAGTGGAGTTCATGATCTAGTGTCATATCTTTTGACTTATTTTATCTGAATTTGGTTTTGAATCCTGCAGCCTCTCTGATCCACTGATTCCAGAGAAATACCTAAGCATTTAGAGTGAGTGATGCTTTTGTTGGGTATGCTATTTTTATTATTTGCTCTTTGTGCTATATTATTGCAAATATAACTATGAATACCACAGTATCAAGTATAATTATGAACAATTTTAAAACCATAGAAAGAAGATGATTAAGGTATGGTTACTATCCTTAAAGAGCTCCTGATGCAGTAGGTGAGCAGGACTTACAACTACATGTAAGAATGCACAATGACACAATGCTGTTCTATAACTTGTAAATAGATCTAGTCCCTGCAATAGCCTCCCTATTAAAGGAGGAGGGAATTATAAATTCTATGTGGGGAAGAGGTCTCGTAGAGGCGATGATTCTTACATTGCTTCTCCAGGCTAATGAAGGGGAAACCAATTCCAATAAATAAAGGCCCAAAGGTGCAAAATAGCATAATGCCACTCAAGAACTCCACTTGGTTCTGTAGAGCTTAAACATAACGTAAGGCACAGCAGGGTAAGAGCTAGTTGGAGAGAGCCAGGGCGAAGATCATGGAAGGTTTTGAGTACTACACTAAAGAATTTGTACTTTATCTTGAAGGCCAGTGAAACATTTTATACAGGTGAGTTATGTAGTCTTGGCATTCTAAGATCAGGGTACAGAATATTTGGGAAGAAGGATAAAAATGAGATCTGGGGGGCAAATGATCAATGGGATTTTCAGTAATAAACATGCTGAGCATTTTACCATTTTCTTGGGAGTCATCTGCATTTGCATTAGTGAGGAAGGTAAGTCCAGCTAGGTGGAACACATTGGCATTGTTGAGGCCACCACCTGCCCCACAGCCCAGATCACTCTTCTCTAAGAATTGAAATACCTGTCCAGAAAGGCAAAATGTTGAGCACATTGAGATGTATAAATCATTCCTCTAAAGATCTAAAAGGTACTAATTGTTACATGGTTATCACAAACCAGTGAAATACACAGATGATATTTTTCAAATGATCAAAGACAAAATTTCCCAACTTTGTTTCTAAGTTTGTCCTTTTGTATTTATAAATACATAACTATTCAAAGTTAAATCAAGAACTAAGTCTTAAACAAATAGCTTTGATGAGGAGTTTCTTAGAAACTGATATATAGTGTTTTGTACATAGAATGAATGCTGCAATCAATATAATGTTCCAAATAAATAAATAAATAGGTATGAATGCATGAAGGACTGAATTAACATAGAAATTAATTTTAAGTTGCTTTAAAAGCACAACTTTGTGCATTTTGGTGGGGAGGTCCCTAGGTTCTAAATGGCTGAAGACTTGTTTGGACAGGCTTATTCGTTCTCCGAGTATTTTTTAATTTTACAGTTTCTCAGTCCTTCCTTCCTTGTTCAAAGACATTCAAGCCTCGAAAATAATAGCTGAACATAATAAGATAAATAGGAACTTATGAGAATTGAATGATTTTGAGATTCTTCTGTGCTATGGATTTCAATGAGAATTTAAAAAAAATCCAAATGTTACCTATACAGGTCTTTCCTGTGCTGCTACTAGCTACTATAACTGCCATCAACACCCTACCCTAAACCTCCAAAGTATTCTGATAGTAATTTTTCCTCCATGAATGTAATTGCTACCATGATCATATATTCTTAAAGTGCTTACATTTACATTTGAAAAACAAAAGAGGATTGACCTGTGCTTTGGGAGCTGACAGGAGGATGGTTTACCTTCCTAAAAATGAGTATGTTGAGTAGATTACAGAAAAGCAGGCCTAGTCTTCCCTTAGTTCTTCCTCCATATCCTAGCCTGGTGGCCACACTTCATGCAACACTGCAGCGAGACATGCATTACTTAACTCTTTCCAAGGGCTTTTTGGCTCCTCTTTGGACTCCATACACAGCACTGTCCACTGCTGCTAATGCCACCCAGGAATCCATTCCAGTTGCCATATTAAGAGACACAGTTTGGCCTGGAGAATATGCATCTGCATCAGGAGACAGATGAACCTAAAAGTTCATTTGAAAAAGAAAAGAAAAGATCATTTGTATGAGACAAGACTTTTCAGAAGCAGCTAAAACTTTGGCAGCCTCCTTCATTGAAAAGAAAATTCAATTGTGACTTATAATTTGTGGCTTACCTGGAGCTGGTTGCCACATTTTTCTTCAATATTTAACCAGACTGAATCAGACACTAATTCTGCTGTCTGTTCTCCTGTGACGATGTAATAGACCAGAAGTCGGGATGAAGGAACCATGTTCTGTGTTACTGGAATGTTTATACTTTGATAAGATGCATCTGAAAATTTCTCCCTCGTGCCAAAGTGGATAATTTTGCCCTTGGATAAAATCTAAAAATAAACAGCAGCAGCAACAATAAGTAAAAAATAAACAAACAAAAACAAAACCTGTGCTTTAGGATGCAGCCTGGAGCTGGAGCAGAAATTATGTTAAAGAAAAATAAAGTTAGGCTGGGCACAGTGGCTCACACCTGTAATCCTAGCACTTTGGGAGGCCGAGGTGGGCCGATCACTTGAGGCCAGGAGTTCAAGACCAGCCTGGCCAACATAGTGAAACACCATCTCTACTAAAAATACAAAAGTTAGCCAGGCATGGTGGTGCATGACTGTAATCACACCTACTCGGGAGGCTGAGGCATGAGAATTACTGGAGCCCGAGAGGTGAAGTTTGCAGTGAGCTGAGATCATGCCACTGCACTCCAGCCTGTGCAACAGAGCAAGACTCTGTCTCAAAAAAAAAAAAAAAAAAAAAAAAAGACATACCAATTTTGGCTGGGCACGGTGGCTCACACCTGTAATCCCAGAAGTTTGGGAGGCCAAGGCAGGCAGATCACCTGAGGTCAGGAGTTTGAGACCTGCCTGGCCAACATGGTGAAACCCTGGCTCTACTAAAAATAAAAAAATTAGCCGGGCACTGTGGTGGGCATATGTAATCCCAGCTACTCGGAAGGCTGAGGCAGGAGAATTGCTTGAACTTGGGAGGCAGAGGTTGCAGTGAGTCGAAATCATGCCACTGCACTCCAGCTTGGGGGACAGAGTGAGACTCCACCAAAAAGAAAGGAAGGAAGGAAGGAAGGAAGGAAGGAAGGAAGGAAGGCAAGAAAGAAGGGAGGGAGGGAGGGAGGGAAAGAAAGAAAGAAGGAAGGAAGGAAGGAAAGAAGGGAGGGAGGGAGGGAAAGAAAGAAAGAAAAGAAAGAAAGAAAGAAGGAAGGAAGGAAGGAAAGGAAGGAAGGAAGGAAGGAAGGAAGGAAGGAAGGAAGGAAGGAAGGAAGGAAGGAAGAAAGAGTGAGTTAACGTTTATGGGCCTACTATGTGCCAGGAACTTTAACATGTATTTAACTCCTTTCATTCTCACAATACATCAATAAGAGGAATATTATTCTCCTCATTTAAGAAACTGAGGCTCAGAAACTAAAAGTCATACTGATTTTAATTCAAAATCACACAACTAGTAAATTAGAGAGCTAAAATTTGAACCCAAAAACTGTTCAAAGTCATCACACTGTCACTAAAACCCCTTTTGTTTCACCGATTAAAAAAAAATAGATGAATAAGTGGAGTGCATCTTATTTGGGGATTTAAAGCCAGGGTTTAGATTCTAAATTGAAGGTTTAAGATTAAAAAAAAAAAATCACGTGAAGCCAAAATGCCCTCAGAGGTCCCTTAAATTGTCCTTAGAGACCAGAACTGCATACATGGATTTGGTATCTAGTCCATAAACAGTTTCCCTTTATCAGTCAATATTTATCTATGGTCCTCATTACTGTTTTTTCAATTTCTTCCTCAAAAATGTTGAAAAGCCAACAGCATGTACTTGGCCTGGCTGTCGAAATAATTCATTCCATTTATTTGGTGATTGTCAGGAAGCTCTTAATATTTTCTGTAAGTTTTTTTCTTGGTTTCACCAACAGGCTTCATCGATCCACCTCTGTTTAATATAAATGATGCAATAGGGATGTTGCTCAGCTACGGAATTGGAACAGGCAAGATAGGATTCAATTCTCAGGAGAGGATTTTGCTTCCCCATTTTTTGACAATAAAATTCACTTATCCGAACTGGGTCTAGGCATATAATCTTTGGCCATGAAAGAGAACAGAGGCAACATGATTTAATCAGGTTCTCGCTTTGGAATAACTAGGCTCTCTTTGGTAAAAAGTGTTATTAGAACAGGAGTCAGAGTCCTCAGCTCAAATCAAAATTTTCCTCTTCCCAGCTGAGTAACCATCATAAGTCTTTTAACTTCTCTGTCCCTCAGTTTCCTCATCTGTGAAATGGTCATGAAAATCATGCCCTATTTCAAAGGTTTTTTGAGAAACTGATGTTCAAGTTAGATGATGCTCTTGAAAGTGCTTTGGGAATAAAAGTATAAAGGATAATTCTAATGCCTCTCTAGAGGCAAAGGAAAATGTTCCAGGTGGGGGAATAAGATGTAAATCCATCATTATGTACTTACCAAGTAATTATAGTGAGTTATTTTGTCAATATATGGGCTTTTGGGGGTAACAATAATATTCAGATGTTCTCCCACTAGCAAAGCCTTATGGTTATCAGTCCAATCAATATAAAGGTAACTTTGGCTGAGAGATGAGTATGCTATTGCTCGGTAACCTTCCCTGGCCTGATTTTCTTCTGGAAGATCTGGAGCATCAGTTTTGACCTGAAAAGAGAAATTTCAAAAAGACATGTATACTGTGATGTAATGCTTTCTGTAAAACATACCTTTCAAATTATTTTCCTTGCTTTATAAATTTCTAAATTTCACAATAACAAATGCTAAAGGGGAAAAAACCCTCCATTACTTCAGTGTTTATACAGCTGTGGTGTCAAGCAACTTTACAAAGACTACAGACAAGAATGATGGGATTATGGGCTATGGCGGAAAAGTCTGAAATGAAGAGAGAAAGATGCTCCAGGAATAATTATTGGTGGTCTTCCTGAAATGTCATGGTAAGTTGGGACTTCTCCTCGCATGGGATGATTACAGAGAGATGCCTAAGCATTTAGGAAATGGGGGTAGGAGAAGGGAAGTAGTGGGGAGGTAGCACTAACTCTTGGGGACAGGAGCTATGAACGAACATCTCAGAGACTATCTGGCCCAGTTTCATTGTGAAGTAGAGGCACAGATGGGTGCTTATAAATATGAGGTGGAGAAGAAATGATATCATGGCAGCAATATCTACCCTCAGACAGCAGAAGTGTTATTAGCTCATGCTCTGGAGTCAGGTACACACTGGTTCACATACCAGTACCACCACTTATTAACTCTGGATAAAATTAGTTAATCAAAAGAGAGGTTAGAAGCCTCCATTTCCTGAGCCACACAATGGCAAAGATAATATTCTAACTCATCTTGCTAATTAAATGGTGTTTCATGTATTCTTCATAAAGCTCTCAGCATGATGCCTAGCATTTAGTAAGTGCTCAATAGATGACAGTGAGCATATGCATGCTGCAGTCATTGGCCTATGTTATTATGTTACTAAGTTACTTTGTAACTATGTTACTATGTTATTGCTCATATTTTATTTGAGATTGGGAACTTAAATAATATTTGCTGCGAGAGAAGACTATTAAGTGGGCTCTAAAGTAGAATGGTTTCTGTAGTTAGAAAAAAGGGAGGCTTCCATATTTTTGACCCTTTTGTGGCCCTTCAGGGGATTAAAAGTGAGGGGGGAAGAGAGGATATTCCTAACACTCATGTGCACTGCTATACCTATTCTGAAGCTTCTAGAGTCTGATATGGTCTTAACGGTGTAAGATAAAACAATTAACTCCCAAATAAAAAATTGATACATTTATCTTCCTCAAGGACCATTCAATGGATTAGCAGATTGTCTCTGGGACTAATTTGTCTTGGATGCAAAATTATGGAACTGTTCACTGGACTCATGTGTAAAATCTGCCGCATCTGTTCTGCACACTAGCCAAAACACATGGTCAAGAGTACACATTGTCCTAGAAAATACAACAGGAGAATTCAGCTCACATTAAACTCCAGCACCGTCACTCCAGATGGGAGATTAAGCACAAAGGAAGCTACTCCATCATCAACACGTGTTACACTTTTGCTTGGATCCAAGTCAGATGTCTCTTGGTTTACATCAATTGTTTGTGCATTCAGTGTTACTGGGACTCCTCCTACCAACTGGTCAAGCGAATCTTTAACCTGCACCTGTTTGTCAAAACAAT
Source organism: Homo sapiens (assembly GCF_000001405.40). NCBI lineage: Eukaryota > Metazoa > Chordata > Mammalia > Primates > Hominidae > Homo > Homo sapiens. The sequence continues at coordinate 121,021,712 of NC_000009.12, forward strand.
CCAAATCTATTTCAACAGCTCATCACTTATTTTAAAGCACAATTCTGAAATAATTTTCCTTCCTCCCCACCAAAGTATAAATTATTTATGTATTTTTTTCTGAAAATTTTTTTTCTGAGACAGAGACTTACTACGTTGCCCAGGTTGGAGTGCAGTGGCTATTCACAGGCACAATCATAGCGCACTGCAACCTTGAACTATTGGCCTCAAGCCATCCTCCCACCTCAGCCTCCCAAGTAGCTGGAACTATTTAGGCATGCTCCACCACACCTGGTTTACTTATGTTTAATTTAGTAAAGAGAAGTGTATTCTCAGCTTATAGAAAGATTTAATTCTATTTAGTTAAATCATTCTTGAATAGATTCTCCCATAAATCAAGCAAACTCAAAACATAAATATCATTCTATTAAGTCAGTCAAGGAGTAGGTGTGATAAGGTCTTCTGCTATCTAACTTCTGTATTTCTTTGATTGGTTTAGGACTGGATAAAGGAGAAAATGAGGCAATCGCTTCTGGGAATAAGTCCCTTGAATATGAGAAACAAAAATAGATACACCTTTTTTCCTTTAACATCTACCTCTCACTGCCATATATATATATATATACACACACAATTCCACACAGATATAGTTTGTTATTTTACTTTTATATAAACATATTTTAAGCTTATGTTCTATATAATATTGCTATATTTACATATTTTAGTATATATATTATATATTACTGTATATGCATTATATGATACTTTGTTATATATTATTTTCTATATATAGTATATATATGTAAGAACCTACAAGCATGTCCAAACCTTGCTTTGGGCTTGGTAAATCCTTTTTTTTCTTAAAAGCCCATGACCCACAGTAAATAATAAATAACACATTTTGATTGTACTTAAGTTGATTTTAAAAAGTAACACATTTTCAAAGAACAAAAAAAAATTTTGCTCTGGATTTCTAAATTAAGGGCAGGGAATAAACATTTCCATTTAATCAACATAATAAAATATATTATTTGTAATAAAATATATAATGATAGATAAAAATCTAAAAACCACATGAATGTTTCAATTCTATACTGTCAGCATTTAGAGGAGGAAAAGAAGGTGAAAGAGAGAAAAATGAATGCAGAGGAGTAAGCAAAAAAGACAGAAAAAAAGAGATTCAGGGACGGAAAGAAGCAAAAATGAAAAGAACAGAGAGCAATACAGAGACGAGAGATTGAACAGAGTTATGCACAAAGACAACACAGAGACAGAGGGAAACAAATGAGACACACTGGAGGCAAAAACATAGTGAGAGAAAGGAGTCTATTTTCAAGGAATGATATCTCCATCTTAAGGCTTTTTAAGAATTTGCCACCAAATAATTTTAAATGTTTGTATTTTTGAACTAGAGTCTTATGAGATTTTATTTACATATAATTTAATGCTTATTTATTACATGTAATTTAATGCTTATTTAGGGATGCCTAATACAAGGCTATCTTGCCCTCACTTTTGAAGTCATTGCCAAGGCTGCAGCTGACCTTCAATTTCCCATCCCTGTCTGTGTCCACCAGGAGGGGCAGGTTTCACAGAATAAGCTCCCTCTGTGACTTCATGGCAACATTCTTACCCTGTTTGCCACCCACATGTTTTCCATGAACAGAACAAGATGATCATATGTAGCAACGTCTACCCCCTCACCCAATCTACCTTGATGGGATATGGAATCCCAGGCTTCAGGAAAAGAGGAGTAGCAACCAAATTCAGTTTGTAGGGAGAGAGGACATATTTGATGCCAGGTATTTCTGCCTCTTCAGAAAATCCACCTAAGGAAATGGCAAGCATCATGTTGACAGTTTTTAGGAGTATCATGATCTGTATGGATATCCATTTCATCTCTATATGTCTCCACAGACTTATTCATTCACTCACTCCATTCTTGCATTCATTCATTTACCAGTAGTAAGTAGGACATAGGTCTTGCTTCAGAGGGGCACAGCAGAGAAGAGTTTAGACCTCAGGAGTTTCCAAGGCCTTATGCACAAGCTCGTATGTAGAGAAGCCCTTGGAGAAGTAGAGCTACAGGACTGGACTGAGGAAGGATGCCAGGAAGGGACACCACTTTTCATCAGTGGCCTGAGTTTCAGTTGACTGTATTCAAGGGATTGAGGAGAGAGGGAAGGGTCAGGCCAGAAACTGAGCCTTACAGAAGTGGAGGTGGGGGATGGGGGTTGGTGTTCACAGAGCATAGATACATAGAGAGAAATCAGAAAAAGGGAGCTTGATATAGAAAGAACCCTGAAAGGGAGTTCGAGACCAGCCGGGCCAACATGGTGAAACCTCATCCCTACTAAAACTAAAAAACGAAAACAAAAAAAGTGCCAGGCATGGTGGTATATGCCTGTAATCTCAGCTACTCGGGAGGCTGAGGCAGGAGAATTGCTTGAACCCAGGAGGCGGAGGTTGCATTGAGCTGAGACTGTACCACTGCACTCCAGTCTGGGCAACAGAGCAAGACTCGGGAGGGGAGGGAGGGAGGGGAGGGGAGGGGGGAGGGGGAGGGGGGAGTGGGAGGGGGGAGGGGGAGGGGAGGGGGAGGGGAGGGGAGCGGGAGGGGGGAGGGGGAGGGGAGGGGGAGGGGAGGGGGAGGGGAGGGAGGGGAGCGGGAGGGGGGAGGGGGAGGGAAGGGGACATGACCAGACAACTGGCAAGAGCCCAATAATGTTATCCTCCAGGTAAAGATTAAGTTAAACTATTAAGAATAACATTTGAAGCTTTAATATTCCCAAACTCCTTTCCAATATTACATCTCTAATACATTCTATACATATCCTATATTTTAGCCAAACTGGATGATCTGCTGTCCTCAAAGATTAAGCTTCACCATCTACTCTTCTTCATCTGCCCTCTCTCTGGAGGGTTTCTATTTCACCCTGTCTAGCAACTCTGCCTCAAAACCCTAATTATTTTTCAAGACTGATCATCTTCACAACACTGTTCTTGCTTGCTCAACAATCATCTAGAAGCTCACCTTCCTCTGAATCCTATTGCATTAATATTTTGCTTAGAGCTCATATGGAATTCTTTCTTGCAACAGTTCTTTCTTCACCTGTCTTATACCTGATGCTAATTTGTAAGCCACTTTAGTGCTGGCATCATACATCATTAATGTTTGCAAGCCTGTCTGTTTGGCAATACTTTAAATATCTCATAGATACTGCTTAAACTGAACTTATTTAAAATAAGTTGAGGAAAAAATAAAAAGAAGAAACATTAAAATAATGTTGAAAACTTTAGGCTTTAGGAAACATTCAGTTTGACTCCATCATTATGTAGACTATAATAATGATAATAGTAATAACTTTTATTTGTATAGTACTTTATCAAATAGTTTTACACACATAATCTTATTTTGGTTTTGATTTTCACCACGTGAGGACACTAGGGTGCCAAATGGTCAAGGCAGAGAGCCTGCAGAACTACTTTGGACATGAATTGGGTACTGTTTTCCCATTTTTGCAGTAGAAGTGGAGGTAATAGGGACCCAATGGCTTGTCCAATGACTAAAAAGAAGCAGAGCCCTACTGCCTTTTTATAACTATATAAAAGTCTACTTCTTATAATTATATTTAACTATGAAAGAAAATACAATGTGAAATAATTATAGAAATTGGAAATTATTTATATCTTTAATATTCTGTCTAAATATTTTTCAAAAGAAAGTATACACACACACACACACACACACACACACACTTACCTGTAGACTCTATGACTGTTACAGCAATATAAAGGTACTTGTTGTTTAAATCTTCTAAACTGTAGTATGACAGTTCTTTGACTGCTGTTTCAGAATCAAATGTGACTTGAGCAATTCCATTTATCAACTTTTTAAAAGGAGAAAAAGGAGGAGTTATTTCGGAGAAGAACTTATAAGGAAAAATTAATAAAATCTGCTTTTACTAACCTCTAAATTGAAGGTAAATGTCAGAAGAATGGTTTAGTGTCAAAAGTAAAGTAGATAACCGAGTCCACGATTAAGCCCAGGATGTTATTTTCTAATTATTTGTATAGAATTATAGAAGTAGAAGGGTCTTGAACATCACATGGTCCAACAGGTCTTTTTGGTAATAGCTGACAAACACGACTTCTTCCAATTCCTGCGTCATCATTCATCTTTATAGGCCTCTCAGCGTACTTCCGCCCTTAACTGAGAGTTTGTTGGTTTTTATAATATTTAATTTGTACTTCACTGCTTACAAATTTAAATACTAATTTTAAAACACACAATGAGTAAAGGGATGTGGGGTTAAGTCATATTATATTATTTAATTATTAACACAACAGTAAAATAAACTTTGCCTTATTTTTTCTTATAAAATTGAGCGACTTGAGGGCAGGCATTTTTGTCTTATTTAGCTTTACATCCCAGTGTCTAGCATAGAATTTTGCATTTTAAAAATGCATTTAATTTACATCTTGAATTAATAAGATTGTAGAGGATAAATGATTGATGATGCAAACCAAATGAATACGAAAAAGTGAGCAAAAATGACATGAACTCATATCATCTGTGGTATAATGTAAAGAATGCTGAATAAGGGAAAGGGAACCAGCGCCCTAATCTCAGTTCCAGCAATCATTAGCCCTAAACTATGGACAAATAACTTCATGAATATTTCCTTGCAAGAAACTATGCTGTCTCTGGGCATATAAGGGAAATGATTCAGACTCACAAATAGTTTAATATTGAAAATGATAGATAAGTAAACAAGCCATTCCAGTAAAGAAGGGTTTCTCAACCCCTCAGCATTATTGACATTTTGAACAGGATAATTCTTTGTTGTAGGGGCCTGCCCTGTGCATGGTAGGAATTTAGCAGCATCCCCGGCCTCTCCCTAGTAAACACCAGTAGCAACCACAAATGTCTCTGGACATTGCCAAATGTCTCCTTGGGAATAAAAAATCACCCCTAGTTGAGAACCGCTGCAATGAAATGTGAAGAATGTGTTAAGAAAAGAGGCTATACAGCCGGGGCAGCTAACCTAGTGTAGAAGAGTCAGGGGAGGCTTCCCAGAGAAAGGCTGTCAATGTTGAAACTTAAAGAATGAGAAGGAATTAGCCAGGCAAAGAAGGGGCAGGAGGTGACAATGGGAAAGAGCATTTTCAAGCAGAATAAATGATATTGTAAAGACCTGGAGGCAAGAGAGACTTTGGTCAGTTAGAGAAATTGGAGTGATTAATACAAAGGGGAGGGAGGGAGGAAAGGGCATGAGATCAGCTGGTAAGGGAGGCTGATGCCAAGGAAAATGAACTTTACCCTAAAGGCAAAGGGAAGCCAATGGAGGATTTTAAGTTTCAACCTATCTAAAATGGGGGATTGGACTAGATGGTTTTTAAGTAACTTCTCATCTCTCACCTCTGGATGCATCTGTAGGTGTGAGTGACTGTGTCTTAACATCTTACCATTGTGTTTTGCATTGCTGTTTGCATCATTTCTTTTTGATCATCTTTTAAGTCTTCTCTTATTCCAAATGTGATATAAACGTCAGCCTCAGTGACTACTTTATTATAAAAATATCTGTCAGACAATAGCATAAAACTGTTTTACTAACATGGTTACAATAACAGGATTCAGATAAAATGTAACAATTTGAAATTACGTAAAGCACTTGAGGCACTTTAAAGTGTCTTTCATCCTAAGCAAAAAGAACAAAGCTGGAGGCATCATGCTACCTGACTTCAAACTATACTACAAGGCTACAGTAACCAAAACAGCATGGTACTGGTACCAAAACAGATATATAGACCAATGGAACAGAACAGAGGCCTCAGAAATAACACCACACATCTACAACCATCTGATCTTTGACAAACCTGACAAAAACAAGAAATGGGGAAAGGATTCCCAATTTAATAAATGGTGATGGGAAAACTGGCTAGCCATATATAGAAAGCTGAAACTGGATCCCTTCCTTATATCTTATACAAAAATTAATTCAAGATGGATTAAAGACTTACATGGTAGACCTAAAACCATAAAAACGCTAGAAGAAAACCTAGGCAATACCATTCAGGACATAGGCATGGGCAAGGATTTCATGACTAAAACACCAAAAGCAATGGCAACAAAAGCCAAAATTGACAAATGGGATCTAATTAAACTAAAGAGCTTCTGCACAGTAAAAGAAACTACCATCAGAGTGAACAGGCAGCCCACAGAATGGAGAAAATTTTTGCAATCTACCCATCTGACAAAGGGCTAATATCCAGAATCTACAAAGAACTTAAACAAATTTACAAGAAAAAAACAAACAACCCCATCAAAAAGTGGGCAAAGGATATGAACAGATACTTCTCAAAAGAAGACATTTATGCAGCTAACAGACACATGAAAAAATGCTCATCATCACTGGTCATCAGAGAAATGCAAATCAAAACCACAATGAGATACCATCTCACACCAGTTAGAATGGCAATCATTAAAAAGTCAGGAAACAACAGATGCTGGAGAGGATGTGGAGAAATAGGAACGCTTTTACACTGTTGGTGGGAGTGTAAACTAGTTCAACCATTGTGGAAGACAGTGTGGCAATTCCTTAAGGATCTAGAACTAGAAATACAATTTGACCCAGTGATTCCATTACTGCGTATATACCCAAAGGATTATAAATCATGCTGCTATAAAGACACATGCACACGTATGTTTACTGCAGCACTATTCACACTAGCAAAGACTTGGAACCCACCTAAATGCCCATCAATGATAGACTGGATTAAGAAAATGTGGCACATATACACCATGGAATACTATGCAGGCATAAAAAAGGATGAGTTCATGTCCTTTGCAGGGACATGGATGAAGCTGGAAACCATCATTCTGAGTGAACTACCACAAGGACAGAAAACCAAATGCCGCATGTTCTCACTCACAGGTGGGAACTGAACAATGAAAACACTTGGACACAGTGCGGGGAACATCACACTCTGGGGCCTGTCATGGGGTGGGGGACGGGGAGGGATAGCATTAGGAGAAATACCTAATGTATGATGAGTTAATAGGTGCAGCAAACCAACATGGCACATGTATACCTATGTAACAAACCTGCACGTTGTGTACATGTACCCTAGAACTTAAAGTATAATAATAATAAATAAAGTGTCCTTCATGCACTATTACATTTCATCCTCATAAAGCCACATTAATAAAGCTATGTGCTAGATGAAAAAAATTGATCTTGGGGAGATCACAAGACTTAGAATCAGGGCCCTCTCCTATATGCCAAATTACTTCCTTGATAATTTTGATATCAGCTACTCTCTGTTTTCTTTTATGTTTTTAAAAGGTACGTGTCCAATCTCACTGTTATATGAGATCTATTCATAAAAAATTTAAACTGCATGTTTCCCTTTTTAGTTTAGAATTAAAGTAAGAATAAAGTAAACTTTCTACCCAGCAAATAATACTATAGCAAGAGCTAACTTTCCTTATTTATGGTTTGAATAAATAGTCCCCATTATAGGAGGTCAGTTTCTATAATTTTCTCTCAAGTGAGCCTTTTATGCTGGTTTAGACCAAGTAATAAACACTCTATTTTTCAAATCAATGCTAATAAGAGAGCTAGCATAGGGTAATGTTTGAGGCATGGACTCTGGAAGCAGACAGGCTGTGCAACTTACTAGCTGTATGATTTTGAGCAAATTATTAAACATTTATGTACCTCAGTTTTTCCACTTGTAACATGGGAATAGTAACAATATCAACGCATAGAGTTGTTGTAAAGATTAAATGTGCTAATATATGCTGAGTACTTAGAAGAGTACCCCACACATATAGTTATATAGATTGGTATAACTACATTATATTGTAATTTTAAAATGACCTAAGCTTTTGTGATAGGTTGCTTGCAAAACTAACCCCCAATTCTCTACCTCCCCATGTATCAACGACCTTTGCACAGTTCCTTGTGTCCACAAAGTGTGGGAGGGGTCTATTTCCTCTGGGCTGACCTTGTAACTTGCTTTGGACAAAAGAATGTGTGGAAGTGATGGTGTGCCAGCACCAAGCCTAGGCTCAGGGGGACTTTCATGCTTCCATTGCCTCTTTGAGTGTTGCTGCTGCTACAAGCTAGCCTGCTGGATGATGAGAGGCACACACACTTTTAGCCCCATCCAACTGCCAGACATATGGACAGGACCTTCCTAGACCAGCCAGCCCCCAGCTGACCTACCAACTGGCTGCAGCTACATGGGTGAGCCCAGCTGACACCAGCCTGGCCCAGATCAGCAGAACTTCCCAGCTGACTCATAAATGTGGGAGTTTCAAGGCACTGGGTTTTGAAGTAGTTACGCAGCATTAGCTGGCTGATTAAATCATTAAAAAAAGATAGGAAGTGAATCCTTCATATCTCAGTCCCAATATTCTAAGTTACCCTAGTTTCTAAACACATACACCAAACTTAGATCTTTGGCACTTTTCTTTGTTTTTGCTGTTGAATAGCCAACAAAGCTAAACTCAGAATCAGCTAAAATCAGAATAAGCAAATGAACTACCAGCATGATGTCTCCTTTATCAATTAGTCCCCAAATCATGGCACACTTTGATAATAAATCACAGATCTCACTTTGGGCAACTATCATCAACCAGAGTTGAGTTAATTTGAAAAATAAAAATAAAAACAACAAAAAAACAAATGTTCTTACCTTGCTTTTATAGTAATTTCAAAATTCTTAAAGTTCTTGTAACCAATGAAATTATATTCTGGCTCGATTGAGACAGAAAAATGTGGCAAGACTGAAAATAAAAACAAACAGGTAATATTACCATTTTGATTAGAGCAGACTTTAAAGCCTAGCAAACAGCTAGACTTTCTGGTATAGTTGGACAAGCTGTAACATCAACACAACATCCACTTTATTATCATAATCATCATCGTCATCATCGTCATCACCAACAACAATCTCTGCAGAACCTTCCCACTCCAACAATCAGAGGTCAATCCAGAAGCACTTTGCCTATATTTTGATTACAGCATTTATTATAGGCAATAGGTTATTTCTTCCATTAGAGTATAGGTTCCTTGAAAACAAAAAAACTTTTCAATTGTGACATAACATAATGAAATTTGCATTTCAAGATTATTTTGGCTAATACCAAGCAAGATAGCTTGGAAGCAGAGACATCAGTTAGGAGGCTTTTGCTGTAGTCCAGGAGGGAGAGTGCTGATGAATTGATGAGAGTGGCTACAGACAGTAAGAGGTGGGTGGATTCTAGATATACAGAGAAAATACAAAAACACTTAGAAGAAGGGAGATGGGTTAGGATTATATGTTACAGAGAGCCTGTAATCTTTAAGGTTGAGTTTCATCATAACGAATTTGTTTTGTCACTGTTTTTCTTGTTAATTGTTAAAATTTGTGTCAGTATTTATTCTTCTCCATGTCATTATGAATCTCTTGAGGGAATAAAAAATGGCTTCAAGCAGAAGAAAGTTAAATTTGATAGCAGAGCACACAGAAATGCTAGTAAACTACTATAAGAAATGAAAGATTAAACTATTTACGTTACTTGTTAGTCTATTAATATAATTTATTTCAAAATAAGAATATCTTAAATATTCAAATGAATATATTAGGAATTTAGGAGCCAGAAAATAGTGTTGGACTAGGGGTAAGGAAACCTAATTGTTGTTTTTGTTTTGTCACTAATTGGTTTTAAGACTCAAGTAAATCATTTATTGGTTTTACTGGGTTCCACTCACCTCATCTATGACTATTTAAGTTTCTCCTAATAATAATCACAATTCTAGAAAGGATCTTTACTAGTCAAGCTCTTCAGGGGACTAGATCTCTTCCAGCTCTCTGATGGGGAACACAAGTACACAGAGGTTGTTCTGCTTGATCAGGGTTAAAGGCATGCTGGAACTAGAATCTAGGCATTCAACTACTACTCCTCCCTCCAACCTCTAGCCAGTACTTCTAGCCATACGTACAGGCTGCCTCATCTTCATCTGGGAATAATTTTGCATTAACTACATTATTAAAAAGAATTATTGCAAAACACTAACTTTTTATAGAAAAACTTTTAATTGGCTGGGTGCGGTGGCTCATGCCTGTAATCCCAGCACTTTGGGAGGCCGAGGTGGGTGGATCACGAGGTCAGGAGTTCAAGACCAGCCTGGCCAAGATGGTGACACCCTGTCTCTACTAAAAATACAAAAATTAGCCGGCTATGGTGGTTGGTGCCTGTAATCCCAGCTACTTGGGATGCTGAGGCAGAGAATTGCTTGAACCCAGGAGGCGGAGGTTGCAGTGAGCTGAGATCGTGCCACTGCACTCCAGCCTGGGCAACAGAGCGAGACTCCATCTCAAAAACAAAAAACAAAAAGCAAAGAAAAACTTTTACTTGTCAGAAATTACCATATTCTTTAACTTCAAAATATGCGGTTCCAGTTGTTGAAAAGTCCTCTTTATATTTAGCCTTGATCGTCCACATACCATATCTGTGGAAGCAAAATATTTAAAATTATAGATGTCATCAAATGTTTTTAATTCACTCAGAGGAGATCTAATAAATTCCTGTTTTAAAGAGGGAAGAATACACAAAGATATATAAAACCTAAGTAATATATTTTATTTGTGACTGATTTTTAAGCAATAAATAATTGAGCATTTTTAGGATAATAGATAATAGATATTGTTTAGTAACCAGTTTTTCATATATTGTATTATTTTTCCTGGTATTTTATCTTAATACAGTCATTAGTTTTGATTTGAAGAACTTATTATTTCTGAGAATTTATTTAATCTTGGAGCCTAATTATGCTAACATAATACTAAAATCCAAAATACAGTACAAAATCCATAATAACGTCTCTAGAAACATATAATACAAGACAAGCTTATACAGATGATAAAATTTACACCTCACAAAAATGAATTTATGGTTGGAAACAAAGCATGGTTTTTAAAAGATGAAAATGACCTGGCTTTAATTAATAACCTTTATTCAAAAACATATACTAGGCCAGGTATAGTGGCTCATGCCTATAATCCCAGCACTTTGGGAGGCCAAGGCAGGAGGATCGCTTGAGCCCAGGAGTTCGAGACCAGCCCAGGCAACATGATGAAACCCCATCTCTACAAAAAAATACAAAAATTAGTCTGGTGTGGTGGTGCATGCTTGTAGTCCCAGCTACTTAGGAGGCTGAGGTGGGAGAATTGCTTGAGCCCGCGAGATCAAGGCTGTGGTGAGCTGAGATCACACCACTGCACTCCAGCCTGGGTGACAGAGTGAGACTCTGTTTCAAAAAAACTATGGGTGTGTGTGTGTGTGTGTGTGTGTGTATGTATGTATATATGTGTGTATACACACATATATATACACACACACACACATATATATACTGAGCCTACCTTGCAGATTGGCTATGAAGTCCACAAATGTTAATAGTATTATAATAATGATTATTACCATCATCATCAATTCAATGAATATTTATCAAGGGCCTATTATGTTGAACTGCTGGTGTGCAATACAGACAAGGCCCACCTTAAAGAGTTTATAAGCTAGTGGGGAATAAAAATGCCAGCAAGCAAGTAAAGAAATGATTATGACATTGAGATAAGTGTCATGAAGAAAATAAACAAGATGCTGAGATAGGGAGTAAAACAAAGCAAGAGATTACATTACATCATGCATCCAGGAATAGCCTTTTTGTAGTAGCTTCTACTCTGGGTCATAACAATGAAAAGAAGCCAGGCTTATGAAGAGCCAGGTGAAGCCCATTCCAAGTAGAGGGGATGACATGTGCAAAGGCACGGAGGTAGGAAAGCACTGGACATGCCAGACCATGGCTAGCACATAATTTGCCATGGGGCAAGTGGCACAAGATGAAGTTGGAGAAATGATAGCAGTAATAAAATAATAGGTTTAATTCTGCACTATGGAACATGTAGTATTTTCAAGAATGTACACAATTTTTAAATTATCCAAGTTATTTAAAACCTCCAAATTCAATTTAAATTTTTAGAAAAATTTCAGTCAGCGAATTAACTGAGGGCAGAGGAAAAATGACCATAAAAAGATGTTGTTCTAAAATTCTAGTGCAGCCATGTATAGATGCACTTGTCTTATTCATTCTGCTCTATTATAAATTTCTTTCTTTCTTTTCTTCCCTCCTTCCTTCCTCCCTCCCCTCCCTCTTTCTTTCCTTCCTTCCTTCCTTCCTTCTTCTTTCTATCTTAGTTGGAGTTTTGCTCCTGTTGCCCAACATGGAGTGCAGTGGCATGATCTTGGCTCACTTTAACCCTCACCTCCCAGATTCAAGCGATTCTCCTGCCTCAGCCTCCCGAGTAGCTGGGATTACAGGTGCCTGCCACCACGCCTGGCTTTTTTTGTATTTTTGATAGAGACGGGGTTTCACCATGTTGGCCAGGCTGGTCTCAAATTCCTGACCTCAGGTGATCCACCGACATTGGCCTCCCAAAGCGTTGGGATTACAGGCATGAGCCACCGCACCTGGCCTATTACAAATTTCTTGAAAGCAGGGACTGTGGATTATTTATTTTGTATCTCTCCCTCTTATTGTGATTTGCACATACCAAGAATGTGTTCATTGAATATTTATTACATTGAACCCTGTTTAAACTTTTTCTTAAATCCTTTCATGTGAGGCCAAATAATAGATATAGCTCTGAGAACTCCTTCCCTCTTGGACTTTGCCTTCTGGTAGTTTATCCAGGCAAAAACTACAGACGACCCTATTTTATAGCAACCAGAGCAAGGAACAAGACCACACCAGCCTTTTAAACTGACAATCTATTAGATACTTTGAGGGGTAGGAGTTGATGTTTTTTATGACAAAAAAACCTGGGTACTATTTTTTCCTCTTCCCAATTTTTATTTCTATATGTAAAAAGAATGGCTGAGAAGTATTGGAAATTTTTTGCCAAGAACAGAGCTTAAGTTCTTGCTAGAACTTCAAAAGATTTTGCATATCCACCTATGTGACACCCTTTGTTAACATTAGGTGGCCCCCTTTAACTGGTTACCTGCTTCTTCACCAAAAGTTCCGTATGTGGTTTTATTAACAACTATTTTTACATACCTAGGATTAGACGGAATCTTGAAGTCAGGAAAAGAGATAATTCCAATATGATCAATTTCTTCTACCATGTCAACTTCTGATCCTTCAGGATCCTGTAAATAAAAACAAACACCCTCAAAGGCCAGAAACTACATTTTAAAAAATTTAACTGATTATACAATCTTTGATGTACAAAATATTTATAGATCAAATATTTGAAGACAAATACCCATGTCTTCAAATTAAATATGAAGGATGAAGATCTGTTAAATGTTATAGAAGGGAAATATGGTTCATTTCAGCCATTTCCCTTCTTCTTTTTCCAATCTTCCCCATCTCTCCTCATTATCTTGAAGAGACTCAACTCTCGTTGTACATCTAAAAGATGAAGTGTAACAACACGTAAAAACAACAACAAACAAACAAACAAACAAACAATGATGTTTTTGATAAACTAAATGTGAATTTTGTTGGCTTTATAAACACCAGAATCTAATTTTTATATATGTTCATTTAAAGCTTTCAAAAGCAAATATTCTATGAATTATATTTTTTAGCCAGATGTTTTATAAATGTATAGTATGGGCATTTTTCAGCTTGGTAAAACTCTCAAATGGTTAAACAAACTTGACAGTTCTCGTAAAGCTTCCCCATAAACTTAATTTTGTGTTTGGGTTAGCAAATAATTGAAATGAGGTTTTGACTTTCTTTGGACTACACATGGGGGTCCAATTCAGCCTTAACTCAACACATAAACATAGCAGGCAACATAAGTGAGGCCCCTATCTGTACAAAAAACTTTTTTGAGACAGGGATCTTGCTCTGTGATCCAGGCTGGAGTGCAGTGGTGTGATCATAGCTCACTGCAGCTTTGAACTCACAGGCTCAAGCAATCCTCCCACCTCAGCCTCCCAAGTAGCCAGGACCACAGGCACATGCCACCATGCCCAGCTATTTTTTTTTTTTTAATTTTTAGTAGAGATGAGGTCTCTCCAGGTTGCCCAGGCTGGTCTCAATCTCCTGAGCTCAAGCAATCCTCCCATTTTAGCCTCCCAAAGTGCTGGGATTACAATTACAGGCATGAGTCACTGACCAGCCTACAAAAAAATGTTTAAAGAGTTAGCAGGGTGTGGTGATGGGTGCCTGTAGTCCTAGCTACTCAGGAAGCTGAGGTGGGAGGATGGCTTGAGCCCAGGAGTTTGAGGCTACAGTGAGCTATGATCACACCACTGCACTCCAGCCTTGGTGACAGAGCAAGACCCTGTCAAAAACATACAAACAAAAACAAACAAACCAACAAAAAACCCAAAGCAAAAAATCTTAGCACCATTTACCATGACTGAAATTCACAGTTGGATTTTAGAGGTTTTATTTCGTAATTAATTGTAAAACTTACAGAAGCCTATTTTGAACAAGAATTATACTTGTAGCTGAGTATTTTTATGGCTCTTCTTCATCGCACTATCCATTGTGCACAATTCTTCTAAGATCATCTTTCTCAGGTACTATTTTGAGGATACTTCCTCTATATTAACTCCTTAAGGCTCTGGGATCAGCTTTCTCAATCTTTTCTTCCTGGGGCAGCTCTTACAAGAGATGACTGACATTCATTTTTCTGCAGGTTATGCCATGATTCTGCATCACTTAAGTTCAACCATGAAGACGTTGGATAAAGAGCATACATCCACACCCCTATCATTCCCTGATAGAAAAAGGGCATTTGAGCTGACATTGCTCTCCTTAGTTCTCTTTCAGACATTCTATCAGTCAATCAGTTTATTTACTAGCTTCATTTTTTTTTATTTCTTCTTGCCCCCATAGCTTAACTCACACTGTTTCTTACATGGATGGTCTTCACTATTTTTAAATAATTTATGTCAATTCCTTTCATTAACACCCAACTCAGGGTTCCCTTTAACTACTCCGTTCCAGAGAAGGATGTGTATCACCCCCACTCTCACCTCTCATTGGTCTTCCCTCTGAGCTCATGGTATTTGTCCTACTGTATAATTTATTTGTTTTATATTTTAGTATGGTTTTGTTCTGTAGTATCTATGCTTTTGCACCTGCATTCTGATAAGTTTTTATTTTTATTTTTTGGTTTTTTTTTTGAGTAGCAGCAAAAGTGCTGCAGCCTATATTGAAGGACCATTAGTAGTATACCTACTGTTAATAACTGAGCAGTTATAACTAGTTGTATTATTTTATTTCCTCACAAAAGTGTTTGGGGTATGTGACACAAATTAGATGAGATCATGGGAGTTCAATGCACAGCGTCTGTTACATATGTCATGTCTGATAAATGGTGAATTACTGCCAATCTTTAACTCATGATTTAGCAAGATTTTTTGTGTTAGTATAATAGTTATTAAACTCTAAGTTCCTTAAGAGTAAGTACCATTAAATATAGTTCTTTTGCACATAATAAATACATAATAGATATATCCATTATGTATATCTTATAGTTAAATGGGTATTCAGTCAATTCTTAGTGATTGGTGGGTGGTTTTTTGTTTTTTGGTTTTTTTTTTTTTTTTAGATTTTCTTTTTTGAGATGGAGTCTCACACTGTCACCAGGCTGGAGTGCAGTGGCACAATCTCGGCTCACTGCAAGCTCTGCCTCCCGGGTTCAAGCAATTCCCCCACCTCAGCCTCCCGAGTAGCTGGGACTACAGGCGCCTGCCACTGCACCAGCTAATTTTTTGTATTTTAGTAGAGATGAGGTTTCACTATGTTGGCCAGGTTAGTCTCGATCTCCTGACCTCGTGATCCACCTGCCTCGGCCTCCCAAAGTGCTGGGATTACAGGTGTGAGCCACCACGCCCGGCCAGTGGGTGTTCTTTAAAAAATAAATCAGCAAGATTGTACTTAAATGGTTTAGCTCAAAATCCTTCAAGTTATTGAAATTTAATTTGTATGAGCCTTTCACATACGTGTATTACAGAGGTATAGATCTATGATTCTATACTCATTGCAGATGTTCAATAACCATTTATGGAACATTGAATGATTTAGTGTAGTGTGAGGACAGGGTTATGAAATGAGATTCTTGTCCTGAAAAATGAATTAAAGTATTATTTAAATAAATAAAATACTTACTATGAAAGTTAAGACAGTTTCTCTTTTGGCTGGCTTCAAGTCGTCATTCAACGAATAAACTCTAACTTTTACTGTAAGAATAATTGATATAATCAAAAACTCTGCTAAAAACAAGGATATTTTGATTTTTTAAAACAACCATCCTTAAAAGAGATGAATCTTACTTTAAAAAACTCAATACACAAAAGTCCATATTTGAAAAAAACAAAAATTAGTTTGCAGACATATACATTACTAAAGATTCTCTTATTTAAGAGAATCCTCAGGGATTCCTTTAAAGAACTATTTCTCTTAGTGGATTTAAAGTACAGTTCACTTTCTTAAAATACATTTACCTACAATGTTTTGAGAAAACATTCACAGTATGAAATTAATTACATCTGTAATTAGGCCATTATTTATTAAGAATTTCATAGTAGCAAAATAGTGACATCACCATATGGTTATAGAGGAGCATAATATATTGTCTCAGAGTTGAAGATCTTAATGGAAAATTGGGAGCTTGATTCAGACATACACTCTTCCACTTATGAAAACCCACAAGGCTCCAAATTAGCTCTTATTGCAAAAGGCAGCTTTGGATTATATGGTTTTGTTCTATTTATTGAGCCAGATCCTACACTTGTTCGCTCATTGTTAAAAGAGCAATGGCAGGGGCTCAATAACTGTTAGTTCTCTTCCATTTCTTTCTGTCAGTTAATAGATCCCTACTTTTTAAACAAAAGCATCTGTTTCGCTTTTAACTCACAGCTGTTTGAGACACAGTGATCTAATTCTTTCCAATGACAAACTTAATTTCTCTAGGGTGTTGCTGATGCTCAAATCATTTCATGGCCAAAACTTTACCCACAAAATAAAATAGAACTGGCACCATAAACCCAGTATCTTTTAAAAGATCAGTATTATGCAAAGCTCTATATAAGAAGCCACATTAACACTGGTTTTACTAAGTTCACAAGATAAAAACAATGTGCTCAGTAAATGCCCCACCTCTCTGCTCTCTCCTTCCCCTCACACCTGTCTCCCACCACAAATCCTATCTCCTGCTTTTTGGGACACACCCAGTCTAGGCCTGAGTATCACTGGGAAGCTGCCCAAGTCAGAAAGTCACAAAAGTTAAGAGCACAGGCCCTGGAATTAAACACTTTGGTTTCACTCCTGCCTCTGCCACTTTTTAGTATGACCCTGAGCAGGATACTTAATCCCTCTAAACCTTAGTTAACTCACTTGTAAAACAGGAATACTAGTGTGTGCTCATAGTGTCCTTGTGAGAATTAAATAATGCAAAGCTTTTGCATAGCCTGACACATACTAAGTAATCAATAAATGTTTATTTTATTATTATTTCTGTTACTACTATTTGGCTAGTTTTTAACCCAGTTTGTGTTTAGGTTAGAAAATTAATCTTGTCTTCACAGCGATGGTACATTGGAGGCAAGATCTATACAATTTTTTGTATAAAAGATATGGCTTATTGGCCGGGTGCAGTGGCTTACACCTGGAATCCCAGCACTTTGGGAGGCCGAGGTAAGTGGATCACTTGAGGCCAAGAGTTCAAGCCCAGCCTGGCCAACATGGTGAAATCCCATCTCTACTAAATATACAAAATTAGCCAGGCATGGTGGCACGCGCCTGAATCCCACTTACTTGGGATGCTGAGGCTGGAGAATCGCTTGAACCTGGGAGGCGGAGATTGCAATGAGACAAGATTGCACCACTGCCCTCCAGCCTGGGTGACAGAGCGAGACACTCACTAAATAAAAATAAAAATAAAAGATGTGGTTTATTAATTTAAAAAAAGTTTGAATGCCAGGCTGGAGTGCAGTGGCGCAATCTCGGTTCACTGCAAACTCCACCTCCTGGGTTCATGCCATTCTCCTGCCTCAGCCTCCCGAGTAGCTGGGACTACAGGCACCCACCACCATGCCTGGCTAATTTTTTGTATTAGCTCACATCCCGTGTGAGCCAGGATGGTCTCGATCTCCTGACCTTGTGATCCGCCTGCCTCGGCCTCCCAAAGTGCTGGGATTACAGGCATGAGCCACCGCGCCCGGCCTTGAATGCCTTCTAATGTGCCAGTCATTATGCTACGTACTGAGATACAGTAGTGAAACAAATCAGACATGGACATCTTTTAATGGTGTGGAGGAAAGAGGCAAACACAATTATATGTAAAATTCTAGGGTGTGAAGTGCCACAAAGGATATTTGCCTGGCCTTATGAGCATGTAGAAGAGGGAGATTTGAAGAGGTCAGGGAAATCAGCGAAAGCTGCCTTTAGAAGGATCTGTGATGACACGTGAGGGTGAAGTAGGAGTTAACAAGGCAAAGGAGGGGCAAGAATGTACCATGTAGAGGCAACAGCATGTTACACAGGCCTTAATATGGATGGGGAAACGGTGTGAGAAAGCATCTGAAAGGAGGTCAGTTTGGCTTGTGTCTATAGAGGGTGGGGCCGTAGTAGGTGATGAAGCTGGGGAAGAAGGCAGGACACAGGCTTTATGAAATTGAAGGATTTTGGGCAATATTCTAAAGTCATTTATCCAGTAAAGCCTTGAAGCCTTTATCCTAAAGATGCTTACACTAAAAATCCCTCAAGAATCTTCAGATTAAATGTGTTGATCGGGACATTATAGCTATAAATAACAAGACGATTAAAAAATACTTTTAAGTAATTATTTTTCTTTTCTGTAAATATGGCTTTGTGCTATTCCATAGATAATAATGGAAAACACTTTCCTAGTGCTTACTGTGTGCTTGGCTCTATCTTAAGTGCTTTACACATACTAATTCAGTTAATTCTCACAACTCTATGAGGTAAGTTGTATTATTATCTCTATTTTACAAGTGAGGAAAGTGGGAGTCTGAGAGGCTGAGTGATTCACACAGGGTCATACAGCTCACAGCAGCTCAAGCTGTGACTTGAACCCAGACAATCTGACTCCAGAGTCTGCTTTTAACCAATTTACTTCACTATCTTGCAGAAATGGGCCAATATTTATAGCAAACTTCTCTCATTTTACTCTACGATTAGAATGGATGAGGATATTACATCGTCTTCTTTTTTTTTCTCTTTTTTTTTTTTTTTTGAGACAGTCTTGCTCTGTTGCCCAGGCTGGAGTGCAGTGGCGCGATCTCACTGCAACCTCTGCCTGCCATGTTCAAGCAATTCTCATGCCTCAGCCTCCCGAGTAGCTGGAATTACAGGCGTGCACCACCACATCCAGCTAATTTTTGTATTTTTAGTGGAAACAGGGTTTCACCATGTTGGTCAGGCTGGTCTCAAACTCCTGACCTCAAGTGATCCACCCGCCTGGGCTTCCCAAAGTACTGGGATTACAGGCATGAGCCACTGTGCCTGGCCAGGTATTACATCATCTTACAGTAAAGTCCTGATAGAGAAATAATACATGAAGCCTTTTTTTTTTTTTTTTTTTTTTGCTGAGACGAAGTCTCACTCTTTCGCCCAGGCTGGAGTGCAGTGGCTTGATCTCAGCTCACTGCAACCTCTGCCACCTGGGTTCAAGCGATTCTCCTGCCTCAGCCTCCAGAGTAGCTGGGATTACAGGCGCCTGCCACAGTGCCTGGCTAATTTTTGTAGTTTTAGTAGAGACAGGGTTTCACCATCTTGGCCAGGCTGGTCTTAAACTCCTGACCTTGTGATCCCCCCACCTCGGACTCCCAAAATGCTGGGATTACAGGCATGAGACATGAAGCCATTCTTAAGGAAAGCCTTGATAACCGAGGAAGGTCCCAGCCTCTGGATATTACACTGCTTACTGGACAAAGACTGATGACCCTTAGTTGTGGGACGTGTCAACAGGATCCAAGCAAAAAAGAATCCTTCAATGTAGGAGGAGGACAAGAGAGATGATATGCTTGTTTCTAGGTATGATTATGTCTAAAAGGACCCAACCTTTGTGGGCAGAGACTATTTCCTTGTATAAAAAGTTGTCTCTTGGAGAAAAAAGATGCTATTATTCTGGAGATTTTATTCTGGCCAAGTAGATAGCAATATCTCCACCCCCTTTAGGCTTTTCCTTTCTGAGCTGATCATAACAAATGCTCCTGCTGAAACGGTAATGGTTCAGTCCAGTTCCACCCCACTATTCTCATCATCAACATCAACCAACATTTAGCAAATATCTACTGTGTACAAAGTTTTTCAACAAAGTCAGATGGTCCCCACTTCCTTTCTCTGTCCTCCTCCAAGAATATCATTAATGAAATTCCATAGCCTCTCCTTCCCATATATACATCTCTAATATTCTATTTCTGATGTACTTAAAAGTCATTGATGACGAGAGGGAGAAACGGGGGAATGGAAGGCTTTGCAAACACATGAATATATTGGGAAGCATTCATACTTTTCTGTGTTTTACTTTTGGTTCATTGGGAATAGGTCCAGTCATTCCTATTCACATGATTTTGATTGGCTATTCTGCCCTTTTGCCTCTAACAGAAGAACCATGAATGTTAAACAATGTTCTAACAGTAACTTTCTTAGGTAGATCCCCTTTGAAAATTAATATCCATATATTTCTGTGATCTAGTTTATCCTCTGCTGAAATATCTGATCCCCTAGGTTAGATTTATTTTTCCAGTTTGGGGATTAGCTCCAGACCCAGTGGAATTTTTAATGAACATGGTTCTACAATAAATTATATTTTCCCATTGCCAAATTATATTTGCAATTAAGTCTTATATTTGTTTAATAAATTGTAACATATTGGAAAACAAATTTTTCTTGTTTTCCAAACTTTTACAATAATTTCGCATAGCTAATTCTACAGCAGTTGGTTTTTGTAACAACATAACATTTTACATTTTTACATAACATTCAACATTTTACAATTTTGAAAAAGCATTTTCTACTTGGAAATAAGTGATGGGGCAGGTAATGTAATTGTTGGTTTTGTAATTTATTTAGCACTTTCTCCATAAATTTAAAATTAAAATGCTATTAAATATTTGTAAGTATAGATGTCTTTGGGAATTGAGAGTCTTTTGAGCAAATTAAAAAGAAACCGATCTCCACTCAATTTCAGGTATTAAAAAGCTCTACAATATAGTGTCAATACTGTCAAATCCCCCACCCAGAGGAAGAAATATCTTATAATCTACCTGACTGGTCTGGAGTATAAACAGGTTTGTCTGTATGAATGAAGAGAAATCCATTGTCATAGGTTATTGGCATTCTTTTTGATTTTGAAAAATGCTTTGATACAACTTCCAAATACACATAAGAAACTGGGTTTTGTCCTCCAGGCAATTGTTTTGGTTGTATCTGGAAAAGAAATTGTTGATGGAAAAAGTATAATAATTCTAAAGTTATTAAACCATTAACTTTCTAAATACAACTGTAATCTCATTAGAACAATCAGTATGTATATGTAATCATTTAAAAAGTGATACAGGAGCAAGAAGAGTAAATAAATTTTGCCCGAAGCCCTTCAGTGTCTAATTACATAATAAAAATTTAGCTTTAAGCAATTGAAAGTCTCTTTGGTTCCATGTTTCCTAAATTTTATATACATTTAGTGAAACTACTACTATAAAAGCCTTTAAGAAACCTTCACTCAATTAGTTTGCTGGGTTACCCCATGCTCCCCATTCCCTTTGTGAAACCTCCTGACCGATTCTCTGGACCCTTAGCTTTTTTTTTTTGAGACGGAGTCTCACTTACTCTGTTGCCCAGGCTGGAAAGCAGTGGTGCCATCTCAGCTCACGACAACCTCTGCCTCCCAGATTCAAGTGATTCTCCTGCCTCAGCCTCCCAAGTAGCTGAGATTACAGGTGTGCGCCACCATGTCCAGCTAACTTTTTTTTTTTTTTTTTTTTGTATTTTTAATAGAGACGGGTTTCACCATGTTGGCCAGGCTGGTCCTGAACTCCTGGCCTCAAGTGATCCACCTGCCTCGGCTTCCCAAAGTGCTGGGATTACAGGCATCAGTCACCGTGCCCATGTGTCCAGCATCTCTGGACCCTTAGTATTACCTCACATATTTCTGCTCCCCTGAGTTGAGATGCTCATTTTCCAATTTATGTTTGTAATTATCCCCTTTACATTCAATGATATGTAAATTTAATGCATGAAAAGTGATAAAAAAGAAAAGTGTATCTATGAAAAATTAGGCTTTGGAAACACGGGATGAAAGTTAATTACAAAAACCAACTGCTGTAGAATTAGCTATGCGAAATTATTGTAAAAGTTTGGAAAACAAGAAAAATCTATAAATATTCTGCACCCAGATTGCTTTGTAAGTGCCTTTAAGTTCTTTCTCCCCTTTTAAGAAACAGAAACTATAGAACAGGCTGGGCACAGTAACCTATGCCTGTAATCCCAGCACTTTGGGAGGCCGAGGCGGGCGGATCACCTGAGGTCAGGAGTTCGAGACCATCCTGGCCAACATGGTGAAACACCTTCTTTATTAAAAATGCAAAAATTAGCCAGGTGTGGTGGTGCACGCCTGTTAATCCCAGCTACTTGAGAGGCTGAGGTGGGAGAATTGCTTGAACCTGGGAGGCGAAGGCTGCAGTGAGCCGATATTACACCACTGTCTTCCAGCCTGGGTGACAGAGCGAGACCCTGTCTCAACAACAACAACAACAACAACAAAAAAGAAACTATAGAACAAAGATGATCCATTAAATTTGTAGCACGTAATAAATGAGATTTGACACTGCAATCCATAGACCCACACTTAAAAGACCTTGGTACAACATTAAACAATTGGCAAATAAAGATACATGATATTGCTATGATAAAATTAAATGGTTAAAATATGTATTGACTATGATTGCCCCACCTTAATCTAGTTTTTCAGTTAATCATATAGGTCAGCACTGTTCAGAGAACTTTCTGTGATGACAGAAATATTCTATATCTATGCTGTTTACTATGGTAGCCAATAGCTACCTGGGGCTATTTGAACACTTGAAATGTTGCTAGTGCAACTGAGATACTGCATTTTTAATTTCAGTTAAATTTGTTTGATTTAAATTTAAAACTAAGAGCCACAAATACATTGTATCAGATAAAAGAGTGTCTTTTGAAAGTAACACTTTCTTTTTTTTTTTTTTTTTTTGAGATGGAGTCTCACTCTGTTGCCTAGGCTGGAGTGCAGTGGCGCGATCTTGGCTCACTGCAACCTCCGCCTTCTGGGTTCAAGCGATTCTCCTGCCTCAGTCTCCCGAGTAGCTGGGATTACAGGCATATGCCATAAAAGTAACACTTTTAATAAATGAATTTTAATTGTTAACAAACCTAATAAGTGGAAGAATTTGTTAAGAGATATGAGCATTTACTGCTAAGAACATTAAAGAATTCCTATGTTTGACTAGAAATTTTTTAGATTAGTGTTTCTTAAACTTGAGTAATATGCATAGTCCTTTTAAAGGACAAAAGTCATGGAGGACCCTCAGCATTGGCTTTTTATTATTTATAACATAATCAAAATAATTTTTGATACAAAGATACTTAAATATATACAAACTTAAAACGGTACAATCTTATGCTTATGATTTTTGTATAATTAAAAACTCAAAACAAATTTATAAAATAAATTCAAAATGTTACAAAATCAATATAATTCGAATTTTAAGCTCTTTATTAAATTTCCATTTTTAATTTCTTTATAAAGAACTCACTTTAGAGAAACTCTGGTCTAAATGAACTGCAGAGCCCATTTTACGTCTGATATTCTTTGATTTTCTTTATTAAGTATCAGAATTTTTAGTAAAAATAAGTTGCAAGTATGTCTCTAAGCAATCTATACTACAATATCTTAATAGGAGAGTTATTTGATCAAGGTTGTTCTTTCTATTAACTGCAGGTTGTCAATGAGAGCTATTCACTTTAGTAATCACAAATTTTTTAGTTTTTGAAACTATAATTGTAGAATATTAGAGTTCAATCGAATGTTCAATAATATCCATGGATTTTTGTGGGCAATGTACTACAGATAAAATCATACTCATATTTCTCAATTTCTTTCTAATAGTAATTTTCATAGCAAACAAGTATTTTCAATTATCTCCAAATATTTTCACATTAGTACAATTTTATTTTCCAATAAGAATGTGAAAATGGACATGCATTGCTCAAAAAGCAGACATAACTTCTGTTTAGAATTTTCTGTTTCTGTTAGAATTTTCACTTACATTATCATTAGTGACTGACATCATCTAATAATCCCACAGTGGATGTAAATGATTAAATCTATATGTTATCAATATTCAAACTTTGTACACATTTTTATTGAGAATATTCTGTATATATATATAAAGAAAATAAAGGATAAATACATACTGTTAAGATTGCAGAGTTTTGGAATTTATTCTCTGAGGATAAATGAACATGGCCTGAGGAGTAACTAAATTTTTTATCAGGATAACTTTTAATAGAGATTGTTGCATCAAATGCTTCAGTGTATCCATAAACTTGAATCACAATATTTTCAGATGCTCCAACACGGAATATTTTTGGTGCTGAAATGACATATCTGTTGAAAAAGGAAAAGATAAGGCTCAATGTCTTTATATGACATATTTTCTTTTACTTTTGATTTTTTTCTCTCACTTGAGAGATTCCATTTAAAATACATATATTTCCTCACTTAAAAATGATACTAATAAGTCAAAATGTACTTGTGACCCACCATAACTTCAGCATAATTTCCAAGTAGTTTGGAATTAAGACCTGAGAAGCTGGAGGTTTAGTTTACATTTAGAAAGTTAAGGTGATAGCAGCACTTTCTCTTAGCTACTGCAGCCAAGGAAGACTTTTAATCATGTTGACCAGAACATGTAAATGGGGTCAATATTTTTTGCTCAATGAAGAAAAAAGCAGTGATTGAATTCCAGCTGTGGCATCTGCTGGCTGAGTGACCGTGGTAAAGTCACTAAGTCTTTCTGAGGCTAAAATAACTTACTGTGAAAATAATCGCCTTCTTTACCAGGCTCTGGTAAAGATTAAATAAGAACATATATATGAAAAGGTCTAGCACTCTTAGTACTCAATACATGTTAAGATTTATTAATCTCACTAAATTAGTTTAAAGGGAGTGATCTTAGAAATACTATGTTATACTAGTAAACGGATAACGGAAAGGATAGAATATGAGTGAGCTGGGAAGTGCATTTGGAAATGGAAATAGTGATGATGGTCCTTTAAGAGCAAATCATCATCTTCAAACAATAATGGTAATTAAGTACTTGCCACATATCAGAGGCTGTATCAGCACTTTACATACAGCTCTTGTTAATTTTTACAATAAGCCAATGATGCTGGTACTATCATTATTCGTACTTTGCAAGTGGTAAAAGGCTAACTTGGCTAAGGTTATACGGTTTGTAAGTAAATGGGGGAGGCCTTTATATGAGTTCTCAGTTGTTATGTGTACAGTTGAGGTCAAGTTTATATGTTATTCACAACCATAGACTGTTCTCTTATTTTTACTTTTCATGTGATTTATACAATAATGGAAGTGAGTCTATACATGCTTTTGAGTGATTTTTAAAAATTATTTTATTTAAAAACTTACAAATATAAACTGGATTACTAAGTGTATATCACAAGAGTATCTAATTTGAATAGCGAGAACTACATACGCTATTACATAGGAAAAAAAAGTGTTTTAACCCAAAAGGGCATAGTGATCGACTAATTCAAGTGGCCCAACAAGCTTGGAGGGCACCCACCACCCCAC
This sequence comes from Homo sapiens, assembly GCF_000001405.40. NCBI lineage: Eukaryota > Metazoa > Chordata > Mammalia > Primates > Hominidae > Homo > Homo sapiens. Next base: position 121,047,590 of record NC_000009.12, read on the forward strand.
CTGGCAGAATTATTCCAGGCTTCTGCCAACATTGTGACATTTTAAGAGTCTGGTAAAAGCAGGAAGTTTTTAGTAACAATGGAATTAATTTATCAGCAATTAAATCCTTTAAAGCATCTGACAGTTATCCTGCATTACAATTAATTTGGATCCACTTACAGGCAAATTACAAAAGAGAGGAAAGAATTTCCAGATTTCCAACCATCATCTGAATTCCCCTTCCCCACATGCCTAGTAGGAGATGGCAGAAAATGAGAGGAGTTCAGTTTTTATGATAATAAGATATATTTACTGAAATTTTGCCCTGTGATAAGGCACTATTCTGAATACTTTATTTGTATAAACTCATTGTGTCATTACAACCACTCTGTGAGGAACTATTACTCCAATTTTAAGGTGAAGAAACTGCTAATTAATTTTCCCAAGGCCACACATATAGGATTTATGAATTCTATAATTCACAAATTATAGAATTAGAAATCGAACCTGAGCAGCCCGTTTCCAGAATTAACATTTTCAACTGTTGTACTAAATGGAATTTATAAAGAGTTTTGTAATTAGAAAAATTTAGGGATATAAAGCTACTTTAATTTCAGTATTTATAGAAGCTTTATGTTTTTAAGTTTAGTATTGCTTTAATTTTGAATTGTGTATGGTAGGGGTCCCCAACCCCTGGGCCATGGACAAATACCAGTCCATGGCTTGTTAGGAACCAGGCTACACAGCAGGAGGTGAGCAGTGGGGCAAAGGAGCATTACCACCTGAGCTCTGCCTCCTGTCAGATCAGTGGTGGCATTAGATTCTCCTAGGAGCATGAACTCTATTGTGAACCGCACATGCGAGGGATCTAGATTGCAAGCTCCTTATGAGAATATAATGCCTGATGATCTGAAGTGGAACAGTTTCATTCTGAAACCATCCCCACCCCAATCCTGGTCCATGGAAACATTGTCTTCCACAAAACCTGTCCCTAGTGCCAAAATGGTTGGGGACTGCTGGTCTATGTGATGGTAGCCGTCAAGCAAAAATACATAGTGTTTAGAAGCCCCTAAAAGAATATTCTGGAACCACCCTTTATAAAGATTTTGGTTCTTATTGACTTATCAGTAGCATAATCTATCCATATAAATAATTTCATAGTTTTCTTTGTCTTTCAATTGCTGCAGAGGAGCAGGAGCTTGCAGAGAGGCAAGAATGTTATTTTGGCCTCTATCTGGAATGCTCTTTCCTCAAATATTTGCATGGTTTGCTTCCTCACTTCCTTCAGGCTCTGTTTGAGTGCAGCCTCCTTAAGAGAACCTTTCCTGGCCACATTTTAAAATAGTGCCCCATAATTATTTTTTAATTCTCATACTCTGCTTTATTTTTTTCTTCATAATACTACCTACCTGACCTTACACATTCTTTCATTGGTTCATTCATTCATTACTTGCTTCTCCCACTAGAATGCAAGCTCTAGGAATTGTCTTACCGTTTGCTATATCTGCAGTGCCTATCATATGTTTAGATGCTCAATAAATATTTGTTGAATCAATCAATCAACCAATTAATTAAAGTGATTGATTGCCATGTTGTAAATGGTACACTCTGACTTCTTCAGAGAAAGTGAGGAAATAATTTTTATTAAGGGCTAGTAGAAAGAATTCAGAATAAGTCTGGACAAGAATCATGGAACCCAGGTCCTAGCCCTAGTTCTGCCACCAATTTGAAGTCACTTAATTTCAGTCTCTCTAAGCCTTAGCTGCTCGTCTTTCAAAAAGAATAAAGGCAGGATGCTAAGGTAGTTGAGTGCTTGTGGCCATGTAAAAAGATCACAGATCAGAAATACGAGGGTGCTAAAAAAGAATGACATCCTAAGTATGTGTTTATATATAATATATTTACATGTATACATTTATGACAAAATGAAAAAAATTGAAGTGATAAACAGGAGACCTTAATAAAAATCCTGTTTCTCTCTCTCTAGAACTGTGACCTTTGGTCAGTCACTTCCCTTATCTGGACTTATTCTCATATATAAAATGAATAGGTTTGATTAGATGATCTGCAGTTACTTTTCAGTATTAAAATATTTCTAGATATAAGATCATTATTTTTAAAACATTACTTAAAATGCATATTATCTCAATAATGACACTAAAAATTGTGAAAAGTCAGCTCATAAATGTATGGTAGAAGTCACTACAACAACAGATTTTCAGATCACAGTATTAGATTGACTCCTAAATAACCCTGGTTTAACTGTGTATAGTCTATGAAAAACACAAAGAAAACTAAACACCAAGTTAAAATAAGCAAAAAATGTCAAGAAAGTTTATTATCTGGAGTTTCTTTTGTGCTTTTTTGAAGAGGAATTTGAATAATCACTTAACGTAAATTTTAATAAATAACAATTCCATAAAAGCTGTCATGTTGTTAGCTACTCATCAAATCAAAATGCTTCCATGACTTTCTCATTCAGAGATGATACTATTCACTTGCTGTTCTCAGAAGTAGCAAGTTATTTTCAAGTTAACAGAATCTGTTAAATTTAACTCTTCATTCGTCATAACTAAGATGCATTGAAAAATGAAGATAGCTTGTTTTACTTACGTTTGCTCCTGTCCCCAGGTTTTCCCCAGGAAGATTAAAAAACAAAGTATTCCCAAAAGGCCCATGGTTGGAGGTAGCAGGAAACCACGGATATAACACTTTTGAGGATAGTCTCCTTTTAAATAAACTGAACTTGAAGAATTCAGATAATCTGGTTAATTATTAATGTCAGAAAGGTGAACCTCTAAGTGGGAAAACTAGAATTGGAACTAAAACACCCTTTCATGCCCAGGAATACAGATAGGGAGTACTTTACAGGAACTTACACCCAGGGAATTTATTTTTATTAATACAAATAAAGGGACCCTAAAATGGGAATTTGGCACTATGAAGAGTGGCTCAAAGCTAGAAACCAGTAAGCCCATTGCTTTGGCCTTTCTTCTCTTGCCCAGGGCATTTGCTTTGATGTTGCATCATCTGCAAGCATACATCTGGCAGGTCCACTCTAATACTGATGAAGACCCACCTGGACTCAGTTTCACACTGAAATGATTTTAGAAGGGGCCTGGTTTAGACAGGGCTCACAAGATGATCTTTTTTTGGTGACCTGAATGGCAGTGTCCTTGGTGCTGCAAATGGTCTGAGCATAACCTAGCTCTGCAAAGGAGGTCTAGGGAATTGTTCCTTGGTCTGTCTCAGTCTAGAGAACACTAGGTGGAGGAAAGTTGTGACTGGCAATGAAAACGCCATGTGGAGGATGCTGTCGTCATTCTCTAAGTATTGGAGAATAGATATTCTCCAATATTTATTAAGGCATATACCACTCGTTCAAAGTTTGTCTTTATTCAGATATAGAATATCTTTCTTTTAAAGAAAACACATGTTATACTTTTCAGTGAGGATTTTAATAATTTTAATATAAGAGCTCCAGAAAAACAAAGCTTCCTATAACAATTGAGTCTAGTAATTAATTCACAATATACTAAAATTTTATCTTTATACTTTTTTTTTTTTTTTTGGAGACAGAGTCTCTTTCTGTCGCCCAGGCTGGAGTCTAGTGGCACTATCTTGGCTCAGGGCAACCTCTGCCTCCCAGGTTCAAGGCATTCTCCTGCCTCAGCCTCCCAAGTAGCTGGGACTACAGGCATGTCCCATCACATCCAGCTAATTTTTTGTATTTTTAGTAGAGGTAGGGTTTCACCGTGTTGGCCAGGCTGGTCTCGAACTCCTGACCTCAGGTGATCCACCCACCTTGGCCTCCCAAAGTACTGGGATTACAGGCATGAGCCACTGTGCCTGGCTGATTTTTAATTAAGTTAATTTTTATGATGTTTTATGTTCATTAGAATTTTTTTATTTACTACCTTCTCTTTTTTAGTACTATTTTTACCTTAATATATAATATGTACTCTTCTTTAAAATAATAAAACAGATGTCTCTAAACATATTTCTATAATGAGATATTTATGATATATAAATGAGATATTTATGGTCACATTGGCATTCTTTGCTTTGAATTAATAAATAATAAACCAAAAATATTTATAAACACTTTAATGCTGAATTCACTAGGGAAAAAAGGAGCACAAAGGGAAATTTGATATACAAATTTCACTAAAGGTATCTCTTGCATATGTCATTGAAATGACAAACATTTGCCACTATTGTCTGATCATCTAGCCCATTTATTTCAAAAGGGAATCTGTGAAATGATTAAGCTGGGTTGCAAAAGATGGGTCAAGTTAAAACAAACAGTACTTTTGCCATCATTTTTGGGAAATGAAATTTAAGAGAGAACAACAACACTCAAATCAAGGTAGGTAATATTTGTATTTTAAGTGCAAATAAGTTTGTTTGCTTGAGCTATAGAGTAAATACTGATAACCAATATTTGCAAGCCATTGTCCTGTTTCTCTGGTAGAAAACATTTAGAGAATGATGGATCTCAAAGATTCTCAACAGAACTGAAGTTTAACAATTTATAGATTCTAAGCTGTGTTTAGTCAAAATTTTTTATCTACCTTCTAAATGTGGCTCACAGATGAACTTTTGAGGCTGGGCACGCTGGCTCACACCTGTAATCCCAGATCTTTGGGAGGCCGAGGTGGGTGGATCACCTGAGGTCAAGAGTTCAAGACCAGCCTGGCCAACATGGCGAAAACCCGCCTCTACTAAAAATACAAAAATTAGCCAGGCGTGGTGGCGGGTGCCTGTAATCCCAGCTACTTGGGAGGCTGAGGCAGGAGATTCACTTGAACCTGGGAGGTGGAGGTTGAGCACAGATCACGCCACCGCACTCCAGCCTGAGCAACAGAGCCAGACTCCATCTCAGAAAAAAAAAAAAAAAAAAAAGATGATTTTTTTTCTTTATAATTTAAAATGTGACCTTTGGTAAGCCTTTCATTTTTATACAAATACTGCATTTCTAAAAGAGAAGAAACTCAGATCTGGCAGAAAGTTTGGTGGTCACCTGACCTTCCTGCTAATGCTGCCTCAATTGTCCCCTCATGATTGAGCCCAAATGACCTAGCCTAGTGCACCAGGCCCCTCTTGAGCCCTGCTTAGTTCTCCAGCCTCAACATTCCATTCTTCACTCCGGCCAAGGAGCTGAATTACCTGATTATTCCCTGAAGTCACCTTGACACCAAGGTGCTCCTAGCAGGATAATAATTTTGTATCTTTCAAATGGATATTCTTTAGTTATTTTGTACTTACTTGGTAAAATATGTCTGGACACCAATTTTCTATTAATACAAACTACAGAACTCTTTTTTATGTATAATAAAAAGATTTTATCATGTATAATTTTCAAAATCAGACAGCTTACAGGGAGGTATATTAATGGGTTGTAAATTTAGAGAATAAAAAATAAGTGACATTGTGTTTGTTATTGTTTTCAGAAATTCAGCCCATCAGATTGCGAACTTCAAGTGCCTGCTGGCTGGCTAGAGTAAGAGAGGTGATGTGACCCATAGCTGCCCCAGGTAATTTTCATGTGCCTGTTCCATGTCCAGAGGCCAGTGGAGAAACAGAGGCGTCTCCTCAGAATTAAATTATTCTAAATGGAGACACGGGAATCATACAAGTTTTGTTCAAGAGTGGTAGGCTGGCACTAGGCAGGTGGGTTATTCTAAGTAAAACCCAGTATTTGTCCCTCTGACTGCTTTTTGGCTCAAGCCCGCAGTCTCACGTTTTAATCCTTTAGGAGAAAGGCTCTACTAAAAGGCCAACTGAAATCCAAAAAGAACTACTTCAGTAACTCTCCATGGGATATAGAGGAGAAAGGCACTGGAGGCTTCGGTGCCAGCAGTTTAAAGACTGACTGGAGAGAGGGCGGAGGTGGAGCAAGATGGCTGAATAGAACCCCCCCCGAGATAGTTCTCCACACAGGAACACCAAATAGAACAACTATCCACGCAAGACAGCACCTTCATAAAAGCCATAAAATCAGGTGAGTGATCACAGTGCCTACTTTTACCGTAATGATAAGGAAAGAGGCATTGAAGATAGGGTGGGGGTAGGGGGGAAGATCTCCCTGTATTGCCTATACCACCCCTCCTCCAACCACAGGCTGCACAGCAGGAAAGAGAATCCGTGTGCTTGGAGGAGAGAGAGCAAAGTGAGTGTGGGACTTTGCACTGGAAGTCAGTGCTGCCCCGTCATGGTGGAACATAACACAGGACAGAATTCTGCAGGCGCCTAGAATTCTGACAGTGCATTTAGGCAGGCCTTGGGACAGAGGAGAATTCTGTGCTCCAGAGGGAGAAACCCAGGTCATGGCTAGCTTCACCACTGGCTAACTAAAGTGGTCTGAGGTCCTGAGTCTATTTGAGTGGCAGTCAGGACACAAGGACTAAAGTGTGTAGACTAAACATAAAATGCTAAGCACCCCCAACTTGCCCCCTATTGACTGAATGAACTCCCACTTGGCCAAAGAGACCCCAGAAACATCTTAAAAATTGAATTCCTGGCCGTGATGGGAAGGGAGGTTAGACATGCCTTGTTATACCCCCTCCCTTTGGAGTTTAGGCACAACTGACCAGCATTCAAGTTAAAATATCATAAGACGGACAAAACAGACTCTGTGGCAATAAGATACCAAATTATAAACAAGACCTCAGGCCATTCATGCAAGGAATCACACCCTACAAACCATAAAATATCATTAAATGAGTTTTAAAAGTTAACCTGGTATAGTCCGGGCGTGGTGGCTCACTCCTGTAATCCCAGCACTTTGGGAGGCTGAGGCAGGCAGATCACCTGAGGTCAGGAGTTCAAGACCAGTCTGGCCAATATGGTGAAACCTCATCTCTACTAAAAATACAAAAATTAGCTGGGTGTGGTGACAGGTGCCTGTAATCCCAGCTACTCAGGAGGCTGAGGCAGCAGAATTGCTTGAACCTGGGAGGCAGAGGTTGCAGTGAGCCAAGATCGTGCCATTGCACTCCAGCCTGGGCAACGAGAGCAAAACGCTGCCTCAAAATAAATAAATAAATAAAAATAAACCTGCTGTAATATGGTTTGCTTTTCAACCTGACTCTGATATAGCATCACATGACAGATAGCAGACCCTGTAGGGAATAAAAATATTTTACCTCAAAATATATTTATTTGACATATTTTGAAATGGCCCTGCAAAGCTATCTTTTGTGAGTGAGATTTGCATCTGTAGATAATCTCCATTAATGCAACCAGGCCTTCCCTTTCTAGGCTTTTCCCAGTTCTGGCAGAGTTGAACTGAGAGTCTGACATCTCAAAGGTCTGCAAAGAGACAGACGTTTGCCATTGATTCTCTCGGAGGGCTGCTACCTATGAGGATTCATCAACGTAACAAGAACCTTGGACCCCACAACCTCCTTTAACTCAAGCATTACTTACTATTGACTTTAAGCCTTTAGACAATAGCTTAACCCTCTCAACCAATTGTCAACTGAAGAATCCTTAAGACCCACCTATAACTACTAAGTCCCTGCTTGGAGATGTCCTGCTTTTTTGGGCTGAATCAATATATACTTTCCATGTATCGATTTATGTCTTCGCCTGTAACTCTTTTCTCCTGGAAATGTATAAAACCAAACTATAACCTACCTGCTTCAGGCATACTTCCTCAGAACCTCTTAAGACTGTTCCCAAGACCATGATCACTCATATTGGCTCAAAATATTCCACTCTGAAATATTTCACAGATTTTTTTTCCTCTGTTAGCAAGTCCTTGGGCAAGGTCTAGTGCTGTCCTGGTCTTGGAGGCAGTGGACTTAGGGTGCAACACAGTTTAACACTAGCTGTGGCAGCCACAGGAGTATGTATGTCACTCCTTCCCAAACTTCAGGTACTGATGCTTGGGGAGAGATTCCTTCTGCTTGGGGAAAGAAGAGAGAAGAGCACAGAGGACTTTGTCTTGCAACTTGGGTATCAGCTTAGCCACAATACGATAAAACATCAAACAGATTCCCGAAGCCCCCGATTCCAGGCTTTGTTCCTGGATAGTGTTTCTAGGCCCATCCTGGGTCAGAAGGGAATCCACTGCCCGGTTGGTACGGACTTGGTCCTGGCAGGATTCACCATCTGCTGACTAATGTGGCCTTGGGCCTTGAATAAACATTAGCTGCAGGCATAACCAGGCAGTAGTGGCTGCAGGCCTTGGTGAGCCCCAATACAGAGCTGGTCTGGAAGGCCATGGGCTTCAGGTATGACCCAGTGTAATGCCAGCTGTGGCCAGTAGAGTGTCTGCATCACTCCTCCCCCAGCTCCAGTTAGCCAAGCCTGGAGAGAGATGCCTTCTGATTTGGGAAAGAGAGGGAAGAGAGAAAGAGACTTTGCCTGGTAACCCAGGGAATTCTCCCCTATCTTCCCAAGTCTTAGATACACCAAGGCTGTGTACCTAAGAGTCTGTAAGAGTTTCAGTGTTCCTGGGCTTAGGGCACCCCCAAGTGCTGAGATGGCTGCAGTAACCACAGGCTTAGGCCACAAAACTCAATCCCCTTTGAATTCTTGGAAAACCTTCTCAAGGACAGGGACAAACAAGCCTGGACTATAAAGATGGGAATAAATACCTAAATCTTCAAGGCCCAGACATGGACGAATATCCACAATTATCAAGAACATCCAGGAAAACATGGCCTCACTGAATGGACTGAATAAGGCACCATTGACCGATCCTGGAGTGTTGAAGATATATGACTAATCAGACAGGGAATTCAAAATAGCTGCCTTGATGAACTTCAATGAACTTCAAGACAACAGTGAAGAAATTCAGAATTCTATCAGATAAATTTAACAAAGAGATTGAAATTTTTTAAATCAAATGGAAATTCTGGAGCTGGCTAAAATATAGATTACTAAGACAAAGAAGTGTATGGCTACATTTCTTCCCCCAATATTTGTGACTACGTATTATTTTATCAATAAAATATGAAAATTTCTTTTAAAAAATCTTGGAGATAGAAAATTCAATTGATAAACTGAAAAATGCACTGGAGTCTCTCAATAGCAGACTTGATCAAGCAAAATAAAGAATTTGTGAAGACAGGCTATATGAAAATACACAGAGGAGAAAAAGGAAAAAACTAAAAAGAAAAAAGAATGAAGCATGCCTACAAGATCTAGAAAATAGCCTCAAAAGAGCAAATTTAAGAGTTACTAGCCTTAAAGGGGATGTAGAGAGAGAGAGAGAAAAATTGGGATAGAATGTTTATTCAAGGAAATGATAACAGACAACTTTCCAAACCTAGAGAAAGATATGAATATCTAGGTACAAAAAAATCAAAGAATGCCGAGCAGATTCAACCCAAATAAGACTACTTCAAGACATATAATAATAAAACTCTCAATGATCAAGGATAAAGAAAGGATCTTAAAAGCAGCAAGAGAAAAGAAACAAGTAACATAAAGGAGCTCTAATACATCTGGCAACAGATTTCTTAGCAGAAACTTTACAGGCTTGTGGGATGACATAGTCAAAGTGCTGAGGAAAAGAAACATCCAACCTAGAATATTATATCCAGCACAATTATTTTTCAGACATGGAGAAACACTTAGACAAACAAAAGCTGGGGAATATTATCAACATTAGACCTATCTTATAGGAAATGCTAAAGGAAGTTTTTTCAATCTGAAAGAAAAGGCTATTAATGAGCAAGAAGAAATAATCTAAAAGTATAAAACTCGCTGGTAAAAATAATTACACAGAGAAATACAGAATAATGTAACACTGTAATTGCAGTATGTAAACCACTCATATACTTAATAGAATGACTAAATGATAAACCTATCAAAAATAGTAACTACAATTATTTTTTAAGAGACAGACCATGTAAAAAGATACAAATAGATAAAACAAAAAGTCAAAATGCAGGAAAAAGTGTAGATGTTTGTTTGGCTTTCTCTGCTTGTTTTTAAAAACTTTTCTTTCTGATAATAGTTAAGTTGTTATAAGTCTAAAATAATTGTTTATGAGATGTTATTTGCAAGCCTCATGATAACTACAAACCAAAAACCTATAATTGCTACACAAAAAATAAAAAGCAAGGAATTAAAACATACTACTAGAGAAAATCACTTTTACACAAAGGAAGATGGGAAGGAAGAAAGGAAGAGAGGACCAACAAAACAAGCAGAAAACGAGTAACAAAATGTCAATACTAAGTCCTTACTGATTAATAATAACAAGTAAATGAGTGTAAATGGACTAGAATCCTTTTTAGAAGGCACTCTAAACAGTTTTGTCTCTTGTTATGGCATTGATTGCCTTTAGTAGATTCCGTGTAACCTACTTCTTTATCTCATAAGTTGTAGAAGTTCTTTGCTCCAAAATATCCTTCTCAGACTTTAAATCCGGTGTTGTTTGAAGCATTCTTCTCGCTTCTCAGTAATCAGTCTAGCAATTAAGAGGAAATGCCATAAATGTTAATCACGTCTCAATAAGACCTGTAAACTCCACTGCATTTAAACGAGATTTTATGAGACTCAGACATACAGGATGTATTCTCAGCCTTTAAGGAGCTTATCCAAATGGTGACAACACAATAGCTACCCATTATTAGCTTCCAACATTTATCAGTTATTGTGATAATTAACTTGCTAAATTATCTCTTATCTTGACAACCATGCAGAAGGGTGTTATTACCCTCTGGTTACCAATGAGTAAACTAAGGCTCAGAAAAATGTAGTGCTTCAGGGAACACATCTAATAATTTGCAGAAATTTCGATTTGATTGTTTGGGATCCATAGAAAAAAGCCAGGAAAGATACGAAACCATGCTGAAGTCTTACCTTCTCTTTGACACCTTCTCCAGATATATGTGTGTATATATATGTATATATAAAATTTTTTTTTTAGATGGATTCTCACTCTGTCACACAGGCTGGAGTGCAGTAGTGCAATCTCAGTTCACTGCAACCTCTGCCTCCTTGGTTCAAGTGATTCTCATGCCTCAGCCTCCCAAGTAGCTGGGACTACAGGGGTGAGCCACCATGCCTGGCTAATTTTTGTATTTTTAGTAGAGATGGGGTTTCACCATATTGGCCAGGCTGGCCTCCAACTCTGGACCTCAAGTGATCTACCCACCTCGGCTTCCCAAAGTGCTGGGATTACAGGCGTGAGCCACCATGCCCGGCCTTTTTTGTCTGTAACTAATTCTGTATTTTATAAACTCTTAAATAATTTATATCCCAGTCCACACATTTTGATTCTTATTATATACTATTGTGTATTCTAGGCAAAGGTTCAAATGCACAAGGTGGGAATAAATGTGACATAATTGAATACCTAGTCTGGCTTATGTCTGGTTCTCCCTTCCTCAATAGAGCTGGAGCAAGACTGGCTGAAATGACCACCAGGCAGATGGCAGATTGGGAAGACAAACTGAAAAGGTGAGAGGTGGAAAGAGTCAGAGAATAACTGGATAAGCCACATTCTGGGAAATACAGTGGTTCAAATCCACCGTGGATAAATTTGTATTTGAAGATTGAATGGTAACTGGGAAAAATAGAGAAGGAAGCCATTGCTTAAACTATGCTTGAAAGTCACCAAAGCAGTGGGTTGGAATAGCATGTCCCAAAAGGCCACTTCACATCCTAAATAATAATGGAATAGGATAGGATTTCAGATAAGGAAGTAGGGAGGAAGTGGAAAATAATAAGGCTAAGAGAAAATCCAGTGTTAATAATGGAATTTAGTTAAGCATATTTTCCTTAGAGGAATCAAAAGGAAACAACATACAAGGAGGAGATGCTCACTCTCCCTTTATCTCTCACAGTTTTATAACCTCACCTGAATCTGTTCTTTCTGTACCCTAGACCTTCTAATGAATCAAGCTCAGCTCATTAACCACCTTCTTTGGTTCCACTGAGCCACGCTTTTTCAGACAATGTTGCTTTTTGTTCAGCATAAGTTCCTTCATCTAATTCTAATACCTGTTACTCATCCAGTGGCTAAATGTGGTAGCCAGACTCCAAGATGGCTCCCAGTGGTCCTTACCTCCCTCGTATTCATGCCTCTGTGTGGTCCCTTCCCACACTGTATCACACCGATTCATCTGACCAATAGAATACAGCAAAAGTGAAGATGTGTGACTTCTGAGGTTAGGTCATACAAGACATTGCTGTTTCTGCCTTTTTCTCTCTTGAACGGCCTGTTCTAGGGGAAGCCCCCATGTAGTGAGCACACTCAGGAAGCCTATGGAGAAGCCCACGTAGAAAGGAACCACGGCCTCCCGCCCAGAGCCATGTGAAGTGAATCCTCCAGCCCTAGTCATGCCTTTAGGTGGCTGCAGCCCAGCTGTCATCTTGACTGCAACCTCATAAGAGAACCTAACCCAGAATTACCTAGCTAAGCCATTCCTGAATTCCTGCCCATAGGAACTGGGCAGATAATTAAGGTGTGTTGTTATCTTACGTCATTAAGTTTGGGGGAATTTATTACATAGCAATAGTAATTTTACACTAGATTAGCTGTTTTTCTAAAAATATAACTTTCATCAAAGCTCCTTACATTCACTACCACCACCCAAATAGGTCCTTGCTCCTCGGTCATCAATGCTTATAATTAGCAAGTGTACTTTAAGTTCCTGAAGAGCAGCAGCTTCAGGAGCCTACTTTGAAAGCGCCACCTGCTGGTATTAACTTAATAGCTTCCCAAAGAAAGCTGGAATAATTCGTGCTGATTAAGTCAATGCTTAGGTGCGACAGCTTTTCATGGTAAACTCTGGCTTCTCATCTTACATTAATAACTCTTCTGAGAACCAGCTTCTTTGCTTCCTTGAGATAACAGCTGCTTTGCCTTCTTCTTAAGAATGCTGAAATGCGATCTTTCTTAGCACTGAAAATCACATAAACATTTATGGAGTTCTTATGATTACTCTTTCTAGGATTACTGTTTCTTGCTTTTCCAACTCTTTTCTTTCTGCTTCAATTATTTTTAAAAGAAGACATGCTAAAGTCTCTGTTTTTTACAAGAAAAAAAACCAGGTATCACAAAATCTTTGAATTTTTTTTTCCTTCCAAAATAACTGCCAAATCTCTCAAAACACTTAGTCTATCCCTCCCCACCCCACCCAGCTGACTCTAAGTAATTTTATTTCCCCCTATTTATCCTGAGACCCCTAGAATGCTTTCTGGATCTCTTCATAAAAGTTATATAGAAAATATTAAATTAATAAAATAATTGCCCAGCAGCAGAAGTCACTTGATGTTGGTTGGAATGATTCAGCATTATACTCATTTTACAGACAAAGAATCTGATAATCAGAAGGTCTGTATTGCTTCATTTAAAAATCCCAGAATCAGGTCGGGCGAAGTGGCTCACACCTGTAATCCCAGCACTTTGGGATGTCGAGGCAGGCAGATCACCTGAGGTCAGGAGTTCGACACCAGCCTGGCCAACACGGTAAAACCTTGTCTCTACTAAAAATACAAAAATTAGCTGGGTGTGGTGGTGGGCGCCTGTAATCCTAGCTACTCAGGAGGCTGAGGCAGGAGAATCACTTGAGCCCAGGACATGGAGGTTGTAGTGAGCGGAGATCGTGCCACTGCACTCCAGCCTGGGTGACACAGCGAGACTCTGTCTCAAAAATAATAATAAAAGCCCAGAATCACACACACAAAAAAGTAGCTCTGGCCACTTACATAATTTGAGTGATCTTGTGCAAGATAAAAATGTGGCATCTCTTATTCAAAAAAGCAGGAAAAATGCTGTTAAGGTATTAAAATATAAACATAAAGCCTTTTCCTCTACCTTGGCCAACATGGCAAAAACCCATCCCTACAAAAAATACAAAAATTAGCCGGGCGTGGTGGCATGTGCCTGAAACCCCGCTACTTGGGGCGCTGAGGCACGAGAATTGCTTGAAGCCAGGAGGTCGAGGCTGCAGTGAGCCAAGATCATACCACTGCACTCCAGCCTGGGCTACAGAGCAAGACTGTCTCAAAAAAAAGCCTTTTCCTTTCATCTGTAGTCTTTCCCTCAATTTGTCATGGTGCTTTTTAAGATTTGCTATTTAACATCATTGTAAATAAAGGGAAATTAATAACTTTAATTATTGGCATGACTTTTATCATTCATCTTCATATTGTGTACCAGTTTAAGCTGCAAATATAACAGCATTTCACTTGCATGTGCAATTGCCAAAATTACACCATTTGTATGTCATAGTTCATACATGTATATATATTCCATTCTTCCCAGAACAGTGGAAATTATGCACAAAACTAGCTCAGCTGTTTTTATTTTACTTTTTGATATGTGTATGTTCTACCCACACTCTCCACCTTTGCTTTCTGAGGACAAGGAAAGCCTGAAAGAAAAAGAAACTGTGAATTATCCTATCTTTCCCTTTCTTTCTATGTTATCATATTCAAGGTACACATAATAGTTCCCTAATACAAGGAAATACCATGAGTAAGAAAGGATATGATAAGGCTCCTTGTTTTTTTGTTGTTGTTGTTTTTCTTTTTTTCTTTTTTAGCATGCCTTCACCATCTTTCTGCACTCAAAACAAGTTCCTGTTCCAATGGAGAATGTGGTCTCTTCAGGCTGTCAGTGCCCCGGCTTGCTCAGCCACAGACATACTTTTCTTAATACTTTGTACTCACTTTGATTCCCACTAAACTTCTGCACCTTGTGAGCCCACTGGAATTCTGTGTTCACAGGGTATTGTGAATGCTCTGTGTGAATGAGGAGGCAAGGAATTGTGGACATAAATATCGTGCTGTCAGACTTCATTTATAAAAAACAAGCTCAAAGATAAAATTATTAATAAATGCAGGACAACAACAGAGCATTAAACCAAGTGTGGGGCCCTTCTGCGTGTGGGGTTTGGGGTGACTGCATAGGTTGCATGCTCATGAAGCCAGCTTTGGAGTAGCTAAGTCAGGAGTAAACTCATATCTGACTTCAAAGACAAATCTCTTAACACTTCACAAGGAATCTCCTCTAATAACACAAGGCAAGGTATTGGCAGAGTAAACAAAGAATGTCAAGAACATGAGAAAATTTTAAGACAACTAGATAACATCAAGCTGCTTCCCTTGGGTTCTGTGATCATTAGTGCTACGGTCTGAATGTTTGTGTCCTCTTGAAATTCTTATGTTGAATCTTAATCACCAAAGTGATGGTATTTACAGAATTTTTGGTTGACAGTCTTTTTCTTTCAGCACTTTGAATATATCATCTTTCTACTTAGTAGCCTCTGTGCTTTCTGATGAGAAATCAGCTGTTAATTTTACTGAGGATCCTTTGTACTATCATGTGTTGCTTTTCTCTTGTTATTTTCAAGATTATCTCTTCATCTTTGACACTTGACAGTTTTATTATGATGTAGTCAGGTGTGGTTCTCTTTGAGTTTATCATACTTGGAGTTCATTGAGTTTTCTTGAATGTGTGGATTAATGTGTCTCATCACATTTGAAAATTTTGACCATTAGTTCTTCAAATATTTTTTTCTGTCCTTTCCTCTCTCTCTCGTCTCCTTCTGGAACTCTCTTCATGCATATGTTGGTATGCTCGATGGTATACCAAAGGTCTGTCTTTATGTATATGTTTGTGTTTTCTATGGCATACCAGATGGTCTACAGGTCTGTTCATTTTTCTTAATCCTTTTTTCTTTCTGCTCCTCAGACTGGATAATCTCAATTGATCTATCTTCAAGTTCATTGATTCTTTTTTTCTCCCTGCTCAAATCTGCTGTTGAGTGTCCCTATTGAATTTTTTATTTCAGTTATTGTAGTTTTCAAATACAGAATTTCTATTTGGTTCTTATTTATAATTTTCGTCTTATTCTTTGTATGGTAAGACGTAGCTCTTACACTTCTCTTTAGTTCTTTAGATGTGGTTTCTTTTAGTTATTTGATCATACTGAAAATATCTCACGTAAAGTCCATATCTAGGAGATCAAGATTTCCTCAGGTGGTTTTTATTATATCTTTTCCTTGTATGGGCTACACTTTCCTGCATCTTTGCTTGTCTTGTAATTTTTTGTTAAAACTGGAATTTAAAAAATTTAAAATTAAATAATAGAATAGAGCAACCTGGAAAATTTGACCTGTAGGTTAGATTTGAACCTTAATTTAGAAATGCTTCTATTTTTATGCTGTAGTGGCAATGTGCAAAATGTTTTTGAAAAATTGTTTGCAGCAATATCCAGAAAGGTCATAGGACTGCAATGCTTTTCCATGAAGGTAACCCTTTAACCCTATGAAATAAGATATGATGGTCCCCATTTAACAGGATAAAAAGTTAGTGATTTATTCCAGTGAAAATTATAAAAAGATAAGGATGCAAAAATGCCTTCCAAAATCTAGTTAACTTTTAAAACTGGTGGTTATTCTGGGGAAAATGGGGAATATTATCCCATTAATGAATCTTGAGATATTTCTTTGTAAGAAGAATTATATCACTGCTTCTCATGAATCTCACCAGCATTGACCTATGACCCCCATCTCTTCCATTTCAGTTCTTTTAAATTTTACTTATTCACTTTGTTCTTGTTGTTCTTTTTATTTTTTGTTTTTTTAAATTATTCTTTTTTCCTTTTCCTACTCTATTTCTCATTTCCATTTCTTTTCTCTGTAATATATAATTGAGTATGATTTTATGTATTTGAGATTTTATGTTTTTCAATCTTAAGTTAACTTCACTTTTTTCATTTGTAGAATAGGAGATATTGTCTACTCTGTCCACCTAACAGGGTCGTTGTAAGTTTTAAACAATACTTGTTATAGCTCCAGAAAACTATAAACTAGCTTCTGTTGCTTCCTAGTTTATTTCTTTGAGTGTTTTGTTAACTTTCATATTGAAACTGTTAACAAAAATACATTTCCTGATAGTTCTTATTAGACCCCAAGATTTCAGTATTTCATCTGTGATAGAATTATTGCTGCAGATTTTCATATGTGATAGAATCTGATATTTTGAATGTCATTTTATACTTTTTCAAATGTTAGCAATTTTTATATTCTCTCATAAATTCCTCAAATAATTTATCAACTTTAATTTTGTATTTCTATCAATTAAATTTTTAAAATTTAAATTCAAAAGCATTGGTAAAATATCAGATCTTCTAAGTTTGACTTCTAAAGCTGAATGTCAATTAAATTAAATTTTAAACATATAGAGTTAAACTTAATTCAAACTACAAATTTGGAATCAAAAATATAAAATAGTCTGGGCACAGCAGCTCATGCCTGTAATCCCAGCTGAGGATTTGGGAGGCTGAGGAAGGCGGATCAGCTGAGGTCAGGAGTTCGAGACCAGCCTGGCTGACATGGTGAAACCCCGTCTCTACTAAAAATACAAAAATTAGCCAGACATGGTGGCGGTGCCTGTAATAAATATCCCAGCTACTCAGGAGGCTGAGGCAGGAGAATCGCTTGAATCCAGGAGGCAGAGGTTGCAGTAGGCCAAGATTGTGCCACTGTACTGCAGCCTGGGTGACAGAGTGAGACTCCATCTAAAAAAATATATATATATATATATGAAAGTATAAAGTTAAATTTAGCTTTAAATTTAAAAACATTCTAAAGAAATCAGAATTAGCTGAAATCATCCCAGTATAAATTAGTATAAACTGAAAAATCCCCACAGGAACATTCCATCAAAGAGGACAAAAAGATTCTTGATAAAGCTGGTCCTCCTTTCAGTTTATAAATTTTGGATAGTCAGGGAGGAGGACATTAATCCATGGATCTACAGCCAATATATTTTTATAGGTAGAGAAAATTGCGGAGAAAATTGCTGGAAGGATATAAAAATAGTAAACAATGACAATATCTTGGAAAGCAGTTAGGTGGCAGGGCCAAGGGCTTTTACCTTATACTTCACATTCCTCTATACAGCATTACTTTTTTTGTTTTGTTTTGTTTTGAGACAGCTTTCTGCTGTCACCCAGGCTGGAGTGCAGCAGTGCAATCACAGCTCATTGCAGCCTCAAACTCCTTGATCACAGCTCACTGCAGCCTCGAATCGCTCAAGCGATTCTCCCAACTCAGCCTCCAGAGTAACTGGGACCACAGGCACATGCCACCACACCTGGCTAATTTTTATTTTTATTTTGTAAAGACAGGATTTTGCCATGTTTTCCTAGCTGGTCTGGACCTCCTGAGCTCAAGGGATCCACCCACCTCGGTCTTCCAAAGTGCTGAGATTACAGGTGTGAGCCACTGCGCCCAGCCCAGCATTACTTTTATAATAAAAACTAGTATAATTTTTAATAAAAGGGTAAAGAAGAAGGATATACCCAAGATAATCAGCAAAAAGCTGAAAAGGATGTAAAGAAACTGTAAGAAAACATATTCAATAGAAAATGTAAAAGAACAGGAATAAGTACAAATGCAACAAACTTGAATGGGCTTAAAATATTCTATTAAAAGTTAGACATTTTTGAAACAGCCAAAGAACAAAAAAAAATGCAGCAACAGGTTGGGCGCGGTGTCTCACGCCTGTAATCCCAGCATTTTGGGAGGCCGAGGCAGGCAGATCATGAGGTTAGGAGTTCAAGACCAGCCTGGCCAATATGGCGAAACCCCATCTCTACTAAAATACAAAAATTAGCCGGGAGTGGTGGTGTGCACCTGTAGTCCCAGCTACTCAGGAGGCTGAGGCAGAAGAATCACTTGAACCCGGGAGGCAGAGGTTGCAGTGAGCCGAGATCATGCCACTGCACTCCAGCCTGGGCGACAGAGCGAGACTCCATCTTAAAAAAAAAAAAAAAAAAAAAAGGTATACATCACCACTAAATGATATAGAAAGACTGAAAATTAAAAAAAAGAAAACCATATGTCAGGCAAGTACTGACAAAATTCAAGCTAGTAGAGAACTAATAACTTTAGGTAAACAGAACTCACAACTTTAAGTGAGCAAAGAGAAATATTTAATGTGGAGAATAATTATTATTTACTAAAAAGTTGCAACAGTCATAGCCTTCATGCACTTACGAACATAGCTTTGGGCCAGTTGTGGTGGGTCATGCCTGTAATCCCAGCACTTTGGGAGGCTGAGGTGGACAGATCACCTGAGGTCGGGAGTTCGAGATCAGACTGGCCAACATGATGAAACCCCATCTCTACTAAAAATACAAAAAAAAAATTAGCCGGGCGAGGTGGTGCGTGCCTGTAATCCCAGCTACTCAGGAGGCTGAAGCAGAAGAATCGCTTAAACCTGGGAGGTGGAGGTTACAGTGAGCCCAGATTACGCTACTGCACTCACTCCAGCCTTGGGCGACAGAACAAGACTCTGTCTCAAAAAAAGAAAAAAAAAAAAAACAAAAACACATGATCATCTCAGCTGACACAGAAAAAGCATCTTACAAAGTTCAACATCCTTTATTAATAAACAGTCTCAACAGTTTGGGTATAAAATGAAAATTCCTGGCTGGGCATGATGGCTCATGCCTGCAATCTCAATACTTTGGGAGGCTGAGGTGGGAGGATCACTTGAGGCCAGAAATTGGAGACCAGCCTGGGCAATGCTGCAAGACCCCATCTTGACAATAATTATTTTTAAATTAGCCAGGCATGGTAGCACATACCTGTAGTCCCAGTTACTCAGGAGATTGAGGCAGGAGAATCGCTTGGTCCCAGAAGGTCAGGGCTGCAGTGAGCCATAATTGCACCATTGCACTTCAGCCTGGGTGATAGAGTAAAACTCCATCTCAAAAAAAAAAATAGGCAGGGCGCGGTGGCTCACGCCTGTAATTCCCACACTTTGAGAGGCCAAGGTGGGCGGATCATGAGGTCAAGAGATTGAGACCATCCTGATGAACATGGTGAAACCCTGTCTCTACTAAAAATACAAAAAAAATTAGCTGGGCGTGGTGGTGCGTGCCCATAGTCCCAGCTACTTGGGAGGCTGAGGCAGGAGAATCACTTGAACTCGGGGGGTGGAGATTGCAGTGAGCCGAGATCGCGCCACTGCATTCGCAGCTTGGTTGGTGACAGAGTGAGGCTCCATCTAAAAAAAAAAAAAAAAAGAGGAAAATTCCTCAACATTTGAAACATATGGTATGGTTTGGCACTGTGTCCCTACGCAAATCTCATGTCAAACTGTAATCCCCACGTGTCAGGGAAGGTACCTGGTGGGAGGTGGGTGGATCATGGGGGCAGTTTCCCCATGCTGTTCTTACCATAGGGAGTAAGTTCTCATGAGAGCTGATGGTTTAATAGTGTGGCACTTCCCCTCTCCTCCTGCTGCTTCAAAAGATGTGCCTTGCTTCCCCTTTGCCTTCCACCATAATTTTAAGTTTCCTGAGGCCTCCCCAGCCATGTGAAACTGTGAGTCAATTAAACCTCTCTTCTTTATAAATTACTCAGTCTCAGTAATTACTTTATAAATTACTCAGTTCTTTATAGTAGGGTAAAAATGGACTAATACAACATAATAAAGGCTATTTATGAGAAGCCTGCAGCGCACATTATCATCAATGGAAAAAACCTAAAAACTTTTCCACTAAGATCTGGTACAATGCAAGGATCCCAAACTTACCACTTCTAATCAACATAGATTGGAAGAACTAGCAAGTGCAATTAGATAAGAAAAAGAAATAAAAGACATCAAAAATCAGAAAGGAAGAGGTAAAATTATTTCTATTTGCAGATGACATAATTCTATATGTAGAAAACCCCAAAGATTCCACAAAAATATATTAGAAACTAGTAAATGAATTCAGTAAAGTTGCAGAGTACAAAACCAACATACAAAAATCAGTAGTGTTTCTATACACAAACAACAAATGAGCTAAAAAAGAAATCAAGAAGGCAATCTCATTTACAATAGCTATTAAAAAAACACCTAGGAATAATTTTAAGCATGGATGTAAAAGACTGCTACAAGGAAAACTACAAAACACTGATGGAAGAAATTGAAGAGGGTACAAACAAATGGAAAGACATCTCACTTTTCATGGATCAGAAGAATCAATATTATTAAAATGACCATACTACTCAAAACAATCTACAGATTCAATGCAATCTCTATCAAAATACCAATGATTTTCTTCACAGAAATAGGAAAAAAATCTCAAAATTTTTATGGAACCACAAAGGAACCCAAATGGCCAAAGCAATCCCGAACAAAAAGAACAAAGCTAGAGGCATCACACTAACAGTCTTCAAAATATACTACAAAGCTGTAGTAACCAAAATAGCATGATATTGTCATAAAAACAGATAGCCAGACAAATGAAACAGCATAGAGGACTCAGAAATTAATCCATGGATCTACAGCCAACTGGTTTTTTGACAAAGATGTCAAGAACACTCACTGGGGAAAGAATAGTCTCTTTAATAAATGGTCCTGGGAAAACTGGATATCCATATACAGAAGAATGAAACTAGATCCCTACATCTCCCCCTATATAAAAACCTTGTACGTGAGTTTATATATAAATCAAAATGGATCAAAGACCTAAATGTAAGACAGAAACTATAAAACTACTAGAAGAAAACATAGGGGAAATGGTTCCGGACACTGGTCTAGGAAAGATTTTATGAATAAGACCTCAAAAATGCAGGCAACAAAAACAAAAATAAACATATGGGATTATATCAAACTAAAAGGCTTCTGCACAACAAAGGAAGCAATCAACATAGTGAAGAAACAACCCAGAGAATGGGAGAAAATATTTGCAAACTATTCATATAACAGGGAATTAATATCTGGAATACACACGGAACTCAAACATCTCAACAACAAAATTGTATAAAAATGGACAAATAATCTGAATAGACACTTCTCAAAAAGAAGACATACAAATGACCAACAAATATATGAAAAAATGCTCACCATCATCAATCATCAGGGAAATGCAAATCTGCAAATCAAAACCACTATGAGGTATAATCTCACCCCAGTTAGGATGGCTATTATCAAGACAGCAAACAACAAATGCTGGGGAGGATGTGGAGAAAAAGAAACTCTTTTTTTTTTTTTTGGTTTCTGTTGCCCAGGCGGCATTGCAGTGGCATGATGATAGCTCACTGCAGCCTCAATCTCCCAGGCTCAAGCAATCCTCCCACTCAGCCTCCCAAGTAGCTAGGACTACAGACAAGTGCCATCACACCCAGCTAATGGTTTTGATTTTTAGTAGAGATGAGGTCTCACTATCTTCTCCAGGCTGGTATTGAACTCCTAAGCTGAAGAGATCCTCCCACCTCAGCCTCCCAAAGTGCTGGGATTACAGGTGTGAGTCACCTTGCCCAGCCAGAAAAAGGGACTCATACACTGTTGGTGGAATGTAAACTAATATATCCACTATGGAGAACAGTGTGGAAGTTCCTCAAAAAAACTACAAATAGAACTACCATATGATCCAGCAATCCTACTACTTGGCATTTATCCAAAGGAAAAGAAATCAGTATATCAAAGACACGTCTGCATCCCCATGTTTATTGCAGCACTATTCATAATAGCCAAGACATGGAATCAACCTAGGTGTCCAACAGATGAATGGATAAAGAAAATGTGGGCCAGACGTAGTGGCTCATGCCTGTAATCCCAGCACTTTGAGAGGCCGAGGCAGGTGGATCACCTGAGGTCAGGAGTTCGAGACTAGCCTGACCAACATGGAGAAACCCCATCTCTACTAAAAATACAAAATTAGCTGGGTATGTTGGCAGGCGCCTCTAATCCCAGCTACTCGGGAGGCTGAGGCAGGAGAATCGCTTGAACCTAGGAGGCAGAGGTTGCGGTGAGCTGAGATCATGCCATTGCACTGCAGCCTGGGCAACAAGAACAAAATTCTGAAAGAAAGAAAGAAGGAAGGAAGGAAGGGTGATATATATATATATATATATATATATATATATATATATATATGTATGTATATTCTGTATGTGTATATATATATGTATATTCTGTATGTGTATATATATGTGTGTGTGTGCGTATTCATATATATATACATACATACTTACAATGGAATACTATTCAGCCATAAAAAAGAATGAAATACTGTAATTCACAGCAACACGGATGGAAATGGAAGACAGTATATTACGTGAATAAGCCAGGAACAGTAAGTTAAATGCCACATGTTCTCAGTCATATGTCGAAGCTGAAAAATGTTGATCTCATAGGAGTAAACAGTAGAACAGAGGATACTAAAGGTTGGGAAGGGTAGCAGGGGGAAGGGAAGGAGAGAAAGATATCTTAAAGGATACAAAATTATAGCTAGATAGGAGCAATAAGTTCTAGTGTTCTATACTTACTATAGGATGAGGATAGTTAACAATAATATATTATATAGTTTCAAATAGCTAGAAGGAGGGTATGAAATCTTCCTAAAATAAACATATGATGTTTGGGATGATGGATATGCTAATTACTCCAACCACTATACATTTATATGTATTAAAACATCACTATGTATCCCATAAATATGTACAGTTACTACATGTCATTTAAAAATAAAAATTAAGGTTGGGTATGGTGACTCACACCTACAAACCTAGCACTTTGGGGGACCAAGGCAAGCGGATACTTGAGGCCAGGAGTTGAAGACCAGCCTGATCAACATGGTGAAGCACTGTCTGTACTAAAAATACACACACATACACAAAAATAGCTGGGCGTGGAGTCACACACCTGTAATCACAGCTACTGGGGAGGCTAAGGCACAAAAATTGTTTGAACCCTGGAGGTGGAGGTTGCAGTGAGCCATGATCGTGCTACTGCACTCCAGCCTGGGCAACAGAGTGAGACTCTGTCTCAAAAAAACAAAAACAAGAACAAAAAACAAAACACACCAACAAAAACAAAAAAAAATAAATGAATAAAAATTAAAAAAAAATCAGGCTGGGCATGCTGGCTCATGCGTGTAATCCCAGCACTTTGGGAGGTTGAGGTGGGAGGATCGCTTGAGCCCAGGAGTTTAAGACCAGCCTGGGCAACACAGCAAGACCCCATCTTTACAAAAAGTTTAAAAATTAGCTAGGTGTGGTGGTGCACACCTATAGACTGAGCTATTTGGGAGGCTGAGGGAGGAGGATCACTTGAGTCTGAGAAGTCAAGGCTGCAGTGAGTTATGATTGTGTCACTGCACTGAAACCTGGGTGACAGAGTGAGACCTTGTCTTAAAAAACAAAACAACAAAATCACACTGGCCAGTCACAGAAAGAAATGGCAATAATGAAAGTTGCCATCCCTGTCTGACAAACTAGTCTGTTTCTTCTCTAAAACAAATTCGCAAAATGATTAAACTGGGTTGCAAAAAGCTGAGGGAAGTTTAAACAGAATAGCTTTGCTATCATTTGGAAAAAAGACTGAGTAAAAGCTTGGTCACCCTGACGTGGCTAATATTTGTATTGTAAATGCAACTCAGAGTACATTCTTCATAATATCAGATAAAGAAAAATAGTGTGGAACGCGAGTTGTCTGCGTTACTTTCGTATTCTCACTTCTGCTTTGGAGAAGGAAGTTCTTTTAGCATGCTAAGAGAGACAGTTAATATTCAAATTAACTGGAGAAAGGTCTCTCCTTTGAAGTCTCTAGCTTCGTTAGAGATGATGCTAGACACCAGCAGAGGTCTGTATGAGGAGGAAAAGGGGGCAACATGGGACCGGTGAGTGCCCATCCGCGGCTAACTGGATACGGACTGAGAGATCACCCAAGAGAAAAGTGTTTTGCGCCACCCTCTGGACTTTTTATGTATATTTGATGGCTATTAATTGATACTAATATGATTGATAATGAACTACATCAGCACACCACGGCTTGATAATGGATCCCACGTGAATACCATTACAGACTTTGAGGGACACAGCAATGAGGTTACGCAATAAATCTAAGTTTCTGGGTACAAGAAACCGAAACGATGGGTGTCAAAACATATGCAAATAGAACTGAAACTCAGCAACGTACACATTCCAATCTAATAAATATCACCTGAACTTCGATTAAAAATGAATGTAATCTCGGCAGGGCGCGGTGGCTCACGCCTGTAATCCCAGCACTTTGGGAGGCCGAGGCGGGCGGATCACGTGAGGTCAGGAGATTGAGACCAGCCTGACCAACATGGTGAAACTCTGTTTCTACTAAAATACAAAAATTAGCTGGCCTTGGTGGTGCGTGCCTGTAATCCCAACTCCTCGGGAGGCTGAGGCAGGAGAATCGCTTGAACCCGGGAGGCGGAGGTTGCACTGAGCCGAGATCCTGCCACTGCACTCCAGCCTGGGTGACAGAGCCAGACTCTGTTCAAAAAATTAAAAAAAAAAAAAAAAAAAAGAAAAGAAAAAAAATGAATGTAATCTCCTCTTAAGTGGAGCTTT
This sequence comes from Homo sapiens, assembly GCF_000001405.40. Classification (NCBI taxonomy): domain Eukaryota; kingdom Metazoa; phylum Chordata; class Mammalia; order Primates; family Hominidae; genus Homo; species Homo sapiens. The sequence continues at coordinate 121,072,877 of NC_000009.12, forward strand.
TCAAAAATTCTGCGTTTAAACTCCAAGGGCTTCGTTCTGTGTCGTGTAAATAGTTGGGGAGAGGACAGCACCATTCACTTAAATGTCAATGGGAATCACATTTAAGTAAAAGGAAAAGGAAATCAGTAAATCAAAGTAAATCAAAGACACATCTGCATCCCCATGTTTATTGCAGCTTATTCCCTGTTGGACGTCCCCTGAATTTCCTATAGAGGTGAAGCCATCTCTGCCTTAAGGAAAAATGAAGTGCCTAATACTGCTTATAATATGGTCCCTTTTCCAGATTTAGCTTCTCCACCCCAGATTTTTGCACAAGCCATACTGAACTACTTCATGTTTCCATACTCATGTTTTGTTCCAGCCACACTGAATTACTTAACATTCAGCACATTGCCAAGCTCTTTTCCCCCGCTTCCGGGGTTTGCACAAGTTGTTCCCTTTGCCAAGCAAATTCTTCCCCACCTCCCTACTCCTTGCCTAAACTCTTCTTTTGGGCGTAGAAAGAAGTATTGCTTCTGGGTAACCTTTGTCTAATAATGAAATATCTAAGACATATTGAGAACTTACTATGGGTCCCTCACTGTTCTAAGTTCTTTCACAGAGATTCACTTTTATAATTATCAGGAAAACTGGACTTTTTTTTTTTTTTTTTTTTTTTGAGATGGAGTCTCGCTCTGTCGTCCAGGCTGGAGTGCAGTGGCGCGATCTCGGCTCACTGCAACCTCCGCCTCCCGGGTTCAAGCGATCCTCCTGCAGCCTCTCAAGCAGCTGGGATGACAAGCGTGCGCCACCACGCCCGGGTAATTTTTGTATTTTTAGTAGAGACGGCGTTTCACCTTGTTGGCCAGGCTGATCTTGAATTCCTGACCTCAAGTGATCCTCCCACCTTGGTCTCCCAAAGTGCTGGGATTACAGGCATGAGCCACAGCGCCCGGCCAGGATTCACTTTTATAATTATCAGGAAAACTGTAGGAAGTGTTAATAGGTAAAAGGACCTCATTTCATAGATAAGGAAACTGAGACACAGAGAGAGAGGGAGTTTCTAAAAGTGTTATACAGGTGGCCTATAAACTCTGTAGTGAAGAAAGGAAATGAAGACAGGATAGAATGATCGCGAGAAAATGGTAAGAACAAGGGACTGGAAGACGCAAGGAAGTTTAGAAATACGCTGGCATAGGGGTCTTTTGAGCAGGCACGCTGCTAAGATGATAGGATTATAGTCAAGGATGGGGAGCGATTGCACTGGGGATTTCTGGAGCGGGTGCAGCCTCTGATGGTAACATGGTCCAGGGTATACCTTCAAAACGGGAGGCTACTGGAGTGAAAGGCGTCAATGGTGATAACACTTTAAAAAAAACTTCAGTGTTTCCCTAGCATCCAGCCCAGTATCTGCTAAATTCTTTAAAATATCTGTTGAATGCATGTCGTGAACGCCGTGCTCATGGGCAAGCCCCAGATGAAGCCTGTGCAAGTGCTTCTTGCTTTAACTCCCTTGTAGCAATCAGAGGAACATCCTCTGCCTAGGATTCCCAAGCTCCCTGAACCTCACGCGACAGCTGGAGCCCAGGCTGCGTCCGCTTTGAGGTTCATCCGAGCCTGGGCAGTTCGGTCCCTGGAGGGAATTCGCTTTAGATACGACTGTCAGAGAGAAGTGTGCTGATAAGAACACTCGCTCATAGCGCGCAAGCATCAGAAGTGGGGGAGGCCGGGGAGGCGCTGCGCCGGTGCCTCAGGCCGTCCTCGGACACAGGCCCTGAGAAGCGTGTCCGTGTTTCAGAGGGTGGCGGCGGCAGCTTTGTCTCAGCGAAGGCCACAGCACTGCGGGCAGCTGCCGCATGAAACCTCGGCTCCCCCTGACTCTGCACCCGACACTTCACCTGCAACGCAATCCGAAGGCGAAGGCACCGCATCCCGTCGGCCCCGCGCGGCCGGAAGCCTCGCGCCCAAGACTCCCCGGCATCCTAGCGCGCTGGCTGCAAAAGAGGCGGGAAACGCCTCCGCGTCCCTTCCAACAGTACCGGAGAGGGAGAGGGGCGTGGCTGAGACTAGCCCCGACCACGCGCGCGCGGCCCCTCGGCAACCGGCACAACACAACAAAATGGCTGCCGCGCCGCTGGGCCCCTGAGGAAAGAGCCCGAACTTCTCCCGCTCTACCTCAGCCTGCGGGACTGCTCGGCTCGGCTTCTAGGCGGTGAGCGTCAGACCTGGCCGAGCCCGTTCCCCGGCATCCGGCCCGAGCAGTGGGGGCCGGCGGCAAAGGCGGGAAGGCCCGGACCGGGCGTGGTGTGGGCCGGCTTGGGATGGATTCGGGGCGGGGGCGCGTGTCTGGGAATTGGGATTGGACGGGAAAGAGGGGAGGGCCCGGAACGGGCGTGGGGCGGTGGATGAAGGAGGGAGGTTTGGATGGGAAGAGGTGGGGACGGCGGGGGCGATTGGGGATGAAGAACCAGAGTGTGGGGAGGTGTGGAAGTTAGGGTGCGGCGCCCAGAAGGTTGTGGGTCCTGCCACCTGAGCTGAGGGGAGAGCTGGGATGTGCCAGCTGTCTGTGGGGAGTGAGCGGGAGAAAGGACAGTTTGGGCGTCCTGACGGGTTGTCACGGTATCGGACGGAGTACAGTGCGTGGAGAAAGATGACAGGATATGGGGACGAAATGCTAAAAGAAGGGGAAGAACAAACACTTCCGTTATATTCGTTAAGGGACTAGAGAATTTTGAAGCCAGACAAACTTGGGTTGAAGCCTCAATTCTGCCACCTTGTGTAACTTAACCAGGTCTGTGACCCTGGATATGTGTCTGAGCCTTCCTGATCATGTTTCCTCATTTGTCCAAATAATTGCGAATCATTTTTGGGTGTTCACTATTTGTCAGATCCAGTTTTAAGCACTTTGCACGTATTAACCTCATTTAGAATTTAAAATAACTTGTATGAGGTTATCATCCCCATTTAAAAAGTGATAGCACTGAGGACCAGAGAGGTTAAGTAATTTGCCTAAGATCACACAGTAAGTGGAAAATCAGAATTTGAACTCAGGCTGTTTCGTTCCAGAATCCAAGCTTTTAACTGTTCAGGTACATTGCCATTTGTAAATCAGGTTAATAATTCTGATCCTATACAGCTAAATCTTTGAGGATTTAAATTTGGTATTGTCTAAGTGTTTAGTACAGTCCTTCAGTCAACAAATATTTATTGTTTATAGAACAACAGACAAAACCTCTGCTCTCTTGTAGCTTATAGTCTAGAAGGAGAAACAGGCAACAACCAAGTAGTTTCACAAATAATGGTTATAAAATGCTATGAAGGAGACTGCTTGGTGCAGAGATCATGGGTAATAGGGAGATAAAATCTTCTGCATCTTGAGCTTAGATTCTAGCATGGTTCTTCCTACATAAAAGTTGCTCAATAAAATTGAATAATTAATGGAAAGAGATGGGAAGCTTGAGTTTTAGGGTATCTGAGCAGAAGAAGAGAGATGGGAGAGGGGATTCAGGCTTTTAATAGGATGGAGAAGGATACGGGGGCTAGAGTATTAGGATGGAAAGGCAAATAGGCAGGCAGTTGGGTTGGGATGAAGAGGAATGGATGGAGGTTTGAGTATTTTGTTTAGGGAGGGGAGTAATTGGAGGTCAGAGTATTGGAACGCATTAGGATGTCAGGGTATTTTCTGGGGTGAAGAGAGATGAGCAGCTTGGGAAGTCTGGATGGATAGAGAAATGTTGAGTCTGGGCACAGGAAAGAACCATAGAGAAATGGGGGAGACTATTACTGTGTTAGGGAACTGGGATAGAATTTGTGGGAAAATTGGCAATCAGAATGGGATAAAGAAGAATGGGAGGCAGAGGTGGGTGGGCAGCACAGAATGGGGGAATTGGCTTTGGAAAGAAAAATGGCTGGAGACTTTGCAGAGGAATCGGAATCAGGATATTTGAAAGGAGGAGAAGATTAAGGAGTAAAAGTATTTCAGTAGGTCAGAGGGTATGGGATGAAGTAGACTTGGAAAGTACTGAAATCCAATTAAAGGGCTAAGGAGAGGGATATGGGGGTTAATAAATGGGGATGGGTATTTGCATATTAGGGAGTCTGTAGAGAGACAGAAGGAGGTCTGCGTTATTTGGAGATCAGAGAAGATGGGAAGTTAGGAAGGTTAGGAAAGGCTGGATGGAGGTGGAGTTTGCAGTCTGTACTAAGCTGTGATGGACTGAATTGTTAGATCAGAGCAACTATCTGGGTTTATAGGTGGCAGGATGGGTAGTGTTTTGTTGCCTGGACGTAGGATTCTGATTATCATGTCATTCCAATGGCTTTCTCTTGCTCTGCAGACAGCCTTTAAAATACAACTGCAGCTCTGAACTTTATTTGCTTTTTTTTTCTCTTTATCCTGCTCCTTTACTCGCCCTAGCCTACCTCTCAGTTGTCTTCATTTTTCCATTGCTTGCTTGGTCTTTGTTCATGTGATTGCAAACAACATCCTAGATCAAACTACATCCTCATCTCTCCATTAAAATTATAATTCAGCATTTACCACCTCCAGGCAGTAGCCTAAGAAATAATGCCAGCCATTCTCAAACACTGTAAACCCCTAAGCCCACTTCACTGAGTTAGCTATTCTCTGAGACTGATTACGTCTATCTTGTTTCAGTGTCCAAGCTTTACAGAAGCTGTGGCAACCAAGGGTTTAAGTCTATGAATGAGTAAGCCTGACTTTTACTAATCAGGAGAGGTAATAAAGGACCTCATGATAGTCTGGTGAGACCTAAAGGGTCTTGATCATTAGGATGTAAAAACTACAGGCTGGGCACAGTGGCTCACACCTGTAATCCCAGCACTTTGGGAGGCTGAGGCAGGAGGATCACTTGAGCCCAGGAGTTCAAGACCAACCTGGGAACTATAGTGAGACCCCCCATCTCTACAAAAAATAAAAAATTAGCCAAGCGTGGTTATATGCGCCTGTAGTCCCAGCTACTCAGGAGGCTGAGGTAGGAGGATCACTTGAGCCCAGGAAGGCAAGGTTGCTGTGAGCCATGAGCATGCCACTACACTCCAGCCTGGGTGACAGAGAAAGACCTTGCCTCAGGGGGGAAAAAAACGCCAACTACGTACTATACATACTATAATAAATGTCATCTTTTAATCCATTTAATTAGGAATAAGATTTTACCTAAGCACATGCCTCTTAGCTTTTCTCAAATTTTAGAGTATTATCCTTATTTAGAAGGAGAATGCCAGTGCAGCTTAGCAGCATCAATAGTATTACTGAGGGCTGGGCATGGTGGCTGTAATCCCAGCACTTTGGGAGGCCGAGGTGGGTGGATCACCTGAGGTCAGAAGTTTGAGACCAGCCTGGCCAGCATGGCAAAACCTCATCTCTACTAAAAATAAAAAAAATTAGCCGGGCGTGGTGCTGTGCACCTGTAATCCCAGTTACTCAGTAGGTTGGGGCGGGACAATCACTTGAACCTGGGAGGCGGAGGTTATAGTGAGCCGAGATCACACCACCGCACTCCAGCCTGGGCAACAGAGCAGGACTCTGTCTCAAAAAAAGAAAAAAATAGTATTACTGAGACTACAGATTAAACTCAATTTCTCCCACTATACGCTCACAACATGATTCCGTAGGATTTTCCCCCACACATTAAGCAAGCAGTTAGTTCTGCAGTGGTGGGCACCACAGGACTGTCCTCTAGTTCAGTTCAATTCTGACACTGTCTACCTGGAGACAGCGTCACATCCCTAAGGTTGAAGGCTGGCTTACAAGACTGCCCCCAAGTTCTGATGCCAACTGTAAGCCTCAGTTTTACCTGTGCTTCTGACTGACCAGCTATAAATCAGAGTTCCCACAACTCCCTCCTTGGGTTTGATTAATTTGCTAGAGCAGCTCACAGAATTCAGGGAGCACTTACTTACATTTACTGGTTTATTATAAAAGATATTACAAAGGATATAGGTGAAAAGATGCATAGCGTAAGGCAGGTGGGAAGGGGCGTAGAGCTTCCACACCCTCTCTGGGTGGATTCCCCTCCAGGACCCTCCCTGTGTCCAGCTTTCTGGAGGCTCCCCAAACCCAGTCTTTTAACTTTTTATGGAGGCTTCATTATGTAGGCCTGATTGATTACATCATTGGCCATTGGTGATCAACTCAACCTTTAGCCCCTCTCCCCTCCCTCTTTCTAGTGACCAGCCACGATCCTGAAGCTGCCTAGAGGTGGCTAGCCATCAGTCAACTCATTAGTATACAAAAAGACACTTACGATAGCAAAAGGGACTAAGACTAAGTATGTATTTCATAATATTAAAATTACTAAAAGACTTTTTTCCATGGCAAAATTGTGTTATAAGGCACAAAAATTGTTTACCACGCTTGAAATTTAGACCAAAAAGCCTTGTGGAAATGGCATAAATAGCAGTTATGTAACTTGGGGGAGTTTTTCTGATCCATATGTATAGTTTAATATGAGAAAATGAAGGAAAAAGTACAGATACATTTAAGTTCACAGTTTGAAGTACAGGTTGAAGGCCAGGTGTGGTAGCTCATGCCTGTAATCCTAACACTTTGGGAGGTAGAGGTGGGAGGATTGCTTGAGCTCAGGAGTTCGAGATCAGCCTGGACAACATAGTGAAACGCTGCCTCCAAAAAAATAAAAATAAAGTACAGGTTGATTATCTCTTGTCCAAAATGCTTGCTATCAAAAGTGTCTTGGATTTTGGATTTTTTCGGATTTTGGAATATTTGCTTTATACTTGTTTATATTTTTTACATTTATATTTAAATATTTCAGATTTTCAGATTTGGAGTGCTTAACCTGTAGTGAATGAGGCTATTGGAATGGGGCATTTGGCTATATTGTAATGTATGTGAAATAATAATCAACTTTTTAAAAACAAAAAAAGACGGGGTTTTTATTCCTTTCAAACTACTCACCTTGAGAGACCGGATCATGATATCAGAGATCCTTTCTTTGTATAAAATTTTCTGGGTTTCCTTCAGGATTTTTTTTGTTTTGTTTTTTTGAGATGAAGTCTCACTCTGTTGCCCAGGGTGGAGCGCAGGGGCACGATCTTGGCTCATCGCAACCTCCACCTCCCCAGTTCAAGTGATTTTTGTTCCTCAACCTCCCAAGTAGCTGGGATTACAGGCACCTGCCGCCCATGGCATCATGCTAGGCCATAGAGAACAAAGGAAACATAATCTAGACTCCAGGAAACTCAGATAGCTATATGACATGGTCATTAAAAACATGGGTTTTGAATTAAATCACATTTCAAGTTTTGGCTAAACCAATTAGTTAAGGAATTTTGGACAAATTATTTAAGATCTTCATCTGTAAAATGGGAAATAACACTTATCTCATAGAGTTGTTGTATTCAATTCTTTCAATATGATGATACACATAAAGAGCTTATCACAACATATATTTGTCTGTCTGTTTTTTAGAGACAGGGGCTCCCTGTGTTTCCCAGGCTGCAGTGCAGTGGCCAGTCACAAGGTTGATCATAGCACATTGTAGCCTGGAGCTCCTGGGATCAAGCAATCCTCCTGCCTCATCCTCTGGAGTAACTGGGACTGCAAGTATACATACCGTGCCTGACGAAATATCACAATATTTGGTGCGTGGTAAGCCCTCAGTAAATGTTAGCCACTAGTATGATATTCTTTAGAATTAACTTCAATCATCATCTTTTCATTAAATTTTTGGAAGTAGACAAAATTCATATGGAGTCAAATTTACTGAGTAAGGTTAGTGATCAAACTGGGAAAATAAAAACAAAGTGTACCTGAAGCGATGGACCCGATTTTCTTGTGAGACTTAAGAATTAGTTTGAAAGCAGAATCCAAAGAGGAATTCCAAAAATTGAATATATTAATAGATTATATTAGTGTAATCTCTCCTTTATATACTGTATAAGTTCTGTAGGGGAGGAAAGGGAGTAATTCCTTTCTGGCCCATCATAAAGGTCATGGCCAACACCCCTGTAACAAAGACAGGTTGACTAGAGAAAAGCATAGCAAATTTATTCGATCAAAGCTTTATGTGTCATGGGAGCCTTCAGAATGAAGACCCAAAAAATGCAGAAAAAATTATCCGTTTTTATGCTTAGGATTAGTGAAGTGTGGACAGCTGTATAGAAATAGGATTGGACAAAATGGGTATGATCTAACGCTAATAGACTGAGTGAGGAAACTCAGCAACACCTACCTCTCCAGATTTCTCTTGGCCTCTCTGTGCAGCATTCCTTCCTCCTGGGTATTGGGTAGGACCCCTATGGAATGAGAGTCTTAATTTCTTTATGGCCAGCTGTTAGAAAGCTGGGAGTTTGCAGGAAGTTTCTGTATAATCACAGCTTATATGTACCCATATGCTTGTGAAGTTATATTATCTTTTAATAGAGATATGAAAAACTCAAAATGTTCTTCCTACTGCCGTACCACACAGTACAATACTTGTGACATCAGACATGTAAGGGTTGTTGCCCCATACACCAGATACTTCTTCAGTGGACACCAGCTGCATGTCCTCTTATTCAGTTCAATTCTGACACTGTCTGCCTGAAGATAGCATCAGATCCCACAGGTTAAGGACTCAGTCCCACAAGAGTGCCACCAACTTCAGATGCCCATTACAAGTAGTAGATTGCCACCTATACTTCTGACCACCAAGCTATAAATTGGGACTCCCACTGCCCCCTCCTTGGGTTCAATTAATTTGCTTGAGTGGGTCACAGAACTCAGAGAAATACTACTTACATTTTCCCATTTATTATAAAGGATATTACAAAATAAACAGCCAGAGGAAGAGTTGCATAGGGCAAGGTACGTGGAAAGGGGTATGAAGTTTTCATGCTCTCGCCAGCATGCCATCTTCCAGACACCTCCACATGTTCAGCTAATTGGAAGTTCTCTGGACCCTGTCCTTTTGGGGTTTTATGGAGGCTTACTTATGTAGGCGTGATTGCTCACATCATTGGCTACTGGTTATCAAATCAATTTTAGCTGCTCTCCCCTCCTTAAAGGTTGTGGGGTTGGGCTTAAAGTCCCAACCCTCTAAACATGCCTTAGTCTTTCTGGTGACTGGCCCCCATCCCAAAGCTGTCTGGGTGTCACCAGTCATCTTATTAGTAAACGAAAGACACTCTTATCACTGTGGAGAACCCAAAGGTTTTAAGAGCTATGTGATAGGAAACAGGAGGAACATCAAATATATAGGTTAAAAGAGAAATTATCAACACATTAAATTTAACAGTTTAATTGAACAAAGAATAGTTCACAAATTGGGCAGCCCTCAGAACCAGAAGAGATTCAGAGAGATCCATTCTGCAATGTAGGCAGGCAGCATTTATGGATAGAAAAGGGAAGTGAGGTACAGAAATAGCTTGATTGGTTATAGCTCTGTGTTTACCTTATTTGAACATGGTACGATCACTTGACTGCCTGTGATTGAAGCTCAGCTGCTATGATTGGCTGAGACTCAGCTATTACAAAAACATACTCCTAAGTTAGGCTTTCAGTTAGTTTACCTTCTAAGTTAGGTTGCAGTTCATTATGTAGAGACTTAAAGTACAGAGGCACTTTCAGGCAAAATTTAGTTTAATTTAACATACAGTCATGTGTCCCTTAATGACAGAATTTGCTCTGTAAGATGCGTTGTTAGACAATTTCATCATTGTACAAACATCATAGAATGTACTTACACAAACCTAGATGGTATAGGATAGCCTGTTGCTCCTAGACTACAAACCTGTACAGCATGTTACTGTACTGAATACTTTAGGCAGTTGTAGCACCATGGTAAATATTTGTGCATCTAAACATAGAAAAGGGGCTGGGTGTGGTGGCTCACACTTGTAATCCCAGCACTTTGGGAGGCCAAGGCACGTGGATCACAAGGTCAGGAGTTCGAGACCAGCCTGGCCAATATGGTGAAACCCCGTCTCTACTAAAAATACCAAAATTAGCCAGGCGTGGTGGCACGTGCCTGTAGTCCCAGCTACTCAGGAGGCTGAGGCAGGAGAATCGCTTGAACCCAGGAGGTGGAGGTTTCAGTGAGCCGAGATCGTGCCACTGCACACCAGCCTGGGCGACAGAGGGAGACTCCCTCTCAAAAAAAAAAAAAAAAATAGAAAAAGTACAATAAAAATATGGTATAAAATGTAAAAAAAGTATACCTGTATAGAGCACTTACCAGATGAATGGAGCTTGCAGGACTGGAAGTTTCTTTCCCAGTTAGTCGGTGAGTGAATGTGAAGGTGTAGGACATTACGGTACACTACTGTAGACTTTATAAACACTGTACACTTAGGCTACACTAAATTTATTAAACATTTTTTCTCTCTTCAATAGTAAATTAGCCTTAGCTTGCTGTAATGTTTTTACTTTATAAACTTTAAACTTTTTAAAAACTTTTTGACTGTTGTAGTAAAACTTAGCTTAAAACAAACACATTGTACAGTTGTACAAAATTAATTTCTTTATAACCTTATTCTATAAGCTTTTTTCTATTTTAAAAACTTTTTTACTTTTTAAATGTTTTCTTAAAAACTGAGACGCAAACACACACATTAGCCTAGGCCTGTAAGGGTCAGGATCATCAGTATGACTGCCTTTCATATCTTGTTCCACTGGAAGGTCTTCAAGGGCAATAACATGCATGGAGCTGTCATTTCTTATGATAACAGTGTTATGTTCTGGAATACCTCTTGAAGGACCTACCTGCCTGAGTCTGTTTTATAGTTAACTATTTTTTAAAAAATAAATAGAAGGAGTACACTCTAACAATGAAAAGTATGGTATAGTAAATACATAAGCCAGTAACACGGACATTTATTACCAAGTACTATGTACTCTACATAATTGTATGTGCCAGGCTTGTGTACACCTTGTAGCACAGTAGGTTTGTTTACACCAACATCACTACAAACATGTGAGTAATGTGTAGCACTATGACATTATGACATATATGATGTTACTAAGTTATAGGAATTTTTCAGCTTTATTATAATCTTACGGGACCACTGTCATGTATGTGGTCCGTTGTTGACCAAAACATTGTTATGTGATGCGTGACTGTATGTATTTCACAATATCACATATATGAAGATGTTTGTCATTCCACTATCCCTTTCTAATATCAATTTATATAGCATTAAGACTTGAGCTACTCTAAATCCTTGGATTAAAAACTACTTTAACCTAATATCTTATTTCATTAAATTTTTTTTCTAAAAAATAATTTCTGTTTTCACATTTTCAGCAGTGACTATAGGGGAAATTAAGGTACTAAGCAAAGATAGCATCATTATTAATGTAGCCTTGCTCGAGATCTATACATCTTATAATATTTTTTGTCCAAAAGTTTGTAAAGTTTATAATTTTTGTACTGTTTTTAGACTAAATGTACTTATAAGAACAACTGTGTATCATGAAAATCATTTTTGCATACACCTAACCTTGCAAATGTAGGACTCTTGATGTTAAGGACTAGTATTGCTCATGCAGACATTTTTTGTTGAGATACTAACTAGTACATTTTACATTTTATGTTATTTATGATTAACTCATTCAATAAATGTTAATTATTTACCATTTGCTAGGCTCTGTTCGAGGCCTACAGTGTGCTATATACTGTACGCACACTGTAGGCACAGCACACTGTATGCCTAGGATAGAAGAGGATGTCATTTTTTTTTTTTTTGTGAGATGGAGTCTCGCTTTGTCACCCAGGCTGGAGTGCAGTGGCGCGATCTTGGCTCACTGCAAGCTCCGCCTCCCAGGTTCAAGCTATTCTTCTGCCTTGACCTCCTGAGCACCTGGGATTCCTGGCGCTTGCCACCACGCCTGGCTAATGTTTTGTATTTTTAGTAGAGACGGGGTTTCACCATGTTAGCCAGGATGGTCTCGATCTCCTGACCTCGTGATCTGCCCGCCTCAGCCTCTCAAAGTGCTGGGATTACAGGCATGAGCCACTATGCCCGGCTGAGGATGTAATTTTTAAGGACTAATCAAGTCACAGTGCTAAACCATTCTGAGCCTTAATGGTCATGAACTTTACCTTTCTTTCATATAGGAAAAGAAATATTTTTATATGAAAACATTTAAAGGAATTTGACCAAGGTCTCTTTCATTAACAAATGCTTTAGTTCCTTCTGGAAGATCTATACTTCAATAAAATTGATTTTGTAAATAAGAATAGTAGACACTGAAGTTTGAAGTGATCAGATGTTTTTCATATAGCATGAGACAAATATGAATGGATTTCAGAAACGATATTTAACAAAAAAGGCAGATTTAAAAGATATTTTATGGTTTCATTTCTCTAAAGTTCAAAAATAGTTCAAAAATCTCTGGTGTTGGAAGTCAGGATGGTGATTCCCCATGTGTGGGAGTTAGTGACTGGAAGGGGGCATGAGACGACTTCTGGGATTCTGGAAATATTCTGTTTCTTTACCTGGATGCTGATTACATAGCTTGTGTTCACTGCATAGAAATTCATGAAGCTATATACACTTATGATTTATGTACTTTATGTATGATACATTGCAATAAAAAATATGCATACAGAGAGAGAGAGAGAGCACATGCATGAAAGAGCACACTGTTGAAAGTATGGTTTTTAAACAGGGTGAATTCTAGTTATAAGATGTTAGATGTATTCATGACCTAGACACCATGGAGCTGCTGGGAATTCAGAGATTACTTCTCCACTTGTGGTTGTTACATTCTGAGCAAGCAAAAGATATATAGTAGGTATATTCAGTGTAATAAACAGGGAGGATTCATTCTGTAGGAAGAAAGTAGATTTCTGGAAAGTCTTCACAAGAAAAGTAACAGTTTAATTGGTTGAGAGAAATAAGAGGATGTTTAATTCCCTTTAACGAATTCCCTTTAAGGAAAGGGAATTTCATGAGCAAAAACTCATGATGTGTTCAGGCAATGACAAAAAGATGACTAGAGCAATGGTATGTGGTGGGGAGGCCAGAAAGTTTGGGCCAGACTGTGATGAGTCCTGTTTGTAGTGCATGGTGCCAAAATGTTTAGACTCATAGGCATTGGGAACCATTACATTTCTTTTGTTTTTATTATATAAGTGGGTCAAAGGTAGAGGATGGATTGAGGATAAAGGAGAACTGGAAGGAAGGTGGTTCTGAGAGTATCTTAATAGTCTAAGCAAGAGAGGATAAAAGTTGAATCTAGGGCAGTAGCTGTGACGATGGATAGAGACGAATTTCAAAATATTTTGGAGATAGAATCAATATTGTTGGACGATGGAGAGGGATGACTGGAAGATAACTCTATTCATTCATTTATTCAACAAATATGTATTGAGTTCCTGCTAGGTACCAGGCACTATGCTAGACTCGGGAGACAGTGTAAACAAAACAGACAGGCTCTCGTGGAGCATACAGTTCAGAATGGAGACAAATGTTAAGCAAAATGACATAAATGTGTAATTTCAAACTGATTATGTGAGGAAAAAATACAAATTCATTGAGAGTATAGAACCGGGGACTTCACTTCATCTGCCCTGCACTGGAGGCTTTCCTGAAGAAGCAACAGTTGAGCTGATCTCTGAAGGAAGACTACAAATTAACATGGTAAAAAGAATGAGATCAAGCATTATTATTACTGTGAGGAGGCCAGTGTGACTGGAGCCCACAATTGAGGGAACGAATGACAGAGGTGAATCTAGAGCAATAGGGACAGATCATGGGGGACCACCTTGTAGGTCATGGTAAAGATTTCCTTCATTACAGACTGCTGGATTTACTTTTTTTTTTTTTTTTTTTTTTCCTGAGATGGAGTCTCGCTCTGTTTCCCAGGCTGGACTGCAGTGGCGCGATCTAGGCTCACTGCAGCTTCTGCCTCCTGGGTTCAAGAGATTCTGTTGCCTCAGCCTCCTCCCCTCGACCCCAAGTAGCTGGGATTACAGGTGCATGCCACCACACCTAGCTAATTTTTGTATTTCTAGTAGAGACGGGGTTTTGCCATGTTGGCCAGGCTGGTCTCAAACTCCTGACCTCAGATGATCCACCTGACTCGGCCTCCCAAAGTGCGGGGATTATAGGCATGAGCCACCGCTCCTGGACTGGATTTACTTTTTAAATAGATCACTCTGGCTATCTGACTGCAATGTAATGATGGAAGAATAAGGCAAGAGAGCTTGTAGACAGATCAGTTAGAAGCTGTTATAGTAGTTTGATGAGGGCTTGGATTAGAGTGCGTGAGAGTGAAAATGGAAAGAAGCAGACTTAATTTGAGAGGTTATTTGGGAGTAAGAATTAACAGGATTTAGCGATTGACTGAGTATGGGACAAGGGAAGAGGGAGGTGTCAGGAATGACTCCCAGGTTTTTGGCTTATTCCAGCGAGCAGTGTTCAGTATTTAGGGAACACTGGAAGACGAAAAGGAGAGTGAGAGGAGGAACGGGGTAAATAAATTCAATCTGGACTGAGTGTAGGATGCCAATGAGATATCACGTAGGCAATTGGAAATAGGAGTCTGGAGCTCAGAGAAAGATTGGATTGAGGTTATAAATATCGGCTGGGCATGATGGCTCACACCCATATGTAATCCCAGCACTTTGGGAGGCCAAGGCACGTGGATCACCTGAGGTCAGGAGTTCGAGATCAGCCTGGCCAACATGGCGAAACCCCATCTCTACTAAAAGTACAAAAATTAGCCGGGCATGGTGACAGGCGCCAGGAATCCCAGCTGCTCGGGAGGTCGAGGCAGAAGAATAGCTTGAACCTGGGAGGCAGAGGTTGCAGTGAGCCGAGATCGCACCATTGCACTCCAGCCTGGGCGACAAGAGTGAGATTCTGTCTCAAAAAAAATAAAAAATTAAATAGAGTAAACACATGGCATTGGGAACCATGGGTGTGCATTAATTTGTCCAAGATAAGATTAGACAGAAACTAGAAGGGACCAATGAGGAGTTCTGATGTTTAAATTACACTGCAAGGAGGAACAAAAGCCAGCAAAGGAGTCCATGGAGTGGCCAGGGAGGCAGGAGGATACCAGGAGAATGCGGTGTCCCAGAAACCAAAGGAAGAAACTTTGAGGAAGGAGAGAGTGCTCATCAGTATTAAATACTGCTGGTTGCCAAATATTCCAGCTTCCTGCATTCTAGGACCCCGTTATGTGGGTAAAAGGGGCCTTGGGACTAGTTTGGTTCAATAAACAGAACAGGAATGACAACACTTCCAGCTGGAGCATGTGTCAATTCTATCCCCTCTGGAGATCCCTTTTCTCTCTGGCAAGGTCATCAGTGATGTTTGATACAGTGTCTGCTCCATCAGCTTGGAGTAGTATGGGTCCTAGCATTTATGGCCTCTGAGTTTATAACTTTATAGACCTGAAGGTTCTAGAAAGAATAGTTTTGATAACTCTTAAAAATTAATCTTGTTGAATATACTGAAAACTCTTACAGGTTTTGATGAACACCTGGCTTTATTCTTGCAATGAAGAAAGGTTCTCAACAAAAAATATTCTCCAAAGCAAAGATACCATCATCATCTCACTCTCCTATCCCATCATCTATGTCCAATATGAGATCTAGGTCACTTTCACCTTTGATTGGATCAGAGACTCTACCTTTTCATTCTGGAGGACAGTGGTGTGAGCAAGTTGAGATTGCAGATGAAAACAATATGCTTTTGGACTATCAAGACCATAAAGGTATCACTTTTTAATCTAAGAATTGGTCTGACCACATACTTCAAGTAGAGATGGAAAATTTTCGGCTTGCATTTTTGGTCCAACTGTAACATTCTGGTACTAATTTGATCTATTGTTTTTATTAACAGAAATTAAGGACTGTAAGGACAGTTGGAGGATTGAGGTTTCTGGGTGAGGGTAAAGATGTCAGTGGATTCAAAGAGGGAGTTTTCAGAAAGAGGAAGCTTTGTTTCCTGTGGTAGGAGAGTGTCTTAAAACTCATCCCAAAACTTGCCATCCTCTTTGGTTAAGGGGAGGGAAGATCTGTTCACTTCAGAGTGGAGCGCCTTAATTCAGTAAAAAAACGTTATACATACTTGGCCTATGCCAGTCTTCTTATTAGCAAACTGCTTATCTGTGAATGGACTGATTTCCACATATGGGACATGTATGTATGTTCCACTAGTGTTTTAGTTTTTTCTTAAAATCATCTGTTAGTCTAGGAATCTGTTCTCAAAAGTGCATTGTTGGGGGTATAGCTTAGTGGTAGAGCATTTAACTTCAAAAGTAAGTTATTCTTTGGTAAGTCATGAAATAATAGCCATTAAACTCTAATCAGGTTTTATTAGCATTAACAACACTGAGTTTATACTATATCTTTGCTGCAAGTTGGCATATTGTTATTTCTAATTTGATTAATATTTTAGAATGTTATCAAATTTAGAATATTAATCAATTTTCTTTCCAAGAACAAGCCAAGTTAAATTTAAATATCTTTTTATTTTGCACCAAAATAAATTTAATACTAACTTGTAAATAATCTTAGAGAATCTTTGGCTCACAGCCTGGATCTCAACCCAGGATTAATTTTTTCTGACTCGTAAGGCAGGAACCAAGAGGTGATTTACTTTTTAGGGCTACTTTTGTAAAATGTAATGTGGCATTAACAGTCTTTGACAACAATATCCAGGAAAGTTATAAGACCAGATTTGCCATCCATCAAGTGACTGCTCTAGCTCTATAAAATATGTTGTGATTTTCTCTATTTAAAAGTGCAACAAATTTAGAGTTTCTTACCATAAAAAAATAGGAAAAGAGGATTTTTAAGAATTTCAGTGTTTCTGAACTTTAGATTGGAATTTTCTAAAAAAACAAACAACTAAGTATTACCAGTTTATTTTTAAAAACTAACACGAAAATATTGCTGAAAACTTCATATAGTTAAAAGTGCAAGTTTTATATTCCTCTGACTGGATTCAAGTTCTGGATTTGTGCCTTAATTAGCTGTAGGATCTTGAGCAAATGATTTTTTTTAGTAAGTGATGATATTAATAATTTCTATCTCAAAGGTTTGTTGTATAAATTAAATTTTAAAAATGTAAACCACTTAGCCCAAAGCTTGGCACACACCAAATATTTATAGTGTGTATAACCATTATCATCTTTGTATCATTATAGTTACTACATTACAATACGTTATAGTATTACAATACATTAATTGTAATATACAATACATTATAGTTATTACATTATAATACATTATAGTATTACAATCATTACATCATTATTTCATTATAATTATGAAATGCTATGAAGTAAAATATTATTAAAACATTATGATTAGAAATAGCCAGCTTTTTTGGTATATTCATGGCTTAATTTTTGTTTTTGTTACATAACATCAAAACAACTTGTTCTTTGTGATATTCATGTCTTTCCTCTACTGATGATGATCTGTTTCTATAATTTCAGGAGCTGATTCACATGCAGGAGTTAGATATATTACAGAGGCCCTCATTAAAAAACTTACTAAACAGGATAATTTGGCTTTGATAAAATCTCTGAACCTTTCACTTTCTAAAGACGGTGGCAAGAAATTTAAGGTAGGTTACCAACAATTTCTGAGCATAGATACTGTTTTTAACTTTTCTGTGCTTTAATACTGCGAAAAAAAATTATCCTAATGTCACCTAATTTGTGGCAGACCTTTTATTGTTTCCAGTGAATGTTCTAAATCAGAAGTATATGACATTTCCAAATTAATAAGTTTCTATTACTCAATATTCTTACAACATTGACTCTGTAGAGAAGGGGTTGGCAAAGTACAGCTTACAGGCCAGATCAGGCCAGCTATCTATTTTTGTAAGTAAAGTTTTATTGGAACACAGTCACCCTTATTTGTTTACATATTGTCTGTGGTTGTTTTTGCACTACAGTAGCAGAGCTTAGTAGTTGCCACAGACTATATGGCCCGCAAAGCCAAAAACATTTACTATTTGGCCTTTGTATTCGTTCATTTTCATGCTGCTGATAAAGACATACCCAAGACTGGGCAATTTACAAAAGAAAGAGGTTTAATTGGACTTACAGTTTCACGTGGCTGGGGAAGCCTCACAATCGTGGTGGAAGGCAAAGAGGAGCAAGTCACGTCTTACATGGATGGCAGCAGGCCTAAAGAGAGCTTGTGAAGGAAAACTCCCCCTTATAATAACCACCAGATCTTGTGAGACTTACTATCACGAGAACAGTAGGGGAAGGACCTGCCCCCATGATTCAATTATCTCCCACTGGGTCCCTCCCACAACACATGGGAATTCAAGATGAGATTTGGGTGGGGACACAGCTAAACCATATCAGCCTTTTACAGAAAATGTTTGCTAATTCCTGCTCTAGAGTGTTTACAGCTTCATTCATAAACTATACAACATGAACACATTATAATAGACAACTTAATTCCTTTAATTGGAAGAAAAAAACCTTAGATTTCTACCACGTATTATTCACAAAAAGTATTTCCAGAAGGGTGAAGAACTAAATGAAAACAAAGCAAAATGAAAACACCAAGTAACAGAAATGCTATAAAAGTATTAGAGAGAGTATATGAGAATATTTTTAAAATCTTAGAGTGGTGAAGGTCCCCCTAAGCAAATACTAACCCTAGTACCACAAAGGAAAAATATTGACAGATTTAGCCTGCATAAGACTTAAACATTGTGTTTAATGAAAGATGTATTTTAATAAGTTAAAAGAAAAGCAGCAGCCGGGCGCAGTGGCTCACACCTGTAATCCCAGCACTTTGGGAGGCCGAGGTGGGCAGATCACCTGAGGTCAGGAGTTTGAGACCAGCCTGGGCAACATGATGAAACCCCATCTCTACTAAAAATACCAAAAATTAGCCAGGCGTAGTGGCGGGCGCCTGTAATCCCAGCTACTCAGGAGGCTGAGATAGGAGAATCACTTGAACCCAGGAGGTGGAGGTTGCAGTGAGCCAAGATCGCGCCATTGTACTCTAGCCTGGGCAACCTAGATGTTCATACAGCTGGCTTCTTGTTGTTAAGGTCTCAACTTAGTGAGGTCTTCTCTTTTTTTTTTTTTTTTTTTTTTGAGACAGGGTCTCACTCTGTCATCTAGGCCGATGCCCTCTCTTACCACCCAATCACAATTAGTCACCCTCTCCTCAGTCGCACTCTCATTCTTTTAGTCAACAAGTATTTATTTAGCACCAGGCAGTAATGCTAGAGTAGTGAAACACAACGGGCAAAATATATATATTTATATATAAATATAAATATATACATATTTTATAGATTTTTATAGCAAACATGTATTGCTTATATATTTATATATGCTTATATATAAATATATACATATTTTATAGATTTTATAGCAAACAAGATCTTCAGAAAATAAACAGTGCTAAAAAGGAAATAAAGACATCTTGTGACAGAATGCAAGGCACCAACAGGGCAGATTTTGCCCATTGTGTTCACTACTCTAGCATTACTGCCTGGTGCTAAATAAATACTTACTTGTTGACTAAAAGAATGAGAGTGCGACTGAGGAGAGGGTGACTAATTGTGATTGGGTGGTAAGAGAAGGCATCAGCCTAGATGACAGAGTGAGATATAGATAGATAGATAGATAATATATATCTATATATATATAATATATATCTATATATATAATATATATCTATATATATAATATATATCTATATATATAATATATATCTATATATATTATATATATCTATATATATAATATATATCTATATATATAATATATATCTATATATATAATATATATCTATATATATTATATATATCTATATATATAATATATATCTATATATAATATATATCTATATATATAATATATATCTATATATATAATATATATCTATATATATAATATATATCTATATATATATAATATATATCTATATATAATATATATCTATATATATTATATATATCTATATAGATATGTAATATATATATCTATATATATATATATTTTTTTTTTTTTGGAGTCTCGCTCTCTTGCCAGGCTGGAGTGCAATGGCGTGATCTCGGCTCACTGCAACATCCTACTCCCTGGTTCAAGGGATTTTCCTGCCTTAGCCTCCTGAGTAGCTGGGATTACAGGCACGTGCTACGACGCCCAGCTAATTTTTTTTTATCTTTAGTAGAGACAGGGTTTCACCATGTTGGCCAGGATGGTCTCGATCTCCTGACCTTGTGATCTCCCCTCCTCGGCTTCCCAAAGTGTTGGGATTACAGGCATGAGCCACCGCGCCCTGCCATATATTTATTTGTTTATTGTCTGTTTCTGTGATTGAGAACAAGAACTTTGTTTTCTTTATTCACTACTTTGTTTCCAGTACCTAGAACAGCTCCTGGCCCATAATCCATGTTTGATAAATATTTGTGGAATGGGTGAATGAATTATAATCTTGGAGAGAACCATTTGATGTGGTAGAAGATATATTGCCTTACCAATACAGGTTGAGCATCCCAAATCCAAAAATCTGCAATGCTCCAAAATCCAAAACTTTTTGAGCACTGACCTGATGCTCAAGGAAAATGCTCATTTGAGCATTTTTGGGTTTTGGATTTTTTGATTTGTGTTGCTTAACCAGTAAGTATAATGCAAATATTTCAAAACAAATCTGAAATCTGAAACTCTTTAGGTCCCAAGCATTTTGAATAAGGTATAGTCAACCTGTAGAATAGGAATGAATGGAAGACAGAATGAACAAATGTAGACAATTCGTGTGAGAACATTGGTGGTAGATAAGGAAGATAAGATGATAGCTTCATAGTAAAACAAGTTTAGTCCTAGGTGATTTATATAGAAGAAATCTGAACATATTGAATATAAACTCTGGGCAGCAGGGAAGAATTATCTAGTTCACGCCATATTCCCATTACCTGGTGCAATGCCTCATATGTAGTAAGTGTGTAATGAATATATGTTGGAAAATGACTGCTTTTAAACTTGAGGGGAAGATCCAGGAGGGAGAAAGAGGTTGAATTTGCAAGGGCATTGGGGGAGGAGGTGAGATCATGCAAGAGCATAAGTACTTGATTTAACTTGAAAAAGAAGACATTGTGGCTGACATGGTGAAACCCCATCTCTACTAAAAATACAAAAAATTAACCAGGCTAGGTGGGACGCGCCTGTGGTCCCAGCTACTCGGGAGGCTGAGGCAGGAGAATCGCTTGAACCCGAGAGGCAGAGGTTGCAGTGAGCCAAGATTGCGCCACTGCACTCCAGCCTGGCCAACAGCGAGACTCGGTCCCCGCCCCCTCCCCACCCCCGCAAAAAAAAAGAAAAAGAAGAAAGCTATCTCTCTTAGTCTCTTAGTCCATTTTCTGCTGCTGTAACAGACTACCACAGACTGGGTAATTTATAAAGAGTAAAGATTTCTTTGGCTCACCGTTCTGGAGGCTGGGAAGTTCAAGATTGAGGTGCTGCATCTAGGGAGGGCCTTCTTGCTGCGTCATGACATGGTAGAAGGCATCCCATAGTGAGGCAGAGCAAGAGAGCAAAAGATCCTGAGACACAGAGAGAAAAAGGAGACTGAACTGTGATAATTAATCCACTCCCAAGATAATGGCATTAATTCATTCCTGAGGGCAGAACCCTCATAACCTAATCACCACATGAAGGTCTCGCCTCTCAGAACTGTCACAATGGCAGTTAAATTCAACATGAGCTTTGGAGGGGACACTAAAACCATAGCACTATCTTTTGGAAGAAAGGAGGGGAATGAGAGGGAGAGGTATGGCAAAAGTGAGGTAGAGGGAATGACAGTGAGGGAAATCTTGTTGGATAGTCTTGAGCTTCTTAGTATATAGACAATGTTGTTGTCAACTGAAGGGCAAAGAGAGTTTGGTAGCTTGAGTAGAGTTATTACTCCTAGTCAAGGAGAGCTGCATCAAGGGATTCTCCAGGAGAGCAGTAAGGGTATATTATTTTCTGATGACTGATCAAACAGACCCTGATGCACATAAGTAAATGTTGTACTTTATGTCAAGTCATCTGTTGTGTAAAGTATTCATTCATTTGTTTCCAATTAGTATATTGAGAATTTGGAAAAATGTGTTAAACTTGAAGTACTGAATCTCAGCTATAATCTAATAGGGAAGATTGAAAAGTTGGACAAGCTGTTAAAATTACGTGAACTCAACTTATCATATAACAAAATCAGGTGAGTTATATAACAAAATCTTTAGGCAGCATTGCAGATAGCTTTGTTAGAGAGGTAGATTAATGTTATCCACATTACTGAAAGAATGATTTGACAGAAACAGAAGATATTTTTATCTTTATTCATCAATCAAATGAATGTCTGTCTCTTCACATATGGTAGGTAACTGTCTTTATGTTTTGGCATTACTGAAGTACAGAATAACATCTAGCATTATCAAAGAGATATATTTTTGAGCACCAAATTGTATCTTAATTTCATTTCTGACAGGAAGTTTTCCCAGATATTGTCTGTGATTTATTACCTTATTACATTAAGAATGTTGACATGAAGCAGAATGTTTTAACCCTGCCATTTTGACCCCCAAGATGTTCTAATCTGTTTTGATTCTGATGTTCTTTGCTTATTGCTACAAGAAATATGCTCTCAATCCTGTTTCCAATTCATAATATATATTACTGTGAGAAATAAACATACTAAAACTGACACTGGCTAAAACTTCATATAGAAAACTTGTTATAGACAAAATGATACAAGAATCAAATCTTGAAATTCTTAATATCTGCATGCTTTTCCCCCAAGTTAGACTTGGTAAATATGATGGCCAAGAAAATGACTAGCAATGGCAGAAGTTCTGATATGACAAAACTGAAATGAAAAAAAATGATTAATGAACCAAACCCTTATTATAAAATTTGTATAAAAAGTTGACTCTGATGAAAATATTTTCAGCAAAATAAAATTGAAAGTAGAGAAGCTTAGAAATATTTACCCAGTGTAGATAGAGGCTTTGAAGTATTTGTGCAGTATAGAAAATTGACCAAAGAATTAAATTGACAAATAAATTAGAAGTGACTTGGGAAAAACCTTCATCAATCAGAATTCATTAATATGTGTGATAAATGCTTTATTTAAAAGTTCTGGTTAAATTACTTATATTCCTAAATACAGTATCATCTATGGGCTCCCATATCCTGCTGGCATAGCTAATCTTTTTATGATAACTTAAGACAATAATTAGGAACATCTTTTGGACAGGAATGTAGCAGATAGGACAGGGTGCTATTGAGTTTCCCAGGTCTCCACTGGCTGTTTGCTAGTACTGTTCACAGTAGTCGGTGAGAATGCCATGGTCACATTTTTCTTTTCTATGTTATGGAGTTGCAAAGTCTAATAATAAGATTGATAGGATTCCTGGGCATAGTAATAAAAAGTTGGCAGTTTAGCTGTTCTGGTAAATTTGGCTTTAGCCACTTTTCTTTGTTCTCATTTATGAAAAGAGTTGATAAATTATCATTATGAAAAGTAATCTAACATGGAGCTAAAGCTGTTTATTCTAAAAATACAATGGAGAGACTCTATAATTGTACTCACTAAATTTTATTTTATCCTTTGCTTTCCAGCAAAATTGAAGGCATAGAAAATATGTGTAATCTGCAAAAGCTTAACCTTGCAGGAAATGAAATTGAGCATATTCCAGTATGGTTAGGGAAGAAGTTAAAATCTTTGCGAGTCCTCAATTTGAAAGGCAACAAGATATCATCGGTAAGTTATTCAAAATAGCAGGAATTTTTAGACTTGTTAAAAAATAAAAGATTAAAAATATCTAAGTTTTTTAAAAATGGGATTTCTTCTTTTAAAGATTTTGCTCCTTTGACTAAACACTAGATTCAGACATAGCCCATGATTTTCTAGATTAATTAAATACAAGCAGTCCTCATTTTGCATGGGTTCCTAGGTCAACCTAGGGTTGACCTCTTAGCATTTTTACATTTATCATTTCATGTAAGCCTCATAACATTCTTGTTAAGAAGGCAGTACAAGGATTATTTTTGTAACACTATGAGTTAGGTAGTAGCAAGTAAGGTCTAGGACAGGTTAAGTCCCTTATCTAGAGTCACATTTTGTGCCAGGATCCAGATCACTGAATGCCTAGAAGAAAGTTCTGGGTTTTTTTTTTTTTGACAGTATTAACTTCCAATTTCAAATTTACCAGTTTATTTTGATTATAATGTTAGGTGTTATAGGAGGTTGATCACTAGCTTTTCATAATAGAGCAACTTTGTTATGATTTACATATTTGGATGATGTTGTATATTTTTCTCTGGAATATAGTTTATGATTTTCTTATGGTATTTATTCACAGCTAGGTATTTAATAAGCATTTGCTTAGTAAATTTGTTAATTTATTTAAATTTGTATTAAAATTGGGAAAATTGTGCCATAATTTAATGAACATCAGTTGTAGAATAGAAAATGAAAGATGTGACTTCAAAGATGGGCCTCTATAGAATTGCCTTCCATGACCTTGGAGAATTCTTTAATCCCTCTAAAACCACTGTTTGGGGAAAACAATCCCTATACTGCCTCCTTTACAGGGGTATTATGGGGGCTCAGATGAAATGATAGATGTGAAAATGCTTTAAAAAAAACTTTAAAACACTAAATAAGTCTAAAGCTATATTCTTTAAGCCTTCACCAGTGGAGGCCAATAATAATAAGCAATATTCATTTAATGCCATGTTGTTAACAATACCTATGCTTTCTAATTTCATCCTGTGACAGTCAAGAGCCTCAGAGCCCAAGCCCAACCCCATGTTGTACAGCATCACCTTGGGGCTGTTGATGCTATGGGATGATGGGAAGAGGTAGCCATAGATCTAAAATTTGCCATAAATATTCCTGAAGTAGTTGATCCTTAGATAGTGTCAACTTAGTGTCAGCTGTGCAATAGGAAAATCAATAAATATTTATTTCTAATTTTGTATGATGTCCTCACCCCATTGATATTTGACATTGGCATTATGAAGAGTGCTGCACATTCACTTGGGAGAGAAGATTTATTTGTACTAGCTATTTGGAGTACTGTTTCTCAGCCTTTTTAGGTTGAGAATAAACTATCTGAATAAACTGTCAATTATAGCACAGTTATCTGAAGATTTACCAAAATATTTTTTATAACTATTCATTTTTTTGATTTGTTAAATCAGTATAATGAAAAGACAAAGTTGAGAGTTACACAAACTTGAATTCAAATCCTGTTTCATTCACTTACAAGGCTTTGAGCTTTGGGCAAGTCGCCTAACTTCTTTGATCCTGAATTTCTTCATCTGTAAAATTAAGATGATACTTACATGATAAGTTGTTGTGAGGAGTCACAAATGAAATAGTGTATGGAAAATACCTAATACTGCCCAAATACACTATAAATACTCATATACTCCCTTTCCTGACACCACTACTTTTGGGTAATTGGCTTCATGAATAGATTCCTTGCCATGTTAAATTTCCTTGATTTGTAACTTCCTTTAAGTATGTTATGATTTTTAAATTAAATTATACCAATACTAATGTTATATCATTTCAGCTCCAAGATATAAGCAAGTTGAAACCGCTTCAAGATTTGATTTCTCTGATCCTAGTTGAAAATCCAGTTGTGACCCTTCCTCATTACCTCCAGTTTACCATTTTCCACCTCCGTTCATTGGAAAGTTTGGAAGGTCAGCCAGTAACCACTCAGGATAGACAGGAGGCTTTTGAGAGATTCAGTTTAGGTAAGATTAAATTTAAAAAATAATAAATTTGGGTGAGGGAGGAATTTATTTTCAGAAGTTATCTAGAAATATGTATCATGAACTTTATAATGCTATTAAAATGTACATGGGAAATGGCAGCATAAATCAATTCAACAAATATTTACTGAGTGTGTACTGTGCACCAGGCAACTGGATTTGGCACTAAGGATACAATGGGAAGGAAGACATATGGTGCTGCTGTCCATGCAGCTTATGTTTTGGCAGAGAAGACAGACAAAAAAAAAAACAAAAACAAAGTAACAGGGGAACCCTCTTTGTGGCATAGAGGAATGGCTTTCTGAGGGAGTGACATTTAACCCGAAAGCAAAGAGAAGAGAGGGTTAGCCATGTGAAGAATGGCAGTAAGGGGAGGGAGCAGCTTGTTCTTTGAGGCTCAAAAGACCCTGTGAGTTTAAGGAAGTGAAAGAAGATTAGAGTTAAACGTCCCTGACTGACAGCTTTGAAGAGAGTAGTGGTTCTCCCAGCACGGAGTTTGAGATCTGAGAATGGACAGACTGCCTCCTCAAGTGGGTCCCTGACCCCCGAGTAGCCTAACTGGGAGGCATCTCCCAGTAGGGGCTGGCTGATAGTGCCCCTCTGAGACGAAGCTTCCAGAGGAACAATCAGGCAGCAACATTTGCCGTTCTGCAATATATGCCGTTCTGCAGCCTCCACTGGTGATACCCAGGCAAACAGGGTCTGGAGTGGACCTCCAGCGAACTCCAACAGACCTGCAGCTCAGGGTCCTGACTGTTAGAAGGAAAACTAACAAACAGAAAGGATATCCACACCAAAACCCTATCTGTACGTCACCATCATCAAAGACCAAAGGTAGATAAAACCACAAAGATGGGGAGAAACCAGAGCAGAAAAGCTGAAAATTCTAAAAATCAGAGCGCCTGTTCTCCTCCAAAGGAATGCAGCTCCTCACCAGCAATGGAACAAAGATGGATGGAGAATGACTTTAACGAGTTGAAAGAAGAAGGCTTCAGAAGATCGGTAATAACAAACTTCTCCGAGCTAAAGGAGGATGTTTGAACCCATCGCAAAGAAAGTAAAAGCCTTGAAAAAAGATGGCACGAATGTCTAACTAGAATAAACAGCATAGAGAAGACCTTAAATGACCTGACAGAGCTGAAAACCGTGGCACGAGAACTACGTGACACATGCACAAGCTTCAGTAGCTGATTCGATCAACTGGAAGAAAGAATATCAGTGATTGAAGATCAAGTGAATGAAATGAAGCCAGAAGAGAAGTTTAGAGAAAAAAGAGTAAAAAAAAATGAACAAAGCCTCTAAGAAATATGGGACTATGTGAAAAGACCAAATCTACGATTGAATGGTGTACCTGAAAGTGACAGGGAGAATGGAACCAATTTGGAAAACACTCTTCAGGATATTATCCAGGAGAACTTCCCCAACCTAGCAAGGCAGGCCAACATTCAAATTCAGGAAATACAGAGAATGCCACGAAGATACTCCTCGAGAATAGCAACTCCAAGACACGTAATTGTCAGATTCATCAAAGTTGAAATGAAGGAAAAAATGTTAAGGGCAGGCAGAGAGAAAGGTCGGGTTACCCACAAGGGAAGCCCATCAGACTAACAGCCGATCTCTTGGCAGAAACTCTGCAAGCCAGAAGAGAGTAGGGGCCAATATTCAACATTCTTAAAGAAAATAATTTTCAACCCAGAATCTCATATCCAACCAAACTAAGCTTCATAAGTGAAGGAGAAATAAAATCCTTTACAGACAAGCAAATGCTGAGAGATTTTGTCACCACCAGGCCTGCCTTACAAGAGCTCCTGAAGGAAGCACTAAACATGGAAAGGAACAACTGGTACCAGCCACTGCAAAAACATGCCAAATTGTAAAGACCATCAATGCAAGGAAGAAACTGCATCAAGTAATGAGCAAAATAACCAGCTAACATCATAATGAAAGGACCAAATTCACACATAACAATATTAACCTTAAATGTAAATGGGCTAAATGCCCCCAATTAAAAGACGCAGACTGGCAAATTGGATAAAGAGTCAAGACCCATCTGTGTGCTGTATTCAGGAGACCCATCTCATGTGCAGAGACACACATAGGCTCAAAATAAAGGGATGGAGGAAGATCTACCAAGCAAATGGAAAGCAAAAAAAGGCAGGGGTTGCATTCCTAGTCTCTGATAAAACAGACTTTAAACCAACAAAGATCAAAAGAGACAAAGAAGGCCATTACATAATGGTAAAGGGATCAATTCAACAGGAAGAGCTAACTATCCTAAATATATATGCACCCAATACAGGAGAATCCAGATTCATAAAGCAAGTCCTTAGAGACCTACAAAGAGACTTAGACTCCCACACAATAATAATGGGAGACTTTAACACCCCCCACTGTCAATGTTAGATCCACAAGAGAGAAAGTTAACAAGGATATCCAGGAATTGAACTCAGCTCTGCACCAAGCAGACCTAATACAGAACTCTCCACCCCAAATCAACAGAACATACATTCTTCTCAGCACCACATTGCACTTATTCCAAAATTGACCACATAGTTGGAAGTAAAGCTCTCCTCAGCAAATGTAAAAGAACAGAAATTATAACAAACTGTCTCTCAGACCCCAGTGCAATCAAACTAGAACTCAGGATTAAGAAACTCACTCAAAACCGCTCAACTACATGGAAACTGAACAACCTGCTCTTGAATGACTACTGGGTACTTAATGAAATGAAGGCAGAAATAAAGATGTTCTTTGAAACCAATGAGAACAAAGACACAACATACCAGAATCTCTAGGACACGTTTAAAGCAGTGTGTAGAGGGAAATGTATAGCACTAAATGCCCACAAGAGACAGCAGAAAAGATCTAAAATCGACATCCTAACATCACAATTAAAAGAACTAGAGAAGCAAGAGCAAACACATTCAAAAGCTAGCAGAAGGCAAGATACAACTAAAATCAGAGCCAAACTGAAGGAGATAGAGCCACAAAAAACCCTTCAAAAAAATCAGTGAATCCAGGAGCTGGTTTTTTGAAAGATCAACAAAATAGGTAGACCCCTAGCAAGACTAACAAAGAAGAAAAGAGAGAAGAATCAAATAGACACAATAAAAAATGATAAAGGAGATATCACCACCAATCCCACAGAGATACAAACTATCATCAGACAATACTGTAAACACCTCTACGCAAATAAGCTAGAAAATCTAGAAGAATTGGATAAATTCCTGGACACATACACCCTCCCAAGACTAAACCAGGAAGAAGTTGAATCTCTGAATAGACCAATAACAGGCTCTGAAATTGATGCAATAATTAAGAGCCTGCCAACCCAAAAAAGTCCAGGATCAGACGGAGTCACAGCTGAATTCTACCAGAGGTACAAAGAGGAGCTGGTACCATTCCTTCTGAAACTCTTCAATGAATAGAAAAAGAGGGAATCCACCCTAACTCATTTTATGAGGCCAGCATCATCCTGACACCAAAGCCTGGCAGAGACACAACAAAAAAAGAGAATTTTAGACCAATATCCCTGATGAACATCGATGTGAAAATTCTCAATAAAATACTGGCAAACCGAATCCAGCAGCACATCAAAAAGCTTATCCACCATGATCAAGTGGGCTTCATCCCTGGCATGCAAGGCTGGTTCAACATACACAAATTGATAAACATAATCCATCGTATAAACAGAACCAAAGACAAAACCATATTATTATCTCAATAGATGGAGAAAAGGCCTTTGACAAACTTCAACAGCCCTTCATGCTAAAAACTCAATAAATTAGGTATTGATGGGATGTATCTCAAAATAATAAGAGCTATTTATGAGAAACCCACAGCCAATATCATACTGAATGGGCAAAAACTGGAAGCATTCCCTTTGAAAACTGGCACAAGACAGGGATGCCCTCTCTCACCACTCCTATTCAACATAGTGTTGGAAATTCTGGCCAGGGCAATCAGGCAGGAGAAAGAAATAAAGGATGTTCACTTAGGAAAAGAGGAAGTCAAATTGTCCCTGTTTGCAGATGACGTGATTGTATATTTAGAAAACCCCATTGTCTCAGCCCAAAATCTCCTTAAGCTGATACGCAACTTCAGCAAACTCTCAGGATACAAAATCAATGTGCAAAAATCACAAGCATTCCTATACACCAATGATAGACAGACAGAGAGCAGAATCATGAGTGAACTCCCATTCACAATTGCTTCAAAGAGAATAAAATACCTAGGAATCCAGCTTAAAAGGGATGTGAAGGACCTCTTCAAGGAGAATTACAAACCACTGCTCAACGAAATAAAAGAGGACACAAACAAATGGAGGAACATTCCATGCTCGTGGATAGGAAGAATCAATATCATGAAAATGGCCATACTGCCCAAGGTAATTTATAGATTCAATGCCATCCCCATCAAGCTACCAATGACTTTCTTCACAGAATTCGAAAAAACTACTTTAAAGTTCATATGGAACCAAAAAAGAGCCTGCATTGCCAAGACAATCCTAAGCAAAAAGAACAAAGCTGGAGGCATCACACTACCTGACTTCAAACTATACTACAAGGCTACAGTAAACAAAACAGCATGGTACTGGTACCAAAACAGAGATATAGACCAATGGAACAGAACAGAGCCCTCAGAAATAACACCACACATCTATAACCATCTGATCTTTGACAAACCTGACAAAAACAAGCAATGGGGAAGGGATTCCCTATTTAATAAATGGTGATGGGAAAACTGGCTAGCCATATGTAGAAAGCTGAAACTGGATCTCTTCCTTACACCTTATACAAAAATTAATTCAAGATGGATTAAAGACTTAAATGTCAGACCTAAAACCATAAAAACCCTAGAAGAAAACCTAGGCAATACTATTCAGGACATAGGCATGGGCAAGGACTTCATGTCTAAAACACCAAAAG
The DNA here is from genome assembly GCF_000001405.40 of Homo sapiens. Classification (NCBI taxonomy): domain Eukaryota; kingdom Metazoa; phylum Chordata; class Mammalia; order Primates; family Hominidae; genus Homo; species Homo sapiens. Next base: position 121,103,519 of record NC_000009.12, read on the forward strand.
CAATGGCAACAAAAGCCAAAATTGACAGATGGGATCTAATTAAACTAAAGAGCTTCTGCACAGCAAAAGAAACTACCATCAGAGTGAACAGGCAACCTACAGAATGGGAGAAAATTTTTGCAATGCACCCATCTGACAAAGGGCTAATATCCAGAATCTACAAAGAACTTAAATTTACAAGAAAAAAAGCAGCCCCATCAAAAAGTGGGCGAAGGATATGAACAGACACATCTCAAAAGAAGACATTTATGAAAAAATGCTCATCATCACTGGCCATCAGAGAAATGCAAATCAAAACCACAATGAGATACCATCTCACACCAGTTAGAATGGCAATCATTAAAAAGCCAGGAAACAACAGGTGCTGGAGAGGATGTGGAGAAATAGGAACACTTTTACACTGTTGGTGGGAGTGTAAACTAGTTCAACCTTTGTGGAAGACTGTGTGTGATTCCTCAAGGATCTAGAACTAGAAATACCATTTGACCCAGCCATCCCATTACTGGGTATATACCCAAAGGATTGTAAATCATGCCACTATAAAGACACACGCACACATATGTTTATTGCGGCACTATTCACAATAGCGAAGACTTGGAACCAACCTGAATGTCCATCAATGATAGACTGGATTAAGAAAATGTGGCACATATACACCATGGAATACTATGCAGCCATAAAAAAGGATGAGTTCATGTCCTTTGTAGGGACATGGTTGAAGCTGGAAACCATCATTCTTTGCAAACTGTCACAAGGACAGAAAACCAAACACCGCATGTTCTCACTCATAGGTGGGAACTGAACAATGAGAACACTTGGACACAGGGTGGGTAACACCACACACTGGGGCCTGTCATGGGGTGGGGCTAGAGGGGAGGGATAGCATTAGGAGAAATACCTAATGTAAATGACGAGTTAATGGGTGCAGCACACCAACATGGCACGTGTATACATATGTAACCTGCACGTTGTGCACATGTACCCTAGAACTTAAAGTATAATTAAAAAAAAGAAAAGTAAAAATAAATAAAACTATCCAAAAAGAAAAGAAAAAAAGAAAATCAGATAGACTGGAGGACAGCTCAATAAAAAGTGTGTAGACATAAGTAGGTGTGAGATGGCACAGGGCCTTGGAATTTTGATTTTATTTCAGGTGCATTGGAAAGCCACTGGCAATTTTTTTTTTTTTTTTTTTTTTTTGAGACAGAGTTTCGCTCTTGTTGGCCAGGCTGGAGTGCAATGGTGCGATCTCAGCTCACTGCAATCTCCGCCTCCCAGGTTCAAGTGGTTCTCCTGTCTCAGCCTTCCAAGTAACTGGGATTACAGGCATGCACCACCACACCAGGCTAATTTTGTATTTTTAGTAGAGACGGGGTTTGTCTGATTTCTCTTACGGGGTCAGGCTGGTCTTGAACTCCCAACCGCAGGTGATCCGCCTGCCTCGGCCTCCCAAAGTGCTGGCATTACAGGCGTGAGCCACCATGCCCGGCTGCCATTGACAGTTTTTTAAAAAGCAGCAATAGGACATCATTTTTGATACAGAGAATGATTTGGAGCAGGGAAAATGGAGATGAAGGGACCTGTTAGGAGGCTAGCGTAGCAATCTAGGCTGGAGTCTATGCCATACCATCTGAATACATTCACAAGATCTTGAAAGCTAAGCAGAGTCAGCCCTGGTTAACACTTGGATAGGAGTGATCCAGGTTGGAAACGTTTATGGCCTGTAGTTAACATGCTGGATGTGGAAATGAAAGATAGATGGATCAGTTTTGAAGGTAGAAGCAGCAGCATTTTCTAATGGATTGGATAATTCCCAGGCTTTTGGCTCAAGTAAGTAAGTGGCTAGATGGTGATATCATTTATAAAAATGAAGAATTCAGAGTTTTATTTAGGACATATTCAGTTTGAAATGTCTGTGAGACAACTAAGTGGAGGTGGCATAGAGTCAGAAATGTGAGTCTGGAATTTAAAGAGATCTGGACTAGTCATACAAATTTTATGCTCAGTCACATCAGCATAAAAATGACATTAAATTGCATGGGAATCAGCTCACTCAGGCAGTGGTTGGGAGACGAAAGAAAAGCAGTCCGCTAAGGAAGCTGAGAAAGAGAGGCCAGCAAGGTAGGAGAAAACCAGGAAATAGTGGGAAATAGCCCAGAGAAGTTTTCAAGAGAGGAAGTGGTCAACTCTGTTGAATGTTGCTGAGATATGAAGTGAGAAGCAGAGAAGTGCTTTAGATTGGCAACAGGTGATAATGATCTTGACAGGAGTAGTTAAGGAATAGTGGGGACAGATGCTAGATTATAATGGCTTGAAGAGTGAATAGGAGAGAGACATTTGGCTGGAGATTTGAAATTTTTTCCCATAATGTCTCTTGTAGTACTTAATAAATCATTTTTTTAAAAAGATCAAAAATTAAAACTGAAAAATTCACCAGTGGCTTCCAGACCAGGAAATGGGCAGAAACAACAAATGCAGTAAACTTCAAAGCCAGAAAACAAAAAAACAAATGAACAGAATATTCAAAAGTGGAGTGGAGGCCGGGTGTAGCTGTTCACACCTGTAATCCCAGCACTTTGGGAGGCCGAGGCAGATGGATCACTTGAGGTCAGGAGTTTGAGACCAGCCTGGCTAACATGGCAAAACCCCATCTCTACTAAAAATACAAAAATTAGCTGGGTGTGGTTTTGGGCGCCTGTAATCTCAGCTATTTGGGAAGCTGAGAGAAGAGAATCACTTGAACCTGGTAGACGGAGGCTGCAGTGAGCCGAGGTCATCCCACTCCACTTCAGCCTGGGCGACAGAGCGAGACTCCGTCCAAAAAAAAAAAAAAAAAACCTAAAAGCAAAGTGGAGAAACAAGACATGGCTCAATTCTTTTGGTTCTGGAGAAGACATGAGAATGAGATTAGAGAAAAAAAGGAAAAATCCCTTGGTAGGAGTGACACTTTCTCCTTCAGAAAGGAGCAAAGATATGTGCAGGTGTGGGTAGTTTTGTTGCTGTGGTGGTGGGAAAATAGGGAGTTCTTATTGATGGGGTCATTTTCTTAATTAAAGGTGAGATAATCAGGTGAGAGAGAAAATAGAAGAAAGTGTATGGGAAGTTTGAGAAGAAAGAGGAAGGTATCAAATAGCCAATTTAGAGTGTTGGGAAATGAGCCTGTCTGTTCATTTGAAATTAGTTTTAGTCTGTTTTGACCTCCAAAAATGGCAATTTCATATGGTTTGATCCAACTTGAGAAACATGGCAAGTTTTTATTAGTTTGGAATCTCCCTAACTCAATATTTATTATTCTGAAGTTTATGTTTTGGAATCATTAAAAATATTAATAATGCAAAGGAAAGTCATCTAGATAACTTTTGGGTGAAATGGTTAGACTACTTATGGTTCCTTCATGCCTTCAGATATTAATTAGGAGACTTTAATGTGCTAGGCTATTAGATCTAGTCTAGGTGAGCCAGGTAGATGTAGTTTCTGCTTTTGTGACGCTTTAGTGGGGAAAGGCAGACAGCTAAGCTATTTGATCACATTTTACTACTCCCTGTGTGACAAGGGCCAAGCAGAATTTCAGGGTAGCATGGGAGTATACCTCAGAATCATCTAACCTGGTGACAGGATAGGGCCTGGGCAGGCTTCTCAAAATTTTTTTTTAAAACTTAAGACCTGTAGGATGCAAAATAGCCCAGTAGGAGGTAGAGGAAGACAGTTCTAGGGAAAGTGTGTGAATAAAAGCCTATAGGTGAGAAGAGGCATCACAAATCTGAAGAAATGGGATAACTTTAAGAAAGCTGCAGTAGAGTATGCTTGAAGATGAGGCAGAAGAGGGAGGTTGAGTCCAAATTATGAAGAACTTTATCAGCTTTTCGCAAGCCTTTTGGATCTTATCCTAAGAGTAACAGGAAGCTGTTGAAGGATTTTAAGATAATACAGAATTTTGCAAACATGTTTGCAGCATCCTTTTAAATGTAATTACTAATGTCTGATAAAATATTGCATGTTTTTCAAAGGTCACCTAGAAAAGAACTCATTTATCAGCACACTAATTGGATTAAATACTTGGAAGTAAAGTATTATCTTTTAAAAATATCATTGAAATGATGCCTTCTTGCCTCAATTTCAAGATCAGGATAGTCTTTTTTTCCAAAACCATGGTGGCTAATTTTAAAAGTAGAATTGTATTTACAATATTTTTAGACTTTTTTCACTATTGTTTGAGAAATATTCTTACCTTTTTAAAAATAGGAAATATAATGATAAATAAACTATTAAATTTTCATTGGCAGAAGAGGTAGAAAGACTGGAAAGAGACCTAGAAAAAAAGATGATAGAAACTGAAGAGCTTAAGAGCAAACAAACAAGGTTCCTTGAGGAAATTAAAAATCAAGATAAATTGAATAAATCATTAAAAGAGGAGGCCATGTTACAGAAACAGAGCTGTGAGGAACTCAAGAGTGACTTAAACACAAAAAATGAATTGGTAAGTTCATATTTTACATTGCTTTGGCTGTATTCTCATAAGACAGATAATTCTTTGCCCTTGGGTCTAAAAATACAACTTCCTGACCATATAATGGGGAAGATGTGGTTTAACAGAAATATGTGGAAAGGCTTATGAATTGTAGTTGACTGTGTGCTAGATGATATGGCTTCCCAAAAGACTAATGCTGTCTTGAGCTGCATTATGTACTCCTAGATATTTGTATTTTTTAAAAACAACATTGTAGGTGAGGCTGTTCATTGGCAAAAACATTTAGAAGGCGATCTGGCAAAATTATCCAAAATTTTGTGAGTTATAGGTCTTTTTGGACATGGAATCCATCTTTTATTACTAAGATAAAATATAATATCTTTATGCTGATTCCCTGGTGCACGTTACTCAGCCCATTGAAAACCTTGGCAAAATGTCAGACCTTAAGACTTTCCACTATCCCAAAACTATGAACTGTAGTTGCCTAGTTTTCTCTTTTGCTTATTTATAATGTTATTGATATGTTTGTGCTGTCAATAAATGTTTTGTAAACTGTCAGAAGTTTTTGCTTTTTTTTTCTATACCTATTTTTGTTAGAAGTCAGACTGTGCTCTTCTCTATGTCATTATGTTATTTTTATCATTAACCATTTAAAAACATGTTTATGCCAGGCGCCATCGCTCATGCCTTTAATCCCAACACTTTGGGATGCTGAGGTGCAAGGATCACTTGAGGTCAGAAATTCAACATCAGCCTGGGCAACATAATGAGACCCTGTCTCTACAAAAATAAAAATAAAATAAAAACACATTTATATACAAAATTAATGTATGTTCATTGTAACAAATTTAGACAACACAACTGTATTTAGCAGAAATGAAAGTCCACTCTTCCCTACCCCATTCCCCAGATATTAATACTTTGTTTTCCATGCTTCTTATACAGTATACATGTAATTACATAATGTATATATAATTAAGCATGTTATACCTTTGAATATTTTTGTAATGAAAAAAGGAATGTTACTGTATACAGTTATTCCTCTGTATCTGTGGGGGATTGGTTCCAGGACACCCCCATGGATACCAAAATCCATGGATGCTCAAGTCCTTTATGTAAAATGGTGTAGTATTTGCAAGTGACTTTCGTACATCCTCTAGTATACTTTAAAATCATTGCTAGATTACTTATAATACCTAAGACATTGTCAATGCTAATAAATATTATATTGTTTAGGAAATAATAATTAAGAAAAAATATCTGTACATGTTCAATACAGATGCAACCATCCTTTTAAAAAAATATTTTTAATCCGTGGTTGGTTGAATCCACAGATGCAGAACTCAGATATGGAGAGTAGACTGTATATTATTATTCAGCATCTTAACTTTCACAAAACAGCATACGTGGACAACTCTCCAAGTTAAAAAATATGTGTACATGCATGTATAAAGCCTTCTTACTCTTTTTAAAGTCTATGTTGTGTTCCATTAAATGTATTCTTCATAATTTAGTTAGCCTATTCCTATTGATGGATATTTAGGTTGCTTTCACAATTTTTGCTATTAGAGACAGTACTACAGAGAAAATCTGTGTGTGTGTGTGTGTCTATATATACCTTATGCATTCATACTAGTATTTCTTTAGCATAAACCACTAGAAGTGGAATTACCGTGTAATTTGCATTTAAAATTTTGATAAGTGTTAATGTACACTTCAAAAAGCTTCTAACCAATTTATATTTCAGAAGGGAAGAAAATACCCAATTTCCAACTAGGTACTATTATTTTGAATTTGTACATATGGTAGAAAAAAATGGAATCTTGTTTTAATTTTGAATTTTTATAGTTGTTGGACAGTTGAGTATTGCATATATATTTATTGGCTATTTTGTATTTCCTCTTTAAATTGCCAGTTCATATTGGTTTTGCCTATTATCTGTTAGTCCCAAGGACTATTAGATGCCTAAAATAATTCTGGGTCTTATTCTAAGAGCTTATATTTGAAAAACATTTTTATTATCTTTTGCAGAATATCTAATGATAATATCATCTGTGATTATGTGAAGTTTTCCATTTTAAAAAAGTAGTTGCTTGTGCATTAGGCCAATTAATGTATAAAAGAAAAGTAGCACTGAAGTAAGTCTTCTGGTGGCCATTTAAACCGTAGTAGTCCTGTCCTGCCACCAACAAATATTAACCAAATTTACTCTTTGTCCTTTTGCAAATTATTTAATTCCTGTGCTTCAGTTTAGTTATATTTAAAATGAGGATTATTTACCTGTCCTGCTAGCCTCACAGAATTGTGAGGATTTAATGAGCTAATAATGAAAATAATTTGAAATGAATCAAGCTAAGTAATGGAAGGTAGTAAATCTATAACTCAGAATGACAATAAAATACATCCATGTAAGAATAATGCCAATACTAAAAGCCATGTCTTCCTATGGTAAGTTGTCAGTAAAGAGCAACTTGTATTATTACAGTTTAACTCTCCAAGTGACGGTATCTGTTTGCTTCTTCTTTTAGCCCTTGTCTTGGTTTCTTGCAGGCCCTTTTCTGCTGATTCTTTATTCTTCCTTAAAGGTAGTTCTTCCAGGCCTGAACTGTGTTTTTCAGGGTTTGCATGATAACTTGCATTAATATGCTTGCTTACATTTTAAGTTTTGAAACTGGCTTGTCTTCTTGGGAAATGTGGTTGTGTGCGTATGTATTATTTTTTTTTAATGGATGTTTATATAGGAGAGCAAATTTGAATGTGGGGGAAAGAATTATTTTTCTGATTGGTAAATATGTTACCTTCAGTCAACTCTTGATTATCCAAAGCTAATACTGTGACTAGCCTACTTTCCAGTTCATTTGACATCTATTTTGCTTTTATTCATGCATTTCTTCAACAGATATTTATTGAGTGCTTACAATATGCTAAGCCTGGGGCTTATAAAAGTCACAAAAGTACTTTGAAATGCACAGCCTATTTATTATTATTTGCCTGCAGAGACCAGTTCATGTATTCTCTGTGATTCCAGTCACATTTGCCTGTTGTTTGCCACTATTGCCAATGAGTTTTGAGGAGAGAACCCAAGATTAGTTGACAGTGTTGATTGTGAGTTGCTTTCTTGAGACTCGGAGACTTATGATCATTCAGTGAAAATATCAATGTGGGTAATGTGCTGGACACCCTGCAGCAGTACATCGAAGGCAGCATGGAAGAATAGGCAGTATTGGATTTGAAATCAGGAGACTTGGAATTGAATTCTGCCTCTTCCACTACCAGCTGTGAAATTGGGCAAGTTATTTAACTTCTCTGTGCAGCTTTTATCATCTTATTGGGTGGTTGTGAAGATTTAGTGCAATAACATATGTAAAATGCTTAGCACAATGTCTGGCACACATTGAGTATTTGGCTCAATGTTACCCATTATCTAGGCTATTACTTCCATTTTGATGGATAATCAGGAGGTGACTGTGAGCTAAATCATGCACGACTTTGATTTCCTGGGCCTTGTAAAATGTTTGTGTTTGTTTATGTTTTATTCTCTTCAGCTTGCACTTTTATATTAATGAAATTTTTCTGCATGTTTTTTCTTTGATATCTACCATCAGATACTGGCCAAAAAAAGACAAAAATCACTTAGTGGATCTTTGAAATAAACTCAAAGTTTGGTTTAGTAGAAAGGAGCTAGTACTAGTAGTTAGTTAATAAAATATTTAGTTTCTGACACTGATCTAATATGTAACTTTAGACAAGTCAGTTCATCAATCTGAGACTTAATTTCTGTATTTATAAATTCAGAGAATTAGATTGGATCATTTGTCTTCTCCAAGCTCCAAAAATTTCTAAGAATAAAAAGTTATAGTAGAATTACTTTATTAAAATTGAATATTACATATTTGGATCTGGTTGAGCTTATTCACATCCCTTATTCTTTATTACAAAGAATAATATTCTGAACACTTAATACTACAGCAACAACAGTATGACAATTAAAACCAAGCTCTTCTTTTCATCCTTCTCATTCCTCTTTATTTCTCTGCAGTTAATGTCAGTTATCATTTTCCCTTGTAATTTGAAACTATTGTTAAAGTCGGAAAGTCAGTTTAAGAAATTAGTGCTAATTATTGGAAAATCAGGAAGCAGGTATTTATTAGGCCAGTTACACAAAAATAATTGATACAAAAATATTTTCATGTTTAACAAATTTAAGTGATTTTTAAAATCATTATTCATTATATCGTGAAGCAGCAGATAAACTTCAAAGGTCTTTTACATGATCTCTGATGAAATAATAATTTTGTATTTCATTTTTTATAATTTAGAAGTAAGATAAAATGTTCTGAGTGTTGTGCAGCTTACTGTGAAGTTTTTAAACATATATGATTATAACTTACGATGAGAACTTACCATATCATCACACCTTTATACTAACTTACTGATCCTGTATGTTGTCTCATATCAAATTGGGCCAATAGCTAAAACAGAAGACCATAGAATTAACACGAGCATGTCAGAAGCAATATGAGCTGGAACAGGAATTGGCCTTTTATAAAATTGATGCTAAATTTGAGCCACTAAATTATTATCCATCAGAGGTGAGTTATTTTAATTTTTTAGTAATCCAAAGTTAAAGCCCACATGGGATGGAATGGGGGAGGGCAGGTGGTGAGGACATGTAAGGGATTTGATCAGATATCACTCCACTTTCTTGTTATGAGAGGATTAAACTGTATTTTGGTTCAATCTATGACTTATTTGGCTCCGGGAGTTAGAACAGAATCCTAAAGAGGTAAAAAACTTCAAAAGAATCTTTGCCCATAGCCATATCCATTACCAAAAGCAGTCGTCTAACTCGCAGCTATCTTTCCCAGGTGTATGGGTTGATCAGCTCCTTTAAATCCAGACTTCTGGGAAAAGTGCTTCAGTACCATGGAATAGTCATCCCCTTACATGGTTTGTTCAGTAATTACTGGGTTCAGTATTAATCAATCATGACTGGTACAAATGCCATAAATGTCACTGCAAGTGAGGAAATGCCAAACTTCTAAGACCCAGTGATTCCAACCAATATCATATGATATTTCATTTTTAAAAATTCAATTATTAAAATATATTATACTGATGGCTACACACCATGTATCTGAAAAAAATATTAGACTGAGATTTTATTTATATGAGCCAAGAAACCAAAATAAAACACCCATATTTCTAATTTGAGAGATCAAGCAGTGCTAAAAATCACATAACTGTAGGCAGTTCTTTAATCAATCAGTCCAAACTTTCACTCTTCTGTGGTAAGAGGAAGAATTCTTTTGAGACCATTTTTAGTTCTAATTTCCTTTTTTGGTATATTAAGAAGAAGATAAAAGAATAATATATATCTTTCAGCTCCTAGGCATGTAGAATTTATATAAACTTGAGCAATTCTGTGATATGTTTGCCACTAATAAAATGAATAATGTCATTTGACTGCTTGGAGATCACTTATTAAACCATAAATCTATTATTTTGCTTTTAGTATGCTGAAATTGATAAAGCCCCAGATGAAAGCCCTTACATTGGCAAATCCAGATACAAGAGAAATATGTTTGCCACAGAGAGTTATATTATTGACAGTGCTCAGGCAGTACAGATCAAGAAGATGGAGCCAGATGAACAACTTAGAAATGATCACATGAACTTGAGAGGCCACACACCACTGGACACGCAACTGGAAGACAAAGAAAAAAAAATAAGTGCAGGTTAAAAAAAGTTATTTTAAATTCTTTAAAAAAAAATATGAAAACATTGAATATGTAGGCCAATTTTGTTTTATAAGTCTTTTAATTGAACATGTTGATGGTATTGTTTCCATGAAAAGTCTAAAACAAAAGTAGTGATTATCAAGCAGATTTATCGAGCATTTATTTTGTAATGATTCCTGTTATGGTTAAGAATGGAGTTTTTGGCAGTAATTTGATGGCAGCATGTCCAGGGGATTCAAGAATGAGTAAATCCCCTCCTTCAAATAAGCACTGGAACTATATATTCGAAGTCACAATTAGTAATAACTGAAGCAAGTAAAGAACCACTTGATTGATTACTATGCATGTAGCAAAAACCTAAAGCAATGCTTTGTATAAGCTGCAACAGAGCATTCTCCTCAGGCCTGGGCCGAAGGCTAGCCTCTGACTTTTCCTGACATGCCCCATGCCCCACAATCTAATTCAAGGGATCTTAATACCTTCTGGCAAGTCACATAAAGGAATAAGTCAAGGCAGGGGGACACTTTAGAGACCCTGCCAATGACAGACTTTGAATCTATTTACCCACTCAGCTGCATGGATATGGAAGAAAGAGAACTCTGACCAGGGTTTGTGCATCCCCCCAGCATTATGGCCCACTGTGGTGCTCTCAGTCAGACCAGCGGCTTATCTTTCCTTGACTGGTAGCTAAGTGGAAGGCATGGAAGGCAAATAGAGGTTGACTTGGTGAAGGAAGAAAAGAAACTGAGTTATTTATGTCTGCGTATACTATATGCAAGGCTCTGGGGGAAAGCAAAAATAAATCAGATTTTTATGCAGACTAGCTTTAAAGGGGCTGGCTCATAGTTTTATAGGACAGAGGGAGAGAGAAATCTTAAATTTGAGGTTGAAAATAATTGATTTGAGATCATCAACAGCTGGGAGAGAGAGCTCAGTAGTGAATTTCTTGATATTGAATTCCATCATAAAGCATTTGCCTCTAACACAAGGTTTTATGGGTTATTTTTAATATCCTGAACCTAATTATAACTTAGTAACATGTAAAGTGCATATTTCCCAATAAAAGTCTTATTCTCTCAAAAGGGTTTACTAGTGTTGGGAATAGCCCCTTTCATGTTGAGAATTTTACAAATAAAAGGATCAATTATAGTTCTATACCATATAATGAAACAGTTTATTCTAGAGATTAATAAATAGACAAAAGCGATCATAAGTAATTACTTTAAAATTTTTTTGTGAGATATAATGACAGTTTAATAGAGCAGGGAGAAGGTTATTACAAAGAAAGAATACCTGGTTGAAATTTCAGAATTCAAGATTTTTCTTGTTTCATATTATGTGAGCATGGTTTTTAAATTTGCAGCACAAACTCGACTATCAGAACTGCATGATGAAATAGAAAAGGCAGAACAACAAATTTTGAGAGCTACTGAAGAATTTAAACAACTGGAAGAAGCTATACAACTAAAAAAGGTATGTAAAAGCAAAGCAGCAATGCTAAGAGGAAATGAAAAATGAAATGTGTTTTTCCCTTCATAACCATATAAAACAATTTAAAAAGCAGTTAGCTGCCTAGTTAATTATGGAATGATAAATTTCAGAGTCAAATATGGTTCTAGAATTTGCCAATTGTAATTTTCTTCCATTTATGATGACATCCAATTAGCATTTTATAACATGTATAGAAATAAATTACTTAATTTTATGTAAAAAGGTGTAGTCTTGAGAAGTTGCTTCCTGATCTATCTCTTCTATTTTAATTAAGCACTCTCCACCTTTAAGATCCTGGGACTTAGATTAAGAACCAGGAGATATCTCTGCTATAGCATGAACATTGTCATCAAACACAAGCCAAAAAAAAAAAGAGATATGTGGTATACAAAAAGATTGATGTAACATATTCTCAAAAATTACCAAAGTGTGTTGTAAAGTAAGCGAGTAAGCAGCTCAAATCCATGATGTAATTGCATAGGGGCAAAAATTCAAGAAAAGGAAGTTGCTTGACATTTTAGTTTTTAAATGGGTAAAAAGGTTTTAGTTATTTGTAACTTTTAAAAATCAGTATTTAAAAATTATGATGGTAACTACATTCATACCACAGTAGGTAGAACAACAATGTGAAGTCCAAATTGTAGATTCTTTTAAAAGATACACTGTATTGTTACTTTCAGATTTTATACTAACTAGAAATTGACTCAAGTTTATTGGAACCTTACTATATGTCAGTCACTGGGCTGGGCGCTGATTAATGAACAAAATAGACATGTGTCCCTCTCATGGACAGACTTGTGGGGGAAATAAGGCAATAAACAAAAAGGAAAAAAAATATTTATTTAAAAAAAAGGAAAGAAGTTAAAAAGCATCAGTGTTGTAAGAAAAAAATAGAAAACTAGGGGAGATGTTAAAAGAGATATACTTTAGATTGTGGGGATTCACAAAGGCCTCTCTGAAGAGGTGACAGGCTAAGATACAAAGGATGAGAAGGAGCCAGTGAGGCAGAGCTGGCGGAAAGTATTCCATGCAGAGGTGACAGTGTGCACAAAGGCCTTCAGACTAGAGATTTCTCTGCAGAATAAGGGAGAGTGTAGAGGAAGATAAAGAGTCTTGAGGTTAAAGATCATGCCAGGCTTCATAGGCATTTTTTTATTTTTTATTTTTATTTTTTTGAGACAGGGCCTTGACTCCTGGGCTCAGGTGATTCTCCCACCTTAGCTTCCAGAATAGCTGGGACTACAGGCATGTGCCATCACTCCCGGCTAATTTTTTATATTTTTTTGTAGAGATGGAGTCTCACCATATTGACCAGGCTGGTCTTGAACTCTTAGGCTCAAGCGATCTGCCCGTCTTGGCCTCCTAAATTGTTCATAAGCCATCTTAAGAAGTTTGAATTTTATTTTGCATGCAATGGGAAATCTTTGAAGGGCTTTAGATAGTTGAGTGGCTGATCCTATTTGTCACTTTGCCTTACTTCATGAAGAGTGAAATGGACTGAGTGAGATGGAAGGGATGTGTGCATCTGTATCTGTCAGGAGGCTGTTGTTCAGTACAGGCAAGAGATGATACTAGCACCAACCAGGAAGGTGCTGGTGGATGTGGAGAGAAAGCCAGCTGATTCCAGGAAACACTGGACAGTAGAACTGACAGGACTTAATGATGGGTTGAAAGTAGGAGATGAGGTAGAGGGAGCTATCAAGACGGTTTTACTAATTTAAAAAGAATTTTTTATAATAGTACTGGCCAAAGCTTTACATAGATTGATAGATGTAAATAATGTACTTAATTTTAAAAGAAATAGATACTTCCAAAATATGCTTGGAAAATAGTTATTTAAATGAGTTAACATTAACAGTTAATAATTAATAATAAAGTTAATAGCCTAAATTTTTGTTTATACTGTTCACTTACTTGACATGCTAACAAAGGTAAGCTTCAGCTGGGTTCTGATTCAGTGAAATAAAAATCTCAATTTAATAAGAGTTTGCTGTATTTTGAAATTATTTAGTATGAGATGATTGTCCAGTGAACACGGAATTCTAAAATTTTTTCCTGATTATAAAGGTATTGCAGTTATGGGGAATTACATAATAATCGTCCATATTTTATTTCTTTTCAGTCTTTTATCTTCATCTTTTTTACACTTCTATACAGACTCTTGAGAAATTTTTATATTTGTTTAAATCTCTATGCTAAAAACTGTTAGAAATAAGAGATAGAGTATTAAGTTATTACTTCTATGTCAATACTCAATTTATTGGTTGACTATCTTCATATTAAAACTAATTAGGTAACTGTAGCGTAGTAGTCAGTGAAATTGTCTAGAGTCACACAAAGTCTTGCTTCCACAAACTCCTAGTATGACCTTGGGCGAGATATTTAAATTTTCCATGATTCAGTTTCTTTATCTATAAAATTGGGATAATTATACTTTTTACTTTATATGTTTTGAGGATTAGATTAAAGGATATAAAGAGGCTGGGCATGGTGGCTCATGCCTGTAATCCCAGCACTTTGGGAGGCCGAGACGGGTGGATCATGAGGTCAGGAGATTGAGACCATCCTGGCTAACATGGTGAAACCCCATCTCTACTAAAAATACAAAAAATTAGCTGGGCGTGGTAGTGGGCGCCTATAGTCCCAGCTACTCGGGAGGCTGAGGCAGGAGAATGGCGTGAACCCGGGATGCAGAGCTTGCGGTGAGCCGAGATCGCGCCACTGCACTCCACCCTGGGCGACAGAGCAAGACTCCGTCTCAAAAAAAAAAAAAAGTATATAAAGAGTTTAGAACAGTGCATGGCCCATAGTAAGTGCTATATAAAGTTGGCTATTATTAATACTATGTTTATTATTAATAATTTACAAGTTGCCTATACTATTATAGAATGACAGCTTATTTGTGCTTGCTATTATTAGTTTTCATAAACTTTTATAAAGTATGATTTTCTACATATAAGCATAAAAATATAAAATATGCATGGAGTGCTTAGATAACTCCCACATTTCACTTTTATTTTTAAAAAACTGATAGAATATAGAATACTTATTAAAATTATAGACATTGTCTTAATAAATCAGTGTTGTTCTTCTCTGTTAATTATATATTGGGGTTTGGGGAGATTAGATTTCAGAAGCAGGGAAAGACCTTCTTTACAAGCAGTTGAGTGGTAGACTACAACTTGTAAATAAATTACGCCAGGAAGCTCTGGATCTAGAACTGCAGATGGAAAAGCAAAAGCAGGAAATTGCCGGAAAGCAGAAGGAGATTAAGGACCTGCAAATAGCCATAGATAGCCTGGATTCCAAAGACCCAAAACATGTGAGTAAATTAAGAAATTTTGACTTGTTCTGTCTACATATTACATGTCTCATCATTGTTAGCATCAGAGTCCAGAGTCCTTTCTGAAAGTCTGTTTTAGTTTGATGTACAAATTTAAGTGATATATACATACAGTCAGCCCTCCATATCCATGGGTTCTGCATCTGTGGATTTAACCAACTGCAGATCACATATATTAGGAAAAAAAAGGATGGTTGTGTCTGTACTGAACATGTACAGACTTTTTTTCATTTGTCATTATTCCCTAAACAAGACAGTATAACAACTATTCACATAGC
Source organism: Homo sapiens (assembly GCF_000001405.40). Lineage (NCBI taxonomy): Eukaryota > Metazoa > Chordata > Mammalia > Primates > Hominidae > Homo > Homo sapiens. The sequence goes on from NC_000009.12 coordinate 121,118,840, forward strand.
ATTTATACTGTATTAGGTATTATAAGTAATCTAGAGATGATTTTAATATATAAGAGGATGTCCATAGGTTAAATACAAATATTATGCTATTTTATAGAAGGGACTTGAGCATCAGTGGATCTTGGTATCTGCAGGGAATCCTGGGATGAATCCCCCATGGATACTGAAGGAAAACTGTACATATATGTGTGTATATATAATGTATGTATGTGTATATATATGTGTATTATACATAAATATATGTGTGTGTGTGTGTGTGTGTGTGTGTATACACACACATATATGGAATGTGTATGTCTAAAACAAAACAACCTAGGGCTTGAAGAAGGTAGCTTTCAGTAAATGATGGCCGCATGGTATATTTATTTTTTTTTAAGTGGTTGAATTTCATTGTATTGCAGAGCAAGGGAGATTTGCTCCTTACCTTTCTCTCTCCTTGCCTTTTTTTCATCTTTCTTTCTCTCTCTCTCTCTCTTTTTTTTTTTTTTGCTCTGTCGCCAGGCTGGAGTGCAGTGGCGCAATCTCCGCTCACTGCAACCTCCGCCTCCCAGGTTCAAGCGATTCTCCTGCCTCAGCCTCCCGAGTAGCTGGGACTACAGGCACCCACCACCACGCCTGGCTGATTTTTGTATTTTTAGTAGAGACAAGGTCTCACCATGTTGGCGAGGATGGTCTTGATCTCCTGACCTTGTGATCCACCCACCTCAACCTCCCAAAGTGCTGGGATTACAGGCGTGAGCCACCATGCCCTGCCGAAGCGATTCTCCTGCCTCAGCCTCCTGAGTAGCTGGGATTACAGGCGCGCACCACCACACCCAGCTAATTTTTGTATTTTTGGTAGAGATGGGGTTTCTCCATGTTGCTCAGGCTGGTCTCAAACTCCTGACCTCCTGATCTGCCTACCTTGGCCTCCCAAAGTGCTGGGATTACAGTCATGAGCCACCATGCCCAGCCCTTCATCTTTCTTAAGAGCAGAAAAAGCTGAAGGGGGTTGCGAGTCCTTTTTCTACCTCTTCTATTTAATCCTTTTTGCAAATTTTCCACTGAACGTATTTGTTTTTTCATACTGTTTTGTTTTGTCCTTAAAAAAGGAAACATTCTCTGGAATGTTTCTTCCTGAGATATGGCTAGATATGGTCAGGTGGCTGGATACAGCCAGGCTCTTGTCTCTGTCTCTACTCTAAGAAGTTGTACTAATTGCTTATATTTTAGCTAATATTCCTAAAATACAAGGAAAAATATCTTCTACATATTCTCCTGGTATACCTTGAATAATAGGGGTTTTTTTTTTAAAGAACTTTAAGATCTCTGGATTAATAGAAATCATAGAATTTAACATAGTAAGGATATTGTAATTGCTTTAAGTACTTGACAAGTTGTTTAACTGTTCCTTTAAGCATTTTAGTACATATCATATATATTTTTTTGTGGGCCAGCTAATTTCAATAAAGGATAACCTTATGACAGATATAAGGTCTTTTCTAACAAAAGCCTAAAAATTGAAACCAAGGTATTAATATTGAAACCAAAAGTAGTCTTGATTATTTTAAATAATTTTGAGGAAAAATGGGGTATTTTAAGTAATGTATAATGTGGTCAATAATATCTTACTTTATTGCATATGTTTGTTCAATCTCCCACCCATGTAAGGTCCCTGAAGACATGAACTCTATCCTACTGGTATCCGTATCCCCAGGGACCAACCAGCCCTATGTTTATGAATGCTTGCATTGTGGAAGGGAGGAAGGAAGCAGCTTATAGATCCTACCCAAAACTCCTTTGCTTCCCCTTCCAGTTCTGTGATCTATGAGTCTAATTAGTAGCTGGATTATGTGTTTGCTTTCAACAAATGACTGTTATATTTCTGGCGGACAGAGAGTTCAATTCCCACTGGATTTCTGTAGAGAATTATACATGGAAAGGAGGTAAATGAGACATGGGAATGGCATCCAAGTTTTGAAGTTAGCTAAAATCAACCTGTGCAGTGGGGATGAAACATACAAACCAGATTTGAATTTCCTTTTTAATTTTATTAAAATTACTAATAGTTCTTAAGTTTGCAGCCTTAGTCCTAGCATCAGAGGACATCTCTTTTAAGTTTATCCAGCGGGAACATCTTTTTCTGATTCACAAAGTTTCATATTGGCTAGTGTTTGGCATCCCATTTTAGGCTACAAAATGTGAGCCTTTAAGCAGAAGAGAAATAATCAAGAGTGAGATGCCTGCATATTTTTCTATAGATATAGGTAGACTTTTATTTAATTAATTTTTATGTAATCAGATGAAGTATCTTTCTGAATAGCCAATAGAATTTAAAAGTAAAAGCTTCACTTTGATGAGATATTATAGAAAGCAACATATTAAGTGCCCACAATGTGTCATACATTGTGCTGTATTTTCCATGTTCTGGTGAGGAACTTTTATTAACATCTATCCATTTTTCTTTCAATTTGCAGAGGATGAAAATGTGATATAGAAATATTAAGTGAATTGCCCCTAAGTTATTGTTTTAGAAAGAGGTGGAGCCCTTGCTTATGCTACCACAATGACCCTCTCTTCACAAAGCAATTAAAGGTCTAAAGAGATTATTTTAAAATTAGCTCAGAACTAAGCCTAGGCAGGTTTTCAGCAAATATAAGCATTTAACTAGGTTTCAAATTCACAGACTATTTTAGTTATAAAATTATTCATAGAAGCACAAATTATCACCGGAGCAAACATAATGAAGATTTGTATTGCTTTTCTCTATTGGGAAATGTCCTATTGGAAGCAAAAGGTAACTGTTCGCTAGAGGGAACGAGCTGTAGTGATCTGTTGCAAAGTTTGGGCGTGATTGGCCCCTGGGAGCTTCCTGTGTTATGATTTAACTCGCGGAGGGTGGGGCCTGCCCGCAGAGGCTGCTGGTGATTGGATGGGCGGGGCCGCCGCTCACTCTTGGCCAAGAATGTGGTTTGAGGCTCTGCGAAGTTACAGAGGCTCGGAGGCGCTTGCAAAAATGTGGCTGTCAGAGAGGGAAGTGCACATGAATTTGAAGACAGCATTAGAAAGCGTTCCGCCCACAGTTTCTCTGTTCTCAACGGCTCAGTTTTAACAGGATAAATTTTAAGTTAAGGTATGATATTTTTTCTCTCTCTGTACAAAGGACTTAAAAGGAGGAGGAGTCAGAGATGTAAGTTCCTGTTTTTACAATAACTCTTTTGTGAGCTCCACCGTGGTGTAAATCGCAGAATCTACTTTTGTTCCCATGTATTTAATGTACACCATTGGCATATTGAACCAGATTTTTATCCTGCGTATAAAGGTTTTGGTGGAATTTTTAATGGTGAATTTTAAAGATTTATTGATATGAGTGCAGTCTTTTAAGAAATTATTTCTTGAGCCATAAAAACCCGAAATTTACTTAGAATGTAAGCTGTTATATGTAGTTAACTTTTCAGAAAGATTTCAAATGGGTATTTTGGGAGTGTAGGGAAAAGAGTTTGCAAAATACCATAAAGCTTTACCAGTAGTAAATTAAAAACCTTCCAGTTAAGCTGCCACTCTTTTGTTCATCAGAAATGAAGAGACGTTTCTTTCTTGTATTTGGGGTAAGCAAATACATAAAATTGAGTAATATTCTTTTATAATCACATGGGTCTTAGACTTGAGATCATTGGTGTTCATTTTTCTGACTGATACAGTTCCCTCTTTCGATAACTTTCTCTTCATTTATTGTTGTATTCCTCTGATCCTGTGGGTACCAACTTAAGAGTCATGAAGGTGTGAGTGGGAGGGCAAAGGTTCTCTGGGGAATTATTTTGTCTCCATATGAACAGTTGCCTCAGGAGACATGCAAGTCATTTGATGGATCTGAAATTCAGTTTTCTCATGTTTAAAAGGAAGGGTTAGACTAGATCATTGGCTCTCGATTTGCTTTCCCTAGCACACCTGAGAAATACAATCCATTCTTTTCAGTTAACAGTAGTTCCCTGATGCCATGACTTCAGGGTGCGGGAGGGTGTGTGGGTGTGTGAAAGCTCTGTTTTCCACCATGGGTTAAGTGTAGTTGTAGAGGGGTATACCTCCTTAGGGCCCTCCATTTTGAGACTCACCGGGCTAAGTGGTCTTTGAGGTCCCTGTCAGCTCTCAGTTTATTGAAAAGCCAAATGTTTGTTTGTGTAAGAGATTGAAAGTGAATTTGAATTTCAAGTATTTTATCTATTTCATACCTCTATTTTCTTCTAAGAAACCTTTTTTAAAAAGTAGATTTAATTTTTTTATTAAAAAGGCATTACTTATCTACTATAAAAGTTTTTTAAATATAAAAATACTCATTACAAAAGGAAAAAATCCCCATGTAATCCTTCCACCCAGGTATAATTCTTGTTAGCATTTTGGGATATAGTTTTTAAGTCTTTTTCTATAGATATATGCCATAACCAACTAATTTTGGAAACCTTTTTTAAAAGACACATTTTAGGCTGGGCACGGTGGCTCATGCCTGTAATCCCAGCGATTTGGGAGGCCAAGGCCGGCAGATCACTTGAGGTCAGGAGTTCCAGATCAGCCTGGCCAACATGGTGAAACTCCCGTCTGTACTAAAAAAAACAACAAAAAGTAAAAACAAACAACAACCTGGGTGTGGTGGCCCGCACCTGTAGTCCCAGGTACTTGGGAGGCTGAGGCAGGAGAATTGCTTGAACCCAGGAGGCGGAGGTTGCAGTGAGCTGAGATCGTGCCTCTGCACTCTAGCCTGGGTGATGGAGTCAGACTCCATCTCAAAATAAATAAATAAATAAATAAAAAAGAGAGAGAGAGACAATTTAATGCAACGCAAATAACACTGACCTACCTAGCTGTGCCCTTGGAAAAACCACTTAACCTCTTTGATCCTCAGTTTTCTCACCTGTAAAGTGGAAATGATTTCCGTATCAAGTTATCCTGAAATTTAAATGAAAACTACCCATGTGAAAACAATATAGGGCCTGACACAAATAGATGCAAATTATTATATTTATTTTCTATTCTTCCTTTAAAAATGTTGTTAAGGGTTATTACTTTTAAAGGAGTTTAAGGAACTTGGAGTTTTGTTGATTTTTTTTTTTAATTCAGTCCCATATGAAGGCTCAAAAGAGCGGTAAAGAACAACAGCTTGACATTATGAACAAGCAGTACCAACAACTTGAAAGTCGTTTGGATGAGATACTTTCTAGAATTGCTAAGGAAACGGAAGAGATTAAGGACCTTGAAGAACAGCTTACTGAAGGTAAGACTTTCAGTATGATTTAAGGTAAATCAGTGTTATTGCTGGTAAAAGAAACATTATAAAGACAAGCATTAATCCAGATAGTAGCTAAATACAGTTCACCTATTAGTACTAGTATTTGATAGGGAAATATTTACAGGATACCCAAAAGTAGTTAATGCAATTTTAAGAGTTTTGTTTTTGTTTTGTTTTGTGGCATTGATGCCTAGTGAGTCAGGTCATTCCAGTCAGTAGGCCAGAAGTCAATACGTGATCATGATAAGCTCTGGCATGTGATTGTCTATGACATAAAATCCATTCAGGAGCAAAGCACCCATTGGCATCAGGGAATTCAGTGTCTGGTTATAAGAAGAAAGAGTTTTAGGATCTAGTTTTGCAATGCTGATTTAAACTGCGACATATCCATAATAGTGGAAAAGGAAGACAATAGGCCATAGTGGTTTTTACACATAGGGCTCAGTGTAAAAAGATCCTGCTCTCTGTTTTGCTACTGTCAGCTGTGTCGCCTTGGACAAGTTGTTTTTATCTCAATCATTAGTTGTTGGGAGAATTAAATGAGCTAGTATTCATAGGCCAGGAGTGGTGGCTCACGCCTGTAATCCTAGCACTTTGGGAGGCTGAGGCGGGCATATCATTTGAGCCCAGGAGTTCGAGATCAGCATGGGCAACATGGCGAAACCCCGTCTCTACAAAAAAAAAAAAAAAAAATTAGCCAGGCGTAGTGGTATGTGTGCTTGTGGCACCATCTGCTTGGGAGACTGAGGGTGGAGGATCACCTGAGCTCAGGGAGGTTGAGGCTACAGTGAACCGTGATTGTGCCACTGCACTCCAGCCTAGGTGACAGAGTGAAACTTTGTCTGAAAAAAAAAAAAAAAGAGAGAGATAGTGTTCATAAAGTTCCTGGCACATAGTGCGTATCCAGTACTGTACATGGGATGTGTGTGTTTGTGTTCTAAGTGTTTAGGTTACACATTTATGTTGCCAGTCTTGGATTCATCTTATATACTAGGTGGTCTTGTTCTTTGTATTTAGCAGCAAGAACTCACAGTTTTGGTACATATTTTTTATTTTATTTGTAAATTAAACTTTTTTTTTTTTTTTGAGACGGAGCCTCGCTCTGTCACCCAGGCTGGAGTGCAGTGGCGTGATCTTGGCTCACTGCAACCTCTGCCTCCTGGGTTCAAGTGATCCTCCTGCCTCAGCCTCGTGAGTAGCAGGGACTACAGGCACATGCCCGGCTAATTTTTTGTATTTTTAATAGAGACGGGGTTTCACTGTGTTAGCCAGGATGGTCTCGATCTCCTGACCTCATGATCCGCCTGCCTTGGCCTCCCAAAGTGCTGGGATTACAGGCTTGAACCACCACACCCGGCCGAAATTAAACTTTTTACAGCATGAATCAGGCATTTTATAAGCATTGCCCCCTAAATGTACTATTTTTATTTTATACCTGCTTAATACTCCTTTGCTATCTATAATAGGAAGAAAATTTAACATTATGTTTTGAAAAAGAAAAATGATAGGAAAGAATTGAAAGCTTAGAATTTCACTCTTGGCTTATAACAAAATGCTGAGCAGACAATGCAGTACTTTAAAAAGATATATTATTACCCTTTTTGCATCTTGCTTAGGCCAGATAGCAGCAAATGAAGCCCTGAAGAAGGATTTAGAAGGTGTTATCAGTGGGTTGCAAGAATACCTGGGGACCATTAAAGGCCAGGCAACTCAGGCCCAGAATGAGTGCAGGAAGCTGCGGGATGAGAAAGAGACATTGTTGCAGAGATTGACAGAAGTCGAGCAGGAGAGAGACCAGCTGGAAATAGTTGCCATGGATGCAGAAAATATGAGGAAGGTATGATTTTTTTCCTGCCTATTTTCCGTAGCTTCATAAGTAGATAATGTCCAAATTAAGTTAGTTGGAGGAGGTAACAGTACATTTTTAAGTGGGAAAAAGTATTAGTGGCTATATGGTGATTTTTTTCTTTTAACAGTTGGGCTTTTTTTTTTCTTCTTTAGCTGTGATACATTTGGAATTATTATTTTTTCTTTGCTCAGAAAAGGAAGATTATTTAAGCTGCATTTCTATCCCTGAAAGGTATTGTTGCCAAATAACTCTAAAGAATATGAAATGGTAGCTATTACAAATATTGTATTAAATGCTCATATTTTATTTGTGCTGAAAAATTGAGCACAGAATGGTTTTTCTTAGTCTTGTTGTTACTGGATAATTTTAACATTATTTTATAGCTAACAAAACAGACATATTGTTTTAAATTATATCCTTATGAACCTGATTTGTTGCACATTCGTTTGGAGATTTCCCTTGCTCTATTTTAGTTGTTTGGAAAATGTTATCATACATGAGAACTAGAGATTTCCAAACTTCTTGTTCAGTAGAGCTGGCTCCAGAAATTGAATTAATATATTTTAATATTATGAAATATCTCAGGCATATTTAAAAAATCACAAATAATATTTAACATCATGTACTGACAACCCAGCTTAAGAAATAAAACATTATAGGTACATTTGAAATCCTCTGTCTACTCCTTTCCAGAAGTAACAAAGTTCTGAATATGGTTATTATTTCCCTGCACCTCTATTCTTTTATTATATATGTAAACATCCATAAGCAATATATAGTATTTTCCTTGATTTTAAGACTTATACAAAATGTATCATAGTGTACATATTTGGCCACTTTCTTTCTTCCTTCATGTTTATGTTTTTGTTTGTTTGTTTTGGTTTTTTTTTGAGATGAATTTTCGCTCTTGTTGCCCAGGCTGGAGTGCAGTGGCGCAATCTCGGCTCACTGCATCCTCCGCCTCCTGGGTTGAAGCGATTCTCCTGCCTCAGCCTCCCGAGTAGCTGGGAGTACAGGCATTCACCACCTGCCCGGCTAATTTTGTATTTTTAGTAGAGATGGGGTTTCTCCATGTTGGTCAGGCTGGTCTCGAACTCCCGACCTCAGGTGATCCGCCTGCCTTGGCCTCTGAAAGTGCTCGGATTACAGGTGTGAGCCACAGCGCCTGGCCTATGTTTTCGAGAATTATGCACACTGATAGATGTAGTTCTACTTTGTTCATTTTTACTGATATATGTACCATCCTGCTTTATGGACATACCACAAATTTATTATTTATTCCTTCTCTTTTTGGGGTGCATTTAGGTGATTTCCAGTGTTATGCTATTGCAAACAATGCTGAGCATAACATTCCTGCACACATCTTGAACACATGGGGACTATGCTCAGAAGCAGAACTGTGGGTCAGAGTATGTCCATCCTTCATTAAGTTCAGTAGATATTGTCAAATTACTTTTCATAGTGAGTTTATCAGCTTCTACTCCCACCAGCAATGTGGGGGCTACCATTCTTGCCACATCCTTGCCAACGCTGTAGTGTTGTCCAACTTTTTTTTAAAGCTTATATTTTGAAATAACTCCAAACTTGCAGGAAAGTTGCAAGAGGAATACAAATAACTCACATTTGCCTTTCACCGAGAGTCACCAATTACTATTTTAACACATTTGCTTTATCTCCTCATATGTAATTTCTACATGATTTTATATACTTTTTAATTATTATTATACTTTAAGTTCTAGGGTACATGCAGATTTGTTACATAGGTATACATGTTTCACGTTGGTTTGCTGCACCCATTAACTCGTCATTTACATTAGGTATATCTCCTAATGCTATCCCTCCCCCCTCCCCCCACCCCACGACAGGCCCCGGTGTGTGATGTTCCCTGCCCTGTGTCCAAGTGTTCTCATTATTCAGTTCCTACCTATGAGTGAGAACATGCGGTGTTTGGTTTTCTGTCCTTGTGATAGTTTGCAAAGAATGATGGTTTCCAGCTGCATCCATGTCCCTGCAAAGGACATGAACTCATCCTTTTTTATGGCTGCATAGTATTCCATGGTTTATATGTGCTGCATTTTCTTAATCCAGTCTATCGTTGATGGACATTTGGGTTGGTTCCAAGTTTTTGCTATTATGAATAGTGCCGCAATAAACACATGTGTGCATGTGTCTTTATAGTAGCATGATTTATAATCCTTTGGGTATATACCCAGTAATGGGATCGCTGGGTCAAATGGTATTTCTAGTTCTAGATCCTTGAGGAATCGCCACATTGTCTTCCACAAAGGTTGAACTAGTTTACACTCCCACCAACAGTGTAAAAGCATTCCTGTTTCTCCACATCCTCTCCAGCATCTGTTGTTTCCTGACTTTTTAATGATCACCATTCTAACTGGTGTGAAATGGTATCTCATTGTGGTTTTGATTTGCATTTCTCTGATGGCCAGTGATGATGAGCATTTTTTCATGTGTCTGTTGGCTGCATAAATGTCTTCTTTTGAGAAATGTCTATTCGTATCCTTTGCCCCCTTTTTGATGGGGTTGTTTTTTTCTTGTAAATTTGTTTAAGTTCTTTGTAGATTCTGGATATTAGCCCTTTGTCAGATGAGCAGATTGCAAAAATTTTCTCCCATTCTGTAGGTTGCCTGTTCACTCTGATGGTAGTTTCTTTTGCTGTGCAGAAGCTCTTTGGTTTAATTAGATCCCATTTGTCTATTTTGGCTTTTGTTGCCATTGCTTTTGGTGTTTTAGTCATGAAGTCCTTGCCCATGCCTATGTCCTGAATAGTATTGCCTAGGTTTTCTTCTAGGATTTTTATGGTTTTAGGTCTAACATGTAAGTCTTTAATCTATCTTGAATTAATTTTTGTATAAGGTGTAAGGAAGAGATCCAGTTTCAGCTTTCTACATATGGCTAGCCAGTTTTCCCAGCACCATTTATTAGTGATCCTTTCCCCATTTCTTGTTTTTGTCAGGTTTGTCAAAGATCAGATGGTTGTAGATGTGTGGTGTTATTTATTTCTGCAGTCTCTGTTCTGTTCCATTGGTCTATATATCTGTTTTGGTACCAGTACCATGTTGTTTTGTTTACTGTAGCCTTGTAGTATAGTTTAAAGTCAGGTAGCGTGATGCCTCCAGCTTTGTTCTTTTTGCTTAGGATTGTCTTGGCAATGCAGGCTCTTTTTTGGTTCCATATGAACTTTAAAGTAGTTTTTTCGAACTCTGTGAAGAAAGTCATTGGTAGCTTGATGGGAATGGCATTGAATCTATAAATTACCTTGGGCAGTATGGCCATTTTCACGGTATTGATTCTTCCTACCCATGAGCATGGAATGTTCTTCCATTTGTTTGTGTCCTCTTTTATTTTGTTGAGCTGTGGTTTGTAGTTCTTGAAGACGTCCTTCACATCCCTTGTAAGTTGGATTCCTAGGTATTTTACTCTCTTTGTAGCAATTGTGAATGGGAGTTCACTCACGATTTGGCTCTCTGTCTATTATTGGTGTATAGGAATGCATGTGATTTTTGCACATTGATTTTTGTATCCTGAGACTTTGCTGAAGTTGCATATCAGCTTAAGGAGATTTTGGCTGAGACGATGGGGTTTTCTAAATATACAATCATGTCATCTGCAAACTGAGACAATTTGACTTCCTCTTTTCCTAATTGAATACCCTTTATTTCTTTCTCTTTTCTGATTGCCCTGGCCGGAACTTCCAACACTATGTTGAATAGGAGTGGTGAGAGAGGGCATCCCTGTCTTGTGCCAGTTTTCAAAGGGAATGCTTCCAGTTTTTGCCCATTCAGTATGATATTGGCTGTGGGTTTGTCATAAATAGCTCTTATTATTTTGAGATACGTGCCATCAATACCTAGTTTATTGACAGTTTTTAGCATGAAGGGCAATTGAAGTTTGTTGAAGGCCTTTTCTGCATCTATTGAGATATCATGTGGTTTTTGTCATTAGTTCTGTTTATGTGATGGATTATGTTTATTGATTTGTGTATGTTGAACCAGCCTTGCATCCCAGGGATGAAGCCGACTTGATCGTGGTGGATAAGCTTTTTGATGTGCTGCTGGATTCGGTTTGCCAGTATTTTATTGAGGATTTTCACATCGATATTCATCAGGGATATTGGTCTAAAATTCTCTTTTTTTGTTGTGTCTCTGCCAGGCTTTGGTATCAGGATGATGCTGGCCTCATAAAATGAGTTAGGATTCCCTCTTTTTCTATTCATTGGAAGAGTTTCAGAAGGAATGGTACCAGCTCCTCTTTGTACCTCTGGTAGAATTCAGCTGTGAATCCATCTGGTCCTGGAGTTTTTTTGGTTGGTAGGCTATTAATTATTGCCTCAATTTCAGATCCTGTTATTGGTCTATTCAGAGATTCAACTTCTTCCTGGTTTAGTCTTGGGAGGGTGTATGTGTCCAGGAATTTATCCATTTCTTCTAGATTTTCTAGTTTATTTGCATAAAGGTGTTTATAGTATTCTCTGATGGTAGTTTGTATCTCTGTGGGATTGGTGGTGATACCCTCTTTATCATTTTTTATTGCATCTATTTGATTCTACCCTCTTTTCTTCTTTGTTAGTCTTGCTAGCGGTCTATCTATTTTGTTGATCTTTTCAAAAAACCAGCTCCTGGATTCACTGATTCTTTTGAAGGGTTTTTTGTGTCTCTATCCCCTTTAGTTTGGCTCTGATCTTAGTTGTTTCTTGCCTTCTGCTAGCTTTTGAATGTGTTTGCTCTTGCTTCTCTAGTTCTTTTAGTTGTGTTGTTAGGGTATTGATTTTAGATCTTTCCTGCTTTCTCTTGTGGGCATTTAGTGCTATACATTTCCCTTTACACACTGCTTTAAATGTGTCCTAGAGATTCTGGTATGTTGTGTCTTTGTTCTCATTGGTTTCAAAGAACATCTTTATTTCTGCCTTCATTTCATTGTGTATCCAGTAGTCATTAGGAGCAGGTCGTTTAGTTTCCATGTGGTTGAGTGGTTTTGAGTGAGTTTCTTAATCCTGAGTTCTAATTTGATTGCACTGTGGTCTGAGAGACAGTTTGTTGTGATTTCTGTTCTTTTACATTTTTTGAGGAGTGCTTTACTTCCAACTATGTGGTCAATTTTGGAATAAGTGAGATGTGGTGCTGAGAAGAATGTATATTCTGTTGATTTGGGGTGGAGAATTCTGTAGATATCTATTAGGTCTGCTTGGTGCAGAGCTGAGTTCAATTCCTGGATATCCTTGTTAACCTTCTGTCTTGTTGATCTGTCTAATATTGACAGTGGGGTGTTAAAGTCTCCCATTATTATTGTGTAGGAGTCTAAGTCTCTTTGTAGGTCTCTAAGGACTTGCTTTATGAATCTGGGTTCTCCTGTATTGGGTGCATATATGTTTAGGATAGTCAGCCCTTCTTGTTGAATTGATCCCTTCACCATTATGTAATACCCTTCTTTGTCGCTTTTGATCTTTGTTGGTTTAAAGTCTGTTTTATCAGAGACTAGGATTGCAGGCCCTGCTTTTTTTTGCTTTCCATTTGCTTGGTAGATCTTCCTCCATTCCTTTATTTTGAACCTATGTGTGTCTCTGCACATGAGATGGGTCTCCTGAATATAGCACACTGATGGGTCTTGACTCTTTATCCAATTTGCCAGTCTGTGTCTTTTAATTGGGGGCATTTAGCCCATTTACATTTAAGGTTAATATTGTTATGTGTGGATTTGATCCTGTTGTTATGATGCTAGCTGGTTATTTTGTCCGTTAGTTGATGCAGTTTCTTCCTGGCATTGATGGTCTTTACAATTTGGCATGTTTTTGCAGTGGCTGGTACGGGTTGTTCCTTTCCATGTTTAGTGCTTCCTTCAGGAGCTCTTGTAAGGCAGGCCTGGTGGTGACAAAATCTCTCAGCATTTGCTTGTCTGTAAAGGATTTTATTTCTCCTTCACTCATGAAGCTTAGTTTGGTTGAATATGAGATTCTGGGTTGAAAATTATTTTCTTTTAAGAATGTTGAATATTGGCCTCTACTCTCTTCTGGCTTGTAGAGTTTCTGAGAGATCTGCTGTTAGTCTGATGGGCTTCCCTTTGTGGGTAACCCAGCCTTTCTCTCTGGCTGCCCTTACATTTTTTCCTTCATGTCAACCTTAGGGAATCTGACAATTATGTGTCTTGGAGTTGCTCTTCTCGAGGAGTATCTTTGTGGTGTTCTCTGTATTTCCTGAATTTGAATGTTGGCCTGCCTTGCTAGGTTAGGGAAGTTCTCCTGGATAATATCCTGAAGAGTGTTTTCCAACTTAGTTCCATTCTCCCTGTCACTTTTCAGGTACACCATTCAAACGTAGATTTGGTCTTTTCACATAGTCCCATATTTCTTGGAGGCTTTGTTCATTTCTTTTTACTCTTTTTTCTCTAAACTTCTCTTCTTGCTTTATTTCGTTAATTTGATCTTCAGTCACTGATACCCTTTCTTCCACTTGATCAAATTGGCTACTGAAGCTTGTGCATGTGTTACGTAGTTCTCATGCCATGGTTTTCAGCTCCATCAGGTCATTTAAGGTCTTCTCTACACTCTTTATTCTAATTAGCCATTCGTCTAATCTTTTTTCAAGGTTTTTAGCTTCCTTTCAATGGGTTCAAACATCGTCCTTTAGCTTGAAGAAGTTTGTTATTACTGACCTTCTGAAGCCTACTTCTGTCAGCTCATCAGAGTCATTCTCCATCCAGCTTTGTTCTGTTGCTGGTGAGAAGCTGCCATCCTTTGGAGGAGAAGAGGCGCTCGGTTTTTAGAATTTTCAGCTTTTCTGCTGTGGTTTCTCCCCATCTTTGTGGTTTTATCTACCTTTGGCCTTTGGTCTTTGGTCTACCTCCAGATGGGGTTTTGGTGTGGATGTCCTTTTTGTTGATGTTAAGGCTATTCCTTTCTGTTTGTTAGTTTTCCTTCTAACAGTCAGGTCCCTCAGCTGCTGGTCTGTTGGAGTTTGCTAGAGGTCCACTCCAGACCCTGTTTGCCTCGGTATCACAAGTAGAGGCTGCAGAACAGCAAATATTGCTGCCTAATCCTTCCTCTGGAAGCTTCTTCCCAGAGGGGCACCCGCCTGTATGATGTGTCAGTTGGCCCCTACTGGGAGGTGTCTCCCAGTTAGGCTACACGGGGGTCAGGGACCCACTTGAGGAGGCAGTCTGTCCGTTCTCTGAGCTCAAACACTGTGCTGGGAGAACCACTGCTCTCTTCAGAGCTGTCCTACAGGGACGTTTGAGTCTGCAGAAGTTTCTGCTGCCTTTTGTTCAGCTATGCCCTGCTCCTAAAGGTGGAGTCTACATGTAGAGGCAGAGGTCTTGCTGAGCTGCGGTGGGCTCCGCCCAGTTCGAGCTTCCTGGCTGCTGTGTTTACCTACTCAAGCCTCAGCAATGGTGAACGCCCCTCCCCCTGCCAGGCTGCTGCCTCCAAGGTCTATCTCAGACTGCTACACTAGCAGTGAGCAAGGCTCTGTGAGCATGGGACCTGCTGAGCCAGGTGTGGGATATGATCTCCTGGTGTGCTGTTTGCTAAGACCATTGGAAAAGCACAGTATTTGGGTGAGAGTGTCCTGTTTTTCCAGGTACTGTCTTCTGTGAATGTACGGCTTCCCTTGGCTAGGAAAGGGAAATCCCCCGACGCCTTGCATTTCCTGGGTGAGGCGATGCCCTGCCCTGCTTCGGGTCGCCCTCCATGGGCTGCACCCACTGTCCAATCAGTGCCAATGAGATAAACCAGGTACCTCAGTTGGAAATGCAGAAATCACCCGTCGTCTGCGTCGATCACGCTGGGAGCTGCAGACCAAGCTGTTCCTATTTGGCCATCTCGGAACGGGATTCAATTTTATATATATTTTTATACAGATTTTTTTTCCTGAACCATTTGGAAATCAGTTGTAGACATCATGCTCCTTTGCTTCTAAATATTTCAGTATGTATTTCCTATGAACAAGGACATTTTCTAACATAAACACAGAATAATTATCAAATTTAGGAAATTCAGTATTTTATCAGACTTCATGTTTGCCAGTCTGCTGAGCTTTAAAGGACTTCTTTCCATCTTTCTATTGTGAAGATGTTTACAGTTACAAGAAAGTTGAACAAATAGTTTGGTGAACATCTGTGAACCTCTTGGATTCAATAAATATTTTGATTTATTTATTTTCTCTTTCTCATAGACACATACTTTTTTCCTTTGCTCATTAGAAAGTTGTAGATATCATAACATCATCCCTTCAACACACATTTTTTTAAGAGCATTTTCCTGCATCACTACGATATCATTATTACACCTAAGAAAAATGACGGTAATTCCCTAATGTCCTCTAATATCATTATTATTTTTTTTTTTTTTTGAGATGGAGTCTTGCTCTGTCACCAGGCTGGGAATGCAGTGGCATGATCTTCGCTCACTGCAACCTCCGCCTCCCAGGTTCAAGTGATTCCGCTGCCTCAGCCTCCTAAGTAGCTGGGACTACAGGCGTGTGCCACCACGCCTGGCTAATTTTTTTGTGTGTGTGTTTTGGTAGAGATAGGTTTCACCATGTTGGCCAGGATGGTCTCAATCTCCTGACTTCGTGATCCACCCGCCTTGGCCTCCCAAAGTGCTGGGATTACAGGCATGAGCCACTGTACCCGGCCCTAAGGTCCTCTAATATCTGAACCATATTCAGATTTTCTTGATTGTCCCAAGAATGTGTGTGTGTGTGCACATGCGTGTGTGAAATCCAGGCTGGTATTCTGTAGATTGAACCACGTTCTGGGTTTGACTGATTGTTTCCTCATGGTGTGTTTAACTTGTATCTCTATGTTCTATGTAAAATAGTATCTTAAGTTAACTGCATTTTCCCCTGGTTACTGGAGAGGCTGATCACCTTTCATTTGCTGTTCAAGTTTCCTCTTGAGTGAATTCCCTATTCTATTTTTTGTTGAACTGTCTCTGCCTTTTCTTAAAGATTTGTAGGAATTCTTTACATATTCTGGATAATAATCTTTGGTTGGTTATATGTAGTATCTATATTTTAAACAAGCAGCCCAAATGATTGAATTGCCAAGTGGTTTTTGGACAATTCTTTTGTAGAAGTTCTCATCGTAGAATCCTCCTCTTTAATCTGTAATAGTTTGATCCCAAGTAAATAGATGAAAGAGATAAGGTTTAATCACAAAACACAAATGGACTAAAATGAATCAGAACCATGGTATGCTAATAAATATGTACTTATATTCTTGTTAGCACTCATTTAAGGTACTCTTATCATCCTTAATATTAGAGAGTGCCGGTCCCATTTTGTTCTTCTGATAAATGAACATGCTATGGTTTAATAGAGAGAGTATGGGCTTTGGAGTCGGAGATCTACATTTGTATGCTGACTATCCTTTTTCTAGCTACATAGCCCTGTGCAATTTACTTAGATATTCATTCTACAATTCCTCATCTGTAAAACCGCAAGTTGCCTTATACAGTTATTGTGAAGATACAATGAAATAATGAATATGAAAACATTTTGTCCAACATCAGATGAAAAATAAGCATTAAATCTTATCCTACTCTTTTTTTCCTTCCTTTCTTCCTCCTTATGTTTTTAGACTCATAAGTATCACAGAACTGGTCCCTTTGAAAAACAATATGTTGGGAGCTTACTGACTTTCTTGATTACATTTAGCCAGGGTTTTGTTTTCCAACCAGGATATGCACAACCTGAGGCTTCGTCATATTGCTACTGAAAACTTTGTGGCAGGCATCAGTAGCTGGCCAGCATTTGGTTTACAGTGCTCAAGTTACTTATAATGCCTTGCAAATGCTTAAGCAGCACAGTGAGGGTTCCATAGTTAAACCCACTGAATCTTTCTAGGAGCTTGCAGAGCTAGAAAGTGCCCTCCAAGAGCAGCATGAGGTGAATGCATCTTTGCAGCAGACCCAGGGAGATCTCAGTGCCTATGAAGCTGAGCTAGAGGCTCGGCTAAACCTAAGGGATGCTGAAGCCAACCAGCTCAAGGAAGAGTTGGAAAAAGTAACAAGACTTACCCAGGTAAGTAGGAGCATGAAGCCAACTGCAAACTAAGGACCCTGTGCCTTAAGATATCATCCTTCTTTTATTTATGTCTTAATTTAAAATTAAGCGTTTTTTCATACAATATATATGGAGTGATGGGAAAGGCAGAATTTTGGAGTCAGACATTGTGAGTGCTAATAACTACCCCTGTGTGAACACGGGCAAATCAGTTCATAGCTCTGAGCCTCCCAGCCTTTTCCTCCTGTGTAAAATGGCTTATGGGGAAGATAAATGAGATAATGGACATGAAAGCACCTGACAGTTGATACTCAATAAATGCTAGTTTTTCCTTCTTAGAACAGGTTTAAGGACTTTTTTTTTTGAGACAGAGTCTTGCTCTGTTGCTAGGCTGGAGTACAGTGGCATGATGACGGCTCACTGCAACCTCCGCCTCCTGGGTTCAAGTGATTTTCCTGCCTCAGCCTCCTGAGTAGCTGGGACTACAGGTGCGCGCCACCATGCCTGGCCAATTTTTTGTATGTTAGTAGAGATGGGGTTTCACCATGTTGGTCAGGCTGGTCTACAAACTCCCGACCTCAGGCGATCCACCCACCTCAGCCTCCCAAAGTGCTGGGATTACAGGCATGGGCCACCGTGCCTGGCCGAGACCTCTTTTAGGTTGATGATAAGTTGTAGTTTGCTGTCTCCTTTTAGGGTTGGTTGAAAGATCCACTAGTTTAAATTATACTTGCAAGTTACAGAAAACATATCCAATAAATATTTATTGATTGGCCATTGAGGGCCAGGTACTGTGGATTCTCTAGGGAAAGCACAGACATGGTCACCATCCTGTGGAGCTGACAGATCTCTGATTGGTAAACTTTAGTCCAGCAAGTGAAACAGGTATGGAAGAAAGAAAGGGACAGGATTCTTTGGCCAAGGAGGAAGTAGTCAGGGAAGACCACCCTACAGAAATGATGTTTCAGCTGATGGCTGATGGATGAGTAGGATTTGGCCACGCAGAGGGGACAGGGTGAAAGGAGTAAAGGTAAGGTATTTGTATTCTAGGCAGAGAGGTGAGGAGAGAGAGCATATAGTACATTTGAAGTGCTGAACGTATGCCTCCAGGATGCCAGGAGCAGGGAGAGGAGTGAGGAAAGAGAATGAGAGGTAAAGGCAGAGAGGCAGGCAGAGGCCAGTTGTAATATATTCTTTATCAGATTAAAAATACAATTTATTAGCCAGATGAGCTGCATCTTCTTTCAGGAAGCCCACCTCAACCTTTCCTTTCTGCCTGCTGAAAATCTGGGTTCAGGACTCTACTTTGGTTTTCCTATAACCTGTGCACAGTAAAGGTATTTATCATGCATATGATGATCATCTGTTTAGATGCTCCTAGATGATCTGTTTGTTTTACCCCAGCTAGACTCAGAGCTCAGTGAATGCCCAAATTGTATCTGTTTGTTTCTGCTTTTTCTGTGCCTGGCATATGAGAAGCGTCAATATGTGCCTATTTGATGAAAATGAAATAAATAAGATATTTTGAATCTCAGGAATGCATGTAAAAATAATTCATATGGTTAGAAAAGGAACTAGAAATATATCTGGTTTATTATAGTAATTATGTATATTTCTTTACTTATGAGATATCAGATCATCACTTGACAGTTGTCAGGATTGTATTTCTCGAGTACCGAGTTTTGTAGAAGTATAGTTGACAAGATCAGAGTCTCAGAAATCAGGAGGTTTTAGGAAAACAATTAAAATAACAGTAAATATTTTAAAATAATAATAAATAAAATTTCTAGATGGCATTTTCCTTAATAAATTCTCCTCTTTTCAAGCCAGACTGTACTAGCTTGAAATACACTGTCCTTTGTACTTTGATTGGCTTTTATTTTCTTCTCATAAGTCTTGACAAAATTATTTTAAGAGCCTGGCCTTTTCACCAATTCACTTGGTATTGAAAGGGACATTCCCCCTCCCTCAGCACCAAGACTGCCAGGATTGGTCTTCAAACCACACATTGAGAATATGAAGCATAACAGATCTCCTGTCTCTGATCTGAAGATCTACAGATCTCTGATTGGTAAACTTTAGTTGCATGAACTCACTTGTGATGCTTGATAAATACAGATTCCTTGGCCCCACCCACTCTAGAGATTCTGATCCAGAATCTCTTTTCTGAGATAGAGTTTAGGTGTCTGCATTTTTAACAGACATACCTAGTGTTGATACAGTTTTTTTGAGGACCACAGTTTGAGAAATACTAGTCTAAGGGAAAGGAGAGCAATAATTGTTGGATCACTTGCAGAACTTTTAAAGGTAGGTGCCTCGGCCCACCCCTGAAGATTCTGATTTGGTGTATTTGGGCTGAGCTGATTCTGATGCTTACTCCTTCTTAAGTGTTAATAATAGTTTAAGGATTGTGTGAAAAAATTATCTTTGGTTTTTAAATTTGGGAGTACAAACATAAAATTGAGTTGTAAAACTATAGCTAGCAAGGGATTGTGTGTATATGTAAATTTATTTGTGCCTTTTAAAATCATAAATTATTGCTGTTTTACACTTTCATGTCATTGCTTCCTATGGTGACAGTTAGAACAATCAGCCCTTCAAGCAGAACTTGAGAAGGAAAGGCAAGCCCTCAAGAATGCCCTTGGAAAAGCCCAGTTCTCAGAAGAAAAGGAGCAAGAGAACAGTGAGCTCCATGCAAAACTTAAACACTTGCAGGTAGAGATTTGTTGTTTTAGAATACATTCTTACACAGAACACCCAAAGATGATGATATCTTTAGTCAGGCACTTAGCAACCTGCTCTAACATGTAGTAAGCAATTTGAATTACTAGAAAAAAGGGAATTCTGGGTGGAGCAGCACCATAGCTCCTGTTCTCTTGTGACCATTGTTTTAAGATTATTATTTGTGAATCTCCTTTTGTTTTTATGATGGTGCAAAGAGATAGAGGCAGTGTCAGTAGTAAACAATATACTGTGTAAACTCATGGGCAAAAGCAGTATCTTGCTTTTCTTCTAAAAGCAGATTTGTCACCAGACCAAACTAAAAGGATCAGATTGGTGCATCCTCTTCCACTGAAATGTCTTTGTAATTATCCAGGAATTTAACTAGAGTGAGTTGCAGTGGGATTTCTTATCTGTAAATAGTTTTCACTACCCTCTTCTCGGAAAGGATGCTATTAAAAATGTCATCATTTTTTATTTGTGGGAATGTATGTCAATATTTTTATAGCTGTTCTCACAGTAATCTGCTGAACAAACTGCAGGAAAAACAGGTGGATAGGATTTTTCAGATAATTAAACTCTCGAAGAAGACAGATGTCTGAACAAACAAGTACCTGAATCATCACTCAGTTCTCCAAATCTGTGAGGTTGCGGGCCTCTTGGCTGGCTGAGATGGTAGCTGTTATCACCAGAAATAAAAGGGCAGAGTTTATGTGGCTTGGAGGAAGGGTTCCAAAAAAAACTACGTAGGGGGATTTGAGAGAAATAAGACTAAACTCACCCAAATGTTCTCTTCTTCTAACACTTCAAATATTTGTTCCTTGAAGTTTAAAGAAATCTAATAACCTGGAATTTAATTTTTACTGCTCTCAGTTCCACTTCTGAAGCAAATATCATAAAAGATATACATGTTTTCCATTACTATGTGAGGTGTGTGTGTATGTTGGGTCTTACTTGAGTTATCATTTTCCATTTTTAGTATAGAAATTTGCATATAACACAAAAACAGAATAGCTTATGACCCTTATTTACCCATTGCCCAACCTAAACAGTTGTCAACATTCATTGTTTCATTTTGTCCACCTCTTTTGTTGCTGGAATATTTTAAAGAAAAATTTCATACATCTTTCTTTCACCTGCAAATACTTAAGTGTACATCTCTTGCAGAAAAGGACTAATATAATATTCTTCAGGGGGCTTCTCCAAAGTAGAAAGTGAAGTCAACTTTCTAGAATGCTGACACGTGTTGTGGGACTACCTTAGTTAGAACTAGATTCTTTGATTACTTGGCCAACTAACCTCCTGAGTACAAGTTAAACCCACTCTACATGTCTTTGTCAGAAATCATTTAGTTGCAATGAACCAAAACCTACTCACACTAGCTCAAGAAAGGAGACAGCTTGCTAGGAACCAGAGCTGCTCTGCCTTTCATGTTGATATAGGGGCTCTCTCATTTCTCTTTTTCCATCTCTCCGAGCATTGTATGTGGCCCAGCATAGACCCCAGCCCTGATTTAACATATTTTCAGGTCCAGCATTTATATAGGCTTGCTGTACTGAATCTTGCTTCAAATTATGGAGAGAATGAGAACCTATTTTCTGGCTAGTTGATGTGTTGACTGGCCTCTAGTCAGATGATCTATGGCCAGGATTAGATAGTACTACAGAAAGGGCTGCCTTGGGGCAATGGGCATGGACAGTTTACAGATAAAGAGGACTCCAGATGGAACAGGCACTTGAAAACATGTTAATTGCATTCTAAATTCTTCATTTCAGTTAACATTGTTACACTGAGTTTGAAGTAGATTAATCATACGGAAATTTTAGAAATTTCTTTTTACTTGAAAGAGGCATTGTCTGAATTTAGTTCTGTGGTCTAGATATGTTTGTTAGTTCGTTAGTAGTGAAAATATGCTGGCATGTAATAGATAATCCCTATTTCATCCCCCTCCATAGGATGACAATAATCTGTTAAAACAGCAACTTAAAGATTTCCAGAATCACCTTAACCATGTGGTTGATGGTTTGGTTCGTCCAGAAGAAGTGGCAGCTCGTGTGGATGAGCTAAGAAGAAAACTGAAATTAGGAACTGGGGAAATGAAGTAAGGAAAAAGCAAGACCTCCAAGTCTAGAGTGGGCCTCACAACTTGAGAGTTGTGAGTGTGAGGTTCAATGATAA
This sequence comes from Homo sapiens, assembly GCF_000001405.40. Lineage (NCBI taxonomy): Eukaryota > Metazoa > Chordata > Mammalia > Primates > Hominidae > Homo > Homo sapiens. The sequence continues at coordinate 121,140,864 of NC_000009.12, forward strand.
ACTCACCTTTCTAAGTTCTGTTAATGGCAAATTTCTTTTGTAAGGTTCTCCTTATGAAGTTTTCATGACTGAGACAAAAGATTGTTTAATTTATTTGTCTGCCACTGATTGTTTTTACATTTTGGATCTTTTTTTTGGTATTTAAGAGTAATATTTGGTATTTAAGAGTTATTGTTTCTTGAAAGTTAATTATATATGGTCAGGAAGTAGAGCCACATTATACATTTTAAATAGAGAAGAAACATCAAAAGAAAACATAATTATTTCAAATATATGAAATGGACATTTATTCTTGGAGCAAATATTGTTAGCCTGATATGAGCCTATGTTTTCAGAGTGGCAGCAGTCATTTGATAAAGCAATAATTTGCGCTTAGGAGATGGTCAGTAAATTGCTATAGATTGACACCAGTCCCTGCACACAGCTTTTTACTCTGGAGCTAAAGTTAATAGCATGTTTGCAGCCAGCATCAAAAATTAAATGTCACATTTATACCATTTTTCCCCCTCCTTACTAGCATCCATAGTCCTTCAGATGTCTTAGGGAAAAGTCTTGCTGATTTACAGAAACAATTCAGTGAAATTCTTGCACGCTCCAAGTGGGAAAGAGATGAAGCACAAGTTAGAGAGAGAAAACTCCAAGAAGAAATGGCTCTGCAGCAAGAGAAACTGGCAACTGGACAAGAAGAGTTCAGGCAGGCCTGTGAGAGAGCCCTGGAAGCAAGAGTAAGACAAGGGCAAGAGGCACCTGGAGGGAAGTGTTTGGCAAATATTAATGTTTTTCAGCAAATTACAATGCTTCCTTTGTCATGTAAATACAACATAATTGTTGTTATTTTCACTTATAACAAGTCAAGCTGGGTGTGACTAAAACTCAACCCTGAATGTGGTTATAATGTCAAAGTCAGGCTTGTTTGTGACATTGTGTTTTCCTTGATTTAGAAGCAAAGGCAAGTTATTTTATAACAGGCAGGTAAATAATGCCACATTCCTAGAGTATGGTGTGTTGCCAGAATCTGGTATTTTTTGATGTGATGATTTTAATGAAGAGGCAAACATTCCAATGACTCCTAGAGATCGTTCAAGATAAAACCATTCCTGACAACTCATTAGTAAAAAATTAAGTTACAGCCTGTTGTAAAATGGGTGATAATTCTATAAAAAGTTTTTATTTTGCTTAAAACATATTTTGCCTAAAAATCATTCTTGAAATTGTATTTCTTCACAGATGAATTTTGATAAGAGGCAACATGAAGCAAGAATCCAGCAAATGGAGAATGAAATTCACTATTTGCAAGAAAATCTAAAAAGTATGGAGGAAATCCAAGGCCTTACAGATCTCCAACTTCAGGAAGCTGATGAAGAGAAGGAGAGAATTCTGGCCCAACTCCGAGAGTTAGAGAAAAAGGTAGGGGAGACTTAGAAAATGAGACACATAAGTACCTGCTGCCAGTGTCCTGCCCACTGGCAACTAGGTCAGCTGAGATGGGTGTGATCTGTAGTCACCTCTGGCTGCATTGCTGGCACAGTGCTGAACCTGACCTAGGTGGGACCTGGATGCATGTCATTGAATCAAGAAGCTAAGACCATGTGTTGTGGTAGATGGAAACGAGAATTGAGAATGTAAGGAGTGACTTTCAAGTTAATTAGGTGGTACTTAACAAATGATATTGGGAGGAGTTTGACTCCTTTGAAACCTCTTGTCCAGTTGGATACATCCATGGGAAATTACTTTTAAACTCCTCATCATCCTTTCTAATACCCCTGCCTCTCTTTAATGGCTTTTCTCCATTCCACCTCAACCATCTACTCCCATTGTCACATTCTGGACTTTGTCAAGTTTAAAAATTGCACCCACCTCTGAAATCACAAACTGAAGTGTCTTGCTCTGATCATAACCGCTTATCTTGCTGGTATCCACACACTTAAAATTTGTCAGCCTTATTGAGCTTCCAGTTCATTAGCCTCACCCCCACCTTTGCTATCTGTTAAGCCCTTGTCTTTACTTTCTTACTTGTCCAACTTAAATTTTGTGGTCTACCAACTATAACTTTTTTTTTTTTAACAAATATCCTCAAGTTCCTTGCCCTTTTCTACTGTTTTATTTCCCTGACAAAACTGAAGCTCTCTGCTTTCTTTGGGCCAGCACTTCCACTGGTTGTTCCTGGAGAAAAAAGTCACCATCCAGTATTGTGGTGTCATTATAAACTCATAGTTACCAATCTCAAATAGACAATATGACCCTTTTCTGTGGTGAGCTTCCTCTCCCATGCCTCACTGTTTCACACCTTCTCATTCCTCACACCTGCTGTCTGCTTTCTCCCAGCCTCAGTGAATGCCTTGCTTCATCCTTCCCTGAGAACTCTTCAGTTTCCAAGTCCTATTGAATCCATCTCTAAAATGTATCTGGAATATATGTCCTTTTTCCTTCTCTGATGCTAGACCCTTGTGCTGTCATCATCTCTCTTCTGGATGACTACTGTGGCTGTCTGATCGATCTGTCACTTCTACTCATGACCCTGCTCCCCAGAGCAGCCAAGATGCTCTTTCTGAAATGTCAAGTGGCTGTAATCAGTCTCCCCTCCTGTAGCTTCCTTTGTTCTTAGGAGTAAGACCAAAATTCTTAAGCCTACGAGGCCTACATGATTTGCCTCTGTTTAGATCTCTCCATTTCTCACTGTGCTCCTCCTATCATTTTCTCAAAAATGCCAAATTCTTGTGCCACCATCCTATGCCCAGGGCCTGATTCAGTGATTTCAAAGGCAGGTTCATCCATGCCGTGGTGGTAGTGCTAGGAAATGTTTTTCCAATGAATGGATGAAGTTATGACCACTAAGATTCTTGACTAAGAAGACCTAGTACAAGTTTCTCACAGTTTTGAGATCTATTATTTATTCATTGGATATATGTGGAGTACCTCCTGTGTATCAAGTATTGTTCTAGGCAGCAGTGAACAGAGTCCCTACCCTCCTGGAGCTTACATCTGAATTCATTCCTGCCAAATGATTCATCTGTTTAATTAATATTTCTTTTATTTTAGAAGAAACTTGAAGATGCCAAATCTCAGGAGCAAGTTTTTGGTTTAGATAAAGAACTGAAGAAACTAAAGAAAGCCGTGGCCACCTCTGATAAGCTAGCCACAGCTGAGCTCACCATTGCCAAAGACCAGCTGAAGTCCCTTCATGGAACTGTTATGAAAATTAACCAGGAGCGAGCAGAGGTGAGTTCACATGTACAGAACAGGTTTCCATCAATGATGCTGCTGTCAAAAAACATGGCAACTTGTATTATTGATCTTGCTATAGACATTGGTTATTTTATAAACCACTGTAAAGTTGTCTGTTTTTCTTAAGACCTAAAGATTATATTCCCCCCATCACAACCCCCAATAATTTATTTTGTGCTGCCATGGATACTGCGTTCTACTGAGCCCTGAAAGGAATCATCAAATAAACATGCTATCCCTACCTTTAAGTGTAAGGATGCTTAGGGAGGTAGCTGTCAATATCTACCTGGACAAGGGTTCCTGAAGGATTGTTATATAATCCCTCTGAATCTCAAATTTTTCATCTCGTGCAGTCATGTGAAAATGTTACTTCATAGTATGACTCCTTACTGAGCTAATGTCTGTTACTGTGCTTTATAGGATGCAAATGCTAATGAGATTAAGATAGCAGATCATAGGAGACAAAAATCTAATGATGAGAGCCCAGAGAGACATAATCATGGAAGACGGTAGTAAAAGTAAAAAAGTAAAAAAATTAGCCTTTGTTCTTTCTGATGCCGCACCTTGGGGTTGGGAGCTGGGCAGGCTGCCCAACAATGGGAACAACACAGGAGAAGGTGGGGCTTGGATGTCCCTTTTCATGGACAGCCTGGTAGGCAATGTGATGAAAGCAGAAGAATCAATCCAAGAGGAAGAAATGAAGAAGACAACCTGTGATAGCAGTGGTGCCTTTCTCATACTTCTGTCCCAGTAGGAGTTGCAGGAAGCAGAGAGGTTCAGCAGAAAGGCAGCACAAGCAGCCAGAGATCTCACCCGAGCAGAAGCTGAGATCGAACTCCTGCAGAATCTCCTCAGGCAGAAGGGGGAGCAGGTCAGTGTTGGTACCCAGAGACCTCCTCTTTCTCAGATTCTTATCAGTTCCTAAAAGACAAAATTACTGTAGGTGATGTCTCAAAGAATTCTGAAGTGCAATCAATAGTTAATAAGTACTTTATCCTCTACTGTGTGCCAGGCTTGGTGCAGTTTCCAAGTAATGCAGTTTCCTCACTGGGAAAGTGTAAATAAATATAGAATCATAATCAAGTTGAAAGGATAAATGTGTTTGGGAAAGAATGAATTCATTGGCAACTTTGTATGTGTAATTTTTTTAAATAGTTTCGACTTGAGATGGAGAAAACAGGTGTAGGTACTGGAGCAAACTCACAGGTCCTAGAAATTGAGAAACTGAATGAGACAATGGAACGACAAAGGACAGAGATTGCAAGGCTGCAGAATGTACTAGACCTCACTGGAAGTGGTAAAGTATTGGGCTTTGATTTTTGGCAGTGGTTTTGTAGTCATAAAATTAAATCATCTCATTTGTTTTTTACCTTTAACTGTTACAAATCAAGTCCATGCTTGATTCAGAGAGCTGTGGTAATTAGCTTAATAAGTAAAATAAAATAAATCAGATAATTTTAAGAGTATTTTCTGTAAGTGTGTTACTGGGGGACTTGGTTGCCAAGATAAGAGTTTCGTATTTGTGGGCGAGCACAGTGGCTCATGCCTGTGATCATAGCACTTTGGGAGGCTGAGGTGGGTGGATCGCTTGAGGTCAGGAGTTCGAGACCAGCCTGGCCAACATGGTGACACCCTGTCTCTACTAAAAAATACAAAAATTAGCTGGGCATGGAGGTGGGCACCTGTAAACCCAGCTACTCGGGAAGGTGAGGCAGGAGAATCACTTGAACCTGGGAGGCAGAGGTTGGCAGTGAGCCGAGATTGGGCCGCTGCACTCCAGACTGGATGACGGAGTGAGACTCTGTCTCAAAAAAAGAAAAAAAGAGTTTTGTATTTGTAATTTCAAAATAAATAATGTTTACAAATCAGTTTGCCTTTTTTTGACTTACCAAAGGGCAGACTGAAAGTCAGCTTTGAGGAACTGATAAAATTAATTGGCTCTCTTAGAATCTCTTTTATATTTTGAGAAAGGAAGTAAGTGATTTCATATCAATTTCATAGAATGACTTTTCTTTACAGACAACAAAGGAGGCTTTGAAAATGTTTTAGAAGAAATTGCTGAACTTCGACGTGAAGTTTCTTATCAGAATGATTACATAAGCAGCATGGCAGATCCTTTCAAAAGACGAGGCTATTGGTACTTTATGCCACCACCACCATCATCAAAAGTAGGAATTCTGTGGTGTTGGGAATGTATACTGAATTTTCTTGAAGAAAGTGTGACATTGTCCCCTTCCCCAAATTTATGAACAGGTACCAAAAACAACATTTCTATGCTAAGCCGTGCATTGAGGTTCTGTAGCGTTTTTAATATTTGAGATGAAAATAGGGCCTTCTTGGGGAAGGTGACAGTTGACTGTTCATACTCGGGCGGTATGTGTTAGGGTCCTTGAATGTGGATGCTCTAAGGAGAAAAGGTGATTTGAGCCCAGAGAGCCTGCTGAAATGGACATAGAATTGTGCAGAGCCTCCGACAGAAAAAAAGGCACCTGGATTTCATGTCCTTTTAACGAACATTCATTCAGTGTTTACTGAAGCCTAGGCCAAGTGCTAGGTAGTGGTGGGGCATCACAATGAATGGTAAAGCCCCTGCTCTCAAAGAGTTCATTGGCCATGCCAGCATAATTGCAAAATGGTGACATACCTATGACAACAGACCTGACCTGTATTCTCTAGTTGCAGAGAGGTATTAAGGATTCATCTGATGGGAAGTTCAGGAAGGAATGCTTCACAAGCAGGGATGTGAAGTCAGCACTTAGCAAGCAGTGAGCGTTGGGCTTTTAGGAGGGAGGAAACAGCTCGTATGGAAGAGGAGAGTTATTGGCTTAGCAAAGACAAATAGCTTTGTGGGGCTAGAGGGTTTATAGGAACAGTGTCAGATGAAGCTGAAAAGTAGATTGGGGTCATGCTTTTGTTTTTCTTTTTGTTTTTTGAGACGGAGTCTTGCTGTGTCCCCCAGGCTGGAGTGCAGTGGTGTGATCTTGGCTCCTTGCAACTGCTGCCTCCGGGGTTCAAGCGATTCTCCGGTTTCTGCCTCCTGAGTAGCTGGGATTATAGGCATGCGCCACCACGCCTGGCTAATTTTTAGATTTTTAGTAGAGATGGGGTTTTGCCATGTTGGCCAGGCTGGTCTCAAACTCCTGACCTCAGGTGATCTGCCCACCTTGGCCTCCCAAAGTTCTGGGATTACAGGCGTGAGCCATCACCGTGCCCAGCCTGGAGTCATGCTTTTTTAAAAGGGCCTTAGAATCTCTTACACTTAATTATGTAGGCCATAATTATGTAGGCCATGAGAAATGGGTTGTGTACTAAAATGATCAGAGCTGTAGTTTAGGAATAATATTCTGGCTAGTATAGAGTCTATACTTATGGTAGGGTGAGCTTTCGGTGGGGCTCTTTAAACTGATTCAGGTAAAGAGTAGAAGCCAGAGCTAGATCAGTGGAGCTGGGAAAGAGGAGATGAGATTAAAGGATGTTAAAGAGAAATGGTTAGGGCCTGGGGCCTGAATGTGGGAAGTGAGGAGAAGACTGGGGCCTGAATGTTGAAAGTGAGGAGAAGACTATAGGCTGTATTCATCCAAAGCAGAGGGGCCTGGTGCTATCCTGCTAGAATCAGCCGATGAGCAATAGTCAGGGAGAAGCAGCTCAGACACACTAGGTTCTCAGGGCTGTGTAGACTTAACCAGACCCCTGAAGAGCAGAATCTTAGATTCTCCCAGCAATCCTAAAGGAAGCCAACTCCTTGGTACAACCAGAGCTGGAGGTGGAAGCAGTATAAATTAGAGCAAAACATATAAGCCTGAGCTGGGTGAGGGTTTAGAGGATGTACCTACAGACTGAGAAGGAGAAGGAGGGTAGCAGAGTAGAGCTTTAAAGCCATGCCAAGCTCCCAGGACCACAGAAGACTGGTGACCCCAGATTTCTTCGAAGTTCACTGGTTTCCTTTGCCTCAGTCACTGGGCCATCAAGGATGAGGTTAAAAACAAAACAAAACAAAAAACCACTAGGAAAAATGACTACAGAGAGAACAGAGGCTGACACCCGGGAGTCTCATCACTATGGAGAACTTATTTTCATTTCTCTCTTGGGGAGTTGCTGCATAAAATTAACCCAGTCAAACAGCTAGATAACATGCTTTTTCCATTTTGGTATGGCCAAGGACTTGTGAGTTCTAGAAAATTGTACCAAAAGAGAGGATAGGAGATGGATGTTTTAAAATGGCTTTTGAAAGGATAAATAGACATTAATTTGTTTGCTTTCACCACACTTTGAGCCCTTCACTTTCACAGACCAGTCTGATGTGACCCCAGCCATTACCCACATAGCCCTCCTTTCTGCATGGCTTCCCTGACCCTGCCATGTCGATCAAGTCCAGAGGGATGTTAATAAGCTGAATTGTGTATGGAACTGCAGTTTATGTGACCATGTAATCACCTCACTTCTGTGAAAAATAAGGATAATGAAAAGAAGCCAAGTTCTTTCTCAACCTTGCTACATCTCAACTTTGCTGTAGACTTTGACGTTTCTTAAAATCAGCCTTTCCATTTATAATAGATAGTGTGCTCTGCTGTCATTTGTTTTAGGTTTCCAGCCATAGTTCCCAGGCCACCAAGGACTCTGGTGTTGGCCTTAAGTACTCAGCCTCAACTCCTGTTAGAAAACCACGCCCTGGGCAGCAGGATGGGAAGGAAGGCAGTCAACCTCCCCCTGCCTCAGGATACTGGGTTTATTCTCCCATCAGGAGTGGGTTACATAAACTGTTTCCAAGTAGAGGTAAGTCAAATCACATAGGAAAGTTGCATTTCTCTTGCCCGTTTAATAACCTTTTACTGATTCTCTGAAACCCCTAAGACACAATCCAGACTCCTTAGCTAGCTCCATGAGGTCTTCTGTGATCTGGTCTTGGCCAGCGACCTCTTGTCGTTGTTTTAAACCCTGTCTGGAATGTCCTTCCTCCTTCCCTTCCCATGGTGATGCCTACTCATCCTTCAGTGAGACCTAGGTCCTCAAACAATGCTCCTAAATGGAGCCTTCTTCCACCCTGCTTCACCCAGGCTGACTAAGCAGCCTCTTTGACTGTACTGGAGCATGGTGTCTTGTGTCCTTGCATCACGGCATTAATCTCATCCTCCTAAAATGAAGTGTTACGGGTCTGTCTTCCAAAGCTCCAGAGGAAGAGTCAGACCTGAGTAAATCTTTTTCACTTATTAGCTGTGTGGTCTTAGGCTAATTATTTAGCTGCTGTGAAACTGTTAATCTGTAAAATGTGAATACTACCTTCTGAGAATTTGTTCATTCAGAAACTTTTTTTTGTTTTTTGTTTTTTTTTTTGAGAGGGAGTCTCGCTCTGTCACCCAGGCTAGAGTGCAGTGGCACAATCTTGGCTTACTGCAACCTCCGCCTCCTGGAATCAAGCAATTCTCTCTCCTGTTTCAGCCTCCCGAGTAGCTGGGATTACAGGCGTGCACCACCATGCCTGGCTAATTTTTATATTTTTAGTAGAGATGAGGGTTTCACCATATTAGACAGGCTGGTCTCGAACTCCTGACCTCAAGTGATCTGCCTGCCTCGGCCTCCCAAAGTGCTGGGATTACAGGCGTGAGCCACCGTATGTGTCCAGGAAGTGCTTATTGACTGCCTGCTGTGTGCTAGGTTCTCTGTTGTCAGTGATCAGCAAACATATTTCCTGGTTTTAGGGCAGATAAGTTAGTAAGCTATCACGTTGGAGAGTGTTACATGTCATGACAGTGGTAAACACTGAGTGCTGTAAGATCTTGTATGTAGCATGAATTAGATACCCAGATGGTCACTTAATAAATTAATGAATAAATTAGCAAATGCAGAAACAAACCAACAGATAAACATAAGAAAAACTCAAGTATCAGCCATAGAAAATACTTTGAATCCATGTTTTGAGCTGCTTTTCAAAAATAGTTTTGACCTTTTTTTCAGAGTTTTATTCTCACATCTGCAGTATCTTGGCTTAAATGCTGCTGTTCTCTACTAAATTTGTTTACCTGGTAAACCATGGGGGTAAAACACTCTTTTGTTGAATAAACTCTTCTGTTTATTTCTTTGAAGATGCAGACAGTGGAGGAGATAGTCAGGAAGAGAGTGAGCTGGATGACCAAGAAGAACCCCCATTTGTGCCTCCTCCTGGATACATGATGTATACTGTGCTTCCTGATGGTTCTCCTGTACCCCAGGGCATGGCCCTGTATGCACCACCTCCTCCCTTGCCAAACAATAGCCGACCTCTCACCCCTGGCACTGTTGTTTATGGCCCACCTCCTGCTGGGGCCCCCATGGTGTATGGGCCTCCACCCCCCAACTTCTCCATCCCCTTCATCCCTATGGGTGTGCTGCATTGCAACGTCCCTGAACACCATAACTTAGTAAGTGGAAAGACATACAACTCTCTTTCCACACTGCTTCCATGGGTGACTGATAAGGTTATATACTTAATGAGTTGACCTATTTATGACTGGATTATATGGCAAAGTGTGTTTGTAAGGCTGATGTTTAGAACTGTGCAAGCATTCTCTTATTAAAATTCTCTTATAAAAGCAGTGGCATGTGCCTATAATCCGAGCTACTCAGGAGACTGAGACAAGAGGATTGCTTGAGCCTAGGAATTCAAGGCCAGCCCCGGTAACAGCAAAAAACAAAAACCAAAAAAACAAAAATACCATGTACAGGAGTTAGGGTCTCAGGCCAGTCTACAAACCTGGGTTAGCCATTTAATAACAAATGTTTTCAGTCCAGAAATTTACCGTTTTTACAAAGCTTATGTATTTTTCTATTGACAAGTGTTATATTAATGTGTATGTATATATTCACTTACTAGTGCCTGTACTTGTACACATACATATATGTATAATATGAGTGTATACACATGTATGTGCACGTGTATGCACACAGGTATGGACAGCATACAGTAAGGTTTTGGTGGGGATTATCTCTAGGTAGGATTTATTTATTATTTATTTTCATAGTTTATATTTCGGTGGGGATAAGGTTTTGGGGATTATCTCTAGGTGGTGGGATTTATTTATTATTTTCATAGTTTATATTTTATTGTACACAATATTTTGTATTCTGTTTTTCCTACTTAATGTTATAAGCATTTGTCCATGGTTTTACAAATGTCTTTAAACAATATTTTAATGACTGTACAACATTTCTATATTTGTAGGTACTGTAGCTGACTGTAAATTCTTACTGTATCTCTTAGGCTAGATTCTAAGAAATAATTATTTCCTAATTACTAGATTACTTCCTTTTTCTTTTTTCTTCTTCTTTTTTTTTTTTTTTTTTTTTGAGACGGACTTGTTCTCTTTCGCCCAGGCTGGAGTGCGGTGGCGTGATCTTGGCTCACTGCAACCTCCGCCTCCCGGGTTCAGGCAATTCTCCTGCCTCAGCCTCCCAAGTAGCTGGGATTAGAGGCATACGCCACCACGCCTGGCTAATTTTTATATTTTTAGTATAGATGGGGGTTTCACCATGTTGGCCAGGCTGGTCTCGAACTCCTGACCTTGAGTGATCGCCTGCCTGGACCTCCCAAAGTGCTGGGATTACAGGCATGAGTCACTGCGCCCAGCCTCATTAGATTACTTTCTGACTTTTTGGTTCTAAAGAAATAAAATGGAATCTAAGCTCCTCCTTCAGACTCAGAACACCTGGAGTTTTTTCCTTCCTGTCTTGGCAGATTGAGTGGAAGATAAACTAGGGCACATGTCAAGTCACCAGTCCCATTGTAATAGGTCAGACTAGTTTTAGAGGGTCTGTGTGCATTTACAAGTTTAACTGTAGTAGTCACTCACATTCTTTTGCAGTTTTTCTTGCACATTGTAATTTGTAACAATTTCTTTCTATTCAGCATTTTTCTATAATCTCTTAAACGGGTTCTTTTACTCTCCAAACTTACCTGGCTGTTTATATAGTTTCTCAGGTGCACTTTTATACTTCCCTTCGTTTGCATGTGTTACTTCTTCAGCCTAGGTCTTTCCCCTTCCGTTCGTTCTTCAAAACCCAGGCAAAACACCTCTTCCTCTGAGCAGCCTTCTCAGAACTTTTCTCCCATGTGGCCAGAGGAAGGAGAGACTTCTGTCTATCTCTTCTGCTAGACCCCGAACTCTTTGGAGGCAGAGGTTATCCACAAGAGGCTTGGCAAATGTTTCTCAGTCATAGTTGGACTGTTTGAAAAATTAAAGGTTCTATTTGTCTGTCAGTTTCATCCGTGACATTTAACTTTTTATACCAAAGTCTTAGAATCTACCATCATTTTTTGGGCCATTGATACCACTTTAACCACAGTTAATTTCAGCTTTTGGCAGGAAAGAGAGGAAACATCCTGTGATGTTTCAGCACTGCATTTTTTTCCCCATCTCATTCAGGAGAATGAAGTTTCTAGATTAGAAGACATAATGCAGCATTTAAAATCAAAGAAGCGGGAAGAAAGGTGGATGAGAGCATCCAAGCGGCAGTCGGAGAAAGAAATGGAAGAACTGCATCATAATATTGATGATCTTTTGCAAGAGAAGAAAAGCTTAGAGTGTGAAGTAGAAGAATTACATAGAACTGTCCAGAAACGTCAACAGCAAAAGTAATTAATATATTTTTTATAATTCAGACAAATACGATATTAGTTCATTAATGCTGTCGAACAGAACTTTCTATAATCTTGGAATGTTCTTGATCTTCTGTCCAAAACAGTAACCACTAGCTCAGTGTGGCTGTTGAGCACTTGAAATGTGGCTGATGGAGCTGAGGAACAGAATTTAATTTCAATTAATTTAATAGCCACATATTGAGTACCATATTGAGCAATACAGGTCTGAGTTCTTTTGGCCAATAATACAAATCAGCTCTTATTGTAGTCCCTCTTGGAGAGTGGTATAACCATTTCCCCTCTCCAGTTACCCTAGCTAAAAATACAGCAGGGGTTCTCAACTCTTTCTTTTCCATTACTCTCCTGTGCTTCCAGTTGGTCTCTAAATCCTGCTGACTGCATCCAGAGAGCTCTCAAACTGGTCCCTTTCTGTCATCTCCCCTTCTCTAGCTTTTAATTAGTCTCATCCTAGCGATTGTAATAGTTTCCACACTGGCCTTCCATGTCTTCTCTCTTGGTCTACGCTGTATCTTGACACACTGCAAATCTGACTGTTCCACTTTCCCATGTGATTCTCAGTCCCATCAGAATATACACGACCCTTCTCCATCTGAAATCCACCCGTCTTTTTCTTTTATCACAGTATTTGGTCTGGCTCACTACTTTCCTGTGGTTTCCTCAAACACCACGTTTTCTCCTGCCTCTACACCTTTGCATGTACTGTCTTCTCCCTGCTGACCCCCTTACCTAACTCCAACTTGTCTTCAAAATAAAGGTCAGAGATCCCCTCTCTTTTTTTTCTCATTAAAAGCCTATTTCTTCTCAGGTGCCCACAATTCAAGGTTAGCAACCTTGGTCATAGCACTGTTCACACAATGTTCTGGGGAGCCCAGGAGCTCCTTGAAGGCAGTAGCTGGACCTCCATCTCTGTGTCCCAGCACCTGTCATAGGGTCACTTAGTGAATGCAGCATCTGTTGATTGGGTTAATTATGCAAAAGCCTATCTTTTGCAGTAGTCCATGAATTATGACAGTTCCCCAGTTTTTGTCATTTAACCCAGACTGGCCCAGACCCCAGGGTGGTAGGGAGGCCTGCAGAGGACACAAGTAAGTAAGACGTGGTCACTGCCATCTAGCAGCAGACATCTGACTAATAGTCCTGGCAAGTGAAAGCAAGGGCCACACCTAAAAGATAGGGGCTAGATGTTTGAAGGTTAGGCAGATGGTTATGTCTGTTATTTTTGTGGGTATACACATTGGGGAATGGAATTTTTTTACTTTGAGGTATTTTGGAGGGAGATGATAGGGTGGTAGGATTGCCACTTCTTTTCATAGTTATAAAAGTGTAATAAATACTATTCTAGGAAGTTTGGATAACACAAAAATGTCCCAAGAAGAAAGTAAAAATCATATGTATGCCTTCATTTAAAGATAATCTGTTAAATGTTGAATTTATTTTCATATTTTTCTGTCATGCAGTCATACATAGCTAATCTAATTTTCAAATAATTTCATCATGTTAGCCTTAAGATATTGAATTGTGTGTCACAGTTTTTGATGTGTCAAATGTTGTCACCAGAGTTTTACTTCAGCCGAATGGAATAAATCACAAAATCAGGTAGTCTTCAAGGGCAGCCTATGAACTGCCCTTGAAGGATAGTTTTGAGGGAATGGATGAATATTGTGGTAGTGGTTTGCTTTATTTTTATACCTCAAAAGAATAGAAGTATCAACATTTTCTTGGTCAAGTGCTGACAACACAATAATCTTTGTTGTTATATTTAAAAGGGCAAACAATTCCATGTCATGCATTTTACATATTATGCATTTATTGCCAATAGGAATTCCATGTTTAATAAGATGGTAAACCTAGACCTTGAACAAAATCAAATGTAGCAGTCTTTCTTACCTATTCTCATATAAAATTAGAAAATCATTGTAGATCTTTTTAGTAGTTAGGCTACAAGTATCTGTATTGTCTACATTTAACATTTTTTAATGGGTGTATATATTATTTTTTAGGGACTTCATTGATGGAAATGTTGAGAGTCTTATGACTGAACTAGAAATAGAAAAATCACTCAAACATCATGAAGATATTGTAGATGAAATTGAGTGCATTGAGAAGACTCTTCTGAAACGTCGCTCAGAGCTCAGGGAAGCTGACCGACTCCTGGCAGAGGCTGAGAGTGAACTTTCATGCACTAAAGAAAAGGTTTGTCTTCTTGTGGTTTGGGGTGTGAGCTCAGTGTGGGTGAGTCAGCTTACTGTCCACCTGAAGGATTAGAAAGAGAATGTGTGTGATAAGAGGACAGTTGTCCAAGTCAGACAGCCAGGTTCCAGGCTGGACTCTGCTAGTTAAGAAGATGTGAGAATTTATGCAAGTCATATAAGTCCCCTGGCTTTGCTTTTCTTATCTATAAATTCAGGCTAAGAATACGTAGGCTTTTCGGCATGGATTAAATAAAACAGCGTATTTAAAATTCCTGAAGTTACTTAGTTCCTAGCACACCCCACGTCCTTATCCTGTGTGTATCTTTTATATTTAATTATTTGGGTTCTGCTACCTGTGTTTTTTTAAATAGGTCAATCTTTATATTCTTATTAAGCTACAATGGACCTCACAAGTATTACTTTGGTCTTCAGGTTGATAATGATACAAAATATTTTTTGGTCAGAGATAATTTTCTTTTTTTTGTTTGAGATGGTGTCTCGCTCTGTCACCCAGGCTGGAGTGGAGTGGCGCAATCTTGGCTCACTGCAACCTCCGCCTCCCGGGTTCAAGCGATTCTCCTGCCTCAGCCTCCTGAGTAGAGACGGGGTTTCACCATGTTGGTCAGGCTGGTTTTGAACTCCTAACCTTGTGATCCTGCCTCAGCTTCCCAAAGTTCTGGGATTACAGGCGTGAGCCACTGCGCCTGGCCCGATAATATTCTTTAGACCACAACACAGAGGGAAGTTGGGGAGAAAAAGGAGTTACCTTTTATTGAGCCACTGCTGTGGCTACACATGGCCATTTTGTAAATGTTTCATTTAACCTTCCTGGCAGCCCTGTGTAGATGATGTTAGCTTGGTTTACTGATGTAGCTCAGAGAGGCTCATTACTGGCCCAGAGTCACATAGCCAAGGGCTCTTTTAGTTAGATGAGAATTCCAGGATGAAAAGAGTTCCTTACCCACATGAAACACCTCAGGAACTATTATTTGTATTTTGCTATTTCAACATGAATCTATTTAAATTAAAAGCAGTCTATTACCTAGGAACTAAATTATTTATTAAAGAAATTCTGTGAGTAATTAAGAATGGAAAAAGTCCTTTTCAGATGAGCTGTTCCTTCTGTTGTCATATGTTGGATTACTGTGAGAGAAAATAGATGTGAGCAGAACTAGAGGAAAAAAAATCACTGGTATAATAATATATAATAAGATATTTTGATAATATATCAAAATATCACTGGTATATTTTGATTATAAATTTTGGTATATTTTGGTTATATATTAATATATATAGGTATAGATATATAAAATCATCAAAAGAAAATTGATGGCAGTGGTAGTAGGCAGAGGTAGTAAGTCAACCAAGGCTGGTAAGTTCTTTCACCTTCATCCTCCCAAAATGACTCAGGGAGGCAGCTTGGTAAGAAGGAGGAGGAGAGAGAAAGTAGTGGTGTTTTGGAAGGAGTGTGCCAGACATGTTAAAACCTGACATAGAAGGAGACAAAAAACTATTTGGTGGCTTTTCTGGAATGCATAGCCAGTTTTATCCAGTGCTTTGCTGGTGAAACTGACAGAAACAAGCTATCTGAAATGGAAAGACGTATGGTAAAATATGTAGCTCTCTGGGAGCTTGCCAACCCTTTTGCATCCACACAGATATTTAATAGGCAAATTTAACATACGGACTCCTCTGGCTTTAGTACAATGGCAGACTTCAGTTTTTTTTGGCTGAAGGTGAGTCACTGCTCAACCAAGTGCAAACCACACTCTATTTATTTTTGGAACTTTTGATGTCATTGTTTTAAGCATCTTATGTTAGGCAGAAAAAGAAACCAAGTTGATTAAAACAAATGTGTTTTTACCAAATCTTATATAGGAAGATTTTAAACATTTGCAAAGTATTTAATGTTTGTGTTTGTCAGCCGTAATTACATTATCACCAGATCAATGCATTTTTACTTCGCTTGATAATAACTATAGAGTGCAGCAAGAATTTCTGTGTGGAGGAAATCTTGGTAAAATCACTTCCTTCCCACTTAGTTGGGTAGATAGTTTTAATATTTAAAATGATATAATAGTATTACAGATTATTTTGAAATAAAAAGCATCTTTAGTTCCACTACTTTCAAATGACTGTATTTATTTTTATATAGTCTTTCTGTCTTTGTTGACACATGTAGTTTTACACAGTTGCTCTCACAGTGCTTATACCATTTTAAATTTATTTTTCTCAGCCAACATAATATTAACATTCTTCCGTGTTGCTACATTGTCATCTGATCATTTGAAAGGCTACACAGTATTCCACTTTGTTAATGCATTATCACTTAGCCTATTATTATTTGTCAGGTCTTATATTATTATACATTGAGCATTTTTATATAGTAGTTCTTTGCTTCTGAATTATTTACCGAGAATTAGAGTTACAGTGAATGGACATTTTTATGTCTTTCTGTACCATCTTGTTTTCCAAAAGAGCTGTACTGGTTTACATGGCCAGTAGCTGTGAGTGAGTATTGTAACTGAATGGCTTTTAATGACAGTTTCTTTTCTAGACAAAAAATGCTGTTGAAAAGTTCACTGATGCCAAGAGAAGTTTATTGCAAACTGAGTCAGATGCTGAGGAATTAGAAAGGAGAGCTCAGGAAACTGCTGTTAACCTCGTCAAAGCTGATCAGCAGCTAAGGTAGGTGGATTCCCTAAGCCGTTGATGTATACATTGAGATGAATGAAAAGTTTGCTTCTAAGGGGATAATAATTGGTTTATGATAAATAATGCATGGTAAGTCTACAGGACCTGGGGGGAATAAAGCAATGTGCTTTAGATCGCTCCAGGCTGATGCAAAGGATTTGGAGCAGCACAAAATCAAGCAAGAAGAAATCTTGAAAGAAATAAACAAAATTGTAGCAGCAAAAGACTCAGACTTCCAATGTTTAAGCAAGAAGAAGGAAAAACTGACAGAAGAGTAAGTAAGGCCTCTGTAGGGCTACAAGGGGTTTGTGCTGGAAGACAGCTCTGGGGTTCCGAGTCCCTTAGGATCTGCTCTAGTGTTGCTGGTGCTTTGTAGGCTTCAGAAACTACAGAAAGACATAGAGATGGCAGAACGCAATGAGGATCACCACCTGCAGGTCCTTAAAGAATCTGAGGTGCTTCTTCAGGCCAAAAGAGCCGAGCTGGAAAAGCTGAAAAGCCAGGTATGGCAATAGACACCTTGAAAAAACAACTGACACAGCACTTTATGATTATAAAAGTAATACATGTTTAATTGTAGAAAAGAATAAATGCGGCTATGTATTATAGTTGTTAAGCATGAAGTCTGAACTAAATTTGAATCCCAACTCAATACAATACTTCTGAATAAAAAAAGTGGGTCTCAAAACATGGTATACTCTATGAGATCATTTCTGTTAAATGCCTTTATCAACACTTATGGTTGTATTTTTAGTCAATACCAAAGTACAAAAGTGGTCATCTGATAAGGGGGGATTTTGAGTATTTTCTGTTGTCTTCCTTTTGCATATCTGCATGGTCTTCTTTTTTTTTTGTAAACAAATACGTATTGTCTTTAAAATTGCAACGAATTTTTAATTTTAAAAATGAATACATTTTAAAAATCTCTGACTAACTTCCATCACCAAGGATGTCAAAATGGAATTAGGGTATAAAAATAAAAGTTCTTGGAAAACTGTAACCTGAGGGATGATCATGATTATCATATTGTTGTTCTTACTGTGATCACTGTGATTTGAGTGGTTTTAAGTATGTGAGCTCAAGGTTTTCATTAGGCATTTCACCCTTGCACTCCTTGCCTGGCTTTTCTGACTCTTGGGGGCTAGGATATTAGCTCCTGATTTTACCTCACAACTAAATTATCTCCAGGTTAGCACTGAGGGCTGTATGGCCTTTGTCAAACTTACTCTTCCCTTTTCTTTAATACAGGTGACAAGTCAGCAGCAGGAGATGGCTGTCTTGGACAGGCAGTTAGGGCATAAAAAGGAGGAGCTGCATCTACTCCAAGGAAGCATGGTCCAGGCAAAAGCTGACCTCCAGGAAGCTCTGAGACTGGGAGAGACTGAAGTAACTGAGAAGTGCAATCACATTAGGGTGTGTTTTTTATTAGGGTTTTCTGAAGAGTCGTAGGACAGTGCTATAGGTTTACTTTGATGTATTTTCATTGCTTCTCCCCAAATGAAAATATAAATTCCTGAAATCTTGCCTCCTCTGTAAAATCAGTTTGGTGTTGTTACATATCCATGCAGTGGCTGTCATGTGTAGTTCCCCCTCTGTTGTTTTCTGGATATGCTCAAAGTTCTCCTGCCCCTGTACCTTTCTCATACCATTTCTTCTCCAGGAATTCCCTTTCTCCCCTATCACTAGCCAGATCCCACCTGTTTCTCATGGCGCAGCTTCATGCCACCTCCTCTTAGAAAACTTCTGGCCGGGTACAGTGGCTCACATCTGTAATCCCAGCACTTTGGGAGGCCAAGGCAGGCAGATCACGAGGTTAAGAGATTGAGACCATCCTGGCCAACATGGTGAAACCCCATCTCTACTAAAAATACAAAAATTAGCCAGGCATGGTGGCATGCGCCTGTAATCCTAGCTACTCGGGAGACTGAGATAGGAGAATTGCTTGAAATTGGGAGGTGGTTGGTTGCAGTGAGCCGAGATTGCACCACGGCACTCTTGAACCCGGGAGGCGGAGGTTGCAGTGAGCCGAGATCGTGCCACTGCACCCTGGCTGGTGACAGAGTGAGACTCAATTTCAAAAAAAAAAAAAAAGAAAACTTCTCTGACCTTTTTCTTTCTTCTGGAAGAAGGAGTTTCCTTCTTTTGAGTTTAGAAACACTCTATCTGCATGTTTCCTAGGGCATGAAGGCCTAGCCTTTTGTGATCATGTTTATCTTCCCTGCCTTACCACTCAACAAGGTACTAAGCCCCTCCAGAGCAGGAGCCATGTCTCAGTCAGGCTTTTCTCTCTATAGACGTTGCCTTGCTTACAGTAATGTTGCAAATATATTTAGATGAAGAGAATATGTTACTTTCTTCTATTATATAGAAATAGGTTTCTGTAAAATATAATGCTGTTCTTGACATAAAAGGCAAAAATGAGCTTGTTTCCAAATTAGAATTTCTATGATATAAAACAATAAATAACAGAACTTATTTTGAAGTAATTTTCATTTACAGTCACAGGAGGGAATAACTTTTTTTTTTTCAAACACAGGAAGTAAAATCTCTTCTGGAAGAACTGAGTTTTCAGAAAGGAGAACTAAATGTTCAGATTAGTGAAAGAAAAACTCAACTTACACTTATAAAGCAGGAAATTGAAAAAGAGGAAGAAAATCTTCAGGTTGTTTTAAGGCAGATGTCTAAACATAAAACCGGTAAGTTTAAAGGAAAACAATCATACAAAGTTTGAGGTTGGAAATGTCTGTATTACAAGTCACAGAAAAAATAACAAATGGCCAAAAAAACTTTAAAGTTTAACCTTACTGCTAATAAGCAAAGCAAGCAGGTTATAAAAGGAATATGATATTTTCTGCCATTTTAATTGATAAACTTTATTTAAAAGCAAAATAATCATGCTCATTGCTGATCAGAGTGTGCTGAAAGAAGAGCACTCACAGTCTATCAATTGAGGTATAAACTGGAACAATCTCCCAGTGTTTCAAGGCTCTTAAAATTCACACCTGTTGAACTAGTCAGCCCATTTCTACTCCTCCAGAAAGGGCAAGTATGTACATCGCAGCAATATTTATAATGACAAAATTTGGAAACAGGCTGGGTGTGGTGGTTCATGCCTATAATCCCAGCTCTTTGGGAGGCTGAGGCAAGAGGATTGCTTGAGCCCAGGAGTTCAAAACTACCTGGGCAATGTATGAGACCCCATCTCTACAAAAATATTCAAAAATTAGCGATGCACATTGATGTGCACCTATAGTCCCAGCTATTCAGAAGGCCAAGCAGGGAGGATCCCTTGAGCTCAGGAGATCAAGGCTGCAGTGAGCTATGATTATGCCACTATGCTTCAGCCTGGGAAACAGAGGAAGACCCTGTTCCACCACACCCCCCAAAAAATTGGAAACAGATGACCAATTTAAAAGCCATATTTTTAACCTTTAATGACATGCAAACATGACCATGAGAAGAATGAAAAAAAGTAGGTAAAAAATGAATATGGAGTATAGTCCCAGTTTATTTTAAAATGTGTGAGAGTGTGTGTGTGTGCGCGCGTGCTCACGCGCACACACATGCA
Source organism: Homo sapiens (assembly GCF_000001405.40). Classification (NCBI taxonomy): domain Eukaryota; kingdom Metazoa; phylum Chordata; class Mammalia; order Primates; family Hominidae; genus Homo; species Homo sapiens. The sequence goes on from NC_000009.12 coordinate 121,161,175, forward strand.
TTCTTAGAAGGAAATACATCAAAATGCTATTGTAAAAGTGATTTGGGGTGGTGAAATAATGGTGGGTTTTCATTTTTTTCTCTTATGCTTTTTTTTTGTATTTTCCAGCTTTTCTACAGTAAGCAAGTATCTCTATGATCAGAAAAAAAGTTAATATTTAAATATCTGTATTTCAAAGGCCAAAAAATTGTTATATAAATCTCAGTCTGTATTTCAAAGTATTTTTAATTTATTTTGATCAATTTTATATAAAATGCTTTTAGTTGATTCTTTTATGTAGAAGCAAATGCTTTGGAACCAGATCTTTGTTAATTAAATGTTTTTGTTAAAATGTTTGTCTGTTTATTTATTTATATAGAGATGGGATCTTGCTCTGTCAACCAGGCTAGTCTCAAACCCCTGGGCTCAAGCAGTCCTTACACCTCAGCCTGCCAAATGGCTGGGATTACAGGTGCGTGCTGCTGCACCTGGCTTGTTAAAATGTTTTTAACAAATTAAATAGTATTTAGCGATACTTTTAGAGAATTTTTTATTAAAAATAAAATTAGCACCATTAATTCAGCTCAACAAAATTTTTAAAATTGTCTTGTATTAGTCAATAGCATTGTTTTCTGTTTCATTTTGTAAATGTTTTCCAAGTTCATTTAATATCATGGACCATGCTTTGTTTCTATCCCTTAGAACTAAAGAATATTCTGGACATGTTGCAACTTGAAAACCATGAGCTACAAGGTTTGAAGCTACAACATGACCAAAGGGTATCTGAATTAGAGAAGACTCAGGTGGCAGTGCTAGAGGTAATGAACAAAGCCAGTGTACCCTTAAGAAACTGAAGTCTTTCTCATTTAAGATGTTTGAGTCCTCTTTTATCTGATTTAGGAGAAACTGGAGTTAGAGAATTTGCAGCAGATATCCCAGCAGCAGAAAGGGGAAATAGAGTGGCAGAAGCAGCTCCTTGAGAGGGATAAACGAGAAATAGAACGAATGACTGCTGAGTCCCGAGCTTTACAATCGTGTGTTGAGTGTTTGAGCAAAGAAAAGGAAGATCTCCAAGAGAAATGTGACATTTGGGAAAAAAAGTTGGCACAAACCAAAAGGTGAGAGCAAGAACAAATAAGCTTGCAGGATCACTTCTTCAGGCCAAAGCATTATAAACACACTATAAAAAATTTGGAAAATAGAGAAAAAGATAAAATACACCACAAACTTGGTATCATAATACATTTTGCCAGTTGCATTTTTTTGGAGAATTTCCTTCTAGCTTTTTTTTTTTTTGCTCAAAAGCATTTTTTTAAAATCTATTTTGTTTTTTTTAAGTAAAATGATACATGCTGGAAATAAATGGAGATATATATCTTGTTCATGGACCAAAAGACAACATTGTTAAAGATTTAGTTCTGTTCAAATTGATCTCTAGATTCAAAACAGTTAACAATTAAAATCTCAATAGCCTTTCCTTGTGGAAATTGACAAGCTGGTTCTAAAATTATATGAACCTAGAATCGAATTATTCTAAGACCTAGAATAGAATTTATACAATTTTTTAGGTATGACACCAAAACAACTTTTAGAAAGTAGAACAAAAATTTAGGACTAACACTACCTGATTTGTAACACTTTTATAAACCTGTAGTAATCAAAACACTGTGGTATTAGTGTAAAGATAAACACATAGATCAATGGAACAGAATAGAAAGTCTAGAAATAAACTGACATATATGTGAACAACTGATTTTGATAAAGATAAAAAGGCATCTTTTTCAGTAGAGAAAAGATGGTCTTTTAGAAAAATGTTGGCTGAAACAATTGGATATACAAAACCAAAAAAAGAATCTCAATTCATACCTCACTATGTATAATATATAAATATGAATTTAAAATGAGGCCAGGCACGTTGGCTCATGCCAGTAATCCCAGCATTTTGGGAGGCCGAGGCAGGAGGATCACTTGAGCCCAGGAGTTTGAGACCAGCCTAGGCAACATAGAAAGACCCTGTCTCTGCCAAAAAAAAAAAAATAATAATAAAAATAGCCAGGTTGGGAAGCTGAGGTGGGAGAATTGTTTGAGCCAGGGAGATTGAGGCTGCAGTGAGCCATAATGATACCATTGCACTCCAGCCAGGGTGACAGAGTGAGACCCTGTTTCAAAAAAAAAATATATATATATATACATATTTATTTTATATTTATATATAGGACCATAAACATATATGTAAAACCTAAATATAAAACTTCTAGAAGAAAACATAAAACATAGCAGAAAACTTTTGTGACCTTGGAGTGGGCAAAAATTCTTGGTATGACACCAAAAGCATGATCCATAAAATAATAAATTGATAAAATTAGACTTCAAAATTTAAAACATCTCCTCAAAAGACACAAGGTAATGAAAAGATATGTCACAGGTTGGGAAAAAAATATTTGCAACCCATGTATCTGATAAAGGACTTGTATTCAGAATACATGTATAAAGAACTCTCAAAACTCAATAAGAAGACAACCCAGTTATTTAAATGGGCAAAAGATTTGAATAGACATTTCATTACAGAAGATAAATGGATGGCAAATAAACACATGAAAAGATACGCAGGATAATTAATCATTAGAGAAATGCAAATTAAAACCACAGTGAGATATCACTACACACCTATTAGAACAACAGCCATACCAAATGTTAATATTAACCAGGAACTTTTTTTTTTTTTTTTTGAGATGGAGCCTCGCTCTGTTGCCCAGGCTGGAGTGCAGTGGCGCTATCTTGGCTCACTGCAAGCTCCACCTTCCGGGTTCACGGCATTCTCCTGCCTCAGCCTCTTGAGTAGCTGGGACTACAGGCACCCGTCACCACGCCTGGCTAATTTTTTGTATTTTTAGTAGAGACGGGGTTTCACCATGTTAGCCAGGATGGTCTCCATCCCCTGACCTCGTGATCCACCTGCCTCGGCCTCCCAAAGTGCTGGGATTGCAGGCATGAGCCACCGCATCTGGCCGGAACTTTCATATATGATTGAGGGGCATGTAAAATGGTATTAAGTAACTGTTAAACTTTGGAAGACAGTTTAACAGTTACTTAAAAATCAAACATACGCCAATCGGAAGATCTAGCCATTCCACTCCTAGGTATTATATTTATTCAAGAGAAATGAAAGCATATTTCTACACAGTATATATGCTAATGTTCATGACAGCCTTATTTGTAATAGCCAAAAACTAGAAATGACCCAAATTGTCTATCACCTGGTAAATAGATAAACAAATTGTGGTATATCCACACTGTAGAATACTACTCAGCAATAAGAAGGGAATGAAGTATTGATATACACAACATGGATGAATCTCAAAGTAACTACGTTGAGTGAAAGAAGCCAGACCAAAAGCAAGTCCAAACTGTATGACTCCCTTTATGTACTACAATACATGCTCATGCATGTCTGCTATATGGACAGATCCTACTGTACACACAATTGTTTTCTACTCTTTCGATTGTCACAGCTCCATTTTTATCAGATTTTTGGAATTCTGAATGTTATCCATGTTTTTAATCCATGATTTTTATAAAACTTCAATTTAGTGAGTCAGTTTTTGAAAAAAGTCTCCACTTAGAAAGCTGATAATAAGATTCTGAAAATGAGTTGAGTCTTAAATTTTGTGAAGATTTATAATCATTTATACTTTCCATAACTGTATGTTGTGAAAGGATAACACTGTTCCTCAGTCATCTCCTGTGTGTGCTTGTATATTTGACAGTCTGACTTACTCTCTGTGGTAGGGTTTTAGCAGCAGCAGAAGAAAATAGCAAAATGGAGCAATCAAACTTAGAAAAGTTGGAATTGAATGTCAGAAAACTGCAGCAGGAACTAGACCAACTAAACAGAGACAAGTTGTCACTGCATAACGACATTTCAGCAATGCAACAGCAGCTCCAAGGTATAAGGCAGCAAAACAGTGAAAGTGTGTGATTTCCTTGCCCTTCGTTAGATTCTTTGATTTTTCTTACGACAAGTAATTCCTGCTAATGAGCATGGTGTTTCTTTCTAAAATTAGATTGTGGTAATGTTTGCACAACTTGGAATATACTAAAAGCCTTTGAATTGTACACTTTAAATAGGACATGATATGTGAATTTTATCTCAATAAAGTCAGTTAAAAAAAAAAACCTAATTCATGTTCCTTAGAGAACAATTTTAAAACAGCAAAAAGAAATAAAAATTGCTGTTGACCTCACTCCTCATAGATTCCTAGTAACAGTTTGGTGAATATCCTTCCAGATTTTTCCTAGGGGTGTGTCTAGTTTGAAAAACAAAAACAAAGATGTAAATAATGAAGATTTTAAAATTACCAAATGTTTATAAATATGATAATTTATTTAGAAGAAATTGCTGAGTAATTCTAGCTAATAATATACTTGTTGAACATTTTTTATATCCTTGGTATTTCATTTTCTCACTTAATCCTCATAACATTTTTATGAGATAAAAATTATTTTACTCATTTGTAAATAAGGAAACTGAAGCTTAGTTTTCTTGTGACTGCTTAAATGAGAAGTGACTTGCTAGAGGTCACACAGCTAGTAATTGACAAAGCCAATATAGATAAAAAATTTATTCCCAAATTGCCTTCCTGAAAGGTTAAGTTTCTATTTCTACCAGCAATGCAGAAGGTAGCTGTTTTTAAACACCTAACATTAAGTATTATCTGTAATTTTTTCGTTGTGAGATTTTGAACATGAAAATCTTTAAAAACCTGAGCTCCAAGCCCAAATCTGGATTGTGCATGTAACTCTCTTTTGGCCTTTAATGAGATAGTGTGGCATAGTCATACATGTAACAGGAGTAAGCTTAAAACAACTTCTCTACTTTTTGGGAATGCTAATGGGAATCTGTACAGTAAATACGTATGTATTTCTTATTTCATGAGAATGTCATTTCTTTAGAAAAACGAGAAGCAGTAAACTCACTGCAGGAGGAACTAGCTAATGTCCAAGACCATTTGAACCTAGCAAAACAGGTAAGGTTAACAAATGTAATATTCTAGTAGTATACTGAGGGTATGCAGACCATTGGTTTAAATAACAAAGAAATCAAGTAGGCTGGTTCCTCTTCACAACAGCAGATACCGTAGGGCCATTTATGTAACATAACCATCACATAAATAAAAGTTTTGATGGAGAGCAGTGGTTTGCTAATTTATTTTAGCCTTAGAACTCTTGATACAAACAGTTTTACTCAAAGCTAGTAAGTAGGGTGGTGGCTAGACCAGAGCCCAGCAGCAGTCTCTCAGCAGCCCTTCTTGGGGTTTCAGGGACCAGATGGGCCATCTCTCATCCATGACACAGATGAGGCCTCTAAAGGCTGGGCTTAGATTTGATTACTCCTTGAGCCATAGAGTACCCGCCAAATCTGGGCCTCTATCTTGTCAGATATTGAATATAGCAGATTTTTGACCCTCATACTTCTAATGATTTTCTTAAAGGTAATTCAGTGTTGTCCTGTGAGACTAGTGCTGTAATTCAAAGCACTTCAAACAAGTTCTAGACTTCAGTTTCTATTATGTAAATTAAGAGTTATGCCAGGTGCAGTGGCTCACACCTGTAATCCCAGCACTTTGGGAGGCCAAGGCGGGCAGATCACCTGAAGTCGGGAGTTCAAGACCAGCCTGACCAACATGGAGAAACCCCATCTCTACTAAAAATACAAAATTAGCCAGGCGTGGTGGCACATGCCTGTAATCCCAGCTACTCGGGAGGCTGAGGCAGGAGAATCGCTTGAACCCGAGAGGCGGAGGTTGCCGTGAGCTGAGATTGCACCATTGTACTCCAGCCTGGGCAACAAGAGTGAAGCTCTGTCTCAAAAAAAAAAAAAGTTAACATTAGACACAGGCCATCCCAGCACTTTGGGAGGCCAAGGCAGGTGGATCACTTGAGCCCAGGAGTTCGAGATCAGCCTGGCCAACATGGTGAAACCCCGTCTCTACGAAAAAGACAAAAAATTAGCTGGGTATGGTGGCATGTGCCTGTAGTCCCAGCTACTCGAGAGGCTGAGACGGGAGGATTGCTTGAACCTGGGAGGCAGAGGTTGCAGTGAGCCGAGATCATGCCACTGCACTCCAGCCTTGGCAACAGAGCAAGACTGTCAAAAAAAAAAAAGTTGGATTAGACATCTAAATTCTCTTGTACCTGTAAGTTTATTGAGATAATAAAGGAAATAAACTTTTATGCCTCTCGTTCTGTCAGACTTAGTAGATACTGGATTGGCACTGACCACCTCTAGTAAAGATGGCTTTATTAGTAGTTTCCACTTGTTCTTTCACCTAAAGGACCTGCTTCACACCACCAAGCATCAGGATGTGTTGCTCAGTGAGCAGACCCGACTCCAGAAGGACATCAGTGAATGGGCAAATAGGTTTGAAGACTGTCAGAAAGAAGAGGAGACAAAACAACAACAACTTCAAGTGCTTCAGAATGAGATTGAAGAAAACAAGCTCAAACTAGTCCAACAAGAAATGGTACTACACATTTATGATTTTACATAAAAAAAGCATTTTGTGGCTCATGTGAGCCTATTTTTCCCCTGGCAGAAAGCTGCTGAGAAATATCCCCAATGGGACTATGTGTCCCTTAACTGCCCTGTGTAGCCATGGGTGGCATTTATACCAACTGTGTGACTCTCTTACAGACCTTTAACGATCATAGAACATCAGTCCTGTAAAGATACTTAACAGCCACGTGCCATTTGCTGCTTGAATCCCCTCCTCACATGCTGGCCAGATAGCTTCCCAAGCCCTCTTGATCACCTCTGTAATGGAATTGTCCCTGTGGGCTGTCTTCTACTTTCTTTTGACCTGGAATCTGTCTCATGTCCATGCAGGTTCTCTGGGACACTATTTGTTGTTTAATGACTAATCAAGATTATTCTTTATTAAGATGTTTCAGAGACTCCAGAAAGAGAGAGAAAGTGAAGAAAGCAAATTAGAAACCAGTAAAGTGACACTGAAGGAGCAACAGCACCAGCTGGAAAAGGAATTAACAGACCAGAAAAGCAAACTGGACCAAGTGCTCTCAAAGGTGCTGGCAGCTGAAGAGCGTGTTAGGACTCTGCAGGAAGAGGAGAGGTGGTGTGAGAGCCTGGAGAAGACACTCTCCCAAACTAGTATGTATTCTGGAACTTCTCACTGGGAGATGGGGTATGGATTGGCTCTGCTGGTTGTCTTGCAAAAGTATTTAAAGAGATCCGGACCCCAGCCAGAGCCCAGGAGAGGAGGCAGGAGAAGTAAAGCAGGAGGTATGATAGCCCTGTGAAAGATGAGGAAGCAGGTTCAGAGGAGATACAATCCTGAGACTGACCAGCAAGTCCTTCCTTGCTCATATTGTCTCCTTTGAGAATGCCATCTCAAGAAAGTGGAACATTCACGTGAATAATTGCCAAAAGATACTCTTAAAGTATATTACCTATGAGCTTTGGGAATAATGATCTACTTCATCTCAAGTGTCAAAAAAATCATATTAACAGTTCTTTTGTCCAGATTTGGCATAGTGAATGGTACCAGAATACAGGTGTTTGCTTTTAGGTCAGTTTGTTCTCTCTTGAACCATATATAAATGAAGTTGACGTGGGAATCCAGGGTAAATGATTGTTCTCACATCAGTAAATGGTTTTTCTCTTTCTTAGGCTCCAGGGTTTAATAATGCTTGGAAAATGTTGTGGGCTTGGGGATCTGAAAGGGTTGTTATTCCTTTTTCCCTGGGAACTCTTGATATACCCAGACCCAATCATTTCATTATGAAAATGAAACTTAAAAAAATATGTCGAGTTCTGATCATGCCAGAGTTGTTGAAAAGTAAAATCTGGGCAGGGTGCTCCTCTAGGGTGATAAGAAAAATATTTTTTAAATGTCACTTTTATTTCGTAAGCATTATCTGTCGAGTACTCACTATGTACCAGGCGTTTGCACACATTATTCCAATTGAACATCAGGAAATGTTTTCCTCTTCTATAAAATGGGGCTCATGCCAGTGTAGGAGCCAGCTCCAAATCCTGTGCACTTTCCACTGCACTGCCTCCTGTGGAAGGAAGTAGTACTGGTGTGTCTCCCTTTATGAAAATCAATGTTTATAAAAAACATTTCAGCTGTTCCACACACTTCAGGATTGGTGCTGGGTTTCCTCTCACTGGTCTCAAAGACTTGAAAGAGAAGATAGTAGCTATCTGTCACTCTGGGATCAGGCCCTCCAGGAACCAATTACTTCAAAAGGCACCCTTATCTGGGTTTTTTCTGGGCCTTTGGTGTGGGTCAGGGTAGGCTTGTACGACTTTGTAATGGAGGAAAGCACCTGCATGGGTAGCATATCACCATTATGCATCTGCCACAAGGGAAGGGGAGCTCTGCCCACAGCTGGCTCGGGGTCTTTGGCTAAACCTACTGAAAATGCTCATTTCAGAACGGCAGCTTTCAGAAAGGGAGCAGCAATTGGTGGAGAAATCAGGTGAGCTGTTGGCCCTCCAGAAAGAGGCAGATTCTATGAGGGCAGACTTCAGCCTTCTGCGGAACCAGTTCTTGACAGAAAGAAAGAAAGCTGAGAAGCAGGTGGCCAGCCTGAAGGAAGCACTTAAGATCCAGCGGAGCCAGCTGGAGAAAAACCTTCTTGTGAGTACCTGCTGCCGTGGCAGTTTGTGAGGAAATGATAAATTTAAAATTTTAAACTGCAACACCACTTCAACACAGAGAAAATAAATTACCCATCAACCCAGTCCTGAACCCAGCTGTTGTTATTGATGTATTTATGCATCATTTGTCCTTGAAGTTGATGGTAAGTTTTACCTGGGACGGGTGCAGCCTCAATGGAGCTCTGGCTGGCTGGGGAGACTGTTGGTGTGAACAGCCATTATCAGCACAAAGTAGACAGCATGTTCTGCCAGCAAGCCTCAGTTTACACCTCCACTGGCAGGGAGGAGGGGGTGTTGAAGAAGCCTTCTCTAGACGGTTGTTTTTTAAGATGGCATCTTGCTTTGTCTCCCATGCTAGATTGAGTGGCGCAATCTCAGCTCACTGCAGCCTCTGCTTCCTGGGTTCAAGCGATTCTCATGCCTCAGCCTCCTGAGTAGCTGGGACTACAGGTGTGCGCCACCACGCCCGACTAATTTTTGTATTTTTAGTAGAGATGGGGTTTCACCAGGTTGACCAGGCTAGTCCTGAACTCCTGACCTCAGGTGATCCACCTGCCTCAGCCTCCCAAGGTGCTGGGATTACAGGCATGAGCTACCGTGCCTGGCTCATAGAGAGTTTATTTTTATTTTTATTTTCAAGACAGAGTCTTGCTCTGTCGCCCAGTCTGGAGTGCAGTGGCATGATCTCAGTTCACTGCAACCTCCACCTCCCAGGTTCAAGCAATTCTCCTGTCTCAGCCTCCTGAGTATCTGGAATTACAGGCGTGTGCCACCATGCCTGGATAATTTTTGTATTTTTAGTAGAGACGGGGTTCACCATGTTGGCCAGGCTGGTCTTGCACTCCTGACCTTGTGATCCACACGACTTGGCCTCCCAAAGTGCTGGGATTACAGGCATAAGCCACCGCGCCTAGCCAGTTTTATTACACTGCTGTAGTCAGTGCCTACAAATTTTTCTCATCCTGCCCTTTTTGGCCAACATTAGCTTTAATCATTATCCTAAAACCAGGAAGCTCAATCTACCATGCTTTCATCCTTGAAATAAATTTGGGAAGTGACACTCAGGTCAGAATAATTTATGGTGGATGGAGACAGGTGAGCAGCAATGGAACTGTCAAGGGGGAGGATTTTTCCACTACCCTCTGGAGGGGTTAGTGGAGCCCTGTTGTATGAAAGGAACTTTTAAACCATGTGTGTCTCTCAAAGGGGATACGCTGATAACTAGTGATAGGCAGATCGTCATAAAGATGGAATATAGATGTCTAAAATTTAATCCTACCAGTAACCCTGTGATGATGGGTATTATTATTCTCATTTTACAGACAATTAATGAAGACTCAGAAAGGGATAGTAGCTTATTATCAAAGGTAATGCTAACAGACTCTGACGTGTATATACGCCCAGCTGTATTTGATCTGCCCATGAAAGGCCGATAGAATTATCCCCATTTGACAGCTAGAGAAGCTGAGGCCCAGAAGGGGAATGAAGTTATAGAGCTAGTGAGTGTGTAAGCCAGCAAACCACACCTCCATGTGTTAGATCGCAGAGTTATTTTCTTCCTCCTGTGCTAGGAGCAAAAACAGGAGAACAGCTGCATACAAAAGGAAATGGCAACAATTGAACTGGTAGCCCAGGACAACCATGAGCGGGCCAGGCGCCTGATGAAGGAGCTCAACCAGATGCAGTATGAGTACACGGAGCTCAAGAAACAGGTGTGTGCCCAGAAAGCCCAGCTGGCCAGCCTGGGGAGAGAGGACTCACTGGGCTCAGGCAGATTGTATTGTTTTTAATATCCCTTCTATAGTAGTATAGAAAAGCTGATTATAAGAATGTTCTTTAAGTCAAATCTGGTTTTTTAGCCTTAAAATTTAGAAACACACCTTGACTATTAAAAATATAAATTTCTCTTAAATTTGACAAGCTCTTAAAATGTTAGTTTTTCAAGGAAAAAAGGTAATTCTTGAGCATCATATTTCATGTCCCAAAGAACTATGTTGAAATGCTAGATTTTATGCCATAAACAAGTCTATAGGAGCCAAAACCTCCCCTACCCCTTGAGCAAGAAAAGATGGTCCGGGGGAAACCTTTGATATCACATAATGTAGCCAGGCAGAGAGTATTAAACCAGTTCATGCCTGGACTGGTAGAGTCTCTAATCCTTGATATCTCTGGTGTCCTTTAGAGCATCTGGGCCATCCCTGAACTCTAGTCGGGCTGCTGTAGCCACTCATTTGGCCCTGCTATACTTAGTCTTTTGGGTGACCCCACGTGGCCATTCTAGTTTCATCTGTGCTTCCAATCCCCTGATGCCCCACATATACCCACCATTTAATTCAAGAAAAAATAACCAAAAAAAAATTATTTAAAGACCACAAGCCCTTAGTGATTTTGCCTTTGCAAATTTGGTAAGGCAATTAGCAGTAGGTATAAATTTCATATTTCACTAAGCTCTATATGGGGTAGAGCCACATAGAGTAGTCTCAGGCATCAAATGCAGTTGGTAACACTTTAAGAAACCTCTAGGCTGGGTGCGGTGCTGCATTCCTGTAATCCCAGCACTTTAGGAGGCCAAGATAGGTGGATCGCTTGAGCTCAGGAGTTCAAGACCAGCCTGGGAAACATGCCGAGACCCCGTCTCTACTAAAAATACAAAAAGTAGCTAGGTGTGGTGGTGTACACCTGTAGTCCCAGCTATTCGGGAGGCTGAGGGGGGAGGATTGCTTGAGCCTGGGAGGTTGAGACTGCAGTGAGCCAAGATTGTGCCACCGCCCTCCAGCCTGGGTGACAGAGCAAGACCCTGTCTTTAAAAAAACAAAACAAAACAAAAATGTATATTGCCAAGCCACCAGATTCTTCACTTATAAAATTCCAGCATTAGCATTTATAATCCAGATCACTTATGACTTATTTCAGTAAATGGCCCTTTTCTCATTTGTGGCTTATTTACTCTAGTTGCCAGTTGGGTGCCACTGAGGTGCTTCATGTAAATTCTCACTTAGTTTTTACATTTCTGAGCAGAAGGTATTTATCTCCATGTATAAATGAGGTAATGGAGGATCAGATGTTAGCCAACTTGCCCTGTCATACTGGTAATACTGGAAATCAGATTGGTAACTAGCTTTGTCTGACTCCAAAGAGATTGTCTTCTATAGAGTAATTCACCTTCAAGGAACTTTATGCACATGGCTTTTCTAAATGAAAGTTGTTCCAGTTAAAATGCCAATAAAATAATTTATTCAGTAGCTTATAGAGTCTTGAGTATCTGAAAAATCACAAGTTTTTACAGTTCTAGTAATCATAGTAGTTGATATTTATAGATCTTTAAATACATGGCACATCATACAGCTCAATTCCAAGTAAGTCTGAAATTTTATACAATGATATTTGACACCAACTCACTGTTTAGATGGCAAACCAAAAAGATTTGGAGAGAAGACAAATGGAAATCAGTGATGCAATGAGGACACTTAAATCTGAGGTGAAGGATGAAATCAGAACCAGCTTGAAGAATCTTAATCAGTTTCTTCCAGAACTACCAGCAGATCTAGAAGCTATTTTGGAAAGAAACGAAAACCTAGAAGGAGAATTGGAAAGCTTGAAAGAGAACCTTCCATTTACCATGAATGAGGGACCTTTTGAAGAAAAACTGAACTTTTCCCAAGTTCACATAATGGTAAGGGTTTATCCTGCTATTCTCTGGGTTCGTAGGATTGACCACCTCCCCCAGCTAAGCTAAAACACAGATGTGGGGGTGCTGGGGTAGGGGAGGGAAAGGCTGGTTGGCTTCCATTTGTAGCAGCAGATGATTCATGATATCTCTATTTTCCCTCTGAGAAAGGATGAACACTGGCGTGGAGAAGCACTCCGGGAGAAACTGCGTCACCGGGAAGACCGACTCAAGGTTGCCCTTTAAAACAAACAAAAAATCAGTATGAGATACTGGGCACATTGGGGAGGGGAGGGGAAAGTTACATTTACCTGATGCTTTCACATCCATGCTGTTGCAGCCCTGCCAGCAGTGTCAGGGATGGCATGTCTGAAGCTTCGAGGAGTTGGTGTCACACAGTAAATGGCAATCAGTGTTCAAAACCATGACTTCTTGTGTTGACTCCAGTGTTCTTTAACCTATGTAATGCTGCTTTACCTCAGCTAGAACCGATAGAATCTAAGTATTTGGGAGAGGAAGTAGAAACACAGTGATGAACTGTAAGGTTATCATAGGCCAGTGGTGGCAGGAAAGATTTGGGATACTGGAAAAGTAGGCTGAATGTCAGGTAAGGAATTGTTTGGCTCAGAACATGTTGACTTTGAAGGCCTTGTGAGATATCCAGGGAAGGATATCTGTCTGTAGGCAGCCAAAAATAGGAGTCTAGGATTACTGATCAGTGTTGACCTAAAGATTTGAGAGTTAAGAGTATAGGTGGGAGGTTACATTTATGTGGGGGGAATGGCTATGTAGACAGCATGGGATGAGAGAGTGCAGTGCTATAGTATTGAGTGGAGCCCTGTGATGTCCAACAATAGTCTCCAGCCATGTGTGGTTATTTAAATTTTAATAAATTATAATTAAGTTAAAAATTCAGTTATTCATTTGCCACATTTCAAGTGCTTAATAGCCACATGTGTCTAGTGGCTTCTATATTTATAGCCAGAGGTAGAACATTCCCATCATTGCAGAAAGTTCTGTTGGACAGCGCTGCTATAGACTTTGAGAGAATAATTTGATTATAGCAGGGGCAAAAGCCAAAAAGTAGTATGAAGTTGAGGATTAAATACCTAATCATTTATAGACAAGAAACTAAGACTTAGGAAAAAATACATAATCAGGAGACACTCCAGTTGTCAAGTATAAACTGATCTTCTCAGTCATAACAGAAAAGGAAAAAAGAGATGAGGCAATAATTTAATGGAGAAGCAAGGGATACAGAAATCCTAAGCACTGCTAGCATGGAAAAACTGGGCCAAGTGAAAGACCCCGTTAATGACAACACAGAAAAGTAAAGGTTTATGCACACTAAGTATCCACCTGGCACCTCCTACAATTCTTTTTAAAGATGAGCATTTTTGACAGCCATTCCTACTGTTAGCCAGATTTGCCTATCAAATGTATGTGAGGAAGCTGAGCGGCAGTTCTGGTACATTTCTTCTGTGTAAAACCCTAAGTCTTATCACACTTTTCAGGCCCAACTCCGACACTGTATGTCCAAGCAAGCAGAAGTATTAATTAAAGGAAAGCGGCAGACAGAGGGCACTTTACACAGTTTGAGGAGACAAGTAGATGCTTTAGGGGAATTGGTCACCAGCACCTCTGCAGATTCAGCGTCATCACCCAGTCTGTCTCAGCTGGAGTCTTCCCTCACAGAGGACTCTCAACTTGGACAAAATCAGGTAAGCAGCAGCTCTTTTTAAAAACAAAACAATAGCCTGAGGTTGTTTTTTGTCTTTTTTGAGACAAGGTCTTGCCCTACCGCCCAGGCTGGAGTGCATTGGTACCATCACAGCTCACTGCAGCCTTGACCTCCCAGGCTCAAGTGATCCTCCCACCTCAGCCTCCCATGTAGCTGGGACTACAGGCACACACCACTTGGCTTGGCCACTTTTTAAAATTTTTTGTAGAGATGGAGGTCTTGCTGGGTTGCCAGGGCTGGTCTCAAACTCCTGGGCTCAAGCGATCCTCCTGCCTCGGCCTCCCAAAATGCTGGGATTACAGGCGTGAGCCACCACGCTGAGCCAAGAGGAAACTCGTAAGATAGGATTTAATATATTACATAGAAAGTACTTAAAAGCCGTGGGGTGTATAATCTAGAGGAGATTCAGAAAAATATAGATTATGCCGCCTTCAACTCTCTGAAAAACTTGTCTTAGCAAAGACTTGGTAGAGGTAGATAAGCTGATGGCTTAGGAAACAGACTACGACTGCAGATTGGATGACCTGGCAGGGATATAGTTAATTCTACTATTCATGTCCTCCACTTCTGGATTTATTTATTTCCTACTCTGTCAATATAAAGAGCTTAGACCTGTGAGGCCAATATGAGTCCTAGTTTAGTATGTCTCCCTGCATTTTGTAACTTACATTTACAGAGTTGGAATTCAGACCTCTTAACCTAAGGTCTATAAAAACCCTGAATTTCACAAAGGTTTTCTGTGTGAGCTTAGATAAGGTTAATAAGCATTTAAGAGGAACATGAAATATACTCATGGAACTGGTAAGTAGTAGCACACACAACTGTCAGAGATAGGTAACAGCTTCCATTTTCCAGTGCCTATTGTGTGCACATACAAAACTTTATATATATCATCTAATTTTTACATCCTTGGAGGTAGGACTTATCCTTTTATATAGATAAGGAATCTGTACAAAATGATAAATGATTTGGTCAAGGACATAGCAAAGGACAACAGCAGGACTTGCGGGCTAATCTATCTTTACCACAGAGCAGTATATTTTAATGGTGGAGCCACAAGGAGCTTTCAAGGACAGTTGCCTCTTTAATGTGCCCAAGGTGGGCAAGTGACTTACCTAGTTCACACAGCTAATTAGCAGCAGGGCCATTAGCAGCAGGGCCATCTGAATATGATTATCTTAACACCATCTGTGGTGGACCCAGTCAGGTAAAGGCCAAAATCATCATGGGCCTTAGGGCAGGGTTCGAGGAGGAGTGTGAGAGGCACTGGGCATTGAATAGGGAAGCTTTGGGGATGAGACAGCCCAGAGTAGTGAGAGAAGAGTAGAGTGCACAAGGGCTTAAAAGCCAGCTTCAATTACCAGCTCAAGGTGGCAGCCAGAGTTATTTAGTTGCTTTAAAGGCAACCAACGCACAGTGGGTAGGGGCGAGATTGGTAGAATTATTTAGAAGTCTGGGGTTGTAATCCAGGCCTATATGGGATAAAAGCCTGAACTAGTTAAAAGTTAGGGGGCTGGCTTCTGAGCGTAACATTTTATTTCCCTTTTTTTCTGGTAAGAACAGATACTACACTTGATCTTAGTCAAAAGGCTGAGAGCTCCTTCCAGCAAGTTCTGCAAGGTCCATCAGAACCACTAGACAGTTACTGACACTGATGCCATCCCTGCTCACAGGATAGATGTTACAGATTTTTTTTTAAACTAGAACTTTTAATTGGAGGATCTTGAATTTTAGCAGTTTTAAGAATAACCGTTTAATTTTTTCTCTCAGAATTTTGTACACTGGTTCATCTTAAAACATTTTTCCAAAGAGGTACTCAAATATGTCATTTACCTATAAGCCATCATGCCATCACTTAGTTAAGACTGTTTTTACTGTTTCAAGAATTTGATTTATCCTTCCTTTTGTCTTACTGTAGGAAAAGAATGCCTCAGCCAGATGAGGAATACTGTCTTGTGTAAATATATTCAAGGAAAACACCTCCACTACCTCACTGACTTCATAATTGGAATGTCACATGGTTTTTTTAATCAAGATGCAGTGAACTGAGATTCTGAAACTCCACTGTAGTTTACTTTGCCTGTACCATTAATGCCAATGTTTTTATAAATCACTTGTACATAGTACATATGGGAATAGTTGCATATGGGAATTTAAACCAACATGTGGCTGAGCCTTTTTTTTTTTAATCTTCGTAACATGTTTAAAAAAAAACAGTGATTTTAACTGCATATTTGAACCTACAAACTGGTAAATCTTATTAACAAAAAGAATGTACTTAAGGCCCTCTTTATTTATAGTGTCGAGTTATTTTTGAATTTTGCTTAAAATCTATTTTTCATATGAAAATAAAAGATAACAATCAACTTGGGTCTGTCCTCTGACTTTACACTTCACAGGTCATTCTATGGAAAAGCCGTCAAATTTTTACCTTATTCCAAGTAAGTAATCTTTCAGGTGGTTTTCTTTTACCTGGAGGCTGAAGTACATTATACTTATCAATGAAGATTTCATCATTTGGAAATACATCAATTATAAAACTATTATGCTTCAGATGCCTTTCCTTAGCCAACATATTCTTTGGTGGAAAATCAGGAAAACTTTGTACCTTGGAGAATGTGACCCAGTGATAAATTCAAATTGTGTTGCCTTTCAGATTTTGAACTACCATAATTAACAGCTCAACTCCATGATGTATACATTTCTTTAAAAACTAGAATAGCAACTGCTCTCACAGTCTGGCATAATTATTCCCAAGGGGGAAATATGTAATAAGAAGTTTTAAAATATTCTCGGGAACTCTTTTCTAG
The DNA here is from genome assembly GCF_000001405.40 of Homo sapiens. Taxonomy (NCBI): domain Eukaryota; kingdom Metazoa; phylum Chordata; class Mammalia; order Primates; family Hominidae; genus Homo; species Homo sapiens. Next base: position 121,178,055 of record NC_000009.12, read on the forward strand.
ATCACTACTAGACAGCTTTTGAGTCACAACAGGTATGTTACCCTGTTACTAATAATACAGAGCAGCACAGTGCAGTCATCCCTCACCACCAAGGTTTTTATTCCAAAACAGTTATTTGGCTAGACGTGAACCGTTAAGATACGGGATCAATGGAGTTACAATAAAGACAATGAAAGTGACAATTTATTAATACACAGTAAGTTCTAGAAGGCATCTTTCAAAACAAAACTTGATTTCTTTTGTATTTACATTTTTTGTTTCAAGTCTTAGCAAAATGCTAAAAGGCCTGGCCTAGTCACAATTACTGACATCCTTCTGGGACACAATTTTCTGGGCCTGTGTTGAATGAGGATAAATTATCTTTTCTCTAAAATGCCACATGAACCCTCTCTATATTCCCACATGAAGAGGAATGGAAGGTAATTATTTGGTCTTTTCTTCTGTTTAGGGGAATGAACTGAACCACTCATTTTTTTAAAATCACACTTAAAAGACACATGGGCAAAAAAGTTCCCCAAAACTACTGTCTTACCGAATTTGAGAAGGGAGGTAATGTATGAAGCTTAACAGCTGGCTTCAAAAGACACCTTTCCAAAGAAATTGTACTACCTCTATTAACGTGTAAACCACCAACCAAAAAAAAATAATAAGTTACTCCATCAAACACGTTATTATCCATAAAAAAGACTTCAACATTGTACTGGAAGATCTATTTAAGCATAAATAGTACTAAGCACCAATTACTAATCTGAAGGCCTCCTCACAGGTCCAAGGGCAATGAGCAACCTCAAGAGGCAGGTGACTGCACAAGCAGTAAGCTATGGATTAAAAATTAAAAGGATTTCACATTCTTTCCAAAGTGTACTGCCCGGTGTCTGGCACACGCATGTTACAATATGACAATCTGCTCTATTTGTGAGCACCTGAGTGTATTACAGGGGATTACACATGCATATGATAGAATCTGGCTCCCGGTACAGTCAAAGGAGAACAGCATCAGCCACCAAATGTGCTGATCTTACACTGAAAAGGGTTGACTGAAAACATTTCAAGGGTAATGTAAACACAAGAATAAAGCTGTGGGTCTATTACTTAGTGATGTGGTTTTATATGCTACATACGTAGACCTCTCTTTATACAATGAATATGGACAGTGCTGCAATAAAAACTGATGACACGTCAAATTGTTCACCTGAAGAAAAACCCTATTATAGTTCAGAAAATAATGCAACCAATTTTAATTTAATCTAGATACAGGTACTTTATTTACAAATATTTAGATTAATAGCATTTTGTTACATCAAATGAAGAGTACAGCAGTCTGAATAAATCCTTCAGTCACAAAAACAATAAAACCCACTGTAACTAACTTTGGGAGTCAGGGTATTGCACCTCAACAAGCCGCAGTCTTTAGTTTGTGATTGCTACCTTATATCCCAATGGGTGGTTTGTTTGTTTTGTTTTTGTAAATATACACACACACCAGCAGGTCATGGTCCCTGGGTGAGTCCCTTGTGATGCAACAGTGTAAGCAAAATGGATCACTGTAAGTCTTTAACAGAATATACCAATCTACTCCAGAAATCTTATTTTTTAAAAAGTTAAACAAAGACAAAAATAAAAATGAATCCACAAATTAACCAAAGCCTACTTTCTGCACATTCCAGTTTTGGCTTTTATTTAACATTGACTATACAATACTCTGGTACTACCACATGTTTACAACCCAGAAAGATGTACTTTTATGTTAGTGTCTGTAAAGAGGGATTTAAAATGTGTATTTTAAACACAGCAGTTGAGCTGAGTGCATTTTCTATAGTACGCTGAGGTGTTACCTATTCTATTTCAAATAAATTCTCAATTCCCAGCCACTGAATCATAAATGCAATAAAAAAAATCAACAGAAATGAAGAACTTAATAAAACATGTTGTCCAAAAAAATAAGATTGTTTCTCTTGCTATACAGTATTAATTCAGTGGCCAAACCACCTGGTGCAAAGTAATAACTTACTTTGTATCAGCACAAGCGCTGAAACACCTTTAGAAACACTTTCCCTTTTACAAAACAATTTATGCCAACATGACATAAAACAGCCCCTCACACTGTGAACACAGGGATATCTTAAGTTATTTCACTGTAGGGTTAAAAATGCACAATTTAAAATCCCTTAACAGCAGACCTGTGGTTCTGACTGTCCAGTTCAGAATCTGACCATTCCAAGAAGATAAAGGTATAAAAGCTTAAAATGTGCAATAGTAAACCCAGCCTTTTTTCTTTTTCTATACAGTAAGGCAAGAATGCAGCCTGTAATGCAAAAACGTTTACAAAAAGAGAAAAGCAGGTTAGCACATTGTCGATTGCACAAGAACAGTTAAGAAAATCAGCAGGTAAGCAACAGTGCAAAGATGGAACAGAATCTGCTAGTGTTAATCCTCTGATGCTAGGAGCTCTTTCCAGCATAATGTCCCCAAACACTGCCAGCACCAAGGGGTGGAGCCAGTACTACTTGTGAACTGCAGTTGTGTCTATTTCTTTGTGTGAAATGGAAGGGAGTAACATGGTCACATATAGGTCATACTGTACAAACTGGTATTTTATACTGTTCCAATGCCAGTAATCAATTTATTTTCTTCATTAAAATAATATACACAGAATGTATTGTTAGTTCGATTCCTTCAAATTTTATACATATTTACTTTCTGTTAAAGAGAAAAGGATAAAATGGTATAAAAAAAGATAAAGCTATTAATTAAGCACGAGAGAGAAGATAAATGGATATTTTCCCTGTGTGAGGCTAAGACAGAAGCAAATCTCGTTAAGAAAAATGCCACCCACACAACAGGAAATTTATCCAAAACAAAACAAAAGCAGTTATAGAACCCCTTCTCTACCATCAGAAGTAATTTCACAGCAATAAACTTATTGGTTACAACAGACATACTTGAACAGTTAAGGATGGGAAGAAAGGCTTAAGATATCACCAAATTAAACCGTACAGTGAGACAAAGCCTTGCCAAAGGGAGGGTAAAAATCATGAAGTCCAGCATCAGTGCTCGGTTTAAATCATATATTGGTGACATACTTATCACGAGGACAAGGGGGAAAAAAAGTCTAGATTTACCATGCAGGAGAGATTTATTACTCTACTTGCCTTTGATAACCTGATTACATCTAGTTGTTTAGCAGTTTAGTATTGTGTTAAACTGTTTTTACAACAGAGTTTTTTCTTTTTTTTTAATTAAACCCAGTAAGATGTACAGAAGACAATGAGGCAGTAAAAAGTACTGCTTCCAACAGACAGAGGTGAAAGGTCAAATGAGGGGCCACAGCAAAGAGGTCACTAGCAGCCACAGCCTTCTCTCTGGGGTTGGGGTTCACTGGTTAGCCGGCCTCCCTGCGGGGCTGAAGGTTTGTGTTGTACACCAGACTCAGCAGCATTCAGATCCAAGCTTCCATCCTGAATGTTCTGATAGATTTTCTTGGCAGCCTCAAGGAAGGCATCTTCTACATTCTCTCCCCTAAGAGGCAATTGATAACTTTATTGGAGAACCACAGTTTTCTACAAAAGACAAGACACTGACCTTTTGCTAATCTTTAGTTAACTGCCATGATGTCTCCAACTTAACCACTGTCATCTAATAAGAGATTACCAGAACACTGAGCTAAGAGAACATGGAAAACTATTTTCCTTTTTTTTTTTTTTTTTTTTTTGAGACAGAGACTCACTCTGTCACCAGGCTGGAGTGCAGTGGCCCGATCTCAGCTCACTGCAACCTCCACCTCCCAAGTTCAAGCGATTCTCCTGCTTCAGCCTCCCGAGTAGCTGGGACTACAGGAGCACACCACCACGCCCAGCTAATTTTTGTATTTTTAGTAAAGACAGGGTTTCACCATGTTGGCCAGGGTGGTCTCGATCTCCTGACCTCGTGATCCGCCTGCCTTGGCTTCCCAAAGTGCTGGGATTACAGGTATGAGCCACCACACCCGGCCGGAAAACTACTTTCTATGGAAAGCATACATACATACGTGTACTGAAAGCCCTTTCTACAAACCCTATTTGGACAACTACATGTGTTATATGCAATCATTAAAATACTGTATGTTAATACACACCATGACAATTCAGATAGGTCATTTCTGTGATAACAGAGAGGATACTCCAAACAGAAATGAAATCTCTCTGAACATGCTGAAAAAAATTCCAAGAATAATATGGTCTGCTCAGCCAAGCATGAACTGAGCTGTTTTTAATCGGGTAATGGTGACATAATCATGCTTAGCCACGTTAACACCTCCATTCAGTTTTCTTTGGACTAATAGCACAGCTGAGACTAAACGAAAACAGGTTAGCCTCTCCTCACCACAAGAAATTTTTGGCCTAATAAATGAAGAACAATGATGGGTGTACCACAGTTCAATAGCAGACATGGAAGAACAATTAGAAAATGTTCACTATGCTTCTGAGTAGACACTATTCCCTTAAATCATGCTTTTTAATGTGATCAGAAGTATTACAGGAAGAACAGATTGACCAAGCTTGTCTGAGATGCCAAACTCAACCTCACTTGTGAAAAGTCAAACACTGTCATTTGGGAAAAGTCAAACACTTTTGAAATGTAAACAAAGTTTCATTTATTAACCTGGGTTACCAACAGGCATAATCAAGGTACAATCTTTTAAGTAACAAAAATTCATATTATTTTGAAATGTAAAAAAGGAAGCAAAGAGATGTTTGCTGTTCTTCCTGCAGTAAGCATTACACATTTATAGATAGTACTTTATATGTGTATATACATTATATACTTTTCATATATACGGTTCTACTTTGAGAAACTTGAATATAATTGAAATATCTGTATTTTGGTCACACTTACGTTTTTGCACTCGCTTCGAGGAACAATAAGCCTAAAAATAAAATTCAGACTATAATTAGGACACTTCAAACTAACTCACAAGTGCACTTCTTTAGTAACATCTGAAAAAGTTTCCCATCAGTTTTTAGTACTCCTCCCATAGTATTTTATGAAAAAGTATGTAAGTTTGAGGTGGAGAGCATCTTTATATTTGTCACTAAATAACTGTACTGCTCCAACATAAATCACACAGAAATAGAAACACATTGTTACTTCCTCATTCTTGAGATTTCTGAGTCTGCATTTAAAAAAAAAATGCAAAAAAAAACCAACAAAACTGTCAAGCCCACCTTTCCTTAAAAATTCTCCCAATTGTGACCATTAAGTCTTAAAGAAACTCACCATTTTCTTCAGCAAACTGTTTGGCTTCTTCATATGTAACATCTCTCTGTGCCTCCAAATCTGCTTTATTTCCTATGAGAATTATTACCTAATTTGTGATCAAAAGAAAGACACCTTGTAACAAAAGCAGTAATTTAAACCAACCATGCAAATTCTGAAATCCAAAAATCTTGATAGAAAAAATGACTGGGCCTAAAAAGAAAACCAAGTACTAGCAATTATCCACTAGACAGGGCTACAGATTCATGAAGTCATTACTACAAAGGACCTTAGCAATGATCTAGGTCAGGGGTTGACAAACTTTCTGTAAAGAATAAATACTATATTCTTCAGGTTTGTGGGCCTCATATGGTCTCTGTTACATGTTCGTTGCTGGGTTTTTTTGTTGTTGTTTTTAACAACCCTTTAAAAATTTAAAAATCATCCTTAGTTCACAAGCCAGTCAAAAACAGGCTGTGGGCTGAATGTGGCCCACAGGCCATACATACTTTGGTGACACCTGGTCTAGTCCAAAGATTACGATATAGCTGAGTAAGATTACTAAGGGTTCATGGACAAGCTCCAGGGGATCTGTAAATACCTTGAAATACTGTAAATACTGTAATTGTGGGCATTCCCTAGAGGAGAAGATTCATGGCTTCCATCAGGTTTTCAAACAGTTCTGAGATCCTCAAAAAGTTTGAAAGCCACTAGGTTCAACTCCTTTAGGCTATCAGTAAGGAAACTGAAGCTCAAATAAGGCAAAAGGACTTGCTGAAGGTCACTCAGTGAGTCAGTGGTAGGAGGACATTAGATCTCAGGTAGAAACCCAAACTGAGATCTTGAGACAAATACTATCCTACCCCACACTATCCCTAGAAAGGATTGAGTTTATAGTTAACAGTAACTGATAAGAGATGTCTATGTGTATACACAAGGGGCAGCTGGGAGTAGGGGTTTGGGGGCACGTATGCAGTAAGTTCAAATCCAAGGCAAAATATCACCCACCAACCTATATCCACCTTGGAACCATTCATACAAGTGAAGTTAGGCCAAAGTTAAAGGCAGCTCTGCAAAGTTGTAAGAAAAAAATATGTACCCTTGGGAAACAGCAAAGGGCTTTGGCCTTTACCTGGGGTGGGGAGGGGGGTTATGGATAAACTGTCTTTGTACATTTATGAGCTTATTTGACACCAACTGGTAAAATCCTTCCCTTTTTCCCCCTTCCAAACAGATATGGTAATCTAGATATGAACACTTTAGGAATGGATGGTTTCAACTAAAAGGCACTTCAGCCATTAACTTTTTTTCATGTAAAATTACAGCTCCTGGCTCTTCCACTTTCAAAAATGTGTGTCCATAAACCAAATAATCATTTTTATCTGAATGTAAACCTCATGCAAGGACAGTTAAGTAGTACAACAAAAGTGAGCATTCTTTAAACAGTGTGGACAAAGTGCCCACTGTGAAGGGGAAGAAACTTTCATATACTATCCATTAGTATTTTAAAAGAATAAAATAATGATACTTAAAAAGGAAATCAATTTATAAAAAATCAAGTCTGGTAAAGCCACAATGACTAGCATAGGGCCATTACAAGATAGGTACTCAAAACAAGAAATACTGCCCTGCTCCTGATTCCCTATGAATCTCCAAATAAGGCTTCTTATCTCCCTGAAAGGGAAGACATAAAGTGGCATGCTAATTACAGAGATACAAAACATGCCCACAACAAAATGGTAGAGAACACAACTTCTACACAGAAATCAAGGGCAATTCTATAGAAAATGGAGCACTTAAGAAAAACTCAAGAAATTTTTTTTCTCCTGATCTGGTTCTATTTCAAAGCACATAAATGAGGCAGGAAGGACACAGGGCGGTAAGGTTAATTTTATTATACTCCTCCACGGGCCCTCTACAATGAGTTTTGTTTTTAATATTTTACTTGAAATAGCTATAGAGTCACAGAGACTTACAAAAAATAACAGTGAGGTCCTGTGTACCCTTCACCAAACTTCCCTAATGGTAGGATGTTATGTAACTATAATACACTCTCAAAACCAGGAAACTGACATTGGTACAATCTGCAGCCCTTATTCAGATTTCAGTTTTTACACATTCTCAGGCACATGTGCGTTCGTGCATGGGTGGTTCTATGTAATTTTATCTCAGGTGCAGATCTCCATCATCACTATCAGGATACAGAACTGTTCTATCACTACAAAGAAACTGCTTCTGTGCTGCCCTCTATGTCATCACACCACTACCACCCTCCACCCCCTTTGCTAATCCCTGGCAATCACTAATCTACTCCCCATCTCTACAATTTTGTCATTTTGAGAATGTTTTCTAAATGAAATCATACAGTATGTAAACTTTTGAGATTGGCTTTTTTACTGGGTATGATGCCCTTGAGAACCAGCTCAACTGCTGCATATATAAAGAATTCATTCCTACGTACGGCTTAGTAGTACTCCACTATAGAGATGTTCCGAACTGTTTAACCATTCACCTGTCAATGGCCAGGTTGGGAAACACCTAGGTTTCCAGTTCTGGGCTACTGGAAATAAAGCTGCTATGAACACCCATCTATAGGTGTGTATGTAAACCTTGGGTTTAATGCGATAATGGAAATGAAAGTTTCAGGCACAGTCCCTAGCATGATAGGCAAACAATGTTAACTGACTCTCAATATGATTAAACCACCATTTCCTGATAAAAGCTCATCTTACCACTGATAACACAGTTCTTGAAGGAGGCCTCTACCAAATGTTGGGGGTATAAAGCCAAGTGAGACACAAGCCTTGTTCCTGAGAAACTCAAGTCACAGCTCAGTGTGTCTTTCCTCACATTGTTCCTGGCATACCCTCAACAATATCTACTGAAACTTCACTCACCCCTCAAGGACCAGCTCAAACACCACTCCTCTGTAAAGCTGCTTTCTCTCCAGACGGCACTGATCATCCTAGGCTCTCCAGCACTGTGCCAGTCCCTCTATTTCTAATTCGTGCTTCAATCTACTTTGCAGCACAGTTATCTGCATATCTGCTGGTTCTCTCCCTGCTAGACTATAAGCTCTTTGGGACCAAGGATCCATGTTTATCTTTGTATACTGCAGAGTCTAGCATGGTGGCTAGCCTTTAAAATCTCAATAAATATCATCTCAGTCTGGTTAAGAAGCTAATGTTTTAACACATATAGAATCCTTTTTATTTTTGACTGAAATTTTTATCCTTAATTCTCCTCCTGTAGTTGAAATTTTTATTGAGGTAACGCAGATTCACATGCAGTTGTAAAAAACAGTACAGAAAGATCTCTTCTACGTTTTGCCCAGTATCCTCCAATGCTAAAGTTTTATGAAATTAATGCAGATCCCTTTTAAAATCATAATTTCAGATTTCATAGTCTTCACATGAGATCACCACTACATTCATAATAGTAATGACAAACATGAACAAAAAACCTAGGTATAATAAAATGCAAAACCTGGTTTAATAAGAACTGAAAAATAACTGTTAGGTTTTCTTCAACTAATTGAAGAATACAATAAAAATTCTCTCATTCTTAGTACCTGAAGACAAAAATCTCACCAGTAAATGGCTTCCCTTTTTGGGTTAGCTTAGTTCTTAAATTTTCTGTGTAATAAGATGCCATTTAACTTACAGTATTTGGATTGGTGAGATTCCTTGCATCTGTCAACCAGCTGCTTAAGTGGTTATATGTACTTCTTCTGCAAAAATAAAAGTTTAAATTTGTGACTGCCATATAATTATAGAAAAAAAACTTAAATATTTAAAATACATATTTAATCAACATATCCTAAAATAATAATTTTGCTTTGACCAGTTACTCAGAACAGTAGTTGTGAAATACAACTGCATACTTTTCAAAAATCTAGCCAAACCTAATATTTTTAAATAAACAACTCAATATCCAACAACTTTGATAATTACAGGTCAGGAGTAAATTGTTTACTCCTAAAAGCATACCGTAAACAGACCAATAAGCAAGCAAGGAACAACACAGTAAATTGATGGAAATGCCAATGTGGAGTCAAAACTCAAATTACTTTGAAATCATACAGACTTTCAATCACAAAGCACAAAGTTGTATCAAAATGCCTAAACATGACACATTTAATGGAAGACACTTTTGCTTGTCTTTAAATTTTAATTTCATTAAAAACCAAGTCACACTATTATAAGCTGGCATACAATTCACCTTTCCTTAATAATTTAAAGAGCAAGCTAACTATAACAGCATAAAATTGACTTTGAAGACATTTGACAAGAATTCAAGTCCCCAGATATCAGTGAAAAAGTTCGTCCTAACTTTGTTCTCTTATCTATCAGGCAGCTAAATTATTCTGGAATTCTAACTGCCCAAGCAAGAGTTTAAAAACTCATAGGCTCATTTGCACTAGCCAAGTAAGCTCTAAGATAAGTAAACAAACCCAAATATTTGTAATATCATACACAGTAGAATCTACCAAAGGGGTCAAAGATAATAAAATTTTTGAGGTTAAAAATGTTTCTGATTTATAGACTCACAGAATGTTAGTCTATCTTACTCGTTTAACATGTGAGGAAACGGAAGCCCATAAAGACTTAACTGGTGTCAAAATCAGGCCTAGAACTCTTTTACAAATACCACATGTCCTTTAAGTGTTTCTAGTTTAGTCCTGTGAATATATTCCATGATCTCTAGCTGCCAGTTCTCATAGAAAATCTGTTATTCAAAGTATATAGTTCTTTCCCAATGAGAACTGAAAAGAACTCCTTAGTCAGACTTTTATTGTGTTACATCATATTATTCATAAATCACCACTTAGATGTCAAAAAAGTCATATATATCAAAATAGCCCCTTTCCCCCCAATGTTTTAGAATTTTCTAAGTAAACAATGATAAAATACAATTTTTAAAAAGCACAAGCCTTATCTGTGTTTGATATTCGTATTATTGGCATATCTTGACTTTATACAACAGGTATGTTTTACTACTTCATGCATAAACCTTAAACAAGTCCGAACATTTCTACTGACTTTGATGAACTTTAAAATTTCAAAGCTGACACAGAGAGTGAAGTACACAGAAAAGCCTAGTACCAAAATCATATAAACCATATTACTTACATGTACTATAACTTCTGCCAATGATTCTGGTAATTGTTATTAATTTAATATTCACTATAATTATAATTTTAAATCTATAAATAAATATTATTCAAATATTAATTGGTGGTACTAGTACTAAAAAAAAAGTGCTAAAATACTAGATATGTCAAAATGTTATGGCAAAACAACTGTCACGACAAGCTACGCTGTCAATTTAGAAAAGCACCCTGTAACAATGAGAGTTAATGACAAAAATAAAAAGGGACTTTTACGTTTGTAAAATGTCAAAGAATAACAGAAAAAAATTGCTGTCATGACTGCAACACCAAAGTCACTATAAAGTATCACTTTAGCGCCTGACTAAAGCCTCGGGTACTCTTTTCCAGTAACAGTTTTTATTACAATATAATGAACATATCATAAAGCTTATTCTTTTAAAGTACGTAATTTAGTTGTTTTAAGGATAGTTACAAACCTGTGCACTGATCACCACTATCTAATTCTAGAACATTTTCATCACCCCAGAGAGAAACTCTGAACTCACTTAGAAGTCACTCACTCCCATCCTCTGGCAATCCACTTTCTTTCTCTATAAATTTACCAGAATATAAATTCTCGATATTTCATAAATGAAATCATACAGTATGTGTCTCTTAGTGTCTGGTTTCTTCCACTTAGCATAATGTTTTCAAGTTTCATCTATGTTGTGGCCTGTATCAGTATTTCCTTCTTCCTTATAGCTGAGTAACATTTCATTGTATGGATATATCACAGTGTTTATCCATTCATCAGTTGATGCATGTTCTGGTTGTTCCCAGCTGAAGTACTTTTTTTGATGACTTGAATAGACACAGATTTTACCAAAAGTATTAACTATGCTTAAAAGATATGCTTAAAAGCAAAAACAATATTCTTAGCACACATCACCATACTTAAATTTTATTGAGTTTTTAATTATGTGAAGTCTTCAGAAATGCATTCCTTATAAAATCAGACAGTTCTGCGTAGGCGGCCAGGTTTATTAACAGTCTTCCCATAATACTCTTGATCATATCACAGATTGCCTGGCTATAATGAAGGGCATTAAGGCTTGTTTCCCTTTGAGGCCACCCAATTCTAGAATTTACTGAAAACTTTAGGCACTATAATTATAATTAGTCAATATCTTTATTCTAAGGCAGCATTTCCCAAAGTGTGTTCCTCAATAAAATAAGCTTAGGAAACACCAAATTAAATAAAGTCATACAGCAAAGAATTTCTTACTGCAGAACTTCCCAGAGTCTTAATATGCTAACGCACATTATGACACATCAAGAGGAAACCTTTTAAGGCATTTTCCGAAAGGAAATATGCTTTAAACTCTAATTATCACTTGGTCCCACTCGCCCATCTTTACCCCCAAGAAACAGAGTCACATTGCTTTTGACTGGCACTTTACATCAACATGAAAGGTGATCCAGTTCATTTTCTAGCTTACAGTAGACAAACAGTGCAGGGTCTAATCAAGTGGCACAGTTTTCCATGTTCTCCAAAGTCAAACCTTTATGTACAGTAGTTTTATTACTTTACATCAAGTGCTTTGGAATTCCAGAAACAGTCATGTTGAAATAAATTTAAACCTACTGCATGTAGTATTTGAAGTCATTTCTATCCATTTTAAGAGAAAAAAAAATTAGTAAATAAATACTCAAACACCTTCAGATGCAAGCATAAAGTTTTTTATAATCTACCATGCTGGACTAGCAAAACTCTTTGCTTGGCCTTCTTTTGAGAGGTGTAAACTTTAACACTAGAGACTAAATAGAGTAAGTCCCAAGAGTGAGTTGCTTGCTTTCTACTTAAAAGAACATTTTATATAAAATATTATTTCTCCTCAAATCATTCAACTGAAGCTGCTTTTCAGAACTGTATTCTTCTATTAGCTTCACCCAATAACTAACTCCCTAAATTTTTCTTCAGTCATAAAAACTTTTGGAAAATATCAATGTGTTATATCAAGTTTTACATGGCAACTTAAGAAACCATAAAAAACAAGTAAGTTCATTCACAGTCATACAATTACAAACTAAAAAAAATGCCTATCAATTTTTTTTTAAATGCCCAAAGTAGATTTATTTTCCCCATATGAAGGTTGAAAAATTATCTCTTACCTAGTGATATCATAGACCATAAGAGCTCCCGCAGCTCCTCTGTAGTAGCTCCGTGTAACAGCCCTAAATCGCTCCTGTCCTGCCGTATCCCAAATCTGCAGTTTTATTTTTTGGCCACTAACTTCGATTATTCTTGTACCAAATTCAACACCAATTGTGTGAGGACAATCAGCCATAACTGTTAAGGAGGAAAAAAAGTAATAGCCCAATTTTCAGAAAACTTCAAATTAAGCCTAGAGGGGGAAAATCCACTAAATAAGCAAATGGCTTACTAATACTTACAGGCTATAAATAGACTAAAGCTACCGCTAAAAAAAAAATTAACAAACACCCAGAAGTAAGAAGTCAGGGAAATGTGACTGTACTAGAATCGGGGTCAGCAAACTTCTAGAAAGGACCAAGCAGAAAATATTTTAAGTTTTGCAGGTCAAAAGGTCTTTGTCACAAACTACTCAACTCTGCCACTGAGGCATAAAAGCAGCCAGAGACAATATGTAAAACAGGCATGGTTGTATTCCAATAAATTTTATTCACAAAAACAGGCAGTGACTGGATTTGCCCCACTGGCCACCGTTTGCTGACCCCTCGACTAAAATAATCTGCTAAGTAAAAATAAGGATTTTAATTAATTCTTCACAATATCAACATTATACCATTTAGCCTTCTTACAATCATTATCTATAACAGATCAATCAATGGTCTTGGTACCCTAGGAGTTGTTAGTCAAACAGATTCTTATCCCAGAAAATATCAGTGTCTCAAAGAAAATCAGCATGTTTTATATATATATGCATATATTTTAGAGACAGGGTCTTGCTCTGTCACCCATGTTGGAGTGCAGTAGCACAAGCATAGCTCACTGTAACCTCGAACTTCTGGGTTCAAGCAAGCCTCCCACGTAAGTCTCCCAAAGCACTACTGGGATTACAGGCATGAGCCACCACACCTGGCTAACATATACTACTTATTATACAATGACAAGTTATATATGTCTAAGCCAATTAACAAATTTATTAGTCCTTTCCTTATAATGAGGCCACTTAAAACCTAAACCCACCATTCTCCAGTACAAGGACACAGACTTCTGGGCACTTCATAAAATGTTACATCAAACCTCTGTGGTAAGCAGCACAAAAATGTCAAAGAAATAATTTCAACTATACAGAAACACTTTCAACTATATTTAGCATATCAGTTACAACACATTGGTCCCTTCTATCACCCAAGAAAGAGTAGAAAGAATTCCATTTTAAGTATTTCAAATCTGTTATTTAACAAATGATACATGCAGCAAATTTCTCCTAATAAGACAATCAATTCCTGTAACAGAAAGTCAGAGAATAAAAAGATTAAGTTTGACATTATTTTATGTATTTTTAAAAATTATTTTAACATCAAGAAATCAAAACAAGCAAATCAGATTATATAATGTGTATAAAAATCAACCCTAAAATATGCTGGCATATTTCATTTTATCTGTACCCATTTAAAAAAAGTACAAATATAGGGAAAGGTTATATTTAAATGCATGAAGTATACTGAAAATGACACTTTCTAAAAAGTAGAAACATGGCGATAAAGAAAACTATTAATGTTTACCTCATGTATTGAACTTACATTTTTTTTCTGTAAATTGATGAAGCAAGCAAGATTTTCCTACTCCCATGTCCCCTGTTTAAAAAAAAAGAAGTTTCAGGTGGCAATTACATTTCTCAATTTTATGCAATGATCGCTATATTCCTTACCATATAACATATCACAAGTTTCTGGGACACTTAACAAATTTTTATTTTCCTACTTTATAATGATTCAAAAGTTTTCACTGTGAGACACAAATGGAATATTATTCCCAATCTTTAGCAGTGACAGAATTTGGCTGTAAATTATTACTGTTAATAAATAGCCACCAGCTGGGAAGTGCTTATTTTTTTAATGGAATTTTTTTTACTTTGAGCTGTTTCAAAATTTTATGTTTTTGTTTTCTTTTGTTTTTTTCCTTAAACTCATGCATAAAAGCAACAAATTTCAAAAACTGACAAATGGGGTAGCATGTAACAAGCAGAAATAACAAACTGAGTTCTGGAAGCTTGATTCACTAGGTCCCTGTCTTATACTTCTTGTATTATTCTATGAAAGAAAAGAATTTGCATTACATGAAAACCCCAGGAGAAAAGATGTCATCTCTGACTGTACTATAGCAATGTTAACCCTTGATGAAGGAAACATTAGAAAGGACACATTAAGTTCAACATGAAAGCAAACTGTTCTAATGTGAACAATTCATTGAAAAACGTGTACTTTCAAATGTAGTTTTATGTTTGGATAAATAGCATTAAGACTTAATTTGAGCAAAACCTTCTTGAAACTTAAGGAAAAAAACACCAATTAAGAAAAATACTATATTTTATATATATTACACAATTGATTTGGAATCAAACAATATTCTCTACCAATTTTTCCTTATAACAGAAACCCAGGGGAATCTGAGAGCTTTCACAGTATTTTAGGAATGTTTCTGCACTCCTTGAAACACTGATACTTCCTAGCATCAAAAAGCTTTCAAGCAGCCCTCAAGAACAATGAACATCACTTCACAAGGTACCCACCAGCACTGTACCACAGAAATATCCATGGCCACAATGCAAAAGCTGCATTGCTAATGCAAAAATAAATCTTATAAAAGGAGTTTTAGTTTTACAGTAAGAAAATCACTCAGTCCTGAAGTGGTACTGTTTAAGTATTAACATATAAATATTTTGTATGTTAACCTTCTTTTGGGAACAAGAGTGTAAGTTAAATAAACTTACCAATAATAATATATTTAAAGATGTAAGAGTAGTTGTATGGTGCAGTTGCCATGGTGGCACTAAAAACAAAGAAATCTCTGTTACTTCAGAAGGAAAGCATATACAAGTAATTCAAACGGATGACTGATATCCTTTAAAGGTAGAAAAGGACACTGAATACAAACAAATGTTGGTTACAGTAAGTCAAAATAAAACTGCATTTCACAAACTGATCAAATACACAAATTCTCTTGGATGAATGATGCTTACACATTCTCATGTGCTATCCACAGAAATATAAGAAACCATTTATACCACAACTCCAATATTTCACTTAATATCCACTAGAACTTAAAAGTATAATTTAAAAAAAATCCAATAAGTATTAATCTGAAAATTGTCAAACAAAAAAATCTTTATAAATTTAAGTTAAACATCACTATAGTCTCTTCTCCCCTTAAAGTCCCCTTCCCTGTTAACTGATCAAGTAAGTTACTAATGATCTACTTGTTCAGAACTCTGATATTAAACAGAATGGTATATAAAGGAACCACTTAATTTATAAACACAAAACAACGTTTTTACTCTACTTTAAATCAACAGTTAGCAGCGCAAAGAGCAATCGTATGATTTCCAAATCAATGTTGGAACTAGACTGAATCACATGAAACTGTTCTTCCTATAGATTTTTCAAGTCAAAGTTTATTGGCATTTTCATATAGCTCAACCTAATACAGGACTTGCAGATTATCACTCACACACACACACACACACACACACACACACACACATTTTTTGAAGACCAGGCTGGTCTTGGGTCTTGAACTCCTGGCCTTAAGCGTCCCTCCCATCTCAGTCTCCCAAAGTGCTAGGATTACAGGCATGAGCCACTGTGCCCAGCCAGATTAACAACATAGTAAGTGCTTCCCATACACTATTCTAGGGACTGAAAGAAATAATGTCATAAAATTGTACTTATGGTTGCAAAATTTGAAAGCTTGTGTATTAGAAGATATTTCAAAAGATCACAGCCCATTTCTTACCCTCAAATAGACTTAACCTAAAGAATTCTAATTTCTCTTCTACTTAAAAAGAAAACAAAAAACTTTCCAATTTATTCAAATGAATTATCTGAATGTGTAAGACACGTGCTAGGTCCTAGAGAGAAACAAGGGGCTGAACTGTAAAACTGGTAATAACTTTCAATAAAGTTTATTCTCAAACCAGCTTTCAGCTTAAGACAAAAATTATTTATACATATAAAGATTTCACCCATTTAAAAAAATCTGACTTACAGTATTTTTAAGCCTGGCTTTTAGTGTTTCTGTCAATGTCACATTACACAAGCCAGACATTTAATATGACTGGAGAAATTTATTTACTGAAATTATCACCTTACTATATACCATATTTCAAGCAAAAGTTCTATATAACAACATTGAACCCGTAGAAAGAATATATATTTAAAACAAGTGTATTATTATAAGGGAAGAGGAAGTTGTTAATTACAGTAAAGTATTAATCACTTCCACACACTACAGTCTTCTCACTTAGCTATCTGTATTACATTTAGTGAAAGTAGAAGCCTTGTTACCCATTCCAGTTTGGCATGTTCTAACACATTTATAATCAGTCTCCTGCATCACAGAAAACTCCCTTAACCAGTTCTTTCAGGAAAGGGAGTTTTTCTAGTTAGATTAACTGATTCTGAACATCACAACAACTTTATTCCCTTTTCCAGGCACTAGGAACTCAAAACTTTTAAGAATGAACTTGGTCCTGAGACTAAAACTGGTCTGGATTATTTACCTGATCTCTGAACCAGATGCCAAACACAAGGGGGAAAAGTAATCTCTTACATTAAAAATATTTAAAGATTATTAACTTCTTAACTTGAATTCTTCCGACTCTTCTAATCAATTTTTAATTCTTCTAAATTCTTTCCCCATTCAAACCTGGGTAAAAGTAATCACTTAGTCACCTTCAAATTACTGTCTCTTCTGTGCTCTTCTCCCTTGATTTTCCTAATTTCTTTCCCTCTTCTAACTAAAGGTTGTAGCTGTACATACTTTGCTCCTTCTATTTTATGTTAAAGCTATGACTTCTAACAATCCCAAATTTCTACTTCAAATGCTTTAAAGACTATCATAAAATTGTGACCCAATTTTAGTTGTACTAATTTGTGTACCTGCTAATTATCATACATTCATTAAATGTGAGATAACTAATTTTGAAAATGTATCTTAAAATTACAAACATTCATATAGTAGAAACTATTTCC
Source organism: Homo sapiens (assembly GCF_000001405.40). Taxonomy (NCBI): domain Eukaryota; kingdom Metazoa; phylum Chordata; class Mammalia; order Primates; family Hominidae; genus Homo; species Homo sapiens. The sequence continues at coordinate 121,195,621 of NC_000009.12, forward strand.
AAATAAAAGAAATGATCACTATTTCGGATTTAATACCAGGGCTCTGTCTCACCACACCACACATTTTTCTTGCTCGTTTCTTTAAAAATTACAAATAAAAACCATAAAAGCAGAATTAAAGGAAAACTACTCAAACTTACTAATTTCAGTAAACAAAGGCAGAAAACATTTAACACTGTAGCCACCAACACTCACAACAGGTCTTCCCTTTCTTATTCTAAGAAGATACTGTCTAGATTTAAATATATTCCCATAGTTGACTGATATTAATACATTTCAGTCAAAAGTATTTGCAGTAGAATTATATTCAATACTAAATAGGCTTAATGTTGCTTTAACAAAAGATTTCTCAGTCTCATTTCTTGAACATGAAACATACTATTGTTAAGGTGAGGAATATATTTTTACCTAACTTTGGAAGGGAAAAAATTCTTCCCCTATTATTTAACAGTACTTTTGCTTTACTTAGAGAACTCTTGAGTCTAAAAAAAAGGACAGGAAATGCTGGTCTGGTTCAAACTCTGAAAACATGAGCCCACTTAACATTACAATCCCCATAAATGAAAAAAAAAATCCTGGTAATATTCTATAACTTGTATACAACTACCGGGACAATTAAAATTCACTTTATTCCACATTTTACAGAAAGTATTCGAATCAAGTTCATATGTAAGTAAAAGATCTTTATTGCCTTTAAAGGAAAAAAAGTACCACATATTTAGACAACAGGCATTTAACACATAATCAACAATTTGCAAACTAATAAGAAATACAATTGTGAGTTACTATTTATTGGGTACTTGACATATGCCGGGCAATGTGCTAAATATTTTACATACAATTTCATTTAATCCTTACTACTATCCTATAACATAGTTAATTATTATCCTCATTTTACAGATGAGGACACAGACTCAAGAGGTAACATGCCCAGGTCACACAGCCAAGTCTGTACTGAACCTAGGACTGTTTTAACTACAGAGATCCCCTCTTAACCACCACACCATCCTGCCCTCTCCACCGTCGTGCCTCCTCCACATGGTTATCAGCTGTACCATGTAGCTCTGCAGTATTCACTCGCTTAATTATAATTTAATATTCTGAATAAGATACATGAATTACATTCAGAGGATGCACTGCAGTCAGAATTTATAGATATAAATGACTGGTAATACTAGTAATACTAACTTATAATACTATAATTCATTTACTTAGAAAAAGTTTCTTGAGAACACTTGAGAGTAAACCATGTAATGATCTATACTACTTTTTATAATTCTTACTTAATTCTCACAACTCTGCAGAGTCATTATCATTATGTCCATGCAAAAAATTAAAGAAACTGAGGTTTGGAGAAATTCACTCATTTGGCCAATGTTATAAAGTTTGTAAATGGTAGACCTAGAACTTGAACCCAGGCCTGATTCCAAAGACCATGATTTTCTCTAAGGTATTATTAGCTTATTTCAGGTATGTACAGGTAGACTGATAAAATAAAAATCAGAGAAAGAGGAAGGATATTAGTGCATGTAAAATTTAGCTATAAACTACCCTTGCTGCCAAGAGAAATATTTACTAAATGCATAGTAAACACTAACAACTGTGCCATGTATTCAACTGACTCCTTAAAAATATTAATATGCTTAATATTGCTTTAATAAAGGATTTCTCAACCTCATCTCCTGAACATGAAACATACCAGTTTTCACCACTGGGGAAACATACCATTTCACCACTGTGAAAATATACCATTTTTCACCACCATTTTCACCACTGTTAAGGTGAAAAATGTATTTTAAAATGGGGTACGCCATCTTGTAAAATTCTGCATATTTCTTTTACTCAACAAAATGATAGACACATTTTCATGTCAGTACATTTAGATCTAAGTGGTTACTGAACAAATATTAAACACTAATTATTGTTGTGACAAAAATAGAATGCATGGTTTCTATTTACTGAATCAGACACCTTTCTAAGATTACACAGACATATAAACGACTAGTTTTGAAACATGTAGGTACAGATGTGAAGGTATACACTTTCATACATACTGCTTGTGGAAATGTGCCAACATTTTGGAAAGTAATCAGTATGTTTAAAAATCTTAACAATAATCCAAATCATCCTTTGGCCCAGAAAGTATCCTACATATACAAAAGCTTCAGCCCATAAGGCTACAGGTATTAGTGCATTTAATGCACCATTTTTACAGCAAAAAACTGGAAATAATCAGCAAAGAAATGACTGAATAAAGTACATCTATAATACAAAATAATATCCATGTAGTTTAGAAACCATTTTGATTGATATGCATTAACCTGGAAATACATCCATGATTTTGTTAAGTGAAAAAACACATGTTGCAGAGTTTTATGCAACAGCATACCCCACTTTCAAACACACACACACACACACACACACTCAACCCTATATTCATATAATATGGAATACACACCAAATTGTGAAAAATACATGGACAGGAGAAACAGGGAATAGAGAAATTATTAACTTTTCTTTATATATCCCTGCACTGACTTACTATAATGAATTAAAAATAAAATTTTCTCTACCGATAAATATTTCAAAAGCCCTTTTCTATTTTAATACAGGTTAAAGAATACCCAAACAAAAACAAACAAATCTCCCACTCATAATATTCCCAACATTATTTCCGCATTTACTGATAATAAGAGGAATATCTTATGAAGCCAATAATACGATTGGGTTCAAAATAGAAAAACCAACACTCAATAGTAGAGGGCATATTTTTGGGAGTTTTTTAATAGCTTAACTACTTACTGTTTGCTCTGATTTTAAAAACTGTTATACAGCTATTCTACTCCTTAGAACCTATGATGTTACTGTATAATTTTTACATAGCTGATCCAAGACATAACAAGGGAAAAGCAACCCATTAAATATTCCAGGTAATTTAATTCTTATCCTTGTTATTTCCACTGATAAGTTTTTTGTTTGTTTTTTAACATGCACGACGTTTTGTTAAAAATACCAGAGCTGAGATGGACTGCTTCTGTAGTTCCAACATAAACATATCTGTTAAGTATCTACTAAGCACAAAGCATTGTGCCAGGCTTTAGCAAGACAGCAATGATCAAAAAAGACAACACTGTCTCTGCCTTCGTGGAACTCAACAACAGAAGCATGCTGACTTGCTTTAGAGGCCCACTAAAATGGACCACTACTACCTGATTTGTCAGTCAGGCGGATAAAACTTCTGTAGTTAATCTAATAATCTAATCTAATAAAAATGAGTGGTCAATTTCCTCAACAGTAGTACAAGTAGCCCACCCACTTAAAAAAAAAACCTTACTTTTGACAATATACTTAATGTCACTTTTATATAAATAATGTGAATCATTTTTAAAAGCTGGATTGCTTAATGTGGCAAAAGTAACTTTGATGGTCTTCTATATACAGGAAATAAAGTATTCTAATACTGGACCTCTGTTTACAGAAAGAAAGCACTTAACAACCAAAAAGCCAAAAAAAACCCCTGCACTTACTGCTCAAGTTAAAAGGATTAATAGTGAAAATTTTACTACCGATATTGTGTCTGAGATTTGCTTCAAAATAATTTGGCAAGGAGGAGGCAAGTGTATATTGATGAAGCAAGACTGATCACTGTTGACACTGGCTGATAGGTATATGAATGCTCAGTATGCTACCTGATTTTGTATATATTTAAAATTGTCTAGAATAAGAAGCTTTTTAAAAGTCAAGTACAGTACCTCTAATACTTCTATTTGTCAAACTGTTGTCTTTAGCCATGCCTGGCATTTTTTACCACATAAAAATGTTTCAAGCCTCTTTTAAAAAACATGAAACATCTCTCAATAGCCCAAGTTTTCACATTTTATTTACCTTAATCAAGTTTCCTCCACTAGCACAATATCTTACTGTGACTATGCAAAGATATTTGATATTGATAAAAATGAACACTCCAAATTCTGTTGCAAAGTTGAAGTATGCAACAATGATAAAGTTTAACTGTAATACAAAAAAAGCAACAACTTTTTAAGATGTAGCTTTAATTTCAAGGGATTTTTTAATAGCTATTATAATCTAAGGTTTTACGTCTTTACAATAACTGCCATTTATTGAGGGCCTAACACATGCCAGCTACTTTATAAACAGTCTCTAATCCTAAAAACTCATTTTTCAGATAAGGAAACCGAAGTGATCTACCCGTGGTCATACTACTACTAAATGGAGAGCTAGAATTAAGGCCCAGGTTTAACTCTACATGTAGCTCTCCAAAGCTATACTCCTCTCTCATTCATTCAAAAGATATTAAACACCCACTATGTGCCTGGCACTGTTACAGGCACTGATTTACTATATGCCAAGCAATGTGCTAAGGGCTTTCTTTAAACCCCATTTAATCCTAGCAACAACTCTAAGATGCAGGTCCAATTATCCCCTTTATAGATAAGGACACTGAGTCCGAAAGGTTAAGTAACTTGCTTAAGATCACTTAACTAGGAAGTGGCAGTACTGGAGGGAGAACCCTTGACAGTATGACTCCAAAACTCTTAACCACGACATACCTCTAGGCATGATCAAATAAAACTGCCTAAACAGAACTTGGAAGAAAAAATTTGGAAAGGCTTGGGGGAATAAAGGGGTAGGAGCTGGATTACTGCAAGGTCAAGTTTGTCTTCAACAATCAAATCTAAATAAAAGGCAGTTGTTCCTCTACAATATTTACCTTAGAAAAATAAAAGAATTTTTTAAAGGCAGTTGGGATAGTAACGAAATGAGCAGTAAACTTTGCAAGAGTTCAAATCTGGGCTCTGACACTTGCTGTGGGGTCACCAGGAAGGCACCTGTCCTCTTGGAACCCGTTTCTTCTTCATATATGAAACTGAAATCCTGGCATCTCTCCTTTGGGGTTTGTAAGCATGAGGATTTGCCAGTGTAGTGGTTGACTTTATGGACTTTAGGTCATAAAAGGGTAATCAGCTGTCATCCAATGCGAACACAGTAAAAAAGGAATAAAGTTGTAACTACATTATAAATGGTCATGTCTGTAACCCTAGCCTAATTTTTGAATGTAGTACAGAAACCACCAGCCACAGTGTGAGCCGAAGCCAGTTTGTAATGTACCATCAACAGCCAGACACACATCACAACTTTAGGCCTCAGTTTCCTCACTTATGAAGTGGAGACAACTTATCTCCGAGGGCTACGCGGGGCAAGATAAATAGGTACAAAAATACATAAATATGTACCTGGCCCACAGTTAAAACGCTTAAAACACTCCAGCTCTGTCGTCTTCTCTTAGATTCTAGAAATGCCACAACTTTCTCTTATTTCTAGATGCTCTGTAGGTTCAGGGCCGTAGAGGCTGTCCACGGGCCTCACAGGAACGCACCAAAACCAGGACATCGCAAGCACAGGCGCACAGACCCAGACCCCGGCCCCGGCCCGGCCCGGCTGCAGGGCCGGGCTCCCCACATCGACAAGGACACCGGAGCTGCCCCGAGACGCCAAGAGGGCTGCGAAGAGCTGCCTTTGTACTCAGAGCCAGACGCGGCCTACGGGACGGGACCGCCACGTCTGGGGCTTGCGGGCTGCAGGGCGGCGCGGCACGCGTGGGTACACCCTGCGGGGGCGGGCTGCGGCCGCGGGGAACAGCGGCGAGAGGGGGGCCCGCGGGAGATGCGGTCCTGCCCAGCCGCGCCGAGAAGGCGGGGAAGGCGAGGCCGGAACACACCCTTCCCTGCACGCCTCGGAGCGCCCCGCCGGTTGGGGAGGGCAGGAGGCTCAGGCCGGAGCCGCGCAGGGGACACCTCCGCCCCCGCCCAGGAGTCCTGTCAGGCCGGCGCCGCGGCGCTCACCGCCGACCCACGGGCTAGCCACGGCCTGACGGGGCCTGGCCCCGGGGCGCCGCCCGCCTGCGGCCCAGTCTCCACCGTCCCCACACACGCCCCTCTGAAGAACCCGGCGCGAGGAGGTATCAGCCGGCCGGACACTACGGAAGGCCCGGGTTACCTGGGGGGTTGCTGGTGGCTGGGCAGCTTTCCGGGCGGGAGGGGGGCGTCAGGACCAGGAACAGGAGTGCGGACGCAGCGGGAGAGGGGGCGGGGGCGGTCGACCGAGGCGCCGGCAGGTACACTGGCAGGCCGAGAGGTGCAGACGCGCCGGCAGCAGTAGCGGCAGTAGCAGTGGCAGCGGTGACTGCTCCTGTGCTCCCTCAGTATCTTCCTCGGGCTGGTCCAAGATGGCGGCGCTCCCTGCACAGGGTTTCCTGTCACCCTCGCAATGGGCCGGACCACAAAAGAAGGGGGAGAAGATGCGCGCGCAGCTGGCGGAGCCCGGAAGAGGGTGGCTGAGGCCAGCCCGCTAGCCACGCCCCTTCCTCAGCCCTCACCTCTGGACTTGTCGCGCCGCCGCTGAGGCCCGCCCCACGGGCGCTCGCGCCCGGAGGGAAGGTGGAAAGCGCGTATGCGCAAGCGCAGTCGCGTGTCCTCGCCTCTTGGGGGAGCTACTGCGCAGGTCTGCGTGGAACCTGGTGGGGTGCGCCTGCGTCTTGGAGAACTAGGGTTGTCGCTCGTGGAGACTTTTGAACAATTTTTAAAGCCAACATTTACCACTTATTGGACGCTTACCGTATACTGGCCACCATGCTAAGCATGCATTTACTGCATTCATTCAACGTGTATTTATGGGGGCATTTACTGTATATACCGCTGTATGCTTCGTATATACCGGTCCTGTCCAACAAACGTCGGAGGCACGCATCCCCATTGTATCCATGGAGAAACTGAGGCTCAGGTTGGTCAACTCTCTTGTCCAAGATCACGCAGCTAGGAAGTGACCCTGCATTTCATCTCTATTTTGACTTCACTTTGGGGTTGCCTTTGACAGGGTGAGAGAAATGTGATATTTTTCACAATTTGTCTACCACCTGCCATCTTCCAACTTGCTCTGCCATAATCACTGCCCCAGAAGGTTTCGTGCTTTTCGGGTGCAGGGACACGTTTTGACTTTCTTGGACCCTGAGCACTTTTGCCTTGTGGCTTGTACATTACACACACACATATATTTCACACACATGTAAGTTAAATATATGTATAAATATTTAACATATTTTACAACTGCATTGATATAAACATGACGTATCAATATTATATAACAAAATATTTTCTCTGACCTGAAAGTTCATTTTTTTCTTCTGACTTTAAAAGAATGTAAGCCGGCCGGGCGCGGTGGCTCACGCCTGTAATCCCAGCACTTTGGGAGGCCACGACGGGCGGATCACGAGGTCAGGAGATCGAGACCATCTTGGCTAACACGGTGAAACCCCGTCTCTACTAAAAATACAAAAAAATTAGCCGGGCGTGGTGGCGGGCGCCTGTAGTCCCAGCTACTCGGGAGGCTGAGGCAAGAGAACGGCGTGAACCCGGGAGGCGGAGCTTGCAGTGAGCCGAGATCGCGCCACTGCGCTCCAGCCTGGGCAACAGAGCGAGACTGTCTCAAAAAAAAAAAAAAAAGGAACGTAAGCAAGGAGGGCTGGTAGTCTGCGCCTGTAATCCTAGCTACTGGGGAGGCTGAGGAGAGAGGATCGCTTGAGCCCAGGAGTTCTGGGCTGTAGTGCACTGTGTCACTAGATAGAGTGTCTGCACTTAAGTTCAGGAGGGAGGGACCACCCAGGTTGCCTAAGGAGGGATGAACCGGCCCAGGTCGGAGATGGAGCAGGTCAAAACTCCCGTGCTGATCAGTAATGGGATCATACCTGTGAACAGCCACTGCACTCCAGCCTGGGCAACATGGGGAGACCCTGTCTCTAAAATAAATAAATATTCATTTTTGTTGGCCCCTAAAAGTATTGGAGGCCCTAAGCCCTGTGCATACTGTACTGTGCCTAATGGATAAGGTGGCCCTGCCTTAGTTCCCCACCCCCAAATTAAATCAATCTTTCTCTTAGCGTTCAGGACCTTTTATGAACTGGTTCTGCCATGAACAAGTGAGATTTCACTGTAAAAGTGTGTGCCAGTTTGTACATCTCATATTTTCAGAGACCTGGGTTCGAATTCCTGCTCTATAATCTAATGGTATGCAGTTGTGCATGTCACTTGATTTCTGAGATTGTCAGTCTTTTCTGCAATATGAAAATAGTAATATCTCTCTCAAATAGGTCTTTGTGAAAATTAAATGGGATAGTATATGCAAAATATCTGGTATATAATAAGAAATGGAAATGATTATTACATGATAATCTAATCTAAGGTGATATTGAAATCCTTTTGCAACCCTAGAGGTCTAGGCTTCTATTTCCACATTCTTTAATAAGTATAGTTTGTTGTCACACTTTAACATTTTTGAAACTAAGAAATTTGCCTGTGCCAAGTAAAGGAGAAAACTGTGAACCAATGATCATTAATTGCCCAGGTATGAACTTAGACCTGGCTAGTAAGTTTCCTTATAGCCATTATCACCTGAAGGGAGATCTTTATGTATAGCTGATGTTTATTCAACACTTACTATGTACCAGCAACTGTCCTAAGAATCATGCATATTTTCTCATTTAATCCTTACCACATCCGCATGAAGTCAGTACTATATTTACCCCATTTTATGAATGAAAAAACTGAGTGTCATACAGATCTAAAGTCGTTTAGGTGAAAATTGGGTGGGACTTAAATCTGGCAACATGTGACCTCAGGGCTGTACTAAGCCCTATTCCATTTCCTCCCTTATTTGCTCTTGTTTCACAATAGCCAGCTTAAATGCAGGTCCCTAACTGCTGCTTTCCTATGTGAAAGACATTACACTTTGATGCAGCTTTGAACAGAAACACTCTTGTGGATGCAGAGTGCCTATCACATGCTAAGGAATGCAATTAAAAAACAGTAGGAATGGTCAATTCTTTTAATAAGTCCCAGAATTTTCAAAGTGAGGAGAGTGTATGTGACCAGTTGCAGCATAATTAAGAGGGACTGTCCATTGGGTGCCAAACATCCATTGGGGTTTCTACTTAACTTTTTTAAAAAGTTGTTTCTATAAGAAGAGATGTATACATGGAATAGTCACTGCAGCACTGTTTGTAATAACAAAAAACTAGAGACAAACTAAATGTCTATCACTAGAAAGCTGTAATAGTAAATTATAGTACATCTATATTGTGAAATACTATGCAGCCATCAAAAAGAATGAGGCCCATGTATATGTCCTGATATGGAACAATGTCTAGGAAATACTTGGAGGGAAAAAAGCAAGGTGCAGAAAACTAAATAGTATGCCAACATTTGTTAAACTATAAGAGGAGGGCAAAGAAGACATGTATGTTTATGTAACTAGACATTGAGAGGGGTTTATTCCATGTATACATCTCTTCCTATTGTCCTGGATCTGTTGCTGAAGCCCAAACTTGAAAATAAAAAGCCCACAAGGAGCTCACATTCTACACTGAAAAAACTGCCAGTGGCTGGGGCCAGCTACCTTCTAGCAGGGAATTTGAAGAGCAGTTGTTGAAGAAGTCAGCTCTTGACCAACTTCTACCTCCACTCCACTACTCCCTCACCTATTCCCCATTTCCAACCCCATCCCCACAGACACACCATCACCAGTAATCTGTGGAAAGAAAGATTGGAGACATGGGAGGGAAGTCAGCCTTTAGGGAAATTGTAATGTCATGGAAAGAGACGCCTTCTTTCTGTCCCCTCATGGAGACTGTGTCCTCATCTAGAACCAAAGGAGAGGGGCTCCAAAAGAATCACCAGTGAGGATTGGGTGTGCCTGCAGGAAGATGGGACTGACAACTCCCTGGATATCTATCTGTTTGGGCAGCACTGATCTGCTCTGCCCTATTGCTTCCTGCACAAAGGAGAACACAGATGGAGAGAGACAGCACTGGAGGGGCTTTGGATGGTGTGGGGAGAACCTTAGATGAAGAGGGGCTGAAGTTGCTTCCCCTTATCCCTTCCTCCCACCTTGACTTTCTAGTCCCAGATTGGAGTACGGCAAAGAAGTGTCCATCAGAGAGGAGTGTGGCATAATGACACAAGCTAACCATCTGCTGGAAGATATAGCAAATGTGTGAGGGGTCACCTGTTCCTGGGAAGATGCCTGGAATCCTCCAGGTGTGCAGGTTGTTTGTCACCTGCTCTGGCTTCATTTCTGCTTGTATTTTTATAAATTGTTTTGTAAAAAGTAGATGTTATTTTATCCTTCATCTCTTCCCAGAGCCTAAACAATTAAAGTCATTTTCAGATCTCTCTGTTGTGTTTATTTAAACAAAATTAATTCATCTCCTCATTATAGGCTTAATTTTATTTGTTCATTTTCCTCTTATGCTTGTGAATTTTGGTTCATAGGCTTATCTTGAATTGGAGATTCCCCCCTACCCCTATGCTTGAATCTTTTTTGTTTAGTGGTTTTGGAGTTGCCACCGAGCCACACTCAGACTTTAAAATACTGGTGTCCCAATTCCTGAAGCAGTATTGAAGATTTAGAAGAACTAATACAATTTGTACTCTAAATTTTATTACCACATGTGTGTTCTACCTAATTTAAAAAACGAATATATTTTAATGTAGTTGATTAACTTCCAGTGATACATAATTTAATTAAAAAGAAATGGTCAAAAAAGCTAGTTTAACCAAAAAAAGTTGAGATCAGGTGCGGTCATGGTGGTATGGCTGTCGACATTAACCAAAACAGAAACAGCAATTAATATACTTCAAAATTTAGTAGGTTGACAAAGAAATCAAAATCAAGGGCATGAGACTCATTCGTCTCTGGGTATGAAAAAGGATTAGATTCAACTTATCACACTAAAAAAAGGTGATGCATAAATGTAACAATAAGTACATTCTGTATTCAATTGTAAAAGAAATTGTGTGTCCATTGAAATAGTGCCCTTTCATCTCCCCATACACCTTATACCACCCCCTCCCAAAAAATATCCTCTCGTGTCACAGCTTATGAGGGCATGACATTAATGAGGTAAAAAGCAAGCTTGAAATTTTCCCAGGAAAGCACCCTACCGGAGACTCATTTATTGTCATTGAAGCATTCCTTTGGCTGACGACCAGAAGTTGGTGGTTTCGACTTAAGAGGCCATGTTACATGAAAAAAAAAAAAGAATGCATCTTTGAACTTTGTTTGTTTGTTTGTTTGTTTCGAGACTAAGTCTGGCTCTGTCACCCAGGCTGGAGTGCAGTGATCTTGGCTCACTGCAACCTCCACCTCCCAGGCGCAGGCCACCCTCCCACCTCAGCCTGGGACCACAGGCATGTGCCACCATGCTTGGTAAACATCTTTCAACTTTAGATTCACACTCAGTGGGGCATAATGACCACACCGTGAGATCCACATGGAAACTGAGACCTACTGAGAAAACATTTAACTCTTTCATTGCATGCTCACTCCAAGGCATGCACTTATTCAGAAAAAGGGAAGGGAGATTGATATCTAAATTATTTCTTTATTGCTTTTTCTGACTTTGTACATTTAGTTGAAATAATGCGAGTTAAAAGCATGTGTGATGTAACACAACTGAATTAAAGTGATGATGAAGGTGCTGTTGAGAACTGAGATTTTACTCTACTTGCAAGCTAACAAGCCAGCCTGCCAGTTTCATGGATACAGGCAGAAGATGTGAGACTTCTGAGTCAAAGACAGAGGTCTGTATTATTCACAGCACAGCAAGCAGCATGAGCATCAGCATATGTGCATCAGTTCTCTTTGTGCCAAAGACCCATGGGCAGTGATATGAAGGGGTACCAGCACACACAGTGGATTGTATTACAGAAGAACCCTGAGCTTAGGGAAATCACATATTTTATAATGGGAAGTAATTATATCTATTTTTGCTGTAGAGGGAAACACTATCTCTATCCTCCAAGCCTGCCCTACAAACATCCTTGAAAAGACAGTCTAGGACAAAGGGCAGTCAGTGCCTATGCTCACAAAATGTACAGAAACATGAGACCCATGGAAGGTCATCTCCCAACAGGGGCAGGATTTTTTGTATTGTAGAATATAGTACTGTATTTGGTGGAGGGAGTTAATGAGTAAATGGTATGCTATGGAGGAAAGTATATGGTTTTGAGACTCAAACTGACTTCAGTTTCATTTCCTGTGACCTTAGACAAATCACTTAACTTCTCTCTTTTTTTTTTTTCTTCCTGTCTCACTTGGTCACACAGGCTGGAGTGCAATGGCACGATATCAGCTCACTGAAGCCTCCACCTCCTGGGCTCAAGCACTCCTCCCACCTCAGCCCCCCAGGTAGCTGAGACTACAGGTACGTACCACCACATCTGGCTAATATGTGTGTGTGTGTGTGTGTGTGTGTGTGTGTGTGTGTATTTTTTGTAGAGACAGAGTTTCTTGATGTTGTCCAGATTGGTCTTGAACTCTTGAGCTCAAGGGATCCACCCACCTTGGCCTCCCAAAGTGCTGGGATTACAGGCATAAGCCACTGTGCCTGGCCCAAATCACTTAACTTCTCTGAGCCTCAACTATAAAATCAGATAATAGATTTTCCCCTCACCCATACACACACGGAATTGTTGTTCAGATTAACTGGGAAAGTGTAACTGAAAGTATGTGGTACAGTATCTAGAATATTCCACGCATTCAACAAATGCCTGGTCCTTCTCTTCTCTCCTACCTTTATTCACTGATTCCCTCATCCATGTGAATCAGGCACACACTTAGGTTCCTGCCAGAGCCCTGAACCCCTTCCCCAGTTGGAAAGCACTTCTTGAGTACCTGCTTAGAATACATGGGTTCAGATGCTGCAAACAAGAGACTAAAGAATGATAGTGGCTTTCACAAGATAGAAATGTATTCTTCCCGCACATGGAAGTCTGGGTAAGTAGTACAGAGGTGATATAGCAGCTTGAAGGCAGCAAGATGTAAGTTCCTCCTTGGTTATGGCACTGCCACCCCCAAATCATGCTTCTATATCATGGCTCAAAATACTTACTCCAGCTAACACCAGGAGAGGGGAGAAAAAGAAGTAGATAGCACATGCCTTCCTGTTAAGTGTATGACCCAGAAGTTGTACCTATTGCTTTTGCTGACATCCCATTGGTAGGTCACATGGTCACACCTAGCTGAAAGGGATGCAGAGAAATTTAGTCTTTGTTCTGGGGAGGATTATTACTAATGAGGGAAGAAAAGAATGGATACTGAGAAACAACCAGCTATTTTTGCCATACCATCCTTCATTGCCTAAAAGGGGGGCAGGTGTTAGAGCACCTTGAAGGTCCAGGGAGGCTGATGTTAAACCCTGAGGCCACCAAGGTGAGGACAGGGACCATCAGTGGACCATGAAATCTTTCCCACCAGTGCAGTTCCCTTAGGATGCCCATTTGGGGCTCTATGCAGGACTCTGAATAAATAGCATTCCTTTGCCTCGTCTGACTTCTGAACAAGTTGAGATATCAACAAAAAGATGCAGAGGAAGGCCAGAATATTTTCTTTATTAGTGATATTGCCAGGTTGGAGAAGAAACTTTTAGGGTTGGTAGCTGAAGGGTGCCACTAATAGTGAACCCCAGAAGTGGGCTGCAAAGACTAGGGCAGGCCTCCTGCTGAAGGGAGCAGGGCTGAGGAGCAGCTCCCTCCCTATCAGAAGAAGTGCTGAGTTGGGCATGACCAGGTATTCTCAAATGTACAATCCTTCATCCTTCCAGGAATGGATAAAGCACGGAGAGGAACCAAGAATGTGCTCAGAAAAAAATCCTTCCTCACTGAAACCAGGACTAAGGAAAGGAGATTCCCTTCTACCATCCATGGTGAGCAAAGAGTGGGGCTTGGAATTAGCAGCGGGGGGTGGGGAGGGGGGAAGAAATACCAGTGGAAGCAAGCATAATAGTGCCTACAAATACATGAGGGACCCAAACTGACAAGTCAGAAATCATCCAACACTGTAATTGGATTTCAGTCCCAGCCTTGCTTCTTAGTAGCTGTGTGGCTTTGGAAAGTTCCTTAAGGTCTCTAATTCTTCATTTCCTTGTCTCAAAAATCAGGAAACAGCAGCATTTAATACCTATGTGAATTATTAAGAGAAAATGAAGCAGAGCATGAGAAGCTCTTAGCATAGTGCCTGGTAGGGAATAAACACTCAGGAAACAGAAGCTGCTAGAATTATTTCCAAGAGCCAATACATAGCTCCTGAAAGCAGTTTCCCCAAGTAAGTTAGGAAAGAAGAAAACCTTTATCTGCTATCATAGAATTCAACAGAAATCAGAAAGTTTTCTTTAGAGTAATACAAATAATTGGAGAGAAGAGATGAAGAATGAGAAACAGGCCTCTCTGCATAGTATCTGGAACAATTTGGGCTAGGCCTTCACTTTCTCATATTCTTTGTGCCATGAACACACATACACGCACGCATACATGCACAATAGACCAGTCAAGATTCATCTAGAGGTGATATAATAAATCCCTACTCTCAGGAAAGGATATTGCCTTTATAGATATATTAGTTAGGAGAGGCTAGGTTTTACTGTGTAAGAAATGACTCCAAAATCTCAGCGGATTTAAACCTTATCACAAAGGTGTGCTTCTTGCCCACTCTCTATGTCCATAATGTGTCAACTACTTCCCTGTTCCACACCATCTTCACTTTAGGACTCAGGCTGACGGAGCACGCTGCCTGTCTGTGTCTCTCCGTTTCTCTCTCTGGAACGTTGTCAGATGTCACGGCGGAGGGAAAAGAGACCTGGTGAGTGACGTGCTAAGTCTTCAAGCTTCTGCTCCAAAGTAGCACACATCACTTATGCTCAAATTTTCTTAGCCAGAGCAAGTCTTATAGCCTCATATTGATAGAGTTGGGGTGCATAATTCTCCTTTGGGGAGGTGAATATAGCTGAATGTAACCCAGTCTACCACAGTGGACTCCCCAAGAGCCAGAGAGACAGCCACTGAGAGCTGCTAATATCTGGCTGATCTGGGGCCTTCTCTTTGCCTCAGTTTATCCTCTGTGAAATGGAGATACCAGCACCCGTCCTGTGAACCTTACAGAGAAGGGCTAGGAATGCACGTGGGATCACCGACATGCATGTGGTTTGGCAACTGTAAACTACCACACTTGCATGAGAGGGTTTCAATACCAGTATGAGTGCATTGGAAGGGATAAGAACACATTATAAAACATTTCACCCCTTCTCTGCCCACAGGAATGACTTGCCGAATTTTTAGCCCATAACCAGGCACTGTGTAAACCGCTTTACCTCATTCAGTCTTTGCAATTATACCACAAGGTAAGTAATGTTATTAACTCCACTCACAGATGTGGAAACAACTGAGTGTCCATTGAGGAATGAATGGATGACAAAATGTGATACATGCCACATTTGGGGATATTGTTGATAATAATGGGATGTTATTCAGCCTGAAAAAGGAAGGAAATTCTGACACATGCGACAACAAGGATGAACCATTATGCTAAGTGAATTTAGCCCGTCACAAAGAGACAAATAGTATAGGATTCCACTTATATGAAGTACATAGAATAGTCAAATACAGAGACACAGAAAATTGGAAGGTGGTTCCCCTGGGGGTAGAGGAATGGGGAGGTATTATTTAATGAGTACAGTTTCAGTTTGGGATGATGAAAAAGTTCTGAAGATGGATAGTGGTGGCGGTTATACAACAATGTGAATGTACTTAGTGCTATTAAATAGTACACTTAAAAGTGGCTAAAATGGTAAATTTTATATTATCTATATTTTACCACATAAAAAAGCATATGACAGCAAAAACAAACAAACAAACAAAGCTGAAAAAACCCACAAGTCTTAAAATGCCTTGAAACTTTGAGCAATTTGGCTCACACAACAGATCCTTTAGCCACTATGTAAGTAGGTGATGGCATTTTAGTAGCTGATACTGCTTATAAATACTTCCAGGTGTAAAAGTTGCTATTAATAATTAATTGGGGATCTGGCTGGGATAGGGGTAAGGTGGATAAAGCACTGAACTGGGAATGAGAGCTTGAGGTTAGGACTTAGCTGAAACCAGCGGTGTGACCTTGGCTGGGTAGCTTCCCCTCTCTGGGCCTCAATTTTCCTATCTGGAATGTAGAGAGGTTAGTTGATCTTTTCAGTTCAATTTTATTTTTCAGACCAAAGGACCACAGTCTTGCAGGGCAGTTCAAGTAGATGGGGCTCTATCTCCTCTTCCGTTCTCTCCCAATAACCACCTCCCCACCAAAAGAAAAAACCCATAGCAAAAAAATATATTTTTTGAAGGGCTTTATGAATTGGACTTCTGTTCAAAAACTTTAAAAACAGCTGGATAAGGGAATCTCTGAGGGCTCTGATACTCTGTATTTGCTTACTGGTGAAGCTGTGAGATTAAGGAGAGGCCGCTGGGTTAACCATGCATTCATTCATCAATGACTAATGATTGAGCTCAAACCTGGGCTCCTGTCTCCTCCTGTCCACTGAAGCCCTTCAGTGACCACCTTCCCGTTTTTCTGTAGAGTCCCTTATATGGGCCGATGGGGAAGAGACTATGGATGCCTTTTAACTGAGCCCTCATAATGCGATAAAAAAACATAACAAAACAGATATCCCAGCAGCTATACAAGCAAGCGTTTTCAGAGCTCACACTGGAAACCAGACTCTCTAATCCTTATCAGTTGTTTCTCCAAGATTTAAATTCCAACTCTGCAGTTTATTAGCTCTGAGACTTGGGCAAGCATCTTAATCTCTCTGGGCCTCAGTTTCCTCATCTGTAAAATAGGTATGGTGGTCCCTAGTTTATTGGATTGTCGTGAAGGTTATAAATGTGTGTAAAATCCCACTTCACCGTAGCCCTCTATCATTTCCCACCCTCTTCTCTCCCTGCCAGGGAGTCAGTGCCCTCCTGGAGGAGGCTTACAATACAGCCTTCAAGGTTGACTCTGGGCATTGCTTCAGTACAGATTAGAAATTATTTTAGAATCCCCAGAGCATGGTATCTGCGACAAATTAAGCTAGACATAATTTTAAAGCATTTTTTATGTTTGAAAGTCTTTTGGTCTCACTCCTTGGCCTTTTTTTTTTTTTTCTGAGATGGAGTCTTGCTCTGTTGCCCAGGATGGAGTGCAGTGGTGTGATCTCTACTCACTGCAACCTCCTACTCCCTGATTCAAGCAATTCTCCTGCCTCAGACTCCCGAGCAGCTGGGACTACAGGTGCGCACCACCACGCCTGGCTAATTTTTGTATATTTTTTTTAGTAGAGTAGGGGTTTCGCCATGTTGGCCAGGCTGGTCTCAAACTTCTGACCTCAAGTAATCCACCCACCTCGGCCTCCCAAAGTGCTGGGATCACAGGCATGAGCCACTGCACCTGGCTCTTGCTCTTGACAAAGATCTTTTTCCCGTCCAGAGATTGGAGGGAAAGCTAAGGAGAAAAGGCAGCGTGAAGGAAGGAGAATTTCTTCCTGCCCATATATTTATTTTGAATTTTACAGGTTTAATGTCTGCCTTTCCTCACCCTGAGCTGAGTGGGAAAGGTACCATTTCTGGTGGGTTCACTGCTCGATACCCGGCCTAAGTATCTACAAGTTATAAAATCAGAAACAAAATATAATTAGTCTCATCAATAAATAAACCCAGGGCAGCTGGGCTTCACGGAGGAGTGACAAATGGCTCCAAGCAGTCTACATTTTAGGACAATAGCTGGGGTCACTGGCTTCCAAAAACTATGGGGAAAACCACTTCCGGCTTCCTGTATCCCTTCGTCTATTCTGGTATCAAAACGACAAATCCAGAGGAGCCGAATCAGGCGTGCTCCACCAGAGGGCGCAGCAGGCCCATGCCAGGCCCTCTTGACTGCCAGAACTCCCAGCCTGTGGCTACTGCTCCCATTTGTGTTGCTCAGGCACACCTGGTTTGGCAGCATTGTTTCCTCAGTCTCTTTGTTAGTTCCTCTGTTTTTCCAAGCCAGAAGAAAGTGAAGAAGTTTGCAGTCAGGTGGGCTTGGATTAAAATCCTGACTCTGCCGTCAGCTGAGATCTTGGCAAATTAGCATTGTGAGCTGTTGTATTAATATTAATTGGTGACTTCTTCCCAAGGCTGGGGAATCACAAAATCATAGACTCTTGGCACAAGAAGGGGCCTTTGAGATCAGCCCTTAGAGCCCCCACATGTCATGGATGGGGACACTGAGGCTCAGGCTAGACCAGAGCCCAAGTCTCTCAGCACATGGGCTGGGGTCCTCTCAGCTACACCCAGCTGCCTTCTTTCCAAAATCCATAAAACGATAAAGAGCATTCATCAATGAATGAATGAATGAAAAGATTAAAAGCCCTTTCAACCGACGAGCTCGTACCTTCTTTTAGAGCAAGGACTTTAGATCCAGACAAAAGCACAGACTGCTGTATCCCTCATCCAGCTTCAGCAATTACTTGACCTGTTCAGTCTCAGTCTCCTTATCTGAATGGTGCAGGGCATACTATGGGGATCATAAAAGCACCTACCTCACAGGGTTTCGTGAAGATTCAACGAGTGCATGCCTAAAATGCCAGCTCAGGCACCTAGAAGGCATTGAGAAAATGCTAGTTCTTTTTTTCTCCCTTCTCTCCTCCTCCTTTCTTTCCTTCCTTCCTTCCTTCCTTCCTCTTCTTCTTTCTTCCTTCTTTCTCCTTCCTTCTCTCTCTTTCCTTCTTTTTCTCTCTTTCTCTCCTCCTCCTTCTTCCTCTTCCTCTTCTTCTTCCTCTTCTTCCTTTTCTTCTTCTTCCATAAGCCAGAAACCAAAGGGTAGATGTTAGTTCTACATTTTAAAATCTAGGTTCCATAATCTTTCTGAGTCTCAGTGTTCTTGTCTATAAAGTGGAGAATTTTCAAAGCATTGTGGGAGGATTACATGGCACAACATATATAATAAAACCCACAAAACAAGGCCTGGTTCATGGTAGTGTACAAAATATATTAATAATAAATACTAGTTTATCCTCTTTCATGAAGTAAGGAATGACTGTTTCTAAGAACAAAGAGGGATAAGCCTGCATTCCTACCAATTCCAAAGACTTAGCAGATAGCATTCCCAGGAACACATCATTTCTCCTGAGTTATCCTATGTCATATTCCTACGGAGCTCTTGTCCAAGGTCTCACGAGCTAACCCAGTTTGAGACCCCAGGAGCTACTGCATTAGTTAAGTTCTTATCTTTTCTCTTCTGGACCTCTGTTGTAGCATCTATGCCTTAGATGGATGAGCGATGCCATCTGGCTGGAGATGTACCTCCTGGAAGTACCTTACTGGGCTGCAGCCACTGGTTAGGTCGGAATATAGGCTCCTTGTTGTATGAGCTTCCTAGGGCTGCTATAATAAAAGTACCATGAACTGGGTGGCTTGCAATAACAAAAATGTGTTCTCTCACAGTTCTGGAGGCTGGAAGTCCAAAATCAAGGTGTCAGCACAGCTGTGCTCCCTCTGAGACTGAGTAAATCCTTCCTTGCCCTTGCCCAACTTCTGGTGGTAGCCGGCAATCCTTGTTGTTCTTGGATTCTGGCTGCATCACTCCAGGCTGTACCTGTCATTGTCATATGGCTGTCTTCTCCCTGTGTTTGTATCTCTTCTCCTCTTCTTCTAAGGGCACCAGTCATATTGAATTAAGGACCCCCCCCCCCACACTCATATATGACCCATCTTAATTTCCATCTAAGTTGCATTTGCAAAGACCTCATTTCCAAAAAAGATCAGATTCAAAGGTACCAGGGGTTAGAATTTCAACATATCATTTTTTTTTCTTTTTGTGGGGCGACACAATTCAACCCGTAACATTGGTTAAAAGATCTCTAAAACACCTGAAAATTGGCCGGATTGGTGGCTCACACTTATAATCCCAGCACTTTGGGAGGCCGAGGTGGGTGGATCACCTGAGGTCAGGAGTTCGAGACCAGCCTGGCCAACATGGTAAAACCCCATCTCTACTAAAAATACCAAAATTAGCCAGGTGTGGCGGCGAGTGCCTATAATCCCAGCTACTTGAGAGGCTGAGGCAGAAGAATTGCTTGAACTCAGGAGGCAGAGGTTGCAGTGAGCCAAGATCGCGCCACTGCACTCCAGCCTGAGTGACAGAGTAAGACTCTGTTTCAAAAAAAAAAAAACCTGAAGATTTTAAGAGCTCTCCAATTTACTAATATTTATAATGTACATGTAAATCAACCAATAGAATTAACATGGTTATGTTAATTTATTGGAAAATTAATTATAATGTTTATGATTAGAAATTATATTACAAGCCATATATTTCAAGTATCATATAAATTATAATTATACCTATAATTGTTTGTAATTTATTAACTGTTAGAATAGTTAATTAATTTTGAAAAAAATAGCTGGGTGAGTGAAACAAAACATTTCTGTGGACTGAAAGGCTCTTAGGCCATCACTTTTCTTATTTATTTATTTATTTATTATTTTTTTCAGCTCACTGTAGCCTCTGCCTCCCGGGTTCTAACGATTCTCCTGCTTAAGCCTCCCAAGTAGCTGGGCTTGCCAGCAGGCCTGGCTAATTTTTGTATTTTTAGTAGAGACGGGTTTTTGCCATGTTGGCCAGACTGGTCTCAAACTCCTGACTTCAGGTGATCCACCTGCCTCAGCCTCCCAAAGTTCTGGAATTACAGACGTGAGCCACTGCACCCGGCCCATCACTTTTCAACTCCTGCCTCATGGACCATCAGAGTGATCATTCTACAAAGCAAATCCAACTATGTCACTCCCATGCTTAGTAACCCTCCATGATGGCCAACAGCTATCAAGAACAGCTGACAAATGAAACTGCCAACAACTACCTCCAGCTACGTCTCCACCACTTCCTGAAGCCTGTACTCAGGGAAAACATTGCTGCTTTAATCTGACACAGGACAGACATTCACTGGCCAAGACTTTGCTTGCTATATTTCCCCCAGAAACAGTCCCTAACTCTCCTACCTGCCTGCTTTTCTCTGTTTCTTATCCTTCATGGCCCAGCTCAAAAGCCACTTCCTCTGTGATGCCTGCCAGGCCTTGTAATATCCTCCTACCCCCAGGTTCCGTAGTACCTTGCTTCTGTATTTTGCAGGACTTCTCCCTGTTTTCTTGGTATTATAGTGAGATTATTCTATTACCCACTTCTCCCACTAGGCTAGGAGTTCCTGGAAGACAGGAATTTTACCTTGGTCATTGTATTAGTTTGCTAGGACTGCCGTAACAAATAGTACAGGCTCAGTGGCTTAAACAACAGAAAATTATTTTATTCTGGAGGCTACAAGTCCAAGATCAAGATGTCCAAGCGTTGCATTCTTCTGAGGGTTGGTTTCTTCCTTGGCTTGTGGATGACTGTCTTCTTCCTGTGTCTTCACATGGTCTTCCCTCTGTTTGTGTCTGCATCCTAATTTCCTCTTCTTTTTTTAGTTCTGGGTTTTGTCTTCCACTTTATTTAGATTTTTAAAGTATTTTTCTAACTTAAGGAGATTTCTTTTTTAAAATTCAACTTTGGCTGGGCACATTGGCTCACGCCTATAATCCCAGCACTTTGTGAGGCCAAGGCGGGTGGATCACAAGGTCAGGGTGGATCACGAGACCAGCCTGGCCAACATGGTGAAACCCTGTTTCTACTAAAAATACAAAAAAAAATTAGCTGGGTGTGGTGGTGGGCACCTGTAATCCCAGCTACTCAGGAGGCTGAGGCAGGAGAATCATTTGAACCTGGGAGGCGGAGATTGCAGTGAGCCAAGATCGCACCATTGCACTCCAGCCTGGGCAACAGGGCAAAACTCCGTCTCAAAAAAAAAAAAAATAACTTTTATTTTAAGTTCAGGAGTACCTGTGCAGATTTGTTACAGAAGCAAACTTCTGTCCTGGGGGTTTGTTGTACAGATTATTTTGTCACCCAGGTATTAAGCCTAGTACCCATTAGTTCTTTTTCCTGAGCCACTCCCTCCTCCCAACCTAAACCCTCCAATAGGCCCCTAATCTCCTTTTCTTATAAAGATACCATTCATATTGGATTAGGGCCCACCCTAGTGACCTCATTTTAATTTAATTACCTCATTAAAGACCCTGTCTCTAAATACAGTCACATTCTGAGGTACTGGGGGTTAGGACTTCAATTCAATTGGGATGTGGCTGAGTGGCACAATTCAGCCCACAACAGCCATTTCTTTAAATTTTTTAAATTTAATTAAATTTTTAAATATTTCAAATAATATAGAAATGTATTATTATTATTATTATTATTATTATTATTATTATTATAACCTCAAACAAAACAAGCCCTCCTTTCTCTGCTCTTTTCTACCCAACCGTTAATACTGCTACCAGGTCTGTTTCAAGCTTTTGCGTATATAAGGGTACATACATAAAGATATAACTTTGGTGTGTGTTTTCTCTTTTACATAAGTACGATCAAATTGTCCATATTGTTTTGCATATCCTGATCTTATTCATTCTTTTTATGTATGTGTCCAGTCTACCTCATGCCCTGACTCACAGTTTAGCTATGACTAAGCATGTTCAGAACATTTGTTGAGCTCTTAAGAAGGGTGGTCATGGAGTATAGGTCTGCTATGAATTGTCTGGCAGTCATTTAATATTGTATTATATTTTAGGTCTGTCAACCTGAAATAAACAGCAGAGAGACCAGTTCTCCAAAACAAAGAGTTTATTTGAGAATAACAGGGAATTGCGATTTTGGGTGCACATGCTGTGGTGGACCACAGGTGCACCAAAGGGGATGGGGCAAGAGGAAGCTTTTAAGAGAAAGGACGAGAGGCCAGGCTCGGTGGCTCATGCCTGTAATCCCAGTGCTTTGGGAGGCTGAGGCAGGTGGATCACTGGAGGTCAGGGGTTCAAGACCAGCCTGGCCAATATGGCAAAACCCTGTAACTACTAAAAATACAAAAATGAACCAGGCATCATGACGTGTACCCATAATTGCAGCTACTCAGGAGGCTGAGTCACGAGAATCACTTGAACTCGGGAGGCGGAGGTTGCAGTAAGCCGATAACGCACCACTGCACTCCAGCCTAGGTAACAGAGTGAGTCTCTGTCTCAAAAAAAATAAAGAAAGGAGGAAACGTACATGTAAGCTAATTTGAAAAAAAGACCATTGGTTACAGGAGCTTGTTGCAGGAGTTGGCATTAGCTTATTGGTGGAGACAGCCACTGTTGGACAAATGTCCCTGTGCAAGCCAGGTGGCTTATGTGGAATTTCTTGGATAGTTTCTGTTGTAGGCATACATGCATGAGGACCCTTCCTTCATGGCCTCCCCTCTCCATTTTGTGAGAGTTTAGCCTAAGTGACTCCATTTTGGTACTGGCAACTTTCACAAGTTTCATTTTTCTTGTATGTAAAATGGAGGACAATAATATTCATCTCCCAGGGTCCTGAAATGATCTGGTATTTGGAGGTTACCCTACCAGTTTTGTCCAAGCATCCATCCTGCATGACACCTGAAGTCCAATATCTTTATTCAGTTTCACTTCCTTGATGTTTCTCAGAGTCCTGAGGATGCTTCCTTGATGGACAGATCCACCTGGTGGGGGCCAACTCCTCTGGCCGGGCAGTTCTGCCAGGGCTCTGTGTCTGCTGCTGCTGCGCTTGCTGCTTCTCTTTACCCGGTCTCCTGACTCAGTTCCCCAAAACACACCAAATACCAGAAGGTTCAAGTTAGGGGATTTTTTTTTTTTTTTTTTAAATAGAGACTAGTCTCACCATGTTGCCCAGGCTGGTCTTGAACTCCTAGGCTCAAGTGATCCTCCTGCCTTGGCTTCCCAAGGTGTGGGATTACAGAGGGGAGCCACAGCACACCACCAAGTTAAGGGATTTTTACCAAAGCCTTCCTGATAGCATTGAGACAGGAATGATACAGCGTTGACACAGGAGAACAGCACATTCCAGGCAGCAGTTTTATATGACTAGCAAAAGGGAACTGTTTAAACAGCTGCAGAAGCTAGGGGCTGAGAAGACCCTGAAAAACCAGGGTGTGGGTCAAGCTGGCTAAGACCAACTAGACCCAACATGGCGCTGGATTTGACTTAGGTCTCACCTAGGACCTCATTATATGCTCATTAACATAGTCAATCACACACCCACCAGTGCCAGGACAGATCCTGGAACACCCATATTTGGTGTAAAAATGAGTGGCACCAGATTTCTGAGAAATCTTCACATTTTTCCAGGAATCTTCATGAATATTCCCCCTCTTGGTTAAAGAAACTCATGTAGATGGAAACTGCAAACCCGGTTGCATGACTGTCTCTCTCTTAAGTATACCTACACTCCCCTTTCTTTTTTCTTTTCTTTTTTTTTTTTTGAGACGAAGTTTTGCTCTTTGTTGCCCAGGCTGGAGTGCAATGGCGCGATCTCAGCTCACCGCAATCTCCGCCTCCCAGGTTCAAGTGATTCTCCTGCCTCAGCTTCCCGAGTAGCTGGGATTACAGGCATGCGCCACTGCGCCTGGCTAATTTTTAGTATTTTTAGTAGAGATGGGGTTTCTCCATGTTGGTCAGGCTGGTCTCAAACTCCTGACCCCAGGTGATCCGCCCACCTCAGCCTCCCAAAGTGCTGGGATTACAGGCGTGAGCCACTGCACCCGGCCCACACTGCCTTTTCTTGAGTGTGTACTTTTTGTCTTGCAATAACTCTCCAAACTTTCACTATTTTCTGATTTGTCATTGAATTCCTTCCCGCAGTGGCGTCAAAAGCCTGGACACCAGCCGGGGCCGAGGTCCTGCAGGTATTTGGGGAACTCCCCTAGCCCACTGATATCTGCATCATTAGTATTCTTACTATTCTCACCTCTCAGAGATCACAGTAGGTGAAGCTCTTCCCATACTTTCTGTCACTGTGTACCCCAGAAGCCGAGGGGGTAGGTTCTGTTAACACATCCATTTTGCAGGTGAAGAATCAGAGGCTCAGACAGGTTGAGGAACTTTGCCACGGTCACTCAGCCAATGGGTGGGAGAGCAAGGTCCCGTCCAAAGCATTTTCCAAGGTTTGGCTAGAATCAGTGGTGGAACCACAGCTAATTTCAGCTGTTTCACACAAACACATTAGGTAACTAAACCACCTAGTGAGATAGTTATTCTATTTTCAATTATTTTCCCTTCCTTTTGATTAAATCAAGGAAATTTTCCAGTTGTTTCTAATATGCCAGTAAAAGTTCTCTAATGCAATTCCAATCTCCCTTTCTAACAAAGACAGAACAGGCAACCGTATCTAGCCAGAACTTAATCGCGTTGTTTTGTTTTCCTTGTATTTATTTTTATGGAAATGAAGTTGATTTTCTATTGATGTAGCAATAGAAATTTTCTTTAAAAATATCAATTGTTAAAAGTGAATAGATGTACAGAAAAATATTAAGTAAACAATGGTGTGATTCGTTTGTTGAAATGTCAAAAATTGTGAGATCTGGGGCCTCAGGCTTGGGAACAGTGTACGTAATAAAGAGGAACTTAAGCCTGGATGGCAGACTCCATCTCCTGCTCTCTTCAGCGCCGAGGGGCCGCCTCTCTCACTCATTCTGGCAGAGACCCCGAGGAGGGGCGCCTCGGCCCAGTCCGAGAAAAGCCAGTTAACATCACAAACTCAACCTTTCCATGATGCCACTTTATTGTCCGAAACTTCTCCATTTCAAGGGGATTTCCATCTCCCTTTACATAACAAAAGTCCCCTGACCATGTTCTTCCCAAAATAAAAAAAAGAGCAGCCAGTTTTTCCTTCAGATGCAATTAAATGGCAGCCTGCTTTGCAAGGGCAGTTTATTGAAGGCCTGGTCTTCATTAGGTCTTAAGAGCAGCCCCAATTCCCAGCCCAGCCCCCAGAAGGAGAGAGGTAAACTCCTCCCTGCTCTAAGTGAAGACTTTCTACAGTGCAGCTTTGATGGTCCCCTCTCCTGTTCTAGCGTGCCATGTTTCTCTGGGACATGTTTCTCTCCTTGGCTTGGCATTCAAGGCCCTTCACAATCAGCCCAATACGGAGAGGTAAAAGAGCATTAGGCCAGAACTCTGGACATCAGGGTTCGAGTGCTAGAGTGACCCCAATTTGCTGTGTGCCCTCTGCCGGTTCCCTCCCCTCTTCAGGCCTGTTTTCCCATTCATAGAAAGAAGAGATGGGATTAGGTGGGTCTCTTCCAGGGCTGACATTCTCTGGGCCACAGCGAGAGTCTGAGCTAGTTGACCAGCACATAGTCAAAGAGGCTGAGCTAGCCAGAGCTGAGGCCCAGCTCTCAGGCTTGACCACCTCAACCTGGCCACTAAGATGACTTTGATGCTCTGCCACTTTCAATTGATTTTATGCCTAAGTGCGTTATGTCAGAAAAAACAGGTCTGCTGGGAAATAAGCTGGCCTGCCCTGCTTCTTAAGGGGTCTCCTTAGATAAATAACCAAGCCCTACAGAGTGAGGAAGCTGCTCACATCTGACCCCTCAACACTCTCTCCTCCCATCCCAAAGGACTGGTTCCAGCAGGAAAGTCTCCTGTTCTGTCTTTTAAAAGGGAGAATAGGTGGGTTTTTTTTTAAGTTGCTATAAAACAGATGCCCAGTATACAAATGTTTGGATCATATGAAATGTATAAAGAAGAGAGTAACAGGCAACTGAAATGTTTTCCACCTACCTCTGCCATGATATCCTTTGTAAACATTTTTGTGTTCATTCTTTCAAGTTTTCTCTAAGAAATAGAAAGACAAACATCTTTTTAATGAAGATAGGATCATACTAGAAATAGTTATAATTTTTAAAAGGTAAAATCATGACTCTTAAAGAAATATAAAATGAGTGCTTGTCAAAGATTTTATTTTACTCGATTATTAATGAAATAATATATTAAAGCCAGTTCAAAGGAGAATCTGATTAACAGACAAGTATATATAGGCAATCAAGAATGCAGAAATAAATTTGATAGATGAAAAATTGGTTATTATTTTTAGGGTAATAAAATGCGATGTTTGGAATTGTCTCTGTACATTTATTTATTGTACATTTATGGGACAAAATTTGCATTTCCATGGGCAAGGATAATTTGCATTACAATTACCTCTAGGGGGCGTATCTGAGTCTCACAGCACCAACGTATGTTAGCAGTGGTGAATCCATATGGATCTGCATCAACCTCAATTCCTGCCTCCTCAGGAGAAAGAATTTTTCTGAGGTGTTTAAGGCAGAGTAAGAGACTGAGGCAAATTTTAGAGCAGGAGTAAAAGTTTATTAAAATTTTCTAGAGCAGGAACCAAAGGAAGTAAAAAGCTACACTTGGAAGAGAGCCAAGTGGGTAACGTGAGAGAGTCCAGTGTGTGGTTTGACCTTGGACTTGGGGGGGGGTCTTACACATTGGCATGCTGGCAGGGTTGCGTTACTGTTCCCCTGATTCTTCCCTTTGGGTGCGTTGTCTGCATGCACAGTGGTCTGCCAGCACTTGAGAGGGGCGCATGTGCAGTGTGTTTACTGAAGTTGTGCACATGCTCACTTGAGGCATTTTTTTCCCTTACCAGTCCGGCGTTCCTACAGGAGGGACATATAGCCGTTACACTCCGCCATTTTGCCTCTGAGTGCGCATGCTTGAGCCCACTTGCCCAATTCCTGAGATCTTGTCAGGAAGCTACTAATCACCGGTTTCAGGTGTTTTCTATTGGGAAACTGCCTTTCCCTAGCCCTGGCTTTGACCAATTCTCATTTTAGAGAGATAGTATAATAACCACCTGATGATCACCTAACATTCCGAGTGAGAGGGGTCCCTCTCCTGCCCTGCTCATGTCTGACTAACTACCTACTGTAACATTACTATTACTTTTCTAGAACTCA
The DNA here is from genome assembly GCF_000001405.40 of Homo sapiens. NCBI lineage: Eukaryota > Metazoa > Chordata > Mammalia > Primates > Hominidae > Homo > Homo sapiens. Next base: position 121,223,384 of record NC_000009.12, read on the forward strand.
TAGACTTGTGAAATAGCCTAGTCAGAGACAGGGAAAGACCCCTATAGAATCAGGTAACCCCCAAAGGATCTAGACAACACAGAGTATGCCATTAAAAGGACACCTGATAAACGTTCACAATTTGTCACCAAAGTATATATCATGGTTACAATAGCTAGCTAATATTTGGGGAATGCTTACTCCGGGAGTGTCAGGCACTGTTTTAAGTACTTTATATAAGTATTATGTCACTTTTTATAAGTATTATTTTACTTATAACGTACTTTATAAGTATATTATTATTATTATTATTTTGAGACAGAGTCTCACTCTGTTGTCTAGGCTGGAGTGCGGTGGCACAATCTCAGCTCGCTGCAAACCCTGCCTTCTGGGTTCAAGCGATTCTCGTGCCTCAGCCTCCCGAGTAGCTGGGATTACAGGCGTGTGCCACCACGCCGGCTAAATTTTGTATTTTTAGTAGAGACGGAGTTTTGCCATGTTGCTGAGGCTGGTCTTAAACTCTTGGGCTCAAGTAATCCACCCGCCTCGGCCTCCCAAAGTGCTGGAATTACAAGCATGACCAACCGTGCCCAGCCTGAGATTTTTTTGTTTTTGTTTTTTAAGAGAATTTCCCTACATCTTTGCCAATAATAAGTAATATCAATCTTTTCAGTATTTGCCAGTCTGATAGGTTAAAAAAAAGGTATATCGGTGTTATTTGAATATACATTTATTTATTTATTTATTTTTTAGAGACGGAGTCTTGCTTTGTCGCCCAGGCTGGAGTGCAGTGGTGCGATCTTGGCTCACTGCAACCTCCGCCTCCCATGTTCACGCCATTCTCCTGCCTCAGCCTCCCGAGTAGCTGGGACTACAGGCGCCCGTCACCACGCCCGGCTAATTTTTTAAAAAATTTTTAGTAGAGACGGGGTTTTACTGTGTTAGCCAGGATGGTCTCGATCTCTTGACCTTGTGATCTGCCTGCCTCGGCCTCCCAAAGTGCTGGGATTACAGGCGTGAGCCACCGCGCCCGGTCTATACATTTATTTTTATCACAAGAATTCAAGGGTTATGCAAAGATAATTATCAGTGCCAGAGATTACTTTGTTCCTCTTCCTCTCTCCCTAGTGGTAGAGCTATAAACTCAAAGTAAGGTACAAAAAGAGATCCATCTAAGGCCATCCTGCAGGTTAGGGGCAGAACTAGGATTCTCTCCAGGGTTTCTGGCTTCTTCCTGAAATAGAGCCTTTCCTGTGGACTTTCCTGCCACCAATGTTGCTTTTAGTCTGAATACCAGTGGGAATGACTGGGGACCCATCAGTAGTAAACTCGTCCTTCAGTTGGTCAATCAATAGAGATATGATTAGCTAGGCTACCTGAAAAAAAAAAAAAAAAGAAAAGAAAACTGAATTTGTATGTATCACTAATGGGCCAAACACTTAAAATAATAAATAAATAAATAAATAAATTTATTGAGACAGGGTCTCACTCTGTCACTTAAGCTGGAGTGCAGCAGCACAATCATGGCTCACTGCAGCCTTATTCTCCTGGGCTCAGGTGATCCTCCTATCTGAGCCTCCAGAGTAGCTGGGACCACAGACGCATGCCACTACGCTGGATAATTTTTAAAATTATTTGTTGAGACGGGATCTCCCTATGTTGCCTAGGCTATTCTCGAACTCCTGGGTTCAAGTGATCCTCCCACCTCGGCCTCCCAAAGTGCTGGGATTACAGGCATGAGCTACCATGCCCAGCCAAATGTAAAATAAATAAATAGACTACAAGAAAAATGAGTAAGTTAGTTCTGTAGTTTCTTCTATAATTTATAAAACAAATCATAAATGAAAGTTTTAACAAATTGGACTACAAAATGCTTTAAAATGTCTACATGACAAAACAAAAACAAATTTTTTTGTAAAAAGTAACTACAAATGGACTTGAAAGACAAAAGGAGAATTCACCCCAGATCCCAGTCTTTTAAACACAAAAGCACATATCCGAAATCATTTATGCTTTCACCACTTGTCAGGCCAATTATAGGATTAGCAAAGATAATGCCTGTGAGCCCGGGCTGTTCAAAGGCATTTTTCATCAGCCTAGGCACGGCTGTTAGAGCTGTCATTATGATCTTTGTGATTTCCAGCTCTGCAGCCAAAATCTGTCTGGAAAAAGCATCGGACATGGATACAGGTGTGAAGGGGGAGTTGTCCGTTAATCACTTTTCCTCCAAAGTGGAAAAGAACTCAGGTTTTCAAACTAGCCACACCCAGATTAGAATCCGGGCTCTGCAGCATTTGCCTTTCCTTTGATGAGATGTACACCATCTCGAACTCTTATCTCCTTGCTTGTAAAATGGGTCTATTGAGACCTGCATCTCCGAATGTTTTTGAGGAATGAATAAGATGATTAGCGTAGACTGCCCAGCACACAGCCTCACAGGTATTTTTTCTTCTTTTTTTGGAGACAGAGTCTCACTCTGCTGCCCAGGCTGGAGTGTGGTGGCACAATCTTGGCTCACTGCAACCTCCAACTCCCGGGTTCAAGTGATTCTCCTGCCTTAGCCTCCCAAGTAGCTGGGACTACCAGCACCTGCCACCATGCCTGGCTAAGTTTTGTATTTTTAGTAGAGACGGGGTTTCACCGTATTGGCCAGGCTGGTCTCGAACTCCTGACCTTGTGATTCCCCCCACCTCGGTCTCCCAAAGTGCTGGGATTACAGGCGTGAGCCACTGCGCCCGGCAGAGCCTGGCACTTATTAGACAATCAAAAAATGTGTGCTCCCCCTCCCATTGCCTTCTCTGGGAGCTCACCCAGGCTCTTCAAGTCATTCCTCCATCAATATTGGTTGGGCAAGTATGCATGCTGGATACTGCGCAGGTGCTGCAGAGACCAGCATTAGCATGGGAGAGGCACTTTCTCCTTCCTGGAGTTTACAGTCTCACTAGGACATCAGACACGGGACAGATAATTTTACAAAAACAAATTATTTAGAATTGAAGGAAAGCTATGAGGAAAAGCAACCCAGATTGTATCAGGAGCCTCTTGACTGAGTCATAGGGGATGAGGTGGCAGGGAGGTGTTCAGAAAGGTCCTCAGAGAAAGGGAACTGATGGATGGGGGAATTTGTGTTTGTTGGAGCCATCCAGGCTGAGAGAAGACCTGGTAAGGTCTGAACAAGATGGCACAGGGTTACCTGGGGTGAAATAATAAGAAATATAAGTATTGGTCTCTGCCCGAGTCCCTGGCACAGAGCTCCTAAAATTCTTACAATTTCCTGAGACATAGGTGAACTAGGAGCATCTTTTATTCTAATATTTGGTCTTTGACCCCAGCTCCTGACACAGAACTCCTAATTCCTTGGAATTTCCTAGGTAATAGGGGTATCTTTGTTTCAATAAGGCAACTCTTATTGGGCTCCCGGATGGGGGCTGGTCACCAGAAAGGCCAAGCCACTGTTAGAAGCTTGGCGCTTTCAGCCCCACCTCCATTCTCTAAAGAGGGAGAAGGGCTGAAATGCAGTTAATAATCGATCATGCCTACGTGATGAAGGCTCTATAAATATCCCTGAAGTATGAGGTTCAGTGAGCTTCTGGGTTGGCCAACACATCTGAGTGCCAGGAGGTGGTGCACCCCAACTCTATGGGGACAGAAGCTCCTGCAATCAGCACCTCTCCAGACGTTGTCCCATGTGTCTTCTCATCTGGCTGTTCATCTGTATCCATTATTTTAACTTTTATTAAGACACTGAAGGCTTGGCATGGTGGCTCACACTCGTAATCCTAGCACTTTGGGAGGCCGAGGTGGGCGGATCATCTGAGGTCAGGAGTTTGAGACCAGCCTGGCCAACATGGTGAAACCCCGACTCTACTAAAAATACAAAAATTAGCTAGGCGTGGTGGTGCGTGCCTGTAATCCCAGCTACTAAGGAGGCTGAAACAGGAGGATTGCTTGAACCCAGGAGGCGGAGGTTGCAGTGAGCCGAGGTGGCGCCACTGCCCTCCAGCCTAGGCAACAGAGCGAGACTCCATCTAAAAAAAAAAAAAGAGAGAGAGAGAAGACACTGGTAAACGTGTTTCCCTGAGTTCTGTGAGCCTCACTAGCAAATTAATTGGACCCAAGTAGGTGGTAGTGGGAGCCTCGATTTATAGCTCATTGGTCAGAAGTGTAGATGATAACCTACTACTTGCAATGTGTATCTGAAGTGGGAAACAGTCTTGTGGGACTGAGCCCTTCACCTGTGGAATCCAACACAATCTTTAGATAGATAGTATTAGAATTGAATTCAGTAAGAGGACACCTAGCAGATGTCCCCTGGAGAACTGCTTGGTGTGAGGGGAAATACACCCTCACATTGGTGTCAGACTGTTGTGTTGAGCGGTACATGAGAATAGATACACACTTCGGTTTTTTGGGTTTTTTTTCTATATTTAATACCTGGGGATACCAAGCAAAGGCCAGTGTGGCTGGAGCCTGGGCAGGGCAGTTGCCACTCAGGCTCAGCACTCCCAGCTTAGGAATTCTGGCTCCAGCACCCCACATGGATTCATCCCAGCTTCAGCCTGGACATCCCGGGGCCAGGAATGCACTACTTCTGGGGTGACCTGGTCCATATGGGGGCTAGTTAGTGCACCCAGAATTTCAAGTGCAGCCTGCTGGCTGCTGCACCACTGCAACCAGGAAGTGGACACCCAGCCGCAAGTTCTTGATCTTAACGGTGGTGCAGTCACTCACTCTCCTTTGCCAAGGCTCACTTTCCCATCTCTGATATTTATCCTGTGTTGTAATTACCTACTCAAATGTCTACCTCCATTATCTTAGGAAGCATGCCTTCCTCCTCCTTCTGTCCCCAGCTCCTAGCACAGACCCTGCACACCCGAGGTGCTGCAGAGAGCACATTTGTTGAATGAATCATAAACGATACTTTGCAAATATTTACTTATTTGATCTTGGATAACTGTTACCCCCCAGTTCTATGTTTTGTTGAGCATCTACTGTGTGCTAGACACATAGACACATTAAGTATAGAATCTCATTGATTAACATATATATATATATATATATATTTTTTTTTTTTTTTTTTTTTTTTTTTGAGATAGGGTCTTGCTTTGTTACCCAGACTGGAGTGCAGTGGTGTGATCTTGGCTCACTGCAACCTCTGCCTCCCAAGCTCAAGAGATCCTCCCACCTCAGCCTCCCAGGTAGCTGGGACTACAGGTGTGTGCCACCATACCCGGATAATTTTTGTAGAGATGGGGTTTCACCATTTTGCCCAGGCTGGTCTCAAACTCCTGGACTCAAGTGATCTGCCTGCCTCAGTCTCCCAAAGTGCTGGGATTACAGGCAAGAGCCACTGTGCCCGGCCCTTAGCCCTTTATTTTAAAAAAATTCAGATAAACAGACAAGTTGAAAGAACAGTACACACACATCCTTCATCTAGATTCAGTAATTTTGCCACAGTTTTTAAATCTCTGTGTGCATGTATGTACACACAGACACACATGCACACATACACACATGCTCGCTCTGTTTCTCTCTCTCTTCCTGAACCATTTGAAAGTTGCTGATATTAAGACTCTTCGCTTCTAATATCTTTAGCAAATATCTCCTAAGAGGAAGGCCGCTTTCTACATAATCATGATGCCATTGTCACGATCAATAAACATAAGACACAAAAGTAGTGTCTAAGAGCAGACCATGTTTGCATTCTCCTGTTGGCCTGATATATCCTTTATAGCTTTTTAATTTTCGTCCAGTAGTATAGAGAGCACATAATTCTCATAACTCTCAAGTCTCCATTAACCTGGAACAGTTCCCTCCCCCTACTTTGTCTTCAGTCTTTCATAATGAAATTAAAAATTTTATTATTATTATTATTTTTGAGACAGTCTTGCGCTGTCGCCCAGGCTGGAGTACAGTGGCGCAGTCTCAGCTCACTGCAACCTCCACCTCCTGGGTTCAAGTGATTCTCCTGCCTCAGCCTCCTGAGCAGCTGGGACTGCAGGCATGCGCCACCACACCCGGCTAATTTTGTATTTTTAGTAGAGTTGGGGTTTCGCCATGTTGGCCAGGCTGGTCTCAAACTTCTGACCTCAGGTGATCCACCCGCCTCAGCTTCCCAAAGTGCTGGGATTACAGACTGAGCCACCACGCCCGGCCTCATAATGAAATTTTGAGAAATCCAAGCCAGTTGTTTTATAAATGTTCCACAATTTAGGTTTGTCATTATAAGATTAAGTTATACATTTTTGGGCCAAAATGCTATTCAGGTGATTCTGTGTCTTTCCAGGGTGTCACACATGTTGTCAGCTTGTCTCATTACTGGGGATGCTAAGTTTTATCAGTTGGTTAAAGTGGTGGTTATCAGAAATCTTCATTGTAAAGTTACCTATTTATCTTTGTAATTAATAAGTAATTTCTGGGGAGACACTTTGAGACTATGTGGATCCAACAACTTCTCACCCAGTGTTTTAGCATTCACTGATAATTTTACCTGAATCAATTATTTCTATCATGGTTGCAAAATAGTGTTTTTCTAATTTCATCTACACTTTTTCTTTTTGGTTAGAATATCACTATATACTCATGGATTCTTTTTTTATACACTCATGGACTGTATAAATTCAATGTGTAGAAATCCTTTTTGATTCAATGTGTAGAAATCCTTTGAGTAGAGGGATATTTTTTAATTCAGTGTGTAGAAATCCTTTCTGATCACTTTTCATTTTGATATTCAAATTGTCTCATGTTTGTCCAGTGTGAGCTGCTTGTTTGAGCTGGCTGCTGTGTGCTTTGATGTGGCTCCAATAGCTTTGAACCTTCTTTGTTTTCTGGTACCAGATATTCCAGGCTCAAATTTTACCCTTATTTTATGGAGGAGGAAAAGGAGGCTCAGAGAGAGAAAACGGCTTGCTTTCTCACAATGTTTGGGAGATCCTGCTCAAGCTCAGGACGTTCAATTCCAAATTTTTAGGAAAGTAGCTAAACTGGAAGGCCAGACAATCCTATAGTGCAGAAAGGACCTCATGAAGAGATGTAGCTAAATCGTTAGCTGTCTGCGCACAGAGCTTGCCTAATAAGATGGAGACATCTGGATGGTATCTTTGAACTTACACAATTAGTAACACATTTCAAAGATATTTTATTTATTGAGGAAGTTGCAATGTGGGGGATAAGAGCCTGGGTTTTGGAGTAAGGAAGAACCAAGGTCTCCTTTAAGACTCAAGCAGATTCAGCCCTTGTGTGTCTCTGGGTAAGTTACTTCACCTTGTTGAATCCCAGACTTTTTCCATCGGTAAAATGGGGTAATCATACCCACCTCATAGTTAAATGGGTTCATTCATAGAAAGTGCCTAGTGTAATGTCTGGCACATGCTGATGCTCAATAGACAAAAGCTACCTTTACCATCAGTGCCGTTGCTATTATTATTATTAAAATCTGAGAAAATCCTGTTATTCAGTGGGTTAATGTGATAGAAAAAACAATAGATTTAGATTCTTAAAGACCCTCGCCCACCCTCTGTGACCTAGGATAAGTCCTACTCCCACTCTCGTGAACTTCATTTTATTCACACGTAAATCAGGGTTCATAATCTCTTCACTGCAAACTTCACAGCATCACTCAATGGATTTCATGAGCACCTACTACGTGCAGGGTAATCACATTCCTAACGCTAAAACCAAAGGGTAAGCATCGCTATACTCCTCCTTTAGTACATGATCAATTGGCAGTCCAGGGCCAACGAGAAGCAAAGCTGGGATTCCATCAGGCACTCTCTGACCTCCATGTTTGTCCTTTTCCATAGGTCACACTGTTTAGAAGGAGAAAGAAGAGCTCGCTGTGAAAAACGCTCCACAATGCTGCAGAGCCTTGTGAAGGTGGAAGAGTACTCTCATCAGCAAACGGCATTCCTTCCATGGAAAATGTCATTGGGAGGAAAGCAGGTGACTTTGGATTTCTTTTTCTTCTTTTCTATCCTTGTAAAGGATTTCCTTCTTCTCTATCTTTGATAACTCGTGAAAGCCTTAGGTTAATATTATCTACCAAGGACTCTACACTTCAAATAAGAACTGGGTGAAGGTAGCGGAGACCGAGCCAGCCCAGAACCAACTGCCTCAACTGAAGAAACTGACCAGAAAAGCCCTTTGAAGCTGTAATTAACTTCAGACATGATTTTGAAGAAGAAGAAGAAAAAACAAAAAACAAAATAACAGTAATGTCAGTGGGTATCAGAACTCCAGCCAATTCAACTGAGAGCTGGGAAGAGGGAAGAGAAAGTGCTGCAAATTTTCAACAGAGTGACCACAGAGTCCTACAGTATGAGCTCTCGTGGTGATGTAGCAGGCAGGCTTCTATTGTTTTAAAGATGGGGAATCATGAAAAAGAGAGAGAGAAGGGAAAGATGGGAAAAAATTTTAATCTTAAAAATATAAAAGCAGGCCAGGTGCAGTAGCTCACACCTGTAATCCCAGCACTTTGGGGTGCCAAAGCGGTCTCAGGAGTTTGAGACCAGCCTGGCCTACATGGTGAAACCCCGTGTCTACTAAAAATATAAAAATTAGCCAGTCATGGTGGCGGGTGCCTGTAAATCCAGCTACTTGGGAATCTGAGGCAGGAGAATTGCCTGAACCCAGGAGGCGGAGGTTGAAGTGAACTGAGATTATGCCACTGCACTCCAGCCTGGGTGACAGAGCGAGACTCTGTCTCAAATATATATATGTATATAAAAGCATTTGCAGCTATTCCAGATTAATATGGGAGGAAGTGATGGGAGAGACCAGAAGATTTGATAATCCCAAACCTAACTTGTTATAATGTGGTACAATGTAGACTGGTTTTCCTTGAGGTCAGGGACTGGACCTGCTTCATGACTGTCCAGTGCTGAGCACAGGGTGTGGCATCTGGTGGGATCTTAGGAAACATTTATGTAATGAGGAAATCTAGGAAATGTGATTGAAAATCTTCTTGACACCTTAGGGCCCTCACTATGATTGCAAAAATTATTAGTCTGTATAGATTAAAGCCAGGCTTCTGATTTATCTGGTGGGGCTGGTTAGTCAGTTATCCCTTTTTCACAGCCTCAGGCACTCTTGGCAGAGTTACATAAGTAAAAAGCCATGTGTGTATGCATGATAGGGATGAACGTATCAGTTAAGGGGCAGACTCCAATTTTGCAACCTTTTTAAAAAATATATTTTATTGTGATTAGAACACGTAACATGAGGACTACCCATTTAACAAATTTTCAAGTGTACGATATGGTATCATCGACTATAGATGTAATATTGTACAGCAGATCTATGGAGCTTATTCAATCTTGCTATCCTGAGCCAAGAAAATAAAAAGTATTTGTGTTTGTGAAATTGATTGGAAGAACTCTGCCAAAGGAAAGGCAACAGTTAGGTCTCAGGCAGGCCGGAAACCAAAACTCCATGGATCATAGAAGTAGAGACTCATGGGTACTTCCTTTCAAGAACCTCCGCTTTCCTTGATGTTTGCTTTGTGGCTGAGGAGACAAAGTGGCTCGATGGCACTCTCAGCTTACAATTCAGAGGAACCATTGTTGAGTCCCCTGATAGAAGTTTTCATCCCTTGGGCTTTGTGGTGGATTAAAGACGGCTACAAATTCCCTATCACTTCTCTGTTGAGAGGTGAAATGTGTTTCCTCAGCCCTTGAATACTGGGTTGGCCTGAGACTGCTTAACCAACAATATGTGGTAGAAGTGATGCTCTCTGTCAGCTCTGAGGTAGGCCTTTAATAAGACTAACAACCTCCTCTTCCTCCCTCTTGGAGCCCAGAGCTGCCACATAAGAAGTCCAGGCAAGCCAGGCGCGGTGGCTCATGCCTGTAATCCCAATACTTAGGGAGACTGAGGCAGGTGGATCACAAGGTCAGGAGTTCAAGACCAGCCTGATTAACATGGTGAAACCCCGTCTCTACTAAAAATACAAAAAATTAGTCGGGCGTGGTAGCATGCACCTGTAATCCCAGCTATTCAGGAGGCTGAGGCAGGAGAATCTCTTGAACCCAGGAGGTGGAGGTTGCAGTGAGCTGAGATCACGCCACTGCACTCTAGCCTGGGTGACAGAGCGAGACTCCATCTAAATAAATAAATAAATAAATAAATATCCAGGCTATTCTGCCAGGCACACAGAATAAGACCACTGAGGCACAGGAGGTCAAATAAAGATGCCATCTTTGATGTCCAGTCCAGTTAAACCTTCAGATGGTTCCAACCCCACCTAGCAACTGGCTGCAACCTCGTAAGAGACTCCAAGCAAGAACCACTGAGCTGAGCCCAGCCAACTCATAGAACCATGAGAGATAACAATATTTTACTATTTAAAGCCACAAAGTTTTGGAGTGGTTTGTTGTACAGCAACAGATAGCCAAAAGAGACCCTAAAACCTATAGCTAGCAAGGCCTAGAGTCTCAGGACAGGAAGTCTAACATTTGGAGAGCAGATGTTAGGTGTCACCTTGAGCAATTCCACCCCTTCGTTCCTGAAGCAATTGTTTCGATTGGAATTCAGTTTGCCTTCACTGAGCAACAGAAAACCCCAGACAATAATGCCTTGAACAAATCGAAAGTTTCTTTCTCTCACAAAAGTCTGGGTAAGTGATCCAGACTGGAATAGTGCTCTAAGATGTCAGGGACCCTGGTTCTTTATGCTTTTTTTATGCAATGCATGACCTAAGCCTCGTGGGTCAAGATGACACTTCAGGCAATAGGACAGAGGAAGGGATGCAAACACAAAGGGTGCTTTCTCCTGTAGAAGGTTATTTAAAGCCACCACATGTGGCTTCTTCTTGTATTCCATTGGTTAATATGTATCTCACGGCCGTGCCTAGCTGCAAGGGAGACTGGAAAATGGTATCTTGATTTTGGGTGGCCATGCACCCAGCTCTAAATTCTACTACTTCTAGTAAGAAAGGCTATTGGGAGACACTTTGCAGTGCCTGCCTCACTGCTACATCTTGAAAAGTAATAGAGAGACACAGGAAATGGCATCACATATGGGATGCTGACTCACAGCACCGATCCCTTCCGGAGGGGAGCAAGCAGTTATCTCCCCATGGGCACTGTGAGCCTCCACAAGGCCATTCTACTGTGCTATAGGAGCCAGCTGCTCCTGGGTCATGGGTGGGGTCTGTTAGGTGAAGAGTGAATCCCACAGGCCTTAAGTCACTGCCACTTTTGCCATGAAGTGAATTCCTTGATAAGAGGGAGCATCGTGTGACATACGATGACTAGGTAAAAGCTTCTATAAGCCCTCAGGCTGTGGTGCTGGTGGAGGCACGAAGGGCAGGGAAAGCAAATCCAGATAAAAAATAAATGTAGGGTTGGGCATGGTGCCTCATACCTGTAATCCGAGCACTTTGGGAGGCCAAGGCTGGAAGATCGCTTAAGCCCAGGAGTTAAAGTCTGCAGTGAGCTATGATTGCATCACCATACACTAGACTGAGCAACAGTGTGAGACCCCGTCTCTAAACAAATAAATTAAATAGTTAAATAAATAAATGTAGGACATTGCCATGAGAACAATTTGGCTGTTCCAGATGGAGTTAGTTCCCAGCTGAGAAACAGGGAGGTGTGGGGCAGAAGGAAGAGTGTTAGCTTCCTTCCTTCTCCATGAGAGGGAGGCGCAGAGGAAAGGCTGCAGACCAAGATGGTTAGTGGGTAGGAATTCTCCAAGTTCTCTCGCAAGCCCCAGATATCACCATCCTTTCCTAAAGGAAACCTGGCAAAGTCATGCCGTTGGCTGTCACTGAAATTCAGCAACTCCCCGAATCCGAGTTTGGCTTTAGCAATCTCGCACCCATGGCCCCAGTGAACAGTTTCCATCTGGCCAGAGAAAAGTCGTGAGTTTCACTTTGTGCCTTGTGGCAAACATCTCAAGACGTGAGCTTGTCCTTATCCTAAATCAAGATACCTGATGCTTTCAGAAGCAGCCACCCTACTGGTTTCCACATCTTTCATCTCCCTTTTAGGTGGCTGAGAATTTTAGCTTCAGCTTGTCCAAAGTCCCAGATTACCCAAAGAGATTATGTGCTTAGCCACTGTCTTCCAAGGGCTGGTCGTTCCTATTCTGGAAGACAATTAGGATTCTCAGTGCCTCTCTCCCTGTCCAGCTCAAGAATCATGGATCACTTGGAGGAAAAGCTAAGCTCCTGTAATAAAAAGGCAAACTAGAGTAGCCTATTTCCCCTTGAGGTGAGTGGCCCAGAGCAGAAGGGCAGCTTTGGTTCTTTGTCGCTCATTCTTCCCCAGGGCAGTGTTCTCTTCTGCATCGGTGCAGCTGGGTTCTGGCTGGTGGGAAAGAAGACAGTGGAGAAAGCTTGCTGGTTATCTTAGAACCCAGGCCCGGAAATGACACGTGACTCCCACTTCATTCCCCTGGTGAGAATTCAGGCACCTGGCCACCCTAAACACAAGCAAGGCTGGCAAAGACAGTCTAGGGGGACAGCCATGTGCCTGGCTCCTATTATACTTAGGCAAAAAAGTAGAATGGAAAGCCTTTTGGTGAACACCTAGCAGTCTCGGCCACATATTCCAAATAGCTCTTATTTCCTTGAGGGTCTGAATGAGTTTTCTAGGACTGCCATAACAAAGTATCATGAACTGGGTGGCTTAAAACAACAGAAATGTATTGTCTCACACTCTGGATGCCTGAAATCTGAAATCAAGGTGTCCACAGGACCACATTCCCTCTGAAGAGGCAATGGAAGGAGCTGTTCTCCAGACCGCACTCCTAGCACCTGGCAGCCACAGGTGTTTCTTGGTTTGTGGCTGCCTCACTCTAATTCTCTCTTTTTTTTCTTTTTCCATTATTTAACATGTTGTTGTTATTGTTGTTTGTTTGTTTGTTTTTTCCCCAAGACAGAGTCTTGCTGTGTTGCCTAGGCTGGAGTGCAGTGGTGCGATCTCGGCTTACTGCAGCCTCCACCTTCTGGGTTCAAGCAATTCTCCTGCCTCAGCCTCCCAAGTAGCTGGGACTACTGATACACGCTACCACGGCCGGCAAATTTTTGTATTTTTAATAGAGACAGGGTTTCACCACGTTGGCTGGTCTCGAACTCCTGACCTCGTGATCTGCCCGCCTCAGCCTCCCAAAGTGCCTGGATTACAGGCATGAGCCACCATGCCCGGCCAACATGTATTTTCATTTATATCCAAATATCACATTTTCTACATTAAAATTATACTGACTTCCCCCGTACCCTACACCCTAAGAGAAAAAAAGAAAAGAAATTTACACAATTTGAAAGGTAGAATGCATGGAGTAGGGAAGTTGCTATTGCACCTGAGTAACAAAGAACAGAGAGACCAAACAGTCAATAAGGCACAACTGCATAGAAGACAGCTCAGGGCTTGCATCAGGAAGGAGCAGGAATAAAACTCCAAAACTTCTAAGTGCCACCACCTGTGCCACAACATTACCCTGAAAAGGCAGAGGTAGGTCCGAAAGCAGAACCAAATCAGGGATTTTCCAAAGGCTGCTTCCTAACAGAGATTAAAATATCCACAAACATGAGAGCCTTTGCTTCTCACCTTGCCTTCAGCATCTGGTAAACACTTTAGAAACTTAAACCACTGTTCACATGTCAGAATGTAGAATGGCTATAGGTTTTTCTTTCTTCTTTTGTTGTACCCCAAGCAACCACTCTATTAATGATTTTAGTCATGTGATTCTTCTGCATGGAAACTCAGTAAAGGTCACCAAAGACAAGGCTTTTCACTGCTATCAGATAAATATCAGCTGTGCAAAAGTTGCAGGATTTTGTGTGTTGCTCAGAGAGGGAGAGCTGTAAGACACAGGAATCTCAATGCATATGTAATAAACAGGAAAAGGAAATTTCTTTTGCTCATCTATTTATTGTATAAGAAAGAGCAAGTAGGCAGTCAAAATCATCTGCTAGGCTAGGGGTGATGTCTCATGCCTGTAATCACAACACTTTGGGAGGCCGAGGAGGGAGGATCACTTGAGCCCAGGGGTTCAAGACCAGCTTAGGCAACATAGTGAGACCCTGTCTCTACAAAAAGAATTAAAAAATTAACTGCATGTGAGTAGCACATGCCTGTAGTCCCAGCTACTTGGGAGACTGAAGTAGGAGGATTGCTTGAGCCTGGGAGCAGCTGTGCTCACACCACGGTACTCCAGCCTGAGCGACAGAGCAAGACTCTGCCTCAAAAACAAACAAACAAACAAAACCAACCAACCAAGCAACCAAAGAAACTATTTGCTTAGAGCAGCAGCACAGAACCACAGGCACATCAACAACCCAAAAGAAAATGCTCAAGAAAGAGCATCTTGGCTCTTTTGAAAGGAGTCATCTTTTAGACCTGATCTTGCCCCTTTAATTTAGAGACCAAAGCATTATAACTCAGAGGCTGATACTCTTGAGGAGGTTGAGAGGTAAAGTCCAAGAGACCCAGATAATGAGGACATTATTAGGTAACTAACTATATCACTGTGTACAATGCAAACATCAATAAGAAAACGTCACCTGCATCCCTGCAGCTACTTTTAGCAAAGCACTGAAGACCCAGGTTTTCTGAATAGGGAATAGTTTGAAGTCTGTTAGCAGTTTAAAGCATTCAACACTGGAACAATATGTTACGTATTCTTTGTTTTTAATTATAGGTTAACACGGTAAACTCCAACACAAAGATGAGGCTAGGGGAGTGCTAAAGGAATAAAGAAAACAGAACCAGCATTTCACAAGTATATTAAGCAGTGATGAAACAGCAGCCAGTGCTTTGCAGAGTCTCAAGGGTAAAATTTACTTTGCTGCTGTGATGGTTAATACTTAGTGTCAACTTGATTGGATCGAAGGATGCAAAGTATTGTTCCTGGGTGTGTCTGTGAGGTTGTTGCCAAAGGATGTTAACATTTGAGTTGGACTGGGAGGGGAGACCCACCCTCAATCTGGGTGGGCACAATCTAATCAGCTGCCAATGTGGCTGGGATAAAAGCAGGCAGAGGAATGTAGAAGGACTAGACTGGCTTAGTCTTCCAGCCTGCATTTTTCTCCCATTCTGGATGCTTCCTGGCCTTCAACATCAGACTCCAGGTTCTTCAGCTTTGGGACTCTTGGTCCTTCGACCACAGACTAAAAGCTTCACTGTCAGCTTCCTTACTTTTGAGGTTTTGGGACTTGGACTGGCTTCCTTGCTCCTCAGCTTGCAGACGGCTTATTGTGGGACTATACTTTGTGAGCGTGTGAATCAATACTCCTTAATAAATTCCCCTTTATGTAGATATCTATCCTATTAATTCTCTCCCTCTGGAGAACCTGACCAGTACAGGTGCTCTTCAGCATATCTTTGGGGAAGATTAGGAACAGTTGCCAACCAGTATCCAAAGTCTCATAGACAGTGTGATTTTCATGAGGACCCTGAAAAATAAAGTTCCTCTCAAACTTCTGCAGAAATTCCAAGTCAAGAAGATCATCTGAGCTAAGGGCTTCTTCTCCAACTACAGCAATCATGGCTTGTACATCCTTCCCAATAGCTTGCCTACAGCTGGTTACATACATCTGCATGATTCTTCCTGGTCATCCCTTCTCCAATAGCAGACTTCATGAACAGTGATAGTTCAGGCAGCACATTGATAGGTGGGTAAATCTCTCTCTTGTGTAGCTGTCTGTCCACATAGATCTGTCCCAGTCAGTTCAGAGATGGGTGAATGATATCGTTGGCAGGCATGGTAAGAGTAGGAATTTGAGTAATTGAGCCATTTCTACCTTCTCCTCGACCTGCATGTTCATATATAGTGGCTAAGTCTGTATAAGTGTAACCTGTGAAGCCTCATCAACCAGGAATCTCTTCTCTGGCTGTAGAAACCTCTTGAAGTGCTTCAGTAGATGAACTCATATCTGTTAGGATAACCAATACATGTTTCTCATATTGGTATGCCAGAAATTCGGCTGTGGTTAGAACCGGGTGAGGGATGGCAATCCACCCAATAGTTGGGTCATTAGCCAAGTTCAAAAACAGGCAGATGTTGTCCATTGAGCCATTTTCTTCAAAACCAGATTTGAAGAACCAGGCAGTTTCCATGTTTACATCCTTAGCAGCAAATACAATTGGAAAATTTTCCTCAGTGTAGTCTACGTCTTTGGATTCATTTAGCAAACCAGTCTGGTGGCAGATTTGAGCTGCAATCTTTGTGTAGTAACCCAGCAGCAGAGAAGATAAAAATTTTCTGCCCCGGCAATACTGTTCATACCAACTATGGCTGAAATGCTGGTCCGAATCATGTCCTCTGGGTAGATTTGACGTTGAGGATTGGTTGGCCATCGCATGATATCAAAGAAATCTTCAGCCAGTACAAGAGGACCTCTGTCAATGGGTTTTTCCCGATCCAACTAATACCCAACAAAGCATATCCTCAGACACTGATGTTTGGAGAATATCCCCAGTCCCTTGAAATACCTGAACCACTGCCTTGGAGCCACCAACTTCTAGAACTTGCCCATGTCTCTGTGCCATCTAGTAATGTCCAGTGGACAATATCAGCGTCTATGGGAAACTTAACGTGATCTAAGATCACTAGTAGACCATGGACTCTTGATACTGTGATGTATGTAAGGCAAGGCTGGGAGAGGTAGTTCCAACTAACTGCCAGCACCTGCTCCTGAGCTCCCACCACCAGCGGGCTTGGGTAGTTTGGGTGTGGCCCATTCATAACCCCACACATCGCCTGCAGCGCCATCATCTTGACATAGCATTTTCCCTGTGTGTCTGCACATTGTCTTCCCTCTGTATTTGTCTGTTTCTGTGTCCAAATTCCCCTTTTTAAGTGACATCAGTCACATTATATTACTATTAGGGCCTAGCCTGATTACCTCATTTTAACTTGATTATTTCTGTAAAGACCCTATTTCCAATTAAGGTTGCATTCAGACATCCTAGAGGACAGGACTTCAACACTGTTTTGTGTAGGGGTTGGGGATTCAACTCATAACAATTCAACTCATAACAAAGTCTGCTGTCTGCAATCAGCTCTTGGGTGCTGATATCTATATGCTCTGTAACAGAAGCAAACCTAAGCAAAGAAAGAGAATGTACTGGAAGTATATTGGGTGGCTCCTGGAACCAAAAGAGAACTTCAACAATCAGGCCTCGGGAGAGGCAAAAATTCCTGGACATCTCTTTAGGGCCTGCTTTCCAGATGATTCTGCGTCAATATCCTTCTGGCCAAGTATCCTTTTTCTCAAGATACAAATTCTTGGAAGAGTCAGTTGGGTTAGCTTGTGGTGGAACCAGGACCTGTTTGGGGCTTGTGAGTGGGATCAAGTGACGGACAATCCTGCTAGGGCCTCATGGGGTAGAGGAGGGGCAGTTCTCCAAAAGAAAGTGAGGGGCGGCCACTAAAGATGGGGGAGGCATGTGATGTGCAGGTGAAACCGCAGGAGTTTGCTACACATTGTACTTTGTTTAAGAAAGACTTCTGCTCTGCAGCTGTGTTTCTAAATGTTATGGCACTTAAAGGAGCCATTTTAGTCATCTGGAAAACGCAGAGTTGTGGGGAAATGCAGTGTCATGTGTTAAAAAGAGCACTCTTGGTGAAATCAGGAGAGCAGGTTTTGTTTGGCTTTTTTAAATATTTGCAGATGGTATAATTCCATCTTGAAAACAAGGGAATCAACTGAAAAGCTCTTGGAAACAGGAAACTTCAACCAAGTATCAAGTTACTAACTGGAAATAAAAATAATGCCATACAGATCAATTAGAAAGAAAGCATAAAAGAACCAAAGATGTTATTCAACTTAGCTACAAAGGCAGCTTGTAAAAGAATAAACTCGGAAAGAAGTGCAAAGGGCATCTATTAAGAGAAAACATCAGATTCTCCTTGGAGGCGTAAAAGACAAAGGGTAGAAAAACTTGGGATAATAAAGATGTAATTTCTCCCTAGGTAAATGGATTAATTCACTGAAAGATTTCAGGTGAGCAAACAAACAAAATCAAATCTGAGCCAATCAAAATCCTAATTAGGTCTTTTAACTTGAAAATATGAGTCTAAAACTCATAGGAAGAGTCCCTGTCCGTGGATGTCATATCCTCAGCCAAAAAACTTCCCCACAGGTTTTGATTTTTGGTTCTGTCATTTAATGATCTGTGAGACCTTGGGGCAGGTAATGTAACCTCTTCGGGCCTTAGTTTTTTCTCTTGTGAAGAGGGATAATCCTATCTTTCTGCTTAACAGAGCTGTAGCAATGATCATGTGAGAGAAAGTATTTGGAAGTGTCTTATAAACTGTAAAGCACGTTTCATGCTATAGTTGCTATTTTTATTCTTCCATGATGCCAGATAAATAGGAAAAATCACAATGCAAAAGGAGTCCATTGCTCTGCAAGAAGATAAACACCTCTTATTAAACTCGGATACATCATGATTTGTAAATATTTGATTCCTGTGAAGGAGAGAAAAAAGCTAATGCAAGCTGTTTGCTGCTCAGTAAGTGAGGGCTCACTCTCTGGTTATGGAACTGAGCAAAATGCTTATGGCCTCCCCTCTGTCTCCAACCCCACACCCCTGTGTTGTCATCTGTAGAGTGAAAGGTTTTGGACTTCAGGGTGTTTGACAGCATGAACTTTGGGTCTCTACAGATCTTGGTTCAAAATGTAGTGCCAGCAATTACTTTGGACAACTTATTATTTCTTTTCTTGGGTTCCAAAATCCATCAGACAGGCATGATAATAATCTCTATTATTATATCTATTAGTATTTCTCAAAGGGATGATACCTACCTCATCAATCTTCAGGAAGACTTGAGAGTTAAATGGGATAATAAATACTAAGTGCCTGGAACCTAGTAAAAGCTCAATAAATGAGCATTGTAAATAATTAACTATCATAATTACCATCATTATTATTACTCTAAGGGCCTTTGCAGCTTTAAAATCTAGGATAACATGTCAGAGAAAAGCTAAAACAGGGAGGAAACAGAAAAGATTCCCTTAATACGGCTTGAATCAGTACTTGCAAGGGAGAGATTTTTCTGGAAGATGGCTTGTGTATTCATCATAAGGCCTCATTTAACCTTGGTGACTCACAGAGTTCGGCTGGGCCTGCTGTCCTCTGGAAAAAGGGGGATAGAGGAGTAACGAACCAAATGGGGCTAGACAGGGGAAAGCCATGGCCTGGAGACCACAGTGGATGGTTCCTTAGAGAGTCTGGTCCAAGGTTTTTAACTTTTATAAAATATATGTTAAATTGAGAAATTTCTTTTTCTGCAAATAAGTTTTGAGGTAGGGACTGTTGGTTGCCAAACCAAAGCTATGCCCTTTTCATTCCTTGACAGCGCAGCTCTGATAATTGTTCAGGATCAGACAGCTGAGTGGCTCAGGAGAGAATGGTGCAGCCTCAGGACAAGGGGCAGGAGGAAGCCTGATTACTTTGGCCAGTGATTGGTTTAGAAATGGGCATGTGATGCAATTCTGGCCTATGAGATAACAGGGGATGTAAGGCATGTCATCTTTTCCTTAAGAAAGAGGAAAATTTTCCTATAGAAACCCTGCCTGCTCCTGGGCTTCTGCGTAAATTTTCCTCATCCTTAAGGAAAGGGTGATGTACCTACATCTCTGGCAGGAACATAAAACAGCACAACCCCTATGGAGGGTACATTAGTTTCCTATCACTGCTGTAACAAATTACCACAAACTTGGTAACTTAACACAACACAATTTATTCTCTTAAAGTTCTGGAGTTCAGCAGTCTCCCTGGGCTAGAATGAAGGTGTTGGCAGGGCTGTGCTCCCTCTGAAGGCTCCAGGGAGAATCCACTTCCCTGCCTTTTCTGGCTTCTAGAGTTTCGTTCCTTGCATTCCTTGGCACATGGTTCCTTCCTTCATCTTCAAGGCCAGCCACGTAGCATCTTCGGATCTCTGTTCTGTCTTCATACTGCCTTCTCCTCCATGGTAAAATCTCCTTCTGCCTATCCTTTATAAGGAAACTTACGATTACATTTAGAGATCACTTCGATAATTCAGGACATTCTCCCCATCTTAAGATTCTTAATCACATCTGCAAAATCCCTTTTGCCATATAAGCTAACATCCCAAAGTTCCAGGAATTAGGATCTGGTTATCTGTAGGGGCCATTAATTAGCCTACCACAGAGGGAATTTTGGTACTAACTAGCAAAATTACTTGTACATTTATTTTTTTCAAGGTCAGGGTTATTGAGGTATAATGTACATATAGTAAAATTCATTTTTGAGGGGGGTGGGAGCAGCGTTTTGCTCTTGTTGCCCAGGCTGGAGTGCAATGGCACGATCTTGGCTCACTGTAACCTCTGCCTCCTGGGTTCAAGAGATTCTCCTGCCTCAGCCTCCCGAGTAGCTGGGATTACAGGTGTGCACCACCACGCCCAGTTAATTTTTGTATTTTTAGAAGAAACAGGGTTTCACCAGGTTGGCCGGGCTGGTCTTGAACTCCTGACCTCAGGTGATCCACCCATCTTGGCCTCCCAAAGTGCTGGGATTACAGGTGTGAGCCACTGCACCTAGCCATATTTTTAGTGCACAATTGTATGAGTTTTGACCAGCACATATAGTTGTGTAATTATATCACAATCAAAATGTAGACCAGTTTCATCACCCCAAGAAATTAATTTATGTTGCCCCTTAGTAGCCAAACCACCCCCTTGGCTTAGCCCCTGGCAACCACTGGTCTGTTCTCTGTCCCTGTAATATTGTCTTTTTGAGAATGTATAAATGGAATCATAGCATATGTAGCTTTTTAAATCTGGCTTCTTTCCCTTAGCACAGTGCATTTGAAATTCATCCATGTTGTAGTGGGTCAGAAGTTTGTTCCTTTTTATCATTGGGTAGCAATTAGATTAAATAGATGTATCACAATGTATTCATCAGATGAAAGAAACTTGAATTGCTTCTAGTTTTTGGTGATTATGAATAAAGCTTCTATAAATGTTCAGGTACAGACAAATGTGAAAATATGTTTTCATGTCTCTTGAGTAAATATGTAGGAAAAGGATTGTTGGCCGTATTATAAATATATTGCATGTTACATTTTATAAGAGACTGGCAAAATGTTTTCCAAAGTGGCTGCACCATTTTGCATTCCCACTAGTAATGTATGAGAGTTCCAGTTGCTCCACAACCTCATCAGCATTTAGCATTGTCAGTTTTCTTTCTCTTAATTTTAGCCATTCTGAGAGGTAGGCAGTGGTATAGTAATCCCACTTCTAGATAGCTATCACAAATATGCAGTAGCAAAAATATAAAAAGGTGCATGTGCAAGGCTAGCCACTGCAGCTCTATTTGTAATAGCAAGAAAATGGAAACTCAAATTTTAATCGATGGAAAACTAATTGAATAAATGATGGTACATCCCCCAAATGAAGTATTATGCAGCTACTACAAGGGACAAGAAATTACTCCACTACTATGTGTGATCTCCAGGATATATTTTTAAGTAAAAAGAGAAAAGTATGTATAGTATGCAATCATTTATCTACAAATAAGAGAAAAACTATAAAAATTTAATAAAATATTCCCATAGCAAAAGGGAAAGAATAGAAAGGAAGGTACAGGGATGGAAGCTAGGCTTCTAAAAATATAGCTTTAGAAGCTAGCTTCTAAAAAAAAAGTAGATTTAACTTTGGAACAATGTAAACATTTTATGTAATTACATGCAAAATTAAGAAAAAATCAAATTCCTAGAAAGTAAAAATAATGTTAAATTAAAATGACCCTGTGTGTCCAGTTGATGACGTAACCACACAAAGAAGACTTTAGTGACCTTAAATCACTATCATTCGATTCTATACTCCTAGAAGACTATATCTGGCAAAAAGAGCTGTGTATTACAGGATGAAAATAATAATTATGTTGATGTCCTTAAAAATTAAGATATTTGGCATAGTTGATAGGAGATATAAATCTAAGATTGATAAGATTGAGCAAAAAGTCTATAGTCCTCCACTTCAATTGGAAGTATCAGTATGGATGCATTATACCTTTTCTTTCTTTCTTTCTTTCATTTTGAGTCAGGGTCTCACTCTGTCACCCATGCAGGAGTGCAGTGGCATGATCAGGGCTCACTGCAGCCTTGACCTCCTGGGCTCAAGCAATCCTCATGCCTCAGCCCCTCTAGTAGCTGGAACTACAGGTGTGCACCACCATGCCCAGTTAATTTTTTAAAAACATATTATTAGAGACAAGGTCTCACTTTGTTGCCCAGGCTGGTCTCAAACTCCTGAGCTCAAGCGATGCTCCTGCCTCGGCCTCCCAAAGAATTGGGATTATAGGCATGAACCACTGAGCTTTGTCCCTTTTATCTTTAGAAAACAATATACATCTCCTAGCTATGCCTACTAAAAATAATTGAAATTCAAGTAAACTGTGAAAAGAAAAACACTTTTTAAAAAAGAGACGAGGTCTTGCTAAGTTGCCCAGGCTGGAGTGCAGAGGCTATTCACAGGTGCAATCATGGCTCTCTATAGCCTTGAACTGTTGGGCTCAAGTGACCCTCTTGCCTCAGCCTCTTGAGTAGCTAGGACTACAGATGTGTGCCACCGTGCCCAGCTTGAAAAACGCATTTAAAAGACAACCAGAGAAATATAAATGTTATAGTATATTTACTGAAACTCAGAAATGATTGTCAATATGTTAAACTGTGATAATGGTATTGTATTTTTTAAAAAGAACTTGTACCTTTTAGAGATATATTCTGAAATATTTATAGAAGAAATAATATATCTAAGATTTGCCTCAAAATTATCTGAGGGCAGGGAAAGGAAAGGTATGTGAACACGTAGATGATTCAGGATGAGTATTTAGTGGCAATTGTAAAAGCTGGGTGGTGGGCACATTAGGATCATTATACTACTCTTTCTACATTTGAGTGGTTTTAACATTTTCCATAATAAAAAAGTTTTTTTTTTAAAAAGGAGATGTGAAGATAGTTGTCTGAGGATGCTATGCTCAGAGCTGCTGCAGTCACTTTGTGAGAATGAAAGAGCAAGCTTGAGGCCTAAAGCATCCAATTTGATAGGTATTCCATTTCTATGAATTCAAATTTCTTAACTTAATTATAAAGCTAGTTAATGCGAAAATGAGGCAATTATCATGGACACAAATATTGAAACTAGGGTTTATCCATGTATATTCATGAGACTTTTTTGGTTGCAACTAATAGAAACCTTAGCATAGTTTAGGCAAAATTTAGAGATTTATTATGGAAATTCAGAATTCTAGGACAGAAGTGCCACCAAGACTCATGAAGAACATAGTTCACAATATCAGGTCCCTCCATATCCTTTCTCCAGCTCTCATCGCCGCTCTTCAGCATTACCATGACTGTCTATCACCACCCTCTCATTGCAGACCAGCTTCCTTCATTTTCCAGCCCACATCATGGAAAACTTGCACAAGTCCAAGTTCAGCCATTCAGATAGAGACAGGTTTTTTTCTCCAGACCCAGTTCCAAAACTTCTGGAAGAAGAGCTTGATTGGTCCGGAAGCTGAGATTGTCCCGTCCAGTGGGGAGGGCCCACTCCTAAGTGAGTCATGGCCAGAGTTTAAGGCGTGTGTGATATGGCTGCTCCTGTGGTTCCTGTGGTGTTCCTGTAGGCAGAAGAGCAATTCCCAGAGACGTGTAGGTGGGAAGTGGGAGGCAGACAGAGCAATAGGCATCTATATAGTTGAGTCAGGCCAGATCATGAGATCATGAATGGGTGCAAAAATTGCTGAGAATGATGCCTTGGGCAGGTTGAATTTTGGTTGACTGCGGAAAGTCAGCCAGCAGGGGCAAGGAAGACTCGGTTCCCGGCTGCCCCAGGGTGCTCACAGGGGCTTGCTCAAGTTCAGTGGTCATTGCAGCCCATGGATAGTCAGGAACCAGCCAGACCAGAGGTGCTCAGGCCTTGGTGCTCAGGGAAAGAAAGGCTATATCAGTGCTCAAGGGCCCATCTACTCCCACGCAAGGGAGCCCCCGCCACACTGCTGTCTGGCATTTGTCCCACATTGTTCCAATTCTTACACCATCAGGCTTAAAAATACAACGCAACAACTGTAGCCTTCCAACTGTGCAGCCTCTGACTTCCACCTTCCATTCTAGTGACATAGTATTGAGAACATCCTGACTCACACCCATAAGTAGTTGCAAACTGAAATCGTTTTTCTTCATCTTCCATTGCAACGTCAGTCTGGCTTTTAAGCTACTTTTCAATTAAACTGATCCAGAAGCTTGAGAGAGAAGTGAGTAGAAAATGTTTTATTTGAGTTTAAATCACTAATCTAGGCAATAGCTGTGGGTATTCTGTAGCATTCATTTGAATCAGGAGGAAAAGAGCATCCAAGATTTAAAATAAGTACAAAAAGCATCCAAAATAGAATAATCAAATCACCAAATCAAATAATCAAATTGACTTAGTTGTTACACTGGGATCCTAATGAACCCCAATGTTAGCCCTACTTGACTCACGAGATTCTGGTAATGGGTCACTGATAAAGCCCAGGTAAAGCAACCTCACCCCCCCACCCCACCACCCCCAGTGCCCACCACACCCCGCCACTGCAAGGGAGTCTCACCAATGAAGGCCATCCATGAAGAGGGGCAGTCTTCAGTTCATTAGGAGAGTATGTATATGCTATGCTATGTATTTGCATAGAAATGAATAAGGTGCTTCCACATTCTCTCCTTTATTTGATCCCAACAAAGGGAGTTAGATAGGACAGATGTTATTTTATAAAGGAGGAGACTGAGTCTCAGAGAAGTGCTGTAAAGTATCCCCATTAGCCAGTGATACATAAAGAAGAAAACAATTGTTATAACTTCAAGCCCTTGACTCTTTTTTTTTAGCAGGGGGGTCAGAGTCTCACTCTGTTGCCCAGGCTGGAGTGCAATGATGCAATCTCGGCTCACTGCAACCTCTGCCTCCCAGGTTCAAGTGATTCTCCTGCCTCAGCCTCCTGAGTAGCTGGGATTACAGGTGTGCACCACCACACCCAAGCCCTTGTCTCTTTCCTTAATCCTCCCTCCCTCTCTTTCATCTTCCTCCTTCTCCCTTCTTCCCTTCCCTTCCTTCACTTCCCTTCTCTTGCCTTCCTTCTTTCCTTTTTCTCTCCTCCTCTCCCTTCCCCATCTCGTCCCTCCTTCCTTCCATAAATTTATTGAGTCTTACTATGGGTCAAGACCTAGGCTTGAAACTGGGGGTTTGAAAATACATGAGATCTGGTTACTGCTCTGAAAGAACACAGCAGGGGAACAGGTGTATCCAAAGCTAAAAATGGATACAATATGGAGGCATTCAGAGGCAAGGAGGACATTGAACTGGGCCTTGAAGGATAAGTAACACGACCAGGTAGAGGTCATGGAAATGGGAAAGGCATCCTAGGCAGAGGGAACAGAGAGAGCAAATGCCTTAGAAGACACACAAACATAGATTATTGGTGGGGTGGGCAGGGGAGAAGCCCTGGTGTCTGGGAAAGAAGGCGAGTAGGTGAGGCTGGTGCTAGATCAAGGAAGGCCTTGGAGGCTGTGCTAAGAGGTCTGGAAGGTGATGGGGGCTGTTGAAGATTTTTAGGCAGGGAAATGACAGGGTTATGTTTTTAAGAAAGATCATTTAGAGGCCATCGTGTAGTGGATGATTAGCACGAGATGAGATTGGGGGCACTGAGGCCAGTTAGGAGACTTTTGTGACAATCTAGATGTAAGATGATAACATAGGAGCTGAGGCAATGGGAGATGGTGAGGAGGGGCTTATTTCAAAAGATTGAGGAGATAGACTTGATAGGACTTGGCAACAGAGGTGCAGGCAGGATGATGTCTAAGGAGATGCAAGAGACTGGGCGTGGTGGCTCACACCTGTAATCCCAGCACTCTGGGAGGGTGAGGCGAGTGGATCACCTGACTCCAGGAGTTTGAGACCAACCTGAGCAACATGGTGAAACCTGGTCTGTACAAAAAAAAAAATTTTTTTTTAAATACAAAAATTTAGCCAGGCATGGTGGCATGTGCCTGTGGTCCAAGCTACTTGGGAGGCTGAGGCAGGAGGATCACCTGAGCCTGGGAGGTGGAGGCTGCAGTGAGCCATGATCGTGCCACTGCATTCCAGCCTGGGCGACAGCCTGAGACCCTGTCTCAATAAATAAATAAATAAGATGCAAGAAAGTAACCATGAAGTGGTTCATGCCACTTAATTCCTTCCCAAATAACATGTCCTTATCATCCCTTCCTTTCAGAGGATATATTTCTATTTATCTATTCTTTCTCTCTGATACGACTTTCTCAAGACTGGTTCTCCTTTCTGGTTTGGGCAGCAATATTTTTTTCCACTTCCTGTTTTCTGGTGTCTGATTCCTCAATAAACAAGGTCATGGTGAGAAATAGCCACATGTATACCTGGGGACTTTCTGCCCTGGTCACCAGTGATTGGACCAGGTGGGCACGTGAGCAAGCTGGGCCAATCAGAGTCCTTCTCTGTGTTCTTGAAATTAGGGAAAGAAAATGGCTGCTGCTTTCTTGAAAGAAATGGAAACTAGGTGGCTTTGGCTGATGATTCAAGTGGCTGTTTCTTGAGAAGTAAAAAAGCTGGTTTTTTAGTGAGTGAGAATAATGACGTCTATGCTCAGGGAGAAACAGATGAGAGAAGAAAGAGGGCTGTGTGGTTCCCATAGAACTTGGAGATGATGCTACCTTATCCTGAAGCCGGGATGTAAGTCTAGCCTTTGGCTCCCTGTTGCTTGAGCTAGCTCTGGTCGTACTTTCATACATTTGTCTACAGATGCTGTTACAAAACTCACACACCAATGACTATATCTTCTGGAAGTACCTTTGCCTTTGTGCAATTTACTCTCTAGATCCTTCTCTTTTTTTTTTTTTTTTTTTTGAGATGGAGTCTCACTCTGTCGCCCAGGCCGGAGTGCAGTGGCACAATCTTGGCTCACTGCAACCTCCGCCTCCTGGGTTCAAGTGAATCTCCTGCCTCAGCCTCCTGAGTAACTGGGATTACAGGTGCCTGCCACTACACCCAGCTAATTTTTTGTATTTTTAGTAGAGACGGGGTTTCACCATGTTGGCCAGGCTGGTTTCGAACTCCTGACCTTGTGATTTGCCCGCCTTGGCCTCCCAAATTCTGAGATTACAGGCGTGAGCCACGGCGCCCAGCCGATCTTTCCCTTTTTGGCTTATCACACCTGTTTGGTGTGTGTGTGTGTGCTTTGAGATAGGGTCTGGCTCTGTCACTCAGGCTGTAGTGCAGCTGTGTGATCTTGGCTCACTGCAACCTCTACTTCCCAGGCTCAAGCCATCCTCCTACCTTAGGCTCCCAAGTAGCTGAGACTACAGGCATGTGCCACCACGCCTGGCTTATTTTTTGTATTTTTAGTAGAGATGGGGTTTCACCATGTTGGCCAGGCTGGTCTCGAACTCCCGACCTCATGATTCACCTGCCTCGGCCTCCCAAAATGCTGGGGTTACAGGTGTGAGCCACCATGCCCCTCCAATCCTTCCCTTTTTTGCTTATCATGCCTGCTTGGGGTGTGTGTGTGTGTGTGTGTGTGTGTGTGTGTGTGTGTGCTTTGAGACAGGTCTGGCTCCTACCTTAGCCTCCCAAGTAGCTGGGACTACAGGCACTTGCCACCATGCCTGACTAATTTTTTGTATTTTTTTTTGTAGAGTTGGGGTTTCGCCACATTGTCCAGACTGGTCTTAAACTCCTGAGCTCTAGCTATCCTCCTGCCGCGGCATCCCAGCATACTGAGATTACAGGCATGAGCCACTGCACCCGACCCTGTTTGTTTTTTTAAGTAAATTTTTGAACTGAAGTATAACATACCTACAGCTGATGTGTTCTTTTTTTTTTTTTGAGATGGATTCTCACTCTTCACCCAGGCTGAAGTGCAGTGGCATGATCTCAGTTCACTGCAACCTCCGTCTCCCGGGTTCAAGTGGTTCTCCTGCCTCAGCCTCCCAATTAGCTGAGATTATAGGCACCTGTCACCATACTTGGCTAATTTTTAATTTTTAATTTTTTTTATTTTTAGTTGAGACAGAGTTTCACCATGTTGGCCAGGCTGGTTTCGAACTCCTGGCCTCAAGTGATCCACCCAACTCGGCCTCCCAAAGTGCTAGGATTATAGGCGTGAGCTACCGTGCCCAGCCTGATGTTCATTTTTAAACAACTCATTTGCAATTATTTTTAAAATCATCATTCTAAATTAAATATAAGAAATAATATTGTTATATCACCTCTAAACATTGAAAAATGTGCTGATGCTGGTAGGTAATGGACAATGGAGGTGTTGAGGGTAGGTGAATGGGTGTGGAGAAAGACATACAAATGGCCAGGCGCGATGGCTCACACCTGTAATCCCAGCACTTTGGGAGGCTGAGGCAGGAAGATCACCTGAGGTCAGGAGTTCCAGACCAGCCTGGCCAATGTGGTGAAACCCTGTCTCTATTAAAAATACAAAAAAATTAGCCGGGTGTGGTGGCAGACACCTGTAATCCCAGCTACTCAGGAGGCTGAGGCAGGAGAATCACTTGAACCCGGGAGGCAGAGGTTGCAGTGAGCCGAGATCATGCCATTGCACTCCAGCCTGGGCGACAAGAGCAAAACTCTGTCTCCAAAACAAACAAACAAACAAAAGACATACAAACAATTCAAGTATAATTTGAAAAATTAGAAGCATTTATTCAACAAATGCTTATTCAGTGCCCACTATGTACCAGGCACTGTAAAAAAAAAATGCCAGGAAGTCAGTCCCATAGAACTTAAGTGTTGATGGGGGTATATAAAAAGAGATGTGGCCAAACCAGGAAGGGTCAATTCATTTTACCCCAGGGATAAGAAATGGGGAAGGTAGCATTTGAGCTGGGCTTAAAAGGAGAAGTAGAATTTTGACAGTTGGAGTAGGTAGAAAAAGGGCATTATATGTTCAGAAACCAGCGTGAGCTAAGATATGGGGGAGTGATGGTTCAAGGACACGCTTGGGGAGTTGGGAGAAGACTCCTGTGGCCAGTGGTGGATTATGAGTTTGGGAAGGTGGACAGTGGCAGGAAATGAAGCTGGAGGGGCTCCAGGAGGCAGATTTCAAAAGATCTTGAATGCTACATATGACGGAGACATTTACTGTTCACCAAGTATCTATCTACCTACTTTCCACATTTCCTAGTCTTTTGGCAGTTGGAGGAACCACATGACTAGTTTCACCAATGGGCTATAGGCAAAAGCCACACATGTTAGTTCTGGGCTAAAGCATAAAAGAGTGAGTGTGAGCTCTCCCTTAGCTTTCCTGCCTCACTGTAATGAACAAGGCAGCCACGTCTTCCAAGTGCAACTTCAATATGGTGGCCTCTGCATCAGTCTGGGGTCCATGAGTGATTATGTGGAGCACATGCATTGGATATGTGTCATGAGCAAGAAATAAACTTTTGCTGTATTAAGACACTAGGATTTCGGGGGGGCAATTTGTTACTATAATATAACCTAACTTTTCCTGACTGATACACCAGGGTAAGAAATTCAGAATTTACCCTGGAGGTGGAAAGTAGCTTGTCTTAGTCAGTCTGGGGGGACTATAGGAAAATACCATGAACTGGATGGCTTATAAACAAAAGACATTTATTTCTCACAGTTCTAGAGGCTGGAAGTCTAAGATCAGGGTGCCAGCATAGTTGGGCTCTGGTGAGAGCCCTCTTCTGGGTTGCAGACTACCAGCTTCCATTGTGCCTCACGTGGTGGGAAGAGAGCTAGCTGGGTCTTTAGCCTCTTCTTATAAGGGCACTAATCCCATTCATGAGGGCTCTACTCTCATAACCGAATTACCTCCCAAAGGCCCCACTTCCAAATAGCATCACATTGGGGTTAGAATGTCAGCCTACAAATTTTGGTGGTCACAAGCTTCCAGTCCGTTGCATAACCCTTGACAGGTTTTAAGCAGGTGAGTAATGTTGTCAGATTTGTCAGACAACTGCCATCCAGATTGTCCCTATCTGTTTGTAACAGTGGTGCCATTAGCCATTGTCTCCTCTCAGGAGGGTTTGAGCTTGTTCAGTTCAGCTCCCATATTTCTTGTTATCTTTCCCTTACCAAGTACAGAGGCCCAGAGCTTTCTTGTCACCACTGCTCTGGGCCCAGAGCCCCATTCCCCTGCTATGAGCTTATAGGTTTTGTCCTGCAGCATTATGTAGGTATCAGCAACCTGGAGTCACGGGACAGGTTCATCTCGAAGTTATATGGTATGAGTGGGCATCTCTCCAGCTTGGCAGGCATCAATGTGTTCACTGCTAATGGAGTGACATATTTACCAGCTGCCCACAGTGAAACAAAGTGTGTAGATGAATTTGGTGCAGGAATAGGCGGTTCTCTCTCTATTTGGTGCAGGAACTGGCGGTTCTCTCTCTGGTTATGGCTGAGAGATCTGTGACAATGACTCAAGTCTCATCCTGCTCCTTGTTGCTCAAACAATGTCCCTTGAAACCCTTCTTTGCTGGTTCCATTCACCTGTCTCCACTGAGCTTCAGGTCCTCTTCCTTTTTGGTAAACTACCCTACATCAGCTCCCAGGCTGGCAGGGCTCTTGGGGTGACCCTCCCTTCACTTTCTTCTTCTCCTTTCCTCTGGTCTCCTACTCTTTTGAGAAAATTCTTCTTTCTCCTTTTTTGGCTTCCTCAATAGTACTTCCTTCTTTCTCTCTACCAGTTCCTCTGTTCTCTCGTTCTTTAGCAGAAGACTTGATGACCTATTTAATCTAGAGTCTGGATCATCAGCAATTAAAACAAGCCAAAAAAGAAAAAAGATCATTTCCTTTTCCTTAAGCGGTCAGGAGCGCTCAGCCTTCAAACTGCATAATACAGTTGGGGCAAAAATTGTGGCAGGTAGGCAAAGAAAGGGAAGCAACTACAAAACAGCTCAGCTTTGATCCTAACACAGTTTTAGCCTCCACAGCCTGCTACATGCGTAATAGCAAGACTTGGCTTCCCGTGAAACAAGATCACCTGCTCTAAATGCCTTAGGCTTTATACCATTTACAGAGTCTCTCAGTCCTGGGTTTCATTCTTATTTAAATGTAAGTTCTTTCTCTTCCCTTTTCTCTCTCCCAAGTTCCTGCTCCCTCAGACTCCTGTCTCCGGGGTCCACCACACAGGAGGAAAGAATTATTTAAAAGCAGAGCCTCTTTACCTAAAGAGGTCATACTTCTCTTTAGGATGATTTTAACCTTTCTTCTCCAGACCAGGCTCTGGTCTTTGGCTTTGCACAACCAAAAGACCTTTAGAAAGATTTTTCTCTCCTCTGAAAGAGCAATTTTCTCCCAAAGATGAATTCTTCTGCTAGCCCTTTTAGCAATGAGCACACGTAGCAATATGTTTGTGTCTCCACCACGTTTTATTTCTAATGTTATTATTATTATTTTGAATAGCTAATACATATATCTAGTTTAAAATTCAAAAGCAACAAAAGGATATACACAGAAAAATCTCCTTTTGCCCTGCCTGCCAGCTACCTAGTATTCTCCCCAGGGGTGACCAGTGTTACCAGTTTCTTATATACCCTTACAAAAGTATTTTACGTAAGTACAAGCAAATACATATATCTTCATTTTATTTATTTATTTGTTTGTTTATTTATTTTGAGACAGAGTCTCTCTCTGTCGCCCAGGCTGGAGTCAGTGGCGTGATCTCGGCTCACTGCAAGCTCTGCCCCCTGGGTTCACACCATTCTCCTCCCTCAGCCTCCCGAGTAGCTGGGACTACAGGCGCCCGCCACCACGCCCGGCTAATTTTTTGTATTTTTAGTAGAGACAGGGTTTCACCGTATTAGCCAGGATGGTCTCCATCTCCTCACCTTGTGATCTGCCCACCTCGGCCTCCCAAAGTGCTGGTAGTACAGGTGTGAACCACCGCACCCGGCCATTTATTTATTTTTGAGACAGGGTCTCGCTATGTCACCCAGTCTAGAGTGCAGTGGCACAACAGTCACTGCATCCTCAACTTCCTGGGCTCAAGTGATCCTTCCACCTAGTCCCTGGGTATCTGGGAGTAGGCGTGCGCCACGATGCCTGGCTAATTTTTGTATTTTTTATAGAGACGGGATATTACTGTGTTTCCCAGGCTGGTCTCAAATTCCTGGCCTCAAGTGGTCCTCCCACCTCAGTCTCCCAAAGTGCTGAGATTATGGGCATAAGCCACCATGCCTAGCTCATGTATCTATTCTTTCCCCTCTTTATTTTTAACACATATGCTGATATTCCATACACATAAAAATATAGATATAGCTTGAGAATGCCCCCATTTTACTACATAAGGATTTCCACTTTCTTTGTTTATAATGGAATGGCATTCTACTGTATGCATGTATTATGATTTATTTAAATAAATTTATTTAAATAATCTTCTTTTGGTGAACCTTTAGGTGATTTCCATTATTTTGCTATTGCAAGCAATGATTAATAACTTGTAAATATGCCATTTTGCCCATTTGAGTACATCTGTAGGAAAAATTCCTGGGGGTGGAACTGCTGGATCATAGAGAATAGCGGTTCCAATTGTCCTTTTTCATCTTGCATCAATTTACACTCTAACTAGACATCAAGAAATTCTGTTTTCCCACACAGTGCTTTACATGATTTCCAGAAAAATCCTTCTGGGGTCATGAGGGAATTGTTTGGAGGGAGAGGACTTAGAGATACCTATGAGAGAGATGGTGAGTTCTCGGTAAAGTGGGGCTGGGGGAGATCTACTCTCTTCGGGGGTCAAATGAGCCTTTTTAGAGGAAGATATTTTGAATTGGGTCTTAAGAAATCAAGAGCTCACCAAGTAAGAGCGGGAGGGGAAGGCTATGTGCCTGTGCTGGCTTTTCTTGGGAGTTTAATCTGTTTAATCTGAAGAGATTTTCTTTTTTTGAGAAGAAAAACATTGTATGCCTGAGGATATACCTTGCAGAAATTACCTATAGGAGTAAGGAGCCAAAAGAAAACGTGATGTATATATGCACTTGAATATTATTTAGCCATTAAAAAGAATGAAATTTTGTCATTTGCAGCAACATGGGTGGAACTGAAAGTCATTATGTTAAGTGAAATAAGCCAGGCACAGAAAGACAAATACTGCATGTTCCCACTCATCTGTGAGAGTGAAAACCATGGGTCTCGAGGATGTAGAAAGTAGAATTGTGGCTGGGGAGGGTAAGGAGGAAGAGAGGATGAAGAGAAGTTGGCTGAAGGCTACAAAAATGCAGTCAGATAAAATAAATAAGTTCTAGGCTGGGCTCGGTGGCTTATGCCTGTAATCCCAGCACTTTGGGAGGCTGAGGCAGGTGGATCACCTGAGGTCAGGAGTTCGAGACCAGTCTGGCCAACGTGGTGAAACCCCATCTCTACTAAAAATACAACAACAAAAAAAAAATTAGCTGGCCGTGGTGGCGGAAATCTGTAGTCCCAGCTACTCAGGAGGCTGAGACAGGAGAATCGCTTGAACCCAGAAGGTAGAGGCTGCAGTGAGCCAAGATCGTGCCACTGCACTCCAGCCTGGGCAAAACAGAATGAGACTCCATCTCAAAAAAAGAAAAAGAAAAAAAGGAATAAGTTCTAGAATTTGATAGTACAGTAAATTATAATTAACAATAATTTATTGTATATTTCAAAATAGCTAGAACAGAAGATTTGTAATGTTCCCAACACAAAAAAGAGAAATGTTTGAGGCAATAGAGATCCAAATTACCCTGATTCAATCATTACACATTGTATATGCATGTGTCAAAATATCATTTGTACCCCAAAATATGTACAACTATTATTTATCAATTAAAAAAAAGAGTAAGAAACAGGAAATCATTTGATAAAGGTCAAGTAATCATTATATATATACTCTACGGAAAAGAAAAGTATGATAATTAATAGTAACTATAATAATAGTAGCTATAATTTATTAAGACCTACCATGTGTCAGGCATTAGGTTAAATATTACACATACATTTTAAAAAGCCCATTTAATCCACATACCAATTCTCTGCATAAGGCACTATAATTTCCAGTTTGCAAATGAGAAAATCGGGAATCAAAGATGATAAGTAACTTCCCAAAGTTAACCTAATAAGGAATTTTCAGAGCCAGGCTTCCACGAAGGTATGTGACCCCTGAAACCTGTACTCTTACTTGCTAGAATAACCCCTTCCATTAGCTCATTGAACTCTCAAGAATTCTAGGGGAGGTTCCCTGGAGATGAAGTGATTACAGGTGAGAAAACTGAGGCTCACCCAGATGTGGTGGCTCCCGTCTGTAATCCCAGCACTTTGAGAGGCCAAGGCAGGCAGATCACTTGAGGTCAGGAGTTCGAGACCAGCCTGGCCAACATGGCGAAACCCCATCTCTACTAAAGATAGAAAAATTAGGTGGGTGTGTTGGTGTGCACCTGTAATCTCAGCTACTCAGGAGGCTGAGGCAGGAGAATCACTTGAACCTGGGATGTGGAAGTTGCAGTGAGCCAAGATTGCGTCACTGCACTCCAGCCTGGGTAACAGAGTGAGACCCTGTCTCAAAACAAAACAAAAAAATGAAACAAAACAAAAAGCCAGAGGCTCAGGAGGTTAAATGACTTGTTCAGAAAAAGTATAAAGAACATATGGCAACATGGAAAAATGTTTGCTTAATAATGTAAGGAGGAAAAAATGATAGTCTATAATTGCTTAAATGTGATGATCACAACTGTGTAAAAATAGAAACATCTGTGGGTGTGCTGACTACCCATCCGGAGTATTCTAGGGCAGTCCTCGGTTTACAGTGTCAGACTGTTGTCAGTCCTATATCTGGTGCTATGCTCTGATTTCAGGGAACTTGGGGAAATATGGCTACTTTACTTAAAGATAAGGACTGTATTGAATGAGAGGCTGAGGCAGGCGGATTACTTGAGGCCACGAGTTCAAGGCCAAGGCCATCCTGGCCAACGTGGTGAAACCCTGTCTCTACTAAAAATACAAATATTAGCTGGGCGTGGTGGTGTGTGCCTGTAATCTCAGCTACTCAGGAGGCTGAGGCATGAGAATTGCTTGAACCCAGGAGGAGGAGGTTGCAGTGAGCCGGGATTGCACCACTGCACTCCAGCCTGGGCGACAGAGTGAGACTCCTTATCAGAAAAAAAAAAAAAACTATATTGAAGATATTTAAGTAGTTACTGATTTTTTTTTAAATATGAAACTTGGAAAGACTAAGGGGTGATATCTGATACAAATCTAGAAGATTGCAGAAGCAGACATTTTGAGAAGGTATCTTAGCCTTACTAATTAACGTAAATTGATATCAACATCTTGCCTACTCGTTAAAAGGCTACTCCAGTTATTGGATTTCTGTGGTGATTGTTTTTTAAAGGTTAGCCTTGACCAATTCTATTACAAGTTTTTTTTTTTTCCCAGCAGCATAAGTGAGCAGAATCAAGAGAAGAGACTGATATTTATTTCAAATAGTAAAAGTAAAAAATATCAATTAGTTTCTTCAGAAAGGTTACTTGGAATTTCTTTATTTGATCATCTGTTCATCCTGCCTTCATGTTAGTTCATCTCTTTATTCATTTCATTCATCCATTCATTCATTCAACATTTACTAGTCTCCTAATGTATACCAAGTTCTGTGTTGGGCACTGGGAGCACAATAGTGAACAAGACTTGGTCCCTGCCCATGAGGGATTCACTGATAGAGCTAGAAACATAAACAGGTAAGTATACCACAGTGTGATAAGTGTCAGTGCAATTCATTCAATTCAGTGTGTATTGAGGGTCTGATCTGTCCAGGGTGCTGTGCTGGGCATTTTCACAGGAAGCAGAGATTGAGATATCTGGCCCTGCCCTCAGGGAGCTCGAAGTCTAGTGTGGGAGATGGTAAACAACCCAGTAATGAAATCATTACAAATAACCATCACTTACAAGGGAATTAAGCAGAGTTCTGGAGTGGAGAATAACGAGACAGGGGAGCCTATTTCAGCAGAATGGTCCAGAAAGTACTATGATGGAGGCATGTGCAAGGAACTGTGAAACCACGGAGGGGCTGCTAATGTAATACACCCTGGAGGAGACAGGGAAGGCTTTGCAAGGAGGGTCCTCTAAAACTGAGCCTGAAAAAATAAAGGAGAGTTAAACAGGGGGAAAGTATTAGGACACGCAGTCCCAAGAAAGAGAGCTGGGGTGCCAAGGTTTGAAGGTTTTGGGGTGATACAAAGCATGACCTGACAGGAACCAGCAGGATTCTGTGGCATAGGGGCATGGGGTTCAGGTGGGAAGGGGATGAGATGAGGCTGGAGGGTTAAAGCAAGGCCAGATCATGTGTGGCCACCAACGCCAGGCTAAAGAAGCTCAGAGCTTGTCTGGATTAGTGATAAAAAGTAGAGCTTAAGAGCCGTGACTGTTGGCACCGGGGATTCCCAGAGCCTTTCGTGGGTCTCATGAAGCCAGACTGCATCTGCTGTATTAATATTTTATGCCATGATCAAGTAGTATACTTTAAAAGAGAGATCACAGCTTGCTGCTGAAGATTTAACTGCTTTTCTTCTTCAGCTCTAGGGAAAAACAGGCTTGAAAGTCTTTCTGGGGTACTTCACCTTAAACTGTTTAAAGGCTCCTCCCCCATCCCTACAGGGGGACATGTAGGGCATCTGGAGACAAGAAAGAGGGACAGGTATACAAACAAATTTGATATAAGATTTCTAGCCAGCTAAGACTTTGGAGAATGGCTGTGTGAGAAGCTGAGCGTGAGTCTGGACTAAGCACAGAGGAAGCTGGACAGCTCCCTGAGACCCCAAGGGGGCTCACCTAGAGACCTGGATCTGCAGGGTCATCTGGCTGAGGTCAAGGTCAAAGCAGCAAGACTGCGCCAGGGAGAAAGCAAAACTCTAGACTGCCTGCTTGGTGTGGCAGGATGAACCCCTTCTCGCTGGGACTGCCTCAGCCTCAGAATTTGGGGAGCATTCAGGAGGAGAGGAAATCTCCATCGGGGAAACGTGCTTCTTGCTCATTAGGTATTGATTTCTCAAGTTGGTGGTTTTGGTTTGAGAAAAAATTAAGTGAAGTGATTGCATTTGCACTGTGCATTTTTGAAGACATTCTTATAAATTCCAGATGTAAAGTAAGACAACCTAGAGTGACTTGACCTAAGAGCTAACGTTTTGAAAGGCAATTGAATGGATCTTATGAGACAAATGCTCTCTGGTTCTCCCTGGGACAGGAAACCTGTGCTGGGGCTAGTGCAGCACAACCAGGGGCTGGAAAAGCTCCTGGTTTTATGAGCCAGGTATAATCTCTCTTGGAGTTACTTTGTTCTATTGTCCCAGTTTGCCGATGACACAATGGAGACTCAGAGGAGTGGATGACTTGCCCAGGGTCATTTGCAAGGTAGAGGAGACACGGGGTGGAACTCGGATGTTCTACTTCCCTGGGCAAAGCTATTAGAACTTCACAGCAAAGTCTGCTACTGCTGACAACAGTGATGAGAGAGGAGAAAAACCAGGAAAAAGAAACAGAAGTGCAAAAGAACAGGGAGAAGGGAATGTAAGAAGGAGAAAGTGGAAGGGGAGGAGGAGAAAGGAGGGAGATCAACTTTGGACTGAAACTTTAATCCAATCATCAGTTTTTTTGTTTGTTTGTCTGTTTGTTTGTTTTAAGTTTCTCTAAATTCCTAAGAAGGTAATGCATTGCTGGCCCGATTGTGTTTCAACTCCAAGAAACAGCACAACATTTGAAAAGCCCATTGTTCGGTGTTGTGATAATATAACTCTCTGTAAATGGTGCAGTCCACTGTACAAAGTACTGCCCCCTCCCATCCCACTGGTGGCCTGCGGGGACAGCTGAATGCCTTCTGGTCCGCTGAGCCCAGAAGAGTGGGGCTGGGCTTTCAGAAACAGCTGGGCTGATTCATCTAGAACAAAAGCCAGCTCTTCCTGCTAAATCCCTGGCAGGCATGGGCTGTTAGGGCTGTGGGCCCCTGTGCCCCTCCACAGGAAACGTCTTGATTTTGCTCCAACAGTGTCAGTCTCCTGTGTGAGCCTGCGACAGCTTCCTCCTGCCCAGTGCCTTCATTCAGCCTGGCATGCTCCCAGCCCCACATGAAAGGCAGTGGCTTTGGAGCAAAACCTGGGTTCCAGTCCCAGCTCTGCCATTCCCTAGTTGTGAAATGTAAATAAGAGATTTCACCTTGCTGTGCCTCAGTTTCTCGATCTATGAACTGGGAGTGAGAGTAGTTCCAATCTGAGAAATTTTCGTCAGCTTTGGAGGAGATAATGCCCAGAGCAGGCATCCATGAATATGGTTTCCTCCCGTTTTTTATAAGACCCATCCATCTTGCCATATGGCTTGGTCTCCCGTAACTCAGTGGATGTACCCTGTATCCCTGACACACTGGCTCAAGCTCATTCACCTTAAACACCTCCACGCCCGTACCTAGGGGGTTCCCATGATGACACCAGCCACTGTTGACAGAGCCCTTTATATGCCTGAGGCCTTGACACAGAGAATTCATTTAATTTCCCCATAATTCTTTGAGTGGATATTATCATCAGAGGAAGAAACCAAGGCTCAGAGAGGTTGAGTAACTCAGGGTGTCCTGTCCTTCAAGGCCTCTGAGTACAAAAATAGCACCATCTCCAAGATTTTTTTGGTGTGGGTGTGTTTAAGGGATTTTATGAATTACTTTTTGTTTCTAAAGCACAGCAGTTCACAATCTTTCTGAGAGTAGTTCCACATTTCTTGAACAGCTCCAAATACCTTCCATACAAAGAAACAACGAGCTGTAGTCAACCATTATATGAAGTGTACAGAGAGGGGCCTAACATCAGATCCTAACGTTGTCGAGATGAAATTAAATAATTCTTGATCCTGAGAAGGGAGCATGGAAAAGACCTTACCTTTCCCTTGGCCTTCTTTCACTCTGGCTATAGAAAGAATCTGGGCTTTGGAGACAGACCTGGATTCAAATCCCAGCTCTACCACTCACCTAGCTGTGGAAGCTTAAGCAGATTACTTATCCTTTTTGAGCCTATTTATTTTATTTGTAAAATTGGAGACAAGAATACCTAACTTAGAGGGCAATTGTCAAGCTTAATTGAAATAATAAAGTGACCGGCATAGAGTAAGCACTCAGAATGTGGCAGTTATAATTATGCTTTTAGTTATTATTATGCATGCCACTGTCATAGGGCCAGCTCTGTTAAGCTGTGGAGGAAGAACCTCCAGGCAGTTTTGCTCTTTCCTGAAAAATCTAACCTGGGAGGCTGGCTAGCTGGGAAATCCTCTGCTGTGTAACAGTGAAGTCACTGATGCTTATGCTGTTTAGCATCTTACTGGCATTTATTGGGCATAATTACAGAATCATAGCTGCTAGGAATCCAAGTCTTAGGGCTGAGCTGGCAGTGCTTATATGGAACACAAAGTTTTAAGTTCTCATTAAAATAGTGGGACAAACACATTCCTGCCTGGGGCATTCAGAACATGTCTAGAATAATGGCTCTTGAAATTCAAAGAGCAACCCTCTCTTGAGTCCTCCCGTAGTGTCCCCAATCACTCTATCTGACCAAACCCATCTGTGGTCACTTTCCTCATTCACCAATTCATTAATCCAATAAAAACGTGCTAAACATCTGCTCTGTGCCAAGCACTATTTGACACTGGGATGATGTCGGAAAACCAAGCAAACACATTTTCTCCTTCCACTGAGCTGCCAGTCTAATGAGATATACACATAAATGGACAATCTGAATGCAGTGAGTCGAATGGGGGAAGCCCAGGTTTTGAGCAGTGGTGTGCTGGTAAATGTTAAACGAAAGGCTCTTGGTGGAGGGAGAAGGAAAACCCTGATTTATAGCCTTTCCTGATCTCCATGGTGTAAATATTCCCACCGTGGGGACTGGGCTACCAGCATGATGTCACTGAGTGTGGAGTTGCGAGTAGAAATGCAATTGCACACAATTATACAGTATTTCTACCATATAGATAAATGGTGAAAATAAGAGCACAGATAATAGTGAAATATAGTAAAATAATTATGAAGTACTAAGTTTTGAGAATTTATTACCTCTATTTATGTATTAGTCATTTTCACACTGCTATAAAGACATACCTGAGACTGGGTAATTTATGAAGGAAAGAGGTTTAATTGACTCACAGTCCTACATGGCTGGGAGGCCTCAGGAAACTTACAATCATGGTGGAAAGGGAAGCAGGCAAGTCTTACGTGGTGGCAGGAGAGAGAGTGTGTGAAGGAGGAACTGCCAAACACTCCTAAAAGAATCAGGTCTCGGCTGGGCAAGATGGCTCACGCCTGTAATCCCAGCACTTTGGTAGGCTGAGGCAGGTGGATCACCTGAGGTCGGGAGTTCGAGACCAGCCTGACCAATATGGAGAAACCCCGTCTCTACTAAAAATACAAAATTAGCCGGGCGTTGTTGCGGGTGCCTGTAATCCCAGCTACTAGGAGGCTGAAGCAGCAGAATCGCTTGAACCTGGGAGGTGGAGGTTGCGGTGAACCGAGATTGCGCCATTGCACTCCAGCCTAGGAACGAGAGGGAAACTCCATCTCAAAAAAAAAAAAAAAAAAAAATCAGGTCTCATGAGAACTCACCATCATGAGAACGGCATGGGGGAAACTGCCCCCATGATCCAATCACCTCCCTTCCACCAGATTCCTTCCTTGACACATGGGGATTATGGGGATTACAATTCGAGATGAGATTTGGGTGGGAACACAGAGCCAGACCATATCAATTTATAATTTACTTAATTATAAGTTTATATAGATTGTTATTGAAGGCTGTGCTTAATACAGCCTTAATACAGCTGGGTGTAAGAATGCATGGAAATTTGGCCAGGTGTGATGGCTTACTCCTATAATCCCAGCACTTTCAAAGGCTGAGGTGGGAGGATCTCTTGAGCCCAAAAGTTTAAGACCAGTCTGGTAACATAGAGAGACTTCATCTCTACAAATAACATAAAAATTAGCCAGGCCTGGTGGGATGTACCTGTGGTCCCACCTACTTGGGAGGCTAAGGCAGGAGGATTGCTTGAGCCCAGAGGTCAAGGCTGCAGGAAGCCATGTTTGTGCCACTGACTCCAGCCTGGGTGACAGTGAAATCTTGTCTCAAAAAAATCCACAAAAATTCATGGAAATTGAGCAATCAGTTCGTAAGAAAACAACACTAAACACACTAAATCAGTTCTTAAGAACACAACACTAGCACAACACTAAAGGGGACCGAGGCTGGAGAAAATAACAGTCTCCTTTCCTTCTTCCAGCTCTGTCTTTCTCTGACCTCCACACCTTTGCTTATTCTGTGCTCTTAGCAGAAGATGCTGTTCCCTTCCTCACCTCCACTCTTATTCTTTCCATCCTTTCAAGGCTGACTGAATCCAAGCCGTTGTCTCTGCTTGGCTTCCCCTCCCCTTTTCTCTGGGAAGTGCACCCCCTCCACCCACAGGTTACAGTGGGAGCAGCCAGGTTTGTGCAGTAGGACCCTGTCACTCGGGCCAGAGTTAATTAGATAAAGGGTAGGCATCTGATCCAACTTAGAATGTGGACTACAAACAAAGATTCCAGCTTGCTGCTGGTAAAAGCCATTTTCTGGAAAGCAGAAATGCTTGTGTGATGTGAGCAGACAGGCAGAGATGAAAGATGGGGGAGAGAGTACTTTCTGGGTTCCCTTTAGTACTCAGGTCCTGCTTGTGGTCTGATCCTGAGGCCCAGCTGCACCCCTGCCCTAGTGTTCCATGGGATATTTCAGGATCTCCTGAGAGTGCTCTCTCAAGTAATCCCTTGTATGAAATCCCTGTCTCATCCTCTGCTTCTAGGGACAAACTACAAGGCATTCGATGCTCAACAAATACTTGTGCTGATAACTTCTCTTTCTGAAGCCAGCTCCAGGAGAGGTCTGTAATCAGAAGAGCCCCTGAACCCTGAAGCCTCCTGGGCTGCCCAGCCCAGGCATCTCCTCTGTGAGTTTTGCGACACCCTTCTAGTCATTTAACGAGCCTCATTGGCTTTCTCTGTGAATACGATGGAAGATGGCCACCTCAAAATGGCAGCCTTGGCCTTCAGAGATCATTGGTCCTCACAGACCCAGTTAATTAACCATGATTGTCATGTCTCAACTTCCAGCTCCAAATTCTAATAGTCCAGCTTTTTTCTGCCGTCCACTCCTCATGCTGTCAACTGTGTTGTGGGGGAAGGTTACAGTACAAACCTGGGTGCAAGTGAGGGCCATCCCCTTGGGTGGGAAGAGGCGTTCTCAGAGGAGAGAGCAGGTACCCCCAGATTGTCTAATGCCTGGCCTGTGTGTGGCCTTCATTTCTCCCCAGCCTCACTCTGGGAAGGAGGTGGTCTTCTGGCAAAAGAAGATATCAAAGTTCTTCCATCAGAGGAGATCCTTATCAGCAAGACATTCACTCTGAGGTGAGGATCCAGGACAAACAGGCCTTACCTTACCTAGATCCAATGGGGGGAGAAGTACAAAGAGGTATCTAGAAAGGAATGAAGACAGGATACCAAGAAGACTTCTAGGCATCCATGAAAGGCAGACTTGATATATCCTGCCAGCTATAAAATACACATGTTGAGTCATAAAGCAAAGCACCAGGAGATTTCTAGAAGTGTTCCTAGAGGAGCACTCCCATGTAAGTATTGGTTATCATCATCACAATCATCATCAATCAATCATCATCATCATTATCTTCATTATCATTTCTAATGATTCCTGGTGATACCCTGTTCCCATGTTCCTCTCCAGCCACCAAATGGAGCAATTACAGGGTTATGGGTAGGCATCTGACCCAGCTTAGAATATGGAACCTTAGATCTAGCTTAGAATGTGAACCCTTTTGCTCTCCTGGCCTCAGTTTCTCCATCTCTAAAGGGAGGAGTTGGAGCAGACATTCTCCAATGTTTCCTCCATCGTGATGTGGTATTCTCCAGTTCTATGGGGACACAGATTCAGAGTTCCACCTCCCTTTGTCTGAGAGCAGTTGCTGGGGCTGGAAATGATATGTTAGATAATTCCAAGGCATGTGTATGCCGGGGCTTGTAATCAAAGATTCCAGAGCCAAATAAGCCTGTGTTTTTGCTTTTCTCCCCAGCAGCCTTGCATTGGGCCCCAGGCAGCCTCTGGAGAAAGCAGAGAGTAGCAGAGATGGTGTGAGCCTCCCTGCGGGGTGGATACCTTGCTTGTATTCTCAGAGAAAGTGGAACTGGGCAGAATTTCCCAAGCCAGGAAAGGTGGCAGAGTGTGACATAAGACATTGAGCAAAGAAGCGAGGGCCAAGGACTCAGGCATAGAAGAGTAGACTGCACAGTATCAGTAGTGTGACCTCCAGAGAGTACTTAACCCTTTCTGTGGGCTTGGCCTGCTCATCTGAAAAATACACATGGTAATGCCTCCCTTAGGAGGCCAGGTAGGGAGGTGAGAATTAAAGTCGGTAATACGTGGGAAGCCCAGAGCATGGCATGAGGCATTCAAGAAATGGTTCTTGTATTTACTGGTGTTGAACAAAGAGAGAATGGCAGGAGGAAGAGCCAGGGTGAGATTCCCTGGGTCCTGTGGCTTCCCTGGCTGCTATTCAATGGAAAAACCAGGGAGTGAGCACTGTGCTCTTGGCTTCTGTGCTACTTAAACAACAGCCTTTTCTGCTCTGATCCCCAGCACCCGGCAATTACTGACTCTAGTACATTTTACCTTGTGTTAAGAGGGAGCTTTACCCTGGCTGAACATGGGGCTGCTGCCAGCACCCAGGCTGGGAATGGACATCTCTGTCATGTGGTGCAGTCTCCTGTGGAGTGTGTGAATCCTTCCAAACCGGAGTCACGCGGCAACTCCAAAAGTCCTGGGAACTCATGTGTGCACCAGGACTGCTGGGAGGCCGTCTTATGCCTTGCTGCATTATAAACGGCTATCGTCTCAAATGCATATGAGATGTTGTTGAAATCAACAAAGTATTACATTTGCTTAAAATTGACCTTGCACTCATCTTTCTACCCAATGTGGATTTCCTCAATCTCCTAAAACAGTATCTGCCATGACACTAATAAGAACATCCCTTCCGTTTATGCAGAAGCCACGGTCCCTGTCATTGTGCTGAGAGTCTTTTTCTCACTGAGTCTTCTCAACCGCCCCATGAAGCGGCAATTCAGGATGCCCATTTGACAAACGAGGAAACGGAGACTTAGACATGTG
The DNA here is from genome assembly GCF_000001405.40 of Homo sapiens. Taxonomy (NCBI): domain Eukaryota; kingdom Metazoa; phylum Chordata; class Mammalia; order Primates; family Hominidae; genus Homo; species Homo sapiens. Next base: position 121,267,529 of record NC_000009.12, read on the forward strand.
AGCTCGCTTGCCCAAAGTTACAGGACTAGTCGATGTCTGGGGTTCCAAACCAGGCCTTCTGACTCCGAGGCGCCTGCTTAATGGTCCACTTTAAGGACCAGGGATGCACTTGGCATTTTCGTTACTTCATTCGGAATGAGCTGGGAATCGCTCTTCCTCCTTATTCCCTTCCGTGGGAGGGAATCTCCCCTGCTTTGCATGCAGCCTATGTCACTCTTCGAGGGCTTTGCCTCCTGAAGTCCGTTCTCTCCAGGGCTGAAATCTGCCTCCGCTGGTGCTAGTTGAGCATTGCTCGCTTGCCCGTCCCATCTGAGCTCTTTGGCCCCAGCCCAGCTCAGGAGCTGCCCTGGGTCTCCTCCCCGACCCTAGGCCTCTTCAGATCTCCCCTCCGTGCTCCGGGCCTCAGTTTCCTCCAGGGGAAAGCAGAGGGCTTGGTTTGGTGCCTTCCTGCGAGGTGAAGCGAGGGGTCCCCCTGGACGAAGGCGAGCTTGGAGCCACCCGCCCAGCAGCCGACGGGAGGGCCTGGCGCTCCTCCCCCACCCGCCTGCCCGGCCGCCCCGCCCCGAGGGCGGCTCCCGCCCGCGCCCTGCCCACCCCGGCCGCGCGCACCACAACGCCCCCGCCCCGCCGCCCGGAACCAGCTGAGCGCAGCTGGACCCAGCAGCCGCTGTCTCCAGTGCCGCAGCAGCAGGTAGGGGAGGCGCGCGGCCCCGGCCCCGGGCATCTGGGGGTCCCGGGCTGATTTGAGTCCTTCCTCTCCCTTCCTTCCCGGTCCTATCTCGCCCGCGCCTGGAGCTCGGCCCGGCCGCGGGGGCATCGCTGGAAAAGGGCTTCCTCGCTCACTTTTCCCGTCTTCCAAGGGACCAAAGAGTGTGGATGGGAGTTGGGGGATGGGGAGACGCCGGAGCAGGAGAGGAGAGGGGCCAGGCCTCCACCCCGTGATTCCACTGTGCTGCTAGCACCTGAGCTAATAACCTCGACCCCGCCCCCGGGATGGGGGAACTGGCCCGGGGTCACCCCTGCACTTGGGTTGTCTGACCCGGGCATGCAGGGGACCACCAGCTACGGTCTGGGCGGTGACTCTGCTGGGGAGTCCACTCAGAGGACCCTTGCCTCCTGGACGATACCTGTGCCTGCTCTCCTCTCCAGCTGCTTCCTCTTTCTGGGGACTGTTAGAAAGTTCTTCCTTACACTGTCTGAAATCTTCAGGCGCCTGCTACCTGTAGGTGCTGGCTTCTCCCCGGCCCTGCAGTGTTCCCTTCCCTGACTCACACGGAAGCTTCTTCTGGAGTTGAAGACAGTGATTGGAACCCCTTCTCCCTGAGCCCCCATGTCTTCTGGGGTCCAGCCCCCCAGAACCTAAATAACAGCAACTTCCCTCTGGTCCAGTGCAGGCTGGCTGGTCTGGGCAGTGCCCAGGGGGAAGCCCCAGTCCTTGGAAGGCTGGGGGCTGGGGGTGTGGGTGAGCAGGAGACATTGGCTTTCTTCCTAGCTCCTTGTCTGCCCAGACATCTGTCGCTTTATCCTGTCTTCACACCCTCCTCAGAGCATGGAAGGGAGCTTTAAAACACCCAGAACTCATTCTGGGCTGTCCTGAGGGTAATTGGACTTTGTGGAAGGCGGGGCCTCTGGGGAGGTGCCTTTCGCTTTTGTTTGGCATCTGGGGACTTTTCAAACACTTAATCCTGTGTGTCCTGTTCTCCCAGGACCACATTTCTGACCAGGGCACCAGGACCTCTCACCGCTCTGCCGTTTACAGCGACCATAGCTTGCTAGAATCTTACCCCATCTCCATTTCCTCCATTTCACAGTTGAGAAAAGTCAAGGACCCAGAGAGTTTATGATGGGCTAATTGTCACACAGTGAGGCAGGGTAGGGCTGAGACCCAATTCCGGTCTGCCGTTTGCGGACTCCTTGCTGGGAGGGACTCTAGCCTCCTTCTTGGGTGTTCCGTTTACTAAAGGGACAAGCATTCCCTGTACATACACACTTGGGGGTGCTGGTTGGTGTTTCTTGGGGCTGTTAAGGGGGAGAGGCTTGGAAACAGAGGAGGAAGGATGGGGGTGGGAACGGTCGGCTTTCAGCTCCTTTGAAACTCCATTTTTCTTTCTGGGGCCATGCTATTTATAAATGCCAGGGAAATTGTAAACAGCCAGGGGAGCTTGGGTTGGCACTCGGTGAGTTACACAGCAGCAAAGAAGGTTTCTGTGTGAATCAGGGGAGGAAAGTTTACTCCAGAATTTTCCACAGTCCTTTTATTAGGGACTAACATGAGCCTGGAAACAGGCTGCTCCCAGGAGGGGTGGCTGCAGGGTTTGCCCCGCATGGCATTTCCTTCCTCCCCGCCTCCCTCCTTTCAGCACTTCTCTGGGCCTGTGTTCTGTGCCTTGCCCTGCGAGGGGCCAAAGAGCCTTGGAAGAGGACAGAGCTCTCTGTCCTCAAGATGCTTGCCATCTATACTGTTTGACACTTTTGTGCCATATTAAGAGTGACTTCAGCCTGCAAGAGGAGTGACTAATTTTGTCTAGGTGAGCCAGACCTCAGAATGAATAATCATTTACCAGGAGAAACAGGAGTTGGGGGAAAAGACATTCTGGGAAGCAGGAACCACTAGTGCAAAGGCACTGAGATTTTCTGAGCCATCCATGTGGCTAGAGTGGAGGATGGGAGAAGGGCGGGGTGGTGGGAGGTTGAGAATCTAAATGAAAATGGAACTAGATTATAAGCTAAGGGTTTGGACCTCATCCTGAAGGCAATGAAGAGCTGAGAAAGGGTTTTGACAGAGCAGTGATTTTTAAAAACTCGTTATTCTGAATGGCTGATGTAGGGGATGCATTGAACGAGGCTGATCTGGAGGCAGGAAGGCCCTGAGGAGGCTGTTGCATGATTCAAGTGAAGTAGATTGCAGGTCTGAACTAGAGCAGTGGCCACTGGGATGGGTCAGAGCAGCAGATTCTGGAAGCCCAGCTGAAGGTCTCAGAACCTGCTATAAATTTCATCTAAAAGCAGACAACAGGCTAGACCTACTGGAGAAGGTTGCTAAGGTATTCAGCATTGTAACTTTTTTTTCTTTTTCATGAGTTTTAAAACAAACAAAAATTGTTAAAGAATCCCTCCAAGCCCGCCTCTTTCCCCAGAGGTCGCCACTGTTAACAATGGTGTGTGCACTCCTGCCAAACACGTTGATTGGATGCCTTCACTTTTAGCCATCCAGTGACAGTGGGTCACTTTCCCCTACTCCATGTGAATAGTTTGGGTCATTTGTGATGTGGGTCATAGAGATGATTTCTGCTTGGTCTATGGTACGTTGCTGAGACACTGAGCTCTGGTTTTCTTTAAGAAAACTTTTACATCCTGTGTCTGCGGCCTCTGGGTGTGTATATTTGCTTATCAGAGACCACAGGTGTGAGAGAAGTTAGAAGCACTGACTTGGAAATGGACCCCCAGTCTTGGTTCTTTGGGTGACCTTGGGCAAATCCTATCTCTCTGAGCCTCTGGTTCCTCATGTGTAAAATGGAGAGATGTTGGTTTGCATGATAATAATAAAAAGCTATCTTTTAACTGGGCATGGTGGCTCACACCTGCAGTTCCAGCATTTTGGGAGGCCGAGTTGGGTTGATGGCTTAAGCCAGGAGTTTGAGACCAGCCTGGTCAACATGGTGAAACCCTGTCTCTACTGAAAATACGTGCTGGGATGCTCCTGTAATCCTAGCTACTTGGGAGGCTGAGGTATGAGAATTGCTTAAACCCTGGAGACGGAGGTTACAGTAAGCTGAAATCACGCCACTGCACTCCAGCCTGGATGACAGAACAATACTGTCTCAAAACAAAAAAAGAAAAGACAAAAAAAGCTATCTTTTAATATACCAAGCACTGGAACATTAATTACTTTATTGATTCCTTGCAACCATTCCTCTGAGGTAGATACTAGTATCTTCTTTTACAGATGAGGAAACTGAGTCCGAGGCTGAATAACATGCCCCGGGTTGTGTGGCTATTGGGTGATGGTGCAAGGATTCCAGAGGTCTGACGACAGAGCCATAGCTATTAATGACAGCACTAAACATTCTCTTGAAAATTCTTTCTAGTCCTGGTATTAGGAGAACTGGTAAGGGAGTTTGTTATGCTTTTATGAGGGGTGGGTGTCGGTGTGCAGAGCTTGGAGAGCTCAGCCCTGCAGCAGAGAGGCCTGGAGGGGCCTCCCGGGGCTGTTTGTAAACTCATGCTTTCCTGTGCCATCCGCAGGACCCTCAGTGCAGGTCAATCTCCCCTCCATTTCAGGGAATCCAGGCTCCAAAAGGACACAGGACTTGCCCAGCAAGGTCATGTGGTGAGGTGAGAGCCCAGCCAGGACTGGTCCCCCCTTTTCATCAATCAAGCTTATGCTCTGGAAATCTATCTGGCGAAGCCAGGAAAACTGGACACTCTCCTGCTCCTTGGTTATTCCCTGAGAAAATGCCAGCAGAAGCAGAGAAAAGCACGTCCCAGGGGTTATGCATTTTGGGGAGGAAGGGAAAAAAAGAGACCAGTGTTTAGGCAGCCGGGGGATGTTAAGTAAAAATATCTCCTCGCTTTCAACGGAGTGAGCGTGTGTCATATTTCAGCCTGATGTGGTTTGTGAAGTTGGAGACCACAGGCAGGCTCAGTTCCTGCTGCTGGCCAGCTTCCCCTTCCCTCTGTCCCTCCCCTGCCATATGCCTGCTCTCGTCTGCCCTGCCTGGGACCACATCAGCAATTTAAGAATAGGGCAGAGAAAAGCAGTGGGTGTTGTGGGCAAGGGTAGGCAGCTGAAGGCCTGGGCTTGGGTCCTGGCTTTGCCAGTGACAAAGTACTGGGTGACTTGGGCTAATGCATGCCTTTCTCTGGGCCCCAGTGTCCATTCTGCACTGTAGGGTGGACAGCATAATGTCAGCCTTCCCAGCTCTGATGGCCTCTGAGTTGGAGGGCTTTGTGCTCCCCACATGTACTTGGGTCCGGCATGTCTGAGACACAAAGTGAGCCCGCAGTGGTGCAACTGGTGATTCAGCTACTGTTCTTGAATTTAATCTTTTCGGACTGAATTGATTGCCCCATTTTGCAGATAAGGGAGTTGAGGCCTAGGATTTGTTGATGTATCCCATTCCCTGCTCTACAAGCAACAATAATAAGGGCCACCATATGTAACACACTTACTATGTATGTTCACCTTTTGCTTTCACTATCTGCTTTAATCTTTTAACAGATCTACGAGGGGAGAGATAGTGACTCCATTTTACAGATGAGGAAACTGAGGCTCAGTTTAGAAAAATGAAAGGACTTACGTTCTCTTCTTTGAGTCTCACAATAGTCCTGGGGTTGTCATTATGTGACCCATTTTACCAGTGAGGAAACTCAGGCCTGGAGACGTGAGCTCCTTTGCCCAGGGGTCCCCAGGGCCCACACACAGCCTGTCAGGTTCCTTCCCAGGCCCTCCTGCTCCTCCCTCCTCCCTTGCTTGCTCTGCCTCATGGGGAGCCTCTTCACCTCTTGCATTCAGTGCCTGGGTTAAGGGATGAGAACAGTTTTCTTCCTGGGCTATAAAGTATCCCTGAAATTGACTCTTCCCAAGAGTGATCCAGAAAGGCTTTAAGCCATGGAGCCTCGCAGGGAACTCCAGTGAAGGGGTCGCACCAGTGGGAGTGGATTCGTTTATTCTGCTGAGCTGGCTAAGCAAACAGTCCTGTTATTTTCCAACCTCAATAAGAATATCATCAGAGCCAAGCTTATTTGCCAAGCAAAGTATATATATTCTACATATGTGAGCCTTCAGGGTGGGGCTTGGCCCTTAATTTCCCTGCTACAGAGACTGTGGCTGAGCTGGGTTTTGGTGGGTACTAAGTAAATACTAGTTAACTTGTTGGGTGTGTGTTGATGATGTGGGTGGCATATGTACTTTTTTCTCCCCACCTCCAAGGACCTTTTCCCCCCACCCTTATTATTTCTATTACACTTGTGATAGAAAATTTAGGAAATAAAAAAGTATATATATAAAAAAGAAGTGTTCATAACTAACCAGAGAAAATCACTGCCAACACCTGGGTGCCCTTCCTTCCTGATATTTTCAGTGCATTTTTTTTTACCCCCACACAATTATCCTATATTTATAATTGTCTGTTCTGACTTTCTGTTTTTTCTCAACATTATATCGTAAGTATTTTTCTCATGTTATTAAGGATTCTTTTTAAATTTAATTTTTAAAAGTTTTAAAAGCATACTATACCTAAGTAGATAAATGTTTATTCTAATTTAAATCTTTTATTCCAATAGTCCTAGGGATTAAAAAATGAAATAATGCTTTTTATTTATTAACAAAAAGGCTGAGAGAAACAGGATTTGCCCAAGATCACCCCCAAAGAACCAAGACTGGGGCTCCCCAGGGCTGTAGTTTGCATCCATAAATACAGAGAGAATAATGTTTATAATCTTGGGTATAAAAACTTCTGGTGAAAAGGTTGATCAAATGCTAGCTGTATTTCTCCCCCTTCCATGGCTTTCTACTGAGTCTCTCTCTCCTACAGGACCCTACTTTGCTCCATAATTAAGCAGCAAAGTATTTCAAGAGCTGTTCAGATTCTAGAAACTCATAGCAGATGAAATCGACAGATAAGTCAGATATCGAATATAGACATTAAAAGATCTGGGCACTAGGCTGTACCCTGTTATTGTCAGTGGCTCTTTAGTCCTTAAACAAGGGTCTTGCCTCCTACTTTTTTTTTGTTATGGTAGAAATAAATGCCCACCCGAGTTTTCATCACTCACTATTATTCTATCTTTGGTGTGCCTGTACCATGTTCCCTTAACAATCCTCAATTATGAAACATTTAGGCAGTTTATAAACAATACTGCAATGAACAACCTAGTGCATACTTTTTTTGTGTGTTCTTCTTTTATTATTTCCTAGAAGTGAGCCCTAGAAATGGAGTTCCTGAGTCAAAATGACACATTTTATAGCTTTTTCTTGTTAAAAAAAAAATTCAGTGACACTTGTGAAAACACGGTAAGGAAGTCTTTATTCAGGAACATTGCCTTGGGCATAGGGACCACTGCAACAGGGTCCTACAGTGAGGGAGAGAGTTTGGGCTCAACTCCTAATACAGCATGGGCGAGTGGGAATTGATAGCTGCAGAGCAGGGTAGGGGTCAGCGGATGGAAAATTACTAAGAGGAAGCTCAGGAATAAGGGATATTCTTGCTAAACCGACCTAACAAAATTATTGATGAAGACAAACCAGGGTGATTCAAACATCAGTGGGGGCATGGTGGAGGATGAGGAGCCTGATCAGATATCAAGGATGAGGGGTTCTGGCTAAACAGACTTAGCAGGATTCTTTTGCTAAAACTGGATTTTACAAGGAAGTGCACAGGTAGGCCTAGGAGAAGGTTCAGAAGCCTGGCTAAAGTTTGGCCAAGCAAATAATCTGTGTCATGCTAAATTTTGCCAAATTTCTGCTCATAAAGGTTACAGTAGTCCTTATTCCTACCAGCCATCCGTGAGAATGGCAGCATTCTTCAGGAGCATCTGAAGCTGGTTATAAAAAGCTCAGCTGTCCTTTTATAGAATAGAGTACAGCGACCATTTTCCTGAAACGTTACATTTCATTCATTCATTTGGCAAATACACTTGCACAATTCAGCAGCAATAAAGCATAACAAGTTAAGATCCCAGGCCGAAGAAGTGGAGAGAACTTGGTTCTCCTTCTGGTTTATGTTTTGCACTTGCCCTAAGACCTTGAGGACATCACCTCACTGAGTTTCATTTTTCTCAGCTATACAGTTAGGGCTTCAATACCCACTTCACAGAATTCTACAAAGTACCTAACACAATGCTTGGCCAGTGCAATCATGTGGATGCTGGGAATTTGTATTATCTCATCTGACTCCAAAGAGCCCTGGAAAGGAAGCAGGTAGGGACAGATCCTTCCCATTTCATGGACTCAGAGAAGAAACGGCCATGTTTCTTGGTGTCCTGAGCTTCACTTCAGGAACTGGTAGTCCAAAGGAACTGTATCGTTCAGAACGGAGGTAAAACAGGCTTTTGTGGGCTAGCCTGTATCCATCCCCCTCCCACCTCCCCTCCCACCACAGTACCTGTTTCTCTTGGAAGGCAAGTTCCCAGTTCCAGTGGCAGCCAGAATTCTTTCTATGCTCTTTTAGAAGGTGGGAGATGCCTGCCTAGACTGTTCAGTGGTCTTAAAAAAGAGACCATAAAATTCATGGTTGCATAAAATATAGTTTTCATAGATTTAAATTGCATTTTAAATGCACTAAGGCTTCATCTTTGAGCTTTTCAGAAATGTGGGATTTCAGACTCCATCTTTAGGGTTGCCTTATTTAGCAAATAAAAAACAGTGTGCCAGTTAAGCATGAGTATGGCCCTTGGAATGTTTGGGGCATAATTATACCAAGACATCTTATTGTCTTTCTGACATTTAGATTTAACTGGGCATCTCATGTTTTATCTGGCAACCCTACCCACCTTGGGTCTACTGAATCCAAATCTGGATTTTCACAAGATCCCCATGGAATTCGTGTGCGAATTCAAGTGTGAGAAGCATTGCATTGGGAGCCTTGCCATCAAAGCCCTGAATGAATCCTTTTTGTAACAAATCTGTTGGTAAAATATAATGCACTATTTATAAAGAGCCTGATTATTCCCAAATCAACCATTTGCACACATCTGTGTGTTCATGTGTTAGGTTTTCTTAATACAGGCTACCCTTGCACTGTTGTCAGTTGAAGGGAAGAATTCCTTGCTTTGGTAAGAAGCCCTAGCCCCTCTCAAGGACCTATTTTCCTCATCTGTAAAATGGGCTACATCCTTAGCATCCGTGCCAGCCTGTGGTGACCAGCTGAGGTGGCCCCAAGGGGATGCATGGCTAGAGCCCACGCCAGGTCCCTCCTCAGCCTCCTCACAAAGGACCGAATGACTTGGCTCTGTGATCCCATCCCCCAGAGACTTTGGTGTGACTGTGGTGACCCTTGGCATAGCGCACCCCCCCGACTGCCTCCTCATCTCAAAACTTTCCAAACCATGACTTTTATAGCAGGGCTTTAGGAATCGCCTGGCTCTACCCTCTCACTTCATGGCTACAGATACTTGTGCCCTGAGAGAGCAAGTGAATTTCCCAAAGCCAACAGCAAGCCCTCTGATTGCTGCTCTACCAAACCAAAATGATTTCAGTTCTCATGAAACCTAAGGCCTGACTAAGGAAGATTAAGAAACCTGGTGGTGGTCGGGTCCTGTAGTGGGGTGGGAGGAGGGGGGAGGGATAGTATTAGGAGATATACCTAATGTAAATGACGAGTTAATGAGTGCAGCACACCAACATGGCACATGTATACATATGTAACAAACCTGCAGGTTGTGCACATGTACCCTAGAACTTAAAGTATAATAAAAAAAAAAGAAAGAAAGAAACCTGGTGGTGGTCATACGCCTAGTTTGTCTTGGTTGTGTGGTCTTGGGTAAGTCATTTCTCTCTCTAACCTATTCCCTGCCCCCACCCCTCCATAATATGGGGAATACACATTTTCCTGTTCCCCTAGGTCTCCTTTCTACCTGGTTAAGGTTTTATTTTAAGATCCAGTGGTAGATCTTGGTCTGTCAATTGGTCCTAGAGTGGAATGCTTTATGAAATCACTGGTACATGTGTTAGGTCAGAGACTTAATACCATGACATCATGAAAGATGTCTTTAGACCCTTTCTCTCCTCATTGCTAACAAAGATTTTATGAACTGTGTTTCAGCTGGACAAAAAAGATGTTCTAGAGCATTCTAAGATCGCCTGGGGCTTTTGTTAAAATGCAGATTCTGGTTCCACAAGTCTGGGGTGGGGCCTGAGGCTCTGCATTTCTAGTGATGCTGATGTAGCTGGTCCAGGGATCACACTTTCAGTTGCAAGATTTGAAAACAATCTGTTATTAGTGTAGAATCAATACTTATGAGATAAGGGACTTAAGAGGCAAGTCCCTTGTTCAGGGCTAAAGACCCAGTGACAGTAATAGGGTCTAGCCTGGAGCCCAGATCTTTTAATGTCTTGTCTTTGACATCTGACTTATCTGTCTATTTTATCTGCAGCTATGAGTTTCTAGAATCTGAACAGCCCTTAAAATACTTTGCTGCTTAATTATGTAGCAAAGTAGGTTCTTCTTTAGGAAAGAGAGTGACTCAGTAGAAAGCCATTGGAAGGGGGAGAAATACAGCTAGCATTTGATCAACCCTTTCACCAGAAGTTTTTATACTTGAGATTATAAACATTCTTTCTGTATTTATGGATGCAAACTACAGTCCTGGGGAGGCCCCAGTCTGTTTTTGTATGCCTCTGAGCTAAGAATGGTTTTATAGTTTTAAAGTGTTGTTAAAAAACAACAATAACAAACAAACAAGGAAGAATATGCAACAGAGAGGGTGTGTAGCCTATGGAGCCTAAAATATTTACGGTCTGGCCCTTTTACAGAAAAAGTTTGCTGACCCATGATCTAGAGTACCCAAAGATTTGCATGTTCTTTTTTTTTTTTTTCTAGTCAGCAAGAGGCCCAGCCTTATAGCTTTGAAATATAGTGAGGTCAAGACGTAGGGGAGGCAGCCTGCGTTGGTGGGAACTGCCCAGACATCTTAGCTGTGTGACCCTGAGCACATTACTTCACCTCTCTGAGCTTGTGTCCTAGCTTCACAAAATGAGGACAAAGATTGCTGCCTGGTAGAGTTATTGCAATGATGAGACATGCCTGTAGAGTTTAACGCTTGGAAGGTGCACAGAAAATGATAACTATTGTTATTAGGGGTGGCCATTTGAACGCTTATGGCATTAATGGACAGATATCATGTTACTCCCATCAGGTCTGAAGGCCCTCCCAATGAACTGGGAGCAGTCTTTTAGGAGAGAAAAATACTCTGCTCCAGTATCCCCCCATCCCACCTCCAGAGCAGAAAGCTCCTTTTTAGCCAGCTAGACAGACAGGGTTCCATGGTGGCTTGCAGACTTTCATCGGGCGAGCTCTCTCCCCAAAGACTGGCCTTTCCACAGCTGAGACTATTAGAAGGCGTCTTCTGTTCCTATGTCCTAGGATGTGATTCAGCAAACAGGCACGTAGTGAGAGCCCCAGGCTGGGATTGTGAGTGCTGGAATGAAACCCTTCTCTTTATGGCTCCATCTGGAGTGTGTGGGTGGTGGACTAGAATCAGTGGTTTTGCTGACCTTGTTTTTAAGCTGCTGCAGCCTTAAGGTCCAAAATGGAAAACAGACCAACTTGGAGTTAGCTGGGGCTAATTCTAAACCTGGCTGAGTTTGAAAACTCAGCTCCTGGGGTGTGTCTGAATCTCAGGGAGAGTGTAATGCTTTTCTTGCCCATAGATGGCAGCATCTGCACTCTTTGCCGGCTCTGTGAATGTGTGTGTGCACGTGCACGTATGTGTTACACACGTGTGCACGCATGGGAGTCATAGTTTCTTACTTTGGTAAATCTTGAGCTGCGGTGGTCCCAGCCCTAGGCCAGGCTCTGGGATACATGGGAGCAATTGGGGAGGCTGACTTGCAAATAGACTATTACAGTAGAGTGTGACCGGGCAGATTAGGGGGTGTGGAGGTCTGTACGGAGACTACACGGAGGACTCAGGAACAGAGTGCCATTGCATCTGGCTGGAGCCTGGTGGGGTATAGTGGAAGACAGGAAGCCATGAGGGCCAAGGCTCAAGGAGTTGAAGGGGACAGGTCATGAAGAATGTGGAGAGATTTGTTAAGGATCTTGGACTTTATCTGGGGCCATAGTGGAGCCATGGTAGGTCTGGGCAGAGGAGTGGCATGGTCTGGGCTTGCTCTAAGGAGGATGCATTGTAGGAGGGAGAGGTTGCAGGAGGATCAGTTAGGAAGGTTCTGCAGTCATGCAGGCAAGAGGTGATGGGGCTATGGACCCAGATGTTGGCATTGGGGTGGGGAGAAGGGGGGACACTCTGGATGCAGTCAGGGGTTGAACTAGCAAGACATGGTGATACACTGGAGGGGAGAGTGACAGAGCAAAAGGGGTGAGTGGTGTGTTGAGGAGGGTGAGGGCCTGGTGTCTGGACTGGTCCACCGGGTGGATGGTGGATGGTGGATGGTAGTGCTGTTTGCCGAGATGAGGTGCAGTAGGGGAGGAGCACATTGTACTTGGGAACAAATGCAGCACCACCATGTGCATCTGAGGATGAGAGTGCAATTTGGGGTGTGTAGAAAGAAGGGGGGCTGGATTCGAAAGGCTCATCCTCACACAGAGTTGACAGAGTGCGGGAGGTCATTAGTCATTTGCAGAAACAACAGAACCCAACTCTGCTTTGGTCTGTCCCTTGGAACCAGGAAGTTTCTGCCATAGTCTTTGAGAAAGACCCACAGAGGTGGGCACCAGGTCCTGCAGCCCAGATAAGTGTCTGGCCTCTGACCTCTCTGGTTTTGGGTACCGTGACTCCACTTCCGTGGCTGTGTCCCGTGTCAGTCACAATGCACAAGTCATCAGGACTGTCTGAACCATTTACTGTCAGCCTGAGAACAGGGCTTGTTTGTGTCTTAATCCCAGGAGCCTGCACGGCCCTGCCATCTTCGGGATCTTGGACTCTCCCCTCGGCTTAGGGAAGCTGGTTTAGGCAGAGAAATTTTCCAGTGTGGGCAGGAGCCAGTTTGCTCAGCTTCCCTCTGAATGTAGATGACTGGAATTCTTAGTGGCGAAGAACGGTGAAGATCCAAGTTGTCCCTGAGAGGCGGGAGGACTGAGCTGCATACTCCACGATGAGCTGATGTGGGATGGTCCTTCATCCACTCATCTAGCATATGTCCACTGGCACTGCCATTTGCAGGGCACATGCCATGCTGAAGCTTTAGAGGTGAAGCAGACAGAATCCTTGCCTCCAAGGAGCTTACAGCCTAGAGGGAGAGAAAGTCCTATCACCAGACACTGATAATGCAGTCTTGCTCAGCAGTAGTGCATTAGAACAATAATAGACTGATGCTGAGGTACAGAGCTGCGAATATGACATATCAACAGGGTGGGTCCCCAAATCGCACATGTGCAGGATGAGAAAGATACAATTTGCAGGCAAAAGACTTAGAAATTTAATTATTAATAATCAGGGTAATAATTAGAGTAAACACATGCCTTGTGCAAAACCCTGAACATGTTTTATCTCATGGTAGGTTCTAATATTATCCCTCTTTGAACAGCAAAGGCAACTGAGACTCCGAGAAGTGATGTAGCTTGCTCAAGTTACACAGTTAAGTGAGGGCCCAGTTTATATAACTTCAGAGTACTAACGTACAGCTCTGAAGTTGACTGTAAACTGAATTCAGCCATGCAATAGGGCTGCCTTAAATGCAAATGGGATTTTAGGCTCAATTAATAGAAGCATGATATCTCTAATGAAGGAGGTGAGAGTCCTGCTTGCCCTGTCCTGGATAGAGCTTGACTGATTGTCTAATTCTGGGTCTTGTGCTGTCAGTAGGGACAGGTTTCATCTGGAGCAGATCAGGGAACAGGGTGAGCGAACCGGAAACCCTGGTCTCAGGAAGAGCTGGAGGAAAGGGGGTGCACAATTTGTAGAAGACTTGAGGGGCCCAGGATCACTGTCTTCAAATCTCCAAAGAGCCATCAGGAAAGAGGGGGACAGACCTGTTCTGGCTGACCCAAAAGGAGGCAGAGCTAATACCAGCAGGTACAAGGCATAAGAAGAGAGAGATTTTAGTGCATCCTTAGGACAATTCTTTTACGCAGCCAAACCCTCCAGCAGCAGGTCTTGCAGCCTTGGCAGGTAGTGAGTGCGGTGTTGCTGGATGTGTGCAAGTACTGATTGTGTGACCCCTGGTGGAGGGGAGGAAAGGGGTTGAAACATCAAATGGGGATTTGACCAGATGACCTTGAACTCCCCCTGAGGCTGACATTCTGTGCCCTTTGTTTACAGGTAGTGCTCATAGCTCTCTTTGTCCAGTGCTTCGGCCTTGGTCCCAGCGCCTTCCCACGGAGCAGCACTCTTCACCCTGCACAGCCTTGTTAGGTAGGTAGAGCAATACAGACACCTGTCGTCCTCTTAAACCCCGCCCTGGCTGCCCAGGGAAGCCTGGAGGGGACTTCAGTGGTGGAAGCAGCCGCTGTAGCCACAGTGGATTCAGTGGGAGTCCCTGAGGTCTTCCTAATAAGGCTCAGAGTGCGTCTCTGCTCCTTTCCTGTCCTTGAGAGGGAGGTCAGGCGAGAGTGATCTTGTAGGGAGGAGGCCGGGACTGGGCTCGGTGCCCGGATGCCTGGCTCCCACCCTGGCTGTGCTGGTTGCTTGCTATGTGACTTTAGGAGAGTTGCTTTCCCTCTCAAGGCCTTGGTTGCTATTCTGTAGAAGAGCAGAGTCCCCATAAAGAGGAGGTGCAGGAATTCTTCCCAGAGGCTTTGGAGAGGTGAGAAAAATGGGGGTCCATTTGCCAAGTCTCTGGACTTGTTGACCAGAGGAGGAGCACCTGAGGTGTGTGAGTCATGGGGAAGCGGATGAGTCATGCCCGCTGGGGCCAGCTGGCAGGGTGGGGCCCACCTGACTATCAGATTCACAGGTGACCTGCTGAAGTAGGTGGGGAGGTGGGGGGAGGAGTGCAGAGTCCTGGGCTGGAAGCCAGGAGACTGGCTCACCTCCCAGCTTCAGCCTCGGTTTCTCCACCTGTAGGATGGGTGCCTTGGTCTCCCCCTACCCACCTAACAAAGCTGCTGTGTGGACCCAACGAGCTTGTAGATGCCAAAGGGCTTTGTGACCAGTGAGACAGGAAGGATCACTACTAGGGGGAATCGCCCAGCTTCCAACACCCAAACAGAAGTGAATTTCTAATGAGCAATTGTGCAAGAACCCAGGAAAACACCCCTCCAACCCACGCCATCCCTTTTCTGCCAAAAGGAGAAGGGGATGAATGAATACAGGACTTACGCGTCTGCTGTGGCCCAGCTGGCTTCCAGATGGTGACATGAGCCACCCACAGCCGGAGCTGTTCCTCTTTCCCAAAGCTCAGGTGAAAGGGCTTTTTGGTGGTCCCCAGGATGTTGTGCCCCAAAAGCCAGGGATTCCCAAAAGGTCTGCCGGGCCCAGAAAGCTGACTCACCCCATCAGCGGCTATCCAAAGGTTCTGCTGACAAAGAGGTAGCCCTAGTGCTGCCCTAATAGGAGGACTTGAGGGCCGGGTCTTGGCTCTGATGCATCTGCCTTTGAGACTGAGCCCTGATAACTCCAAAAGCCAAGTTGCCTCAATGTAATCTGTCAACAAAAAGAATGTTATGCTCTGTTGATGCTTTTGGTGACTATGACACAGGGGCCCTGTCTTCCGCAGACCCTGCAGGGCCAGGCTGGCATAGACCCAGCTGAGCAACCGTCGCCTGAGAGCTTTGCTTATTCATCCCTCTTTACTCCTCTGCCCCCTGCAATGTACCAGCCCTGTGCCCACCTCCACGGAACCTTGGTTCAATCAGGGAGGCCCCAGTGACCTCCTCGATGTCCAATCCAGTGCTCTTTCCTCAGGACTCCATGTGCCAGTCTCTAGTGCAGTTCCAGAAACTCCCTCCTTTTGCTTCTGGGAGGCTGCACTGTCTGGTTTATTTCCTCTTCTCTTTTTAGTTAGGGCCCTGTTTTTCCTCCTGACTTTTTTAGTTAGGGCCCTGGTTTTTTCAGTTAGGGCCCCTCCTCTCTTTTTAGTTAGGGCCCTGTTTTTCCTCCTGTCTTTTTTAGTTAGGGCCCTGGTTTTCTTTTTCTTTCTTTCTTTCTTTTTCTTTTTTTTTTTTTTTAGACGGAGTCTTGCTGTGGTGCCCAGGCTGGAGTGCAGTGGCACGATCTCAGCTCACTGCAACCTCCTCCTCCCAGGTACAAGTGATTCTCCTGCCTCAGCCTCTTGAGTAGCTGGGACTACAGGCATGTGCCACCATACCCGGCTAATGTTTGTGTTTTTAGTAGAGACAGGGTTTTACCATGTTGGCCAGGCTGGTCTCAAAGTCCTGACCTCAAGTGATCTGCCTGCCTTGGCCTCCCAAAGTGCTGGGATTACAGGTGTGAGCCATGACGCCTGGCCCAGGGCCCTGCTTTTCCTGCCTCAGTGTTCCCTAGGATTCTGCCCACCTTCTTGTCTTGATTTATGTATATAGGTTCATTCATTCATTCATTCATTCATTCATTCATTCATATATTCATTCATTTGAGAGATATTTAGGCTCTGAGCTGGGTGTTGAAGAATCAGCAAAAAACAAGACTTTCCCATTCCTCATAGGTCTTCAGTAGATCATTATTTACACTGAAGATTAATTCTTGCTGTGAAGGAAACGATCAGGTTATGGGAGCGTTTGGGATTGGGTGGGAGTGGTGAGGTCTTATCTGGACAGATCAGGGAAGCCTCCCCTAAAAAGTGAGACCTGAAGAGGGAGAGGGAGGTGGCTGAGTGAGCAGGGAATGGAGGAGCCCCCTAGGCAGAGAGGCGACCTGGGTAAGGCTTTAGTGAGGGGGAGTCCTTGAGGAACTGAAAGAAGTGAGGGAGGCTGGCCAGGGAGGGGGGCGTGGCAAGAGGAGGGCCTGGGGGCCAGGCAGCACCTAGGTTATGTGGGCCCTTGAGTTTGGATTTTATGCTAGACCTCTGGGAACCATTGGAAGTTTTAAAGCAGGAGGGTGACTTGCCCAGATTTCATTATCAGAACCCTTGAAAGGGACAGACACAAGGACCATCCTGATAAGCCATGAGGGTGCAATTTTTGGTTCTTCCACATCAGGGTATCCTGATGCTGTGCCTTGGTACGGGGCTTGTCATTGGGCAGTCCTGGGAAATGTGCACTTTCCCAGGATTCTCTCAGCTCTTTGCATTTTTTAGTTTACCCGGCCAGTCCTTGCTAAGCTGCTGCAGTGGAGAGGGAGGTGAAGCAGACACCACCGGGCCCTCTGAGATCCACTCTAATCCAAGACGGAGACAGTGGAAGTTAACGCCCAGAGTGCTCTGTGATAAGTGCCAAGGGGCTCAGGGAGACAAAGAGTGCTTTTCCTTACTTGAGAGTCAAAGAAGGCTGAGAAGGGGGAGTTGGGCATTCCAGGCAAGAAGGCACCGTAGGCACAGGCTTGGCCGCTGGAAGAGCCCACTGCGCCTGGGGGCTAGTGAGCAGGAGTGTGAGGGTTGAGGTGGGGAGCTGGTTAGAGAGGTTTTGAATGCTGGGTTTCTATCCTCTGGGTACCAGGGAGCCATGGACAGGTCCTCAGCTGAGGAGTGACTTGATCCATGGGATTTCAGAACAATTAGTCCATGGCAGGCAGAGCGGAGGGTGGATCAGAGGACAGCAGCACTGGGAGCTGGTTGGAGAGAATGAGTACCATTGCTGAAGCCTTGTCACTCCCCCCACCGCACACACACAGCAACATCCTCAACGCCCCTTTCTGTTCCATACCTCTGTTCGGTTATCCCCGAATTGGCCGGCCAGCCTGAGCTGTCCAGAGCCCTTTCACAGCAGCACTGGGGTGTGTTAAACCCTGGGCTCCAGAGGCAAACAGGTCTGGGCCTGAAACATCACCGTAGCCCTGACTTGCTCTGTGCCCTTGGACAAGTCCCTTACTCTTCTCAGCCTCAGTTTCCACATCTGTGAAATGGGGGTGATAATGGAGTTGGTGATGATTAAACAATGGGGAAATCAAGTCCTTAGCACATGTCTGGTGTATAACGATGGCTGTGTTAGCTTTGTGTCCTTGTTGATTGTAATGGCCCAGTCCATGTTGTAATCTGCCCCTCAGGGAGTTCTTGTCTTTGGACATAAATCTGAATTCTCAACTAGAAACAAGATGTCCCCAGCAGCCCCAAAGGAAGCCTCTAGTGGGACACTGAGGGGATTGGACATGCTGTTACCCACTGGGACCCGGCACAGGGCTGGGCACACAGAAGCCTGGACTGGGTTTTATTTGTTCCTTTATCCCCAGCACTCAGCACAAGGCTGGTACAGCATGGCCAGGTGGCTGGGTTCTCAAAAATACTAAACAAAAAAATGAAATTAAAAAAAAATTATTAATCTTGGACATCATCCCCCAGCACCTTTATTTTACAGCTGAGGAATCTGGGGCCCAGAGAGGAACAGTGGCTCATCCAAGGCCACTCAGCTCCTCAGTGGCAGGCCCTGAACCTGTTCATTTCTCCCTGCTCACATGTTTATTACAATTCTAATTTTTGAAATCCTGGTAAGTTAAAAATGGCATCATGTCCCACCTCCCTAATTTACCTTTGGGGAAACTGGGGCCCAGAGAATGGTAGTGACTCCTTCAGGTCCTCAGAGAGGGAGAAGCAGGAAAAGGGCCTCCTCTCCACAAAGCATACCCCCACTAATCAGCAGTAGGCAGGCAGGTTCTTCCCCCCAAAATTGACGGCCTTGTGCTTAAGGAAGCAAAGTGGAGTGTGAACAATAGTTTCCTGAGGAAGTGTTGGGTTTTAATTGTGTTGAGGAGAAGAACCATTTCCGGAACTGTGTGTGCCTGTGATGCCTGCGGAGTTGGCTTGGCACAGCTATTTCCAGACTAATCCTGAGTCCTATTTATAGGCTGAGATGATTAGGTTGGCCTGTGTCAGGAGAGGCCCACATAGCTCCCCCCAGCCTCGCGATGGCCGAGGAAGAAGCCCTCAGGGGCAATTCTGACCCATGGGTGAGTAGCACGGGATCTGGGGTGGTCCCCGAAGCCAGCTCAGAGGAGGGACGCCAGGGAGACCCGAGGGAAAGTCCCGCTCCTGACTCCTAGTTCAACACCAGCCAGGCCCCCTGCAGAGATGAAACCAGTTCCAATTCTATTCTCTCCCTGCTTAAAAATCCTCAGTGTGTCCGGTCAGGCCAGGACTCCGTAGCAGTCAGACCCCTTCTCCCCGAGGTATCCACTGTCTCAACCCCAGCCATGCTTCTCCAAACTGTTTACGCTTCCTTGTGCAGGCCACACCCCCAAGCCTTTGCGTCTGTTGTTCCCACCTTCCCAAAAGGGAAACTCCATTTATCCTCCAAGGCTCTGCCCCAATGCCCCTCCTCCGTGGCTCTGTTGGGCCATGGGTGCTCCCTCCTTTGTGCTCCCAGGGCCCACAACTGCTTGAATGACTATTGGTGTTCCTGTTTGTGTGCCCTCTGGGCCGGGAAGTCAGAGAAAGAAAGGAGACAATTTGTGATTGAACAGCCACTGTGGCCATCATTCTCCTTACCTGTCTGATGAGAGCTGATCTTCATGCCACTGTGTACAGTAGGTATTTTTTAAAGGTGTGTAGAAGTGAGAGTCAGACTTCGGACTTCAGAGTCAGACAGCCCTGAATTCCTAATGGTGTAACCTTGGGCTGAACCTCTCTGAGCTTTTGTTCCTCCGTCTATAAAAGGAGACAATGCCAGCCATGGGTTTTGGGGAGGATTCAACAAGACAATGCTTATAAAGTACTTATCATCACAATGGGCTTCTATGAGCATAGGAGGTGTTATTTGCAGATGGGGACGTTCATTCCGGGGACGTCCCTATCTAGGGCCCCACACAAGGGAGTGGCTGAGACTCCAAGTCTTGGAGCCTCCGACTCCACCCTGTGTTCTCCCTCCCCTCCCTCTCTTGGCCCCCTGGGCCTATTCTCTTCCCCAGATCAGGGAAAGCTTTGTTTGGCGATTGTTTTTCCTAAGAAGTTTCCTCTGTGGGGCCTCTGGGTGACTCAGCCCTGAGTCACCGGGAGGCTGAGGACAGGGGGAGGAGTGGGAGGGAGGCGGAGGGAATGGAGAGACGAGAAGAGGAAAGGGCTCTAATTCTAGCCCTGGCTCTCCCACTGTTTGATCAACTAGGTCTGACCAGGCCCCTCTCCTGCCTAGCCTCAGTTTCCCCAAATGTGAAAGGAAGATGTGGGCCCAGTCCTGGCTGAGCCTCAGAATCAGAGGTTCCCGGGCCCCACCCTAGACCTACAGACTCAGAGGCTAGGGGTGGGGCCTGGGAATCTATTGTTTCCTGAGCTCCTTGGGTGATCCTGCTGCACACCTGGTCCACAGAGGTGTTAGGGAACTGCTCGGCTCAAACTGGCTCCCAGCTGGGCCTCAGAGCAGCTCGGCCTCTGATTGAACTTCACTGACCCACAGGGAGCGCCCTTCTCTTGCAGAATGCTTTGGCAGAATAGTACACAGGAAGCGTGTGGGCTTTTTTTTTCTTTTTTTTTTAAAAACAGCTTTATTGAAATATAATTTACATGATTTATTGGAGTAAATTTACATATAATTTACATACACATAATTCACTCAATTCAATAATGTTTAGTACATTTACAGAGTTATGCAACCATCATCACAATCCAGTTGAGAAGATTTTCATCATCCCCAAAAGGATCCCTCATGCTTGCTTACGTCCATCTCTATGCACACCCCATAGCTGACCACGCATCTGCTTTCTGTCTCTTTGTTGTTTTATTGTTGTATTTTTTGTCACCCAGGCTGGAGTGCAGTGGCGTGATCTCTGCTCACTGCAGCCTCAACTTCCTGGGCTCAAGCGATCCTCCCACCTCAGCCTCCCGAGTAGGTGGGACCACAGGCACACACCATCATGCCTGGCTAATTTTTG
This sequence comes from Homo sapiens, assembly GCF_000001405.40. Taxonomy (NCBI): domain Eukaryota; kingdom Metazoa; phylum Chordata; class Mammalia; order Primates; family Hominidae; genus Homo; species Homo sapiens. The sequence continues at coordinate 121,288,100 of NC_000009.12, forward strand.
TATTTTTTGTAGAGATGGGGACTTGTGGTGATGCCCAGGCTGATCTTGAACTCCTGAACTCAATGGATTCCTCCCGCCTCAGCCTTCCAAAGTGCTGGGATTATAGGCATGAGCCACCTCACCTGGCCTGCTTTCTGTCTCTCCGAAGATCCAGAGCTGTGTTCATTCCAGCTGGCCCTGTGACCTCATGCAAATTATTGCCCTTCCATTACTCCTCTGTATGAGAGGGAATAATCCTACCCTCCTTGTAGGGGGTTGTTTGAATTTCACTAATGTGCACAGTGTCTGACGCACCCGAGGAGCTGGGCACGTGGGAGGCTGGTACGCAGGGCACAGGACATAACACAGATGCCCAGGTACGGTTGGCACAGGCCTAGCAAACATTTTAAAGCACTCACTCTGTGCCAGCTTCTTAGATTAAGCATCTTACATGCATTACCTACTTTAATCCTCGGTGAATGTGAGTATCAGTTTCATTTTATAACTGAAGAAACGGGCACTGAGACGGGAAGTCACTTTTACAGGCTCACATAGATGATAGTTGATAGGGCTGGGAGTCCATCTGAGAGCCTGTCCTCCCTAAACATCATCCTGTCCCCTTCCTGATGTGAATCACCAAGCAAGGGACAACACAATTCATAGATCCAGGACAAGGTTTATGGCACATACTTCTAAGGGGTGGGACCTGGTATCATGGACACGGCATTCAAGAGATAGTACATGGTATAGAGTCTGTCACAAAACAGACATCACATGGTGCATGAAGCATGACCCAGGGGTAAGAGGCATGGGATGCCGCTAAAGGGAGACACACAGGACAAAGCAAGAGGAACGCAGGGCCTGCTACGTGGCACAGTCACAGGGTATGTGACACTGGGCATGACAAACTCTATGATGCAGAGACATGGTACTTAGGATTTGAGACTTGAGCTATGGCAACTGGGCAGGCTCTTGGCCACAGTGGGACCCTTTGTCATCAGGGATCCTCCATTATGTTGGTGCCTGGGGCCCCAGCAAGCAACAGCAGGAACCAAGTTCCTCCTCCTCACAAAGGCAGTCTGTTTTTTTTTTCTTTTTTTTCTTTTTTTCTCCCTCCTCCTCCCTGTCTCTTTGGATGCCAAAGAGTGGGAGGGGCCCAGCGGAGTGGTGGCCAGAGTAACCCCCCGCCATCCCATCAGCTCAGACAAGGGTCAAAGCTTGGGGCCAAGCCCACGGCTCAGGAAGGGTTTGCCAGGCCCCCAGATCCCCTCTCTCTGAGATAGCTGTGAGCACCAGTGTTGGCTGGGGTGAAAGCCGGGTAATTTTCCTCTAAGCTGTCCTCCCTCCGCTCCCCTCCCTGCCTGCTGGTGCTGGCTGTGAGCACGTCTGCATTCCAGAGCTTAGGAGAGAGAGAACCTGCTGCTGTTAAGGTTGAGGAAGTAGATTGCTAACAGCTGCTGTAGGAGGGGTTGGATGTGCGGAAGAGGAGGCCGTGGATTGCAGGCTAACATTTCTTGAGCCTCTTGGCACCTGGCACTCACTACCTCATCTTGTCTCATTTGCATAAAGCCCCAGTAGCCCGGTGAGGAGACAGGCCCAGAGAGGCAAAGAACTTGCCTAAGGTCACACAGGGAGGCAGAGCCAAGGCTAGACCTTGGTCTCCCGGAGGCAGGCAGGTGAGGTTGTATAGAGGTGATGGCACAGGGGATGTTGTTGGGGGGTTAGTGGGCAATGAGACTGCAAGGGCTTGTGGGCCCCATATCACAGAGGACCGAACTCAGGAGTCCTGACTTCTTTCTGTCTGCACCGAGGTCTGCAGAAGGGATGATGCAATCTGTATGAGTGACAGGCCCAGTGCAGAGAGAGTTTAAGGGAGTGAGGGAGCTGATGTTATGATCCCAGGGAAAAGATGGGGACACCAAACCAGGACAGTGGCTGGAGTGTGGGGGTGAGAAGTGGGTATAAAGTGGAGAGGAGATGAGCTTGGTCTCTGCTCTGGTCTCAGCCTTTATGTACTGTCTTGGTGGGATGACCGTGGTTGGGTCCTGCCTCCAAGGGTATCCCAGAGGGTTCTAGAAACTCCCACATGGACAGGCACTTGAAGGATAGTGCTGGTGATTGGGCAGGTGCCTGGATGGAGGTGAGGCCTAAAGCACACCCGGGGACAGAAGGCAGCACCCACACGGGAGCCCAGCTTCGTGCCAGGGACTGTATTTTAGGTGCTGGATCTTGTTTAAATCTTCCGGCTGGCTATGATTATCCTCTAAGCTGGGGAAGGAAGAAAAGCATTCCAGTACTATACCTCTGTTTGGGTTAAAGGAGGGGAAAGTATTTTAAATAAAACCTATTAGAGTTAAAAGGATGAGTAGCAATAAAAATATCTTTGAATCTCTGATGGTTCTATTGTAGTCAAAAGTTTTAGATAAATTGTGAAGAATCTCTAATCATGCTATGTGGAGTTTTTCTCTTTTAAAAAATACAAGTTATTGTATATACTTAAGGTATATAACGCGATGTTATGAATACATTTAGATAGTAAAAAGGTTACTATAGTGCAGCAAATGAACATATTCATCATCTCAGCTGGCACAAAAGTAATTGCAATTTTTGCCATTACTTTCAATGACGAAAACTGCAATACTTTTGCACTGCACTAATAAAATCTGCTCATTTAGCATGAATCCCAAAATACAGTACAACTTATTCCCTATAGTCCTCATGTTGCACATTAGTGCTCTTTTTTATTTTTAAATTTTTATTTTTGTTATTTTTAATATAGAGAGAGACAGGGTCTCACGACATTGTCCAGGTTGGTCTTGAACTCTGGGGCTCAAGTGATCCTCCCTCCTCAGCCTCCCAAAGTGCTGGGATTACAGGCACAAGCTCTCTACACTTGTTCATTCCACGTATCTGCTACCTTGCACCCTCCATATCCTCATTCGTGGATTCAACCAACCACAGATCAGAAATATTAAAAAAAAATAAAAATTAAAAAAAGTAAAAATAATACAAATTTTAAAAACAGTGCAGTGTAACAACTATTTACATAGTTTATTGTTACATAGAAATTTACATTTACATTTTTATGTAACAACTACAGTATAACAACTATGTAAATAGCATTTACATTGTATTAGGTTTTATAAGTAATCTAGAGAGATTTAAAGTTTAATACATGGGAGAATATATGTAGGTTGTATGCAAATACTGTACTATGCCATTTTATATATTGGTGTACAGCATCTGCAGATTTTGGTATCTGAGGGAGGTCCTGGAACCAACTGATCCCGCGTGGATAGGGAGGGACAACTATTCTCTGATATGTCTCCCCACTGGACTTTTTTTTTTTTTTTTTTTTGAGTTGGAGTCTTGCTCTGTCACCCAGGCTGGAGTGCAGTGGCGCGATCTCGGCTCACCGCAACCTCCATCTCGTGGGTTCAAGCCATTCTCCTGTCTCAGCCTCCTGAGTAGCTGGGACCACAGATGCCCACCACCATGCCCGGCTAATTTTTTGTATTTTTAGTAGAGATGGGGTTTCACCATGTTAGCCAGGCTGGTCTCGAACTCCTGGCCTCAAGTGATCCACCTGCCTCCGTCTCCCAAAGTGCTGGAATTACAGGTGTGAGCCACTGCACCTGGCCCCCATTGGACTTTTTCTCTAACTGATTTGTACTTGTATCAAGTTCTGGTGAGTCCGTGAGATAATATGGCCATTCTATCCCTGTGGACACTGAAGCTCAGAGAGGTTGTGTCCCTTGCTCAGCATCACTCAGTTGTAAGTGCTAGGACTGGGATCCAGAGCCCTCACTTTTTTGTTTTTGGTTTTTTGCTTTTTTGAGTCAGGGTTTCACTCTGTCACCCAGGCTGGAGTGCAGTGGCACAATCATAACTTACTGTAGCCTCGACTTCCCAGGCTCAAGTGATCCTCCCACCTCAGCCTCCCCAGTAGCTAGAACTACTGGTGCATGTCATCACGCCTGGCTAATTTTTTAATTTTGTGTAGAGACAGGGTCTCACTCTGTTTCCCAGGCTGTTCTCAAACTACTGGGTTTAAGCTATCCTCCTGCCTTGGGCTCCCAAAGTGCTGGGATTACAGGCATGAACCACCATGCCCAGCCAAGAGCCCTTGTTCTTTTGGGTGAGGCAGAACAGGCAAAGTCAGAGAGGAGGGGAGGGGGTGTCATTAGGAGTCTCATGGAGGGGATTGGGTAGCAAGGCTGGCTCTGTAGGTGTTGGCTTGAGGCCCTCTCCTGAGATGCATCCCCATCCCTGGTACCAGCCTTGTTTGGAACCCTCCCTGTCTCCCTTGCTTTGTATGCAAAGACACAGAGGTAGAGGGCTAGGTATGAGGTAGGTATAGGGCAGGTATAGGGGCCAGTGAGCTGTATGTGTGTATAGGGTCTGGACACATGCTGTAGGTCATCTTTGGATGTTATGCTTACTGAGCACCTGCTGTGTGCCAAACACAGTGCCAGGGCTCCTTCAGTCCTACCAGACACCCCACCAGGTTGGCATCTTCACCTCATTTTACAGAGGAGGAAATTGAAGTGCCGCAGAAGGTGCCACTGGCTCAAGTTCCCTGGTGGTAGGGATTTGGGCTCTGTCCAGATTCATCCCTGTACATTGCCTCATATTCCTTAGGTTGGAAGGTCACTTGTCCTCACCCTGTTGGTCATTTTTGGTATCTCCAGCCCACAGAGACTCCGCAGGCACTCCTGGATCCCATTGTCTTTTCCCTCTTCCCCGCACCTGCCCCCTTTTGTCTTTCTCAGGGAGTTCTCCCTGCAGAGTGCCTTTGCGGGGCATGGTCCACGGATCCCTCACATTTATGGTCTCATTTAATCGTCTCAACTAGCCTTCAAGAAAGGCACTTTGACCCCGATTTTCCACATCCAGACAATGGGCTCACACTTCCTGCCAGAGCCCAGCAAGGAGGAAATCTTGGCCATAGTTGGTATGGGAGGCTTGGGGACACAGAAGGGCTTTGTTTGAAGCCAGCAGCAGGAGGGATGTGGCACCATCATCTGATGTGCTGCATCATTCATTGTCCCCATCGGGAAGGTGGTTGGCCTGGGGAAGCTTCCAGCATTCCTGGTAGATCCCAGTGAAGGATGAATCTGATCCCTAGGCAGGCAGGAGGGGACCCTGGCCAGATGCACAAACTTGTTTGCTTTTTGCTGTGTGTCTTTTAGCATCCTTGAGTCCCAGGGCCTGAAGGGTTCTTGGACATGGGCCGATTTTCCTGTCACCTATGTCCCCTCAACCTCATCACCACTGGGCAGCTCATTATCTCTCTGGAAAAGGGGAAGGAAACCAGCATTTGTCTTTCCATTTTTTTTTTTTTAAACTGTGGAAACATACACACATCATAAAATTTGCCATTTAATAGGCCGGGCGCGGTGGTTCACACCTGTAATCCTAGCACTCTGGGAGGCCGAGGAGGGCAGATCACTTGAGGTTAGGAGTTCGAGACCAGCCTGGCCAACGTGGTAAAACCCCGTCTCTACTAAAAATACAAAAATTAGCCAGAAATCACTTGAACCTGGGAGGCGGAGGTGGCAGTGAGCCGAGATCACGCCGCTGCACTCCAGCCTGGGTGACAGAGCGAGACCCCATCTCAAAAAAAAAAAAAAAAAAGAAAGGCATTTTTAACCCTATCTTACATGTAAGGAAATTGAGGCTCAGAGAGATAGAAACTTATCCAAGTCTCTCTTTTAACAATAAAAGCAGCCTCCTTTATATGTGCTTATTCTGTACCAAGCACTGTGCTAAGCCCCAAATGTTCTTTACCTTATTAAATTCACACAACTACCCTAGGAAAAAAGTATTATAATCCCCGTTTTATAGATGAGGAAACGGAGGCTCAGAGAGCCAAAACAACTTGCTCAAAGCCACACTGCTAATAAGTGATAGACCGGGGACTTAAATGCAGGCATTTCTGGTGGGAGCTCTTTCCACGATCACATAACAGAAGGTTGCTCTCTGTTTTTCTCCCTCTTGGAAAGTCCTTCCTCTGCAGAGCAGGAAGCTGCCTCCTGTGGCTTCTCCTGCTCATTCTGGCTTGGGTTGGGGCATTGTAGACCCTGCCTTCCCCTGCAGCTCTGCAGAGCCTGTGACTCTCCAAAGTCTTCTGCTGGTTCCACGGTCCCAGCATCTGCAGCCAGGCCTCCCTGTCTTGTTGTGGATTTGCGTTTGTGCCTGGGCTTCCCAGGGGTGGGTGGTGGGGTGCTGAAGGGGCTAGGACAGTTATTTGCAGCCCTGGCTACTGACCCACCACACCTCTCAGGGCCATTTCCTCCCCGAGAGAAGGGGAGACAGACTGCTGAAGTGGGTCCTAGCAAGAAGGGCCCAGAGCTCATACCCATGGCCAAATCTGGCTGCTTCCAGGACATGGGGTCAGGAAGTAGCAGGGCCAGGCCCCTCCAGATGTCCAGCCCTGGGTCCCAGCACTAGGTGGGGCTGGCTCCGGAAGCTGGGAAAGGACCATGGCTTTGGTCCCTGAGACAGTTGGTCTCCTGGAGTTGGCTTCAGCCAAGCCCCGCTGGCCATCTCCCCAACAGCTGGCCACTCCCAGGATGGACTTGGCCAAAGCAGAAGGCCAGCCAGCCCCGATGGGGAGCACTGCTGTGTCATGGAGACCCAGGCCTCAGTTCTGGCCTGGTTGTTGAGAGACCTGAGTTCTAGATCTACTCTGCCAGGCACTTGTTTGACTTTGTGACCCTGAAAAGTCACCCTCTTGTTCTTGGTGTGATCATCTACAAAAGAGAAGACAGACTAATGAACACTGCTGCTAATAAGTCCTGCTCTGAACAACATACTCCAACAGTCTCACTTCTGTTCCCCCAAAAGTCCTGCAACTGGGCATCACTGTCCCTGTTTACAGATGAGTGACCTGAGGCTCAGAGAGGGAAGGTAACTTGCTCTGCCTTACACAGCCCAGACCTGAACTCTAGCGTCTCACCGTGAAATCTGTAACGTTTCTCCCGCACCATCACATACCGAAGGCAGGCGTCTGTGCAGAAAACAGGCTGCTCAGAAAGAAGAGTGCTTACTTTTGGCGAGCTCCTGTGCGTCACATCCTGGGCTTCCTCACTGCTCCATGCTCTAGGTACCATTCTCCCCCTTTTAGAGATGAGGAAACTGAGGTCTGGATTGCAGAAGCTGAGTCCAGATTCGCAAACCTGTCCACAGGGCTTGCCGGAACTTTTCCAGGCCCTGTTCAGTTCCACTGGGTTTCATAACTGGCTTCTCTGTTTACTGACCATTGTCCCAATTAGCAAAATCCCTGGTCAGAAGGGCGGGTGCTCCTAGGAGGACCCAGAGAACAGCAGTGAGCCAAAAAGTAAATAGACTCCAAGAGAGGGCTTTCCATGAGTGGCTGGCTGCCTGGAAAATCAAGAACAACAGTGTTTGGAGTGAAGAGAAAAGAACAGGGTGGTGTCTTCCAGGCCCAGCCAAGGCCTTTTTGTACACTGTGGCTGGGGATGGAAGGGGCGGGGGAGGCCACCTCCTCTGGTCTCTGGTAGGGGGTCCCGCAGACATACAGAGACCAAGGTTACAGAGGAAAGGAGGGCCCAGAGCTGGTTGTGTTGTGGAGGTCCTGGGTCAACTACAGGGGAGGGAGGGGTCCCCCAGGGGGACATGGGCTGTACAGCCCCCATCCTGTGGCAGACACAGAGAATCTGCCTACTGTGTGCCTGGAGCTGGGCAGGATCCAGGAATAGCCGAGATCAGAGGTCAAGGAGATCTCCGAGGTGCACAGAAGCAGAGACCAGGACATGCTCATGTACTGAGTTGGTAGCAGAAGGGCTGCCTCCAAATCAAAGAAACCATGCCAGACCTGAGTGCCATGTGGCTCAGAGGGCAGGTGCCACAGCCAGTCCTGCACTAAATGGCCACAGCCTGGGGATCTTCCAGGCCTTTGGCCTGGGCAGTCACATCAGGTGTGTGAAAGGCTAGAGGGCTTTCCCGGTGTCACCTCCTGCCCTGGCCTGGGAAGTGTCGTGGGGACAGCTGCTCCGGAGACTCCTGGCTGCCAGGCTTGACTTGGGCTTGATTGATTTAGCCTGTTACCTGGAAAGGGCACTGCTGCTCCCTGCCCAGGTCAGGTGGTGCTAGGAGCTCCTGCTTGGTCTCCGCAGACAGAGCCTGGGCTCTGAAGCCAGTCAGACTTGTGTTTGAATCTTGGCAACACCTCTTTCCAGTTGAGTGACTTGAACCTCCCTGAGTCTCAGTTTCCCAGGCTGGGCCCAGAGGTGAGGTGGCATGCTGCTATCAGTGACTGCAGTGCCTCCTTCCTCAAGTCAGGGGCTGTGGACTGTCTGATCCAGAACGGCCTGCAGAGGTGACCTGGCCGAATGTACCCATTTTACAGATGGAACCCTGAAGCTCAGAGACTTGTAGGTCCTGGATTTGGTTGTACAACCAGTATCTGGTACTGCTTGGGCTAGGAAAGAGGCTTCGAGTCAGAGCATCAGGCCCTACCCTGTATTTTGCATATGAAGACACTGAAACCCAGAAAGGTACAGTGACTTGCCCAAGGTCACCAGGAAGTCAGTGTCAGAGCCAGCCCTAGCACTCGGGCCTCTTCCTTTCCACCTAGGGGTCCTTCTCTTGTACCTGAATTCCCCCATTCCCTTGAACTCATACATCTTCTTCCAGGCTGGAAGCAGAGTAAGACAATGTTGCCCGCATCATGGTCTCCACTCATCAGTGCCCTGTAGCAAGGGCTCCAGGGTCTGTAGTGAGGGCTCCCAGAGGGCAAGGGTGGGGTCTGTTCACCAGCTCTCCTGTGCCAAGGGCCTGGGCTCCAGAGCTATATGGCAGGCAAAGCTGCAGGCCCTTTGTGATCATTAACGTGGTCCCTGGGTTGATGGCCAGTGGCCTCTGGGGCCAAGGTCAAGCCACAGCAGCCCCTCTATTAATCACCAACTATGCAGGTCAGAGTCACACTGCTCTGGAAGGGGCCCCTCAGCTGGGCAGTTGCTGGCCCAGGTTCAGTCTGGGGGCTGGGCAGCTAAGAAAATTTCTTCCTACTTGTTTGAATTTTCCAAATTGTCTAATGAGCAGGCATCACTATAAGCATATTTTAAAAGGGATTGTTTCTGGATTTGTGTTTTATAAAAGAACAAAACTATATTGGATATACACTTGTAAAGTTTCAAATGCTACGGCAATGCTTTTACAATTTTTTCGGCTAGTATATTAAGGTATAATTTACATATCATAGTGATTCACACACTAAGTATACCTATAGTTCTATGAATTTTAGTAGATTTAATTGGTTATATAATCTTCACCATAATCTAGTATTAGAATATTTTTATCACCCCGAAAAGTTCCCTCATGCCAACTGCAGTGATCTAGGCACTTCCTCCAGCCTCAGGCAGCCACGGCAATGTTTGAGGATGAAATTCTCCTCCTTCTTCCCTTTCCAGCAAACGGCCTTAACAGTTTGGTGCTTACCCTCTGATTTTTTAAGGGTATATGCAAAAACAGGCACCATTGTAAAAAGGAGAAGAGGAGATATACTATAGCCATTGTTGTGCAATTGCTTTCTGCACTTGGAGATCTCCCTGTGTTTATTGAGTGCCTACTATATGCCAGGCACAATCAGACGTAGCTCATTCTTTTTTCACAGCTGCATAGTGTCTATTGTAATGGTGGCTCCATCATTTATTTAACCAGGACTTTTGGGTCCTTTCCAGTTTTCTTCAAACAATGCTTCAGTGAACATCCTTGCACATATATTTTTGTGTTTGTTGGTAAGTAATTCTGTAGAAAGTGGAACTGTTGTTGCGTTGTGTGTTTTGAGTTTGGATAAATTTTTTATCTAGAGAGGTGAAACTGGTTTATGCTTCCATTAAGAGCCTATGGGAGCTGTGGGGTTTTTTATAATATCATCCTCCAAATGGCTAGGGGGAAGGGAGAGCTCTCTGAATTTAGGCCAGAGCTGGCCCACTGCAGGCTGGGCAGGCCCAGGCCTGGACTTGGAGCCCGGAGAACTCAGGTATCCCTCTGGGGCCCCCCACAGACACCGAGACAAAGTTCAGACTCTTCAGTGTGGCACACAGGCCTCGGTGACCCCTGCTGCCCTCTGCAGCCTCCTCTGCTCTTGCTCCCTGTGTTTCATACTGGACCCCTGGTAATTCACTGGATATGGTTATGTTTGCCTGCCCTTTGCCTATGCGTCCCCTCCCCCTGGAATGTCTTTTCTTCTTAATCTCCGTCCTCCCTGTCCTTCAAGGCCTGGGTCACAAGTCCCTTTCTCCACGAAGCCTTCTTATAATCTCTCCAGCCTGAATTGTCTTCTCTGTGTTCCTTTAGTCTTTTATCTGAACCATATCCCCCCTTAGGTGGGAGCAAGTTGTGGGTGGGAGAGGGCAAACTTCAGCCTCATTAGATAGAGGCTGGACTTCCGGAAGAGCTGGGAAGGGGGACCATAGTTTCTGGGGAGGGGTGGAGAACTCACATTTACCTAGCTGCTGGCCAGGCTATTTTCATACCCACAGACCGATTTAATTCTCAACTACTGTACTCATTTAGTAGATGAGAAGAATGAGACATTGAAAACATGCACAGTGGAGGTGGGAATGAAAGCCAGCTCTCCAACTCTCCAGTCCTCTTTCCTGTCACTGCATCAGGCTGCAGGGTGAAGGGGAGGTCTGGGATACAAAGAGAACTTAGAGGTGGAGCAGTTGGATTCTGTGCAGTGCTAGGAGGGAGGAGAGGGGTTGGAGTAGGTGGGAAGTAGGCCTCCTTCAGTTTGGATAGCACTTCCCTTAACCCAATGACTCTAGTGGGAGGGTGGAGGGATGGGGATGGGAAGGGAGCCTGGGAGTGAGGAGGAAAGGCAAACTCTGTCTTCCCCCAGGGGAGTCAATGAATAGTACCTAAAATGGAAACCAAACAAAACAACTTCAGGAAGTAACAAGGGCTTGCTTAGAGACATGACGGTAAACCCTGAACCATCAGCTAAAAGAGGTAGATAGCAGTGGTTGCCCCTGGGGAGAGGTAAATGTGATGGAGAGGGAACAACTGTGTACAAACATGTGACTTTACGTTTTGATCAAAATAAGACTTTTAAAAAACAAACACTTTTTAAAAAGAAGGAAAGAAAAGTAGGAGGGGCTATCCCAGGAGCTGAGCGTTCTGCCCCGCCCCTCTGAGTCCTGCCGGCTTCACCTGCCCACGGGAGCCGGGTCCCCTGCCCTGCTGCGGCGCATGCTGCCTGGTGGGGGTTCTGCCCAGGCCCACTACGGCCTGAGTTCAAATCCCGGCAGCACCATTTACAAGCTGTGTGCAAGTTGCTTCACCACTCTGCGCTGTTCCCCCCTCTGTAAAATGGGTTGGCCGTTGTACCCTCTCTGAAAAGGATGTGCTGATGCCTCGGTGAAAAGCTTTCAAAAATTGTTAGTTCATGTTATTTTTTTGCTGGAGGTGTTAGGTGCGGAGAGGCGAGGGGGCTCGCGTGCGTCGCAGGAGGCTCAGCTGGGCTCGCCGCCGCTCGTGCCTGCGCCCATTTAGTGTGCACACAGCTAGCGCCCGCCGTATGTCAGGCCTGGTGCTGGGTCTCCGCCCCGGAGCTGGGGTGCAGGGGCTGCCGCGCCCTGTCGGGTCGATCCGGGTGGGAACCCAGATGTCTCCAAGATCCGAGACAGATCCCCGCCCCGCGCCCTCCCTGGGGGGCGGTCCCCGGCTTGGGCGGGATGGGCGGGCGGCTACTTAAGGTCGGCGACCCGAGGCCGCGGCTGCCGACTGGGTCCCCTGCCGCTGTCGCCACCATGGCTCCGCACCGCCCCGCGCCCGCGCTGCTTTGCGCGCTGTCCCTGGCGCTGTGCGCGCTGTCGCTGCCCGTCCGCGCGGCCACTGCGTCGCGGGGGGCGTCCCAGGCGGGGGCGCCCCAGGGGCGGGTGCCCGAGGCGCGGGTGAGTGCCCGGGGGGCCCCGGGGCTCCCGGAGTAACTCTCTATTGTAAGTTCTTGCAGATACAGCGCTAGGAAAAGGGGAGTAATTCAGGTCTAGAATGGAAAAACTGTTTTGTTGCTTTGTAAGTATCTCTTGCTGCTTCCGGGGCTCTGGCTCGCAGACGAGGGTGGGAGCCTCGGGGCCCTGGCTGTTCCTTCCCAGGAAGCTAACCTCACCTTGGCCGGATTTCTTTTCCCCTGTCCTCCTCTAACATCTTACCTCCTGTCTCCTGAATTCTCCTTTTCCTTCTCTGATTTTTTCTCCCCTCTGCCTCACTTCTCTCCTTCTCTCTTCTGATGTCTTCTTCCATTTACGATTCCTTGTTCTCATTTGATCTCTCTCCTTCTCCAATATTTCCTTCTTTCTTGTATGACCTCGCCTGTCTGCTTATGGTCATTATTATCATTTCTTCTCTCCTTTCTGCTGTCTTCCCTGCCCTGTCTGGTTTCGTGTTTTTCCACCCTTCTGCCTGAGTTCTCCCCACCTTGTTTCTCTGACTTCTCTCCTCTGATTTTTACTCCCACCAGATCTCTTCTCCGGCCAGAGGTGACCTGCACCTGCTGATTTTTGTCCTCGACTCCAGCCTAACCCTCCTGCACCCTCCCCGGCCCCAGCCCCAGTGCATGTGTAATAGCCTCCCCATTTTTAACCACTTCATCTCCAACAGCCTCCTGCAGACCCTGGTGCATCCTCTTCTCCTCTTCCAAGAAATGAAATTTGGGGGTGGTGTGTTGTGGGGCAGGAGGGAGGAGGCAGACAGCGCAGGAGGCCACTTGGACTCAGCCATTTGGACCCTTCTTGGGGGTATGATGGGGATGGGTACAGAGAGGAGAGGGGGCTCCTGTGGATCACAGGAGGCTCAGGTGGGCTCACCTCGATTTGCGAGTGCACCCACTTAGCGTGCACAGAGCTAGCGCCTGCTGTCTGCCAGGCCCCGTGCTGGAAATCTTTCCACTTCCAAAGAGCAAAAGCAAACAGGCTGTGTGACCTTCGGTCAGTCCCCTCCCCTCTTTGAGCCTCAGTTTCTCTGTCTGCAGATTGGGGTTGGATAATGAGCTCTCAGAGGGCCCTTTGGTTTCAAGAGCCATTGAAGATGCTGGAAGGAAGCAAGCTGAGGCCCTGGGGACCCTTAGATTTACTATTGCCATCTGAGGGGTCTACCCATCATCCCAGAGCTTGTGATCTTGGAGCCTGGGGCAACCCCTGCTACACTGTTTCCTAGCTGGAGGTCCCTGGCAGAGTCCCTTCATCTCTCTGTGCCTCGGTTATCACATCCAATTGGCAATAAGAAAAGAAGGGAGGCTGGGCGCGGTGGCTCACGCCTGTAATCCCAACACTTTGGGAGGCCAAGGCAGGTGGATCACCTGAGGTCAGGAGTTCCAGACCAGCCTGACCAACATGGCGAAACCCTGTCTGTACTAAAAATACAAAATTAGCCAGGCATAGTATCGCATGCCTGTAATCCCAGCTACTCAGGAGGCTGAGGCAGGAGAATCGCTTGAACCCAGGAGGCAGAGGTTACAGTGAGTCGAGATTGCACCATTGCACTCCAGACTGGACAACAGTGCGAGACTCTGTCTCAAAAAAAAAAAAAAAAAAAGAAAAAAAGAAAGAAAGAAAAGAAAGGAGCAGGGAGGTAGAGCCCTCTGTACCCTCCATCACCAGAAAAAGCTGAAGAGGGGCTGAGTAGGAGGGACAGATGCTGGCCAGGGCACAGGTTTTGAAGCATAAAACTCTTGCCCTGTTTGCTGACTCGTTGAGACAGGGTGCCCAGAAGGGGATAGACTTCCCTGGGGCGTGGGGAGAGCAGGAGGCTCAAGTGAGATGCTCTTGGTGCTAGAAACCGCCCTCCCTCATGCCTGGGGTCTCTCCCTGCCAGGACCCTGCCCCGCTTAGGCTCTGCCCTGTCTCATCCCAGCCCAACAGCATGGTGGTGGAACACCCCGAGTTCCTCAAGGCAGGGAAGGAGCCTGGCCTGCAGATCTGGCGTGTGGAGAAGTTCGATCTGGTGCCCGTGCCCACCAACCTTTATGGAGACTTCTTCACGGGCGACGCCTACGTCATCCTGAAGACAGTGCAGCTGAGGAACGGAAATCTGCAGTATGACCTCCACTACTGGCTGGGTGAGGCTGGCCCTGCCCAGCCCCTGCCCCAGCCCCCATTCTGAACAGTGCAGACCTTTGGGGCATGGTCCCCAGGGAGGGAACTGATTATTGAGCACCTAGTATGTGCTGGGCCCTTGACTGGTGGTTCATGCCCTGAGACGCTAGAGCCAGCCTGGCCAAGTTCACACCCCCACTCTGCCCCTAACCCATGTTCTGTCCTTTGGCAAGTCACTTAGTGTCCCTGTGGAGTGGACATGATGATAGCTCTGCACTACCTCACAGGAATGTTGTGAGCGTTAAACACCTTACTGTGACACTCAGAACTGTGGGTGAATTGGAGACCCTGGACCTCTCCACAACTTCCCTGGCCCAGCTCCAGGCACTCCCCAGTTTGCCCTTGAGTCAGGAGCCCGGAGTCCCTGCCACACCTCTGCCGTGGGATGCTATAAGTTCTGCCCCCTTGCTGAGCCTCAGTTTCCTAATCTGTGAATTGATCTGATGCTCCCAGTCCTGAGTTTACGCTCAGGAGGGCTGAGAATGAACATAAGGGAATGTGACAGAGCTGGGAGGACGCTTAGAGAAAAATGAGGTCCATCGTCCTGTTATACAGATGGATTAACTGAGGCTCACAGAAGGCAAGGGCTTTCTCAGCTTCTACAGCTAGGTCAGGGCAGTGCTGGGGTTCCTCCTCCACCTCCTCTTCCTCAGGGGTCTGGGATACTTCTGGAAAGCCAGGCTCATATTGCTCTGATGTCCCGTAGGCAATGAGTGCAGCCAGGATGAGAGCGGGGCGGCCGCCATCTTTACCGTGCAGCTGGATGACTACCTGAACGGCCGGGCCGTGCAGCACCGTGAGGTCCAGGGCTTCGAGTCGGCCACCTTCCTAGGCTACTTCAAGTCTGGCCTGAAGTACAAGGTGGGTTGGGCCCCACCTTGCTTGAGCGGTAGGGACAGATGCACCAGTAACAGGGCTCACTCAGGCCCATCTATCTTTTGGCCTTGTGATGCAGTGGGCAGACCGATCAGAGGTCAGGCTTTGGAGTCAACCAACATTGTGTTTAAATCCTGGCCTCTTTCTAGCCATGTGAGCTTGGACAAATCACACTGCCTTTCTGAGCCTCTGGTTCCTTATCTTAAAATGGGGAGAAGAAAATTCCCCATAAGTTCATAGTGTTGTCTTCCTAGCCCCAACAGTGAGGAGTGGGCCAGAGGTGAAAATCCAGTTCTTCTTGCAGGCCCTGGGGGGCTTTGGCCTAGTCCTGTTCTGGTACCCCTTAATTCTTAAGGCCTTGCCAACAGAGGGCCCCGTGTTAAGTATTTAATAGGGCATTGTTAGTCACATCCCTCTTTCTGTTCACTAGAATCCCCTTTGAACTTGAACTCTTCAGAGTCTGGATCAAGACAGAGCTCTTTTCCCAAGCTCCTAGCCAGGTGGGGCAGAGCAAGGCCAAACTGGGAGCTCCAAGAGGCTGCACCCTAATATGCTGGTGACTTCCTGCAAGCCACTTGACCTCCTTGAGCCTCCCTTTCCTCTCTGGTTACCTGAGAGCCAGTTGTACCTGCCCTACAGGGCTGGGAGAGGATTTGGTGTGGGGGTGGCTGGGAAATGCCTTGCGTGGGGCTTGGCCATCTGGAAGGGCTATGGAAACACTGTAGTTTTACAAAGCTGGGGTTTTCCTTGGTCAGGATAGAGAAGGGGATCACAGGCTTTCACAGCCAGGTGGGCCTTAATGTCAGAGTCCAAATCTCATTTTACCAGGGGAGAAGGGGAACTGAGACACAGAAAGTCTTAAGCAATTGGCCCAGAGTCACACAGCGAATTGGTGCCAGACCCAGGACTAGAACCCAGATGTTCTGACTCTTAGCATTCTTTCCACTAAACCAACATACCTCTAATGACCAGGGTCCTAGGGTAGGGTCCAAGCCTGTCTGTGCTGCTGATGTGCTGTGTGACCTTAGAGAAGTCACTGTTCCTCTCTGGACCTCAGGATCATCTATGTCAATGGAGTGGTGACCTTGTCTGCCCTGGTGAGGCATAAGAGATTGAATGATGGGAAAGTGCCAGTGAGACTCAGATAGCAATGGGCAGGGTGTGTCCTGGGAACTCACAGTCCAGGGCTGGGCAGGGCTGGGCTGGATTCCCTGGAGCCCCTTGTGCCCTTGCACTGAGCTCCTCCTGCTGAGGTGTCCAGCTCTGCCTTCTTCCCACAGCCCTTTCTGGGGCCTTGATACCTTGCAGAAGGAGAGGTGAGAAGTTTGGGAGCCAGTCCCCTGAGCTGGAGAAGGACCAGGTCTTTTTGCAACTTCTGGAGCAAGAAATGGAACGAACACTTGCCCAGGAATCACAGAGATTGGGATTCAGGTTGGAAGGCTACCTTCTGTAACTGCTGTGAGACTTTGGGCAAGTCTTGTATCTTTGGGCGGGTGTTCTCAATCATCCTCCATTCATCATTCATTCAGCAAATATTTACTGAGCCTCAATAACAGCAGCACCAGCTCATTGTTGCTACACTATGGCAGATATGGTACTGGGAATGTAGGTTATCTCGTTTCAGCCTCACAACTGTCCTGGGAGGTAAGTAATTCCCATTCCATTTTACAGATGAGACTGGAGGCTCAGAGAGGTCACATAACTATATTCAAACCAGGATTGTGTTCCCTTAACTCTGCCAGGCCCTGTGATGGGTGCTGGGGTGCCCAAGTGAAGAAGGTGGGTCCCTGCCCTTGAGAGTGTTCTGAGGAGTTGGGGAGACTGGCAGGCTCACGAAGAGTTAATCCATTGCCTCCAGGTGGGGTGATGTGGGATCCCAGGGAGTGCTCAGCTCTGAGAGGGGTTCAGGGATGAGATAGATGAGTAGGTGTTTGCTAATCTATCTTGTCCTAGTCACTGTTTCTTAGGGCATAACCTGACAGTCTAACATGGTTACAAATATGAGAGTTCTCATATACACAGAAAGGGTGATTTTCCAGGTCAGAGAATGTTGCAGAGCAGGTCATAGGCTCCCGGATTTTTAGGAATAAACAAGGATGATAATAACCCTTACCGTGTGTTAAGCCTTGACTACAAGATCTCATTTAATTCTCACTGTAGCCTTTAGGGTGGATGGTAATGCTCCATTTCATAGACGAGGAAGCTGAGGCTCAGAGGAGCAAACTAACTTGCCTAAGTTCACACAGCTAGTAAAAGGTGCTTGTCATTGAACACTTATCTATTACTTTCTGTGTGTCAGGGACTCTTCTGGGTGCTTTACTCATTTAACTCATTTTACCCTAACAGGTAGGGTATCTGTTAGCACCATTTTATAAATGAGGCTACTAAGGCACAGAGATGTTAAGCAACTTTTCCAAGGTCACACAGCTAGTAAGTGATTGGACTAGTGTGCAAACCCAGGTGTGAAGGGCCTAGCACAGACCTGGTTCAGAGTAGACATTTGGAGGCTCCCTGATCTTTGATCCTCGCTCGGATATGGCCTGGGATCTACTTGGATAGCCAGGTTCCCCGGCCCCCCGATGATTTTCCAGGATGTTCTTGGATCACACTCGAGGAAAGCTCCAGCTGGGCCCAGATTTGGGGCTTCTGTCCTGAAAGGCGCTGGCTCCTGGTGTGAATGGGAGGCCCAGGGCTGGTCTTGTTTACCACCTTCTGTAAGTCCTCAGTCTGCCCCCGCACTTGGCAGGTCCAGCCCAAGGTTCTCGCCCCGGCGCCCTCATCAATTATAGATCCCGGAGGAGCAGGGCTTGTTATGCAAGACTTGTTCCTGTGAAAGCCTCTTCCTCTGAGCCAATTCTGTCCTCGGAGTGTGAGAAGGGGCAGGGAGGGGACAGCAAGCCACTAGAAAGGGCTGACATGGGGCTTGGCCCTCTTGTTCTATGACCCCCAAATCCTTAGATCACTGCCCTGCAAGAGAGTTCAGAATCCCTTGATTCCCCGCCCCTCCTCCTCCCACTCCGCAGACCCCCATTTTTGGACTGAATCCTGGAGACCCCGTGGGGCTGGGTTATTTGAAACCCATTGTTCAAATGGAATCTGGGCTAGGCAGAGACCTAGGAGCCCTTGGACCTGAGGAACACAATTGGGAACCCATAGAATCACTGGAACCTTTCTGTCCTCCCTCTCTCCTATTCCTTAGATAAGGAGCTCTGAGTTTAGAGGGTGGAGGGGCCCAAGCCTGATCAATTCATTTTTCTTTGTTTTAGAAACAGTTTAACTTTTGTTTTCATGTAAATCTTCATTGCTTCTTTTCCCCCTTCTTCTGACTACAAGAGCAATATAAGCTTATTGTAAAATGTCAAACATTACAGAAATATAGGTTCCAGAAAATAAAAGCCCTCCCAACATGATTCTCCCCTTGGAGATATATAGTGGCTAATTTCTTTCTGTCTCTCTGAACGTATATAGGTAGACAGACACATATATATGTAATCACTTTAATTTGGAAAATGGCTTTTAAAACAATTTATCCTGTAGAATTTTGTTCAAATAATTTGATGCCAATCTTGCTCACCTAATGATTAGACCACAGAAAGCAGCAATCAGTGCTAAAGATGATAGTCAAAAACAGGAAAAACTTCAAAAAACTTCTTTCCCCTGCCCTTGTAGATCCACTAATGTCTTCTAAGAGCTTGCTTTAATTTATTTTTGTTAATTAATCTTTCCAATTCTAATTCCCTAGACCAGTAAAATTAGAGGAGTTAATTAATCAGGCAGCTCATGGCTGCAATAATTCAACATCAAGAGTTATGTTATAAGGCCGGGTGCGGTGGCTCACACTTGTAATCCCAACACTTTGGGAGGCCGAGATGGGTGGATCATTTGAGGTCAGGAGTTCAAGACCTGCCTGGCCAACATGGTGAAACCCTGTCTCTACTAAAAATACAAAAATTAGCCGGGCGTGGTGGCGGGTGCCCGTAATCTCAGCGACTCAGGAGGCTGAGGCAGGAGAATCACTTGAATCTGGGAGGCAGAGGTTGCAGTGAGCCGAGATCGTACCACTGCATTCCAGCCTGGGCGATGGAACGAGACTCTGTCTCAAAAAAAAAAGAATTATTTTATAAATAAATACAGAGAATTTTTAAGAAGTGAGATTTATGACATGAAGCAACCCTTTTCCTTTTTAAAAAATAGGGTAAAGATTTTAATAACAAAAATGAAAGGCATACTTCAACAAGTAAAATATTTAGAGGGGTAAAAATTTTTTCTTTCCCCCCATTTCCTTGTCTCCGAGGAATCAATAGAAACAGTGAGTCCTTCTAGCACCTTTTGGAAAAGGTTTGCACATCCACTCTCTCATTATGTCCAGGTGAATGAAGTCCCCTGGTCAGGAGTTCCTAGGCTGACAGTTGAATGAAGCTGGGTCCCTGGAAGGGGGATCTTGGGGATAGAACCCAGCACTGCCGCCCAGCACTGGGCTCTGGACACAATGCTTAATCTCTTTGAATCTCAGTTTCCTTGCCTTTGAAGTGGGAAAATTATTAATAGTTCCTGCATCAGGGGCTTGTGGTCAGGACTTCATTGCATGCACTTAAAGCAGGTGCCCCAGCTTTGGCAAAGCTCGGTAAGTGGCAGCCACTGTGCTTGTTTCAGGTAAGCACAGCTGAGCACAGGTGAGCGCAGGTTGTTGCATTTTCTTCCCTGGCGGTTCTTCCTCACTTGCTCTGGGCAGGCTTGGTTACATCGGTCTCAGAACCCTCCTGTCTTTCTGCGCTTCCCCTGCCTTTCTGCGCTTCCCCTGCATTGCCCTGACCTATGTCCTTTGCACTCTGCCTGGCTCTCCAATCCCAGGCCTCACGGCCATCCAGCCTTCGGACCCCCTCAGTTGTGACTGCAGTTGTGACTGCAGCTGGTCAGTCCCTCACCCCAGAGTCCCAACTCACTCCTTCCTGATGATGGAAAAATTTACTGTCTTGCTTCCCAGTTTTGGGCAGCAAATTCAGGAGCAGAAGTCACAGTCTTACCCCTTGCTCCACACCGAGGTCAGTCATAGTGTGGCCAACCCACAGCTCCCTTGAAGGGGCCCTGGAAGCAGGGTGGAAAGATAGGTTGTTAGCTCTGTGAGCACTGGCCGCCCTGCTAGTCCCAAGGGACTCTTGAAAGGCCTTAGCTGAGACCAAGAAGGGACACCAGGGAGTCCTCCAGCCACTGGCAACCCAAAAACATCCATTACTTGAAAGAGGGCTCTGAATAATGGCTTGTTCCTGCCTCCCATCCTGGATGACTGAGTGATCTTTGCTCTAAGAAAACCTGATATTGGCTGGCACAGTGGCTCATGCCTGTAATTCCAGCACTTTGGGAGGCCAAGGCGGGAGGATCACATGAGGCCAGGAGTTCGAGACCAGCCTGGCCAACATGGTGAAACTTCATCTCTACAAAAAATACAAAAATTAGCTGGGCATGGTGGTGCACATCTGTAATCACAGCTACTTGGGAGGCTAAAGCACAAGAATCGCTGGAACCCAGGAGGTGGAGGCTGCAGTGAATTGAGATTACACCACTGCACTCCAGCCTGGGCAACAGAGCGAGAAAACCTGATATTGAGAGAAGAATGTGGATCTTACAGATTCAGACATGCCTGGGTTTGAATTCTAGCTCCACCACCTTGGGCAAGTCCCGTCACCTGTGGGCCCCATTTTGCACATCAGTGCGATGCAGCAATGACACCTCCCTTGCAGGCGATGCGTGAAGAATGCCCGGCACAGTGGGCATCATCATTTCACAAACACGTATACTGCTGACACAGGAAGACAGAGCAGGAGCCCAATATACACGGACTCCGTTTGTCCCTTGCCCTCCTCGAGTCTGTGCGGCTAGAATTAGACTTAGCACAGTGGGCTGAGGGGCCCTGGATGGGGTGGCTGCATTGCTGGCCTGAGTGGAAGCCCTCTGCTTCCACCCCCATGTGTCTCCGGAGCAGGGAGACGAGCACCCGATTGGGAGGAGGAAACAAGGTTTCCAGCCTTGGCTTGGCCACGCACTTGCTGAGTGCCCTTGAGTAAGTCACTTCACTTCTCTGGGCTTCAGTTTACCGTGGGTAAAGTGGGGTGAAGTAGAAGGACCTTTCCAACTCTGATTTGACAACTCTGGGGCATGGAGCTGGGGACTGCTCACAGGAAAGCCCAGCTGACTTTCCTTGGCTTGCTTCTGAGTGAGGGCAGTTGTGACTGCAGCAGGGAAGCTCTCCTGAACGCCTTGCTCTGGGATGCAGTAATGATTACAGAGGGCTGGGGAGCAGGAGCTTGTGTCTCCACTTCAGAAAGGAGAGGCCTGAGGCTCGGAAAGGGCAAGTGACTTACCCAAAGCCATCCAGCATTGTTGTGGCGGGGCACCTGTCCCTTACCCATAGCTGCTCTGAAGGGACTGCTGGGTGGGAGTTGCTGCGGTACCGTAGGGGAAAGCAGAAGGGTGGCATGGGCTGGAACAATCCAGAAAGACTTCCCAGAGAGCCTTGAAGGATGAGAAAGATTTGGATTAGTACCTCTCAAAGTGGCTTTTGCAAAATACTCAAGCTGGAGGCAGGATATGGTGAAGAAAAGTGGTTCTTGGGCTGGGTTCAGTGACTCACTCCTGTAATCCCAGCACCCAAGGATCTCTTGAGGCCAGGAGTTCAAGACCAGCTTAAACAGCATAGTGAGACCCCATGTCTACAATAAAATAAAATAAAATAAGTAAGCTGGGCACTGTGGCTCATAACTGTAGTCTTAGCCACTCGAGAGGCTGAGATGGGAGGATCATTCAAGTCCAGGAGTTTGAGGTTACAGTGAGCTGTGATTGTACCAATGCACTGCAGCCTGGGACAGAGTGAAACCCTGTTGAAAGGAAGGAAGAGAGAGAGAGAGCGGAAGGAAGGAGAGAGAGAGAGAAAGAGAGAAAGGAAGGAAGGAAAGGAAAGAGAGAGGGAAAGAGAATGAAAGAAAGAAAAAAAGAAAGGAAAGAAAAAAGAAAGAGGGAAAGAAAGAAAAGCAGTTCTTGGTTCAATAAGATAGGGAAATACTGTATAAAACAAAAGGCAAGCAGGTGTATTCACCATAGGATTTGACAGAGCCTTTATTATGCACATGCGCGTTGTATAACAGTCAGGGAGGGTGAGTGAGAAGCATTCCCTATGCTTATTTGACCGTGGAACTCTTTCCTTGCAGAATGTCTTAGGGGACTAGTGTGCCTTTGGGAAACGCCGGTTTTGAGGAAGGAATTGTTGCAGTTTTTTTGATTTAGAAAGTGGCTACAGGGGTCCTTGTTAGTGGAGTATGGGATTCAAAGGGGTGGCAGAAAGATGCAGTGGGCAGGGAATCTCTCACTTCTTAGCTGTGTGGCCTTGGGCAAATTTTATTCCTTTCCTAAACCTCAGTTTCCTACTCTGAAACAGTCTCAAACAAGATAATGGGTATGAAAGTCCTGAGTTAACTGAGAATCACTGTGTTGCTGGAAAGCCCCTGGTCCACAAGCCAGAATTTCCTTTACCTCAATTCTGTCCCCTTCTTCCATATCTGCTTCCCTGGGCCTTCTCCCCTGGGCTAATGCTGTCTCTTTGGCCCCACAGAAAGGAGGTGTGGCATCAGGATTCAAGCACGTGGTACCCAACGAGGTGGTGGTGCAGAGACTCTTCCAGGTCAAAGGGCGGCGTGTGGTCCGTGCCACCGAGGTACCTGTGTCCTGGGAGAGCTTCAACAATGGCGACTGCTTCATCCTGGACCTGGGCAACGTGAGTCCTGCTTTCCTCTTTCCCAGGAGCCACTGAGGTGCTCCTGGTCTGATCAGGGACTTGGGTACATCCACGTGAACAAATGCATAGATGCAGGTGGGCAAACCACAGGGACCAGCATTGTTCACGTACAGATATGTCTGTATGCAAAGACTCCCACAAATGTAGACTCACACCACGGGTATAGTGCGTACTTGGACTTTGATTGACATATAGACTTCCTGGCACCTTCTGTTCATATGTACGTCTTGTGTCCTTTTTCACATGCTTATAAATATATAACAGTCATGGGCAAACACTCTGGGCTTTTGCCCACCAGGTGTGCACATGTGCACCATCATGAATGCCCACACATGTATACTCGGGTATGTTGTTTAAGGTCCCACATGTGTATGTCATACATGTAGTTGCACATGCCCATGATCTATGGCAATGTGTGTGGGATGCCCTTACCCAGGCCCACCTTATAGATGTGTGACGCTTTGTACACACTTGTCTCACAAATCCCTGGAGCGCAGACCTGCAAATGGACACGGCCCTTCTACCCCAAAGCTCATATGCTTATACACCTGTGATATAATGTCCGTGCAAACATGAGCACACACTGATTTAGTGTAAGCTTTTTATTAAAGCGTCATGGGCACACAGAGGAGTGTGTGAATCCTGAGTGTACAGCTTGATGGATTACACAGAGCGAACACACTCACGTAACACTGGATCATGAAGCAGAACCTCACCAGCCCCTAGAAGGCCCCTTTTGCCCCTTTCGGTGCCCTCACCCCAAGGGCAACCATCATCCTGAACTTTCTCAACAGCATAGATGAGTTTTGCCTGTTTCTGAACTTTATAGACACGGAACCTTGTTCTTTTATCTCTGACCTTTTGCTCAACATTACATTTCTGAGATGCATCCGTATTGTTGCATTTAGTTGTAGGTTGTTCATTTTCCTTGCTGTGGAAGATTCAGTTGTGTGGGTGTACCATGATTTATGTATCCTTTATGTTGTTGATGGGCACTTGAGGTGGCTTCTGGTTTGGGGCTATTACAGACAGTGCTACTCTGAACATTCTTGCACAAGTCTTTTGGTGGACATACGAACGTACTTCTGTCAGGTATTTTCCTAGAAGGAGGATTGCTGGGTCATAAGGAAATAGGTATATTCGGCTTTAGTGGCTATGGCCAAATGGTTTTCCAAAATGGTTGTGCCAATTTATATTCCCTTCAGCAGGCAAACATTTTTGCACACATTCTAGATGTAGTTGTACCTGTGAAAAAATTCCTGTCCTCAGACATGCGCTCCCATCTCCTGGTGTGTGCAGATCACACTTAATTGTACGTAAATAATGCACGTGTGCAGACTGTGCCAGCCTTCACCTGGGCAAGTGCAGAACAGGGTGAGCCTGCACACCACACGCCACACTCCCCAAGCCCTGTCGCTGGGCGGGGCTTATAGGAAGGCGGGGCACTGACTTCCTGGGTCTCTGTCTTCCAGAACATCCACCAGTGGTGTGGTTCCAACAGCAATCGGTATGAAAGACTGAAGGCCACACAGGTGTCCAAGGGCATCCGGGACAACGAGCGGAGTGGCCGGGCCCGAGTGCACGTGTCTGAGGAGGGCACTGAGCCCGAGGCGATGCTCCAGGTGCCTGTGGGGTGCGCAATGGGGTGGCCATGGGGACACGCTGCTCATGACTTTCTTCTGTTCAGTAGGCAATTTGAGGTGAATTTGAGGAAAAAAAAAAACTTCCGCTCTACCCCACCTTTTTATTTTTAAAATACTTTTTTATTTTAATTTTTGAGACAGGATCTTATTCATTGTTGCCTGAGCTGGAGTGCAGGGGCGCCATCACAGCTCACTGCAGCCTTGACCTCCTGGGCTCAAGTGATCCTCCTGCCTCAGCCTCCCGAGTAGCTGGGACCACAGGCGAGTGCTACCAAGCCAGGCTAACTTTTGAATTTTTTGTAGGAATGAGGTCTTGCCATGTCGCTCAGGCTGGTCTCCAACTTCTGGGGTCAAACCATCACCTGCCTCAACCTCCCAAAATGCTGGGATTACAAGCATGAGTCACCATGCTGGCCCTGCCTCACTTTTGAGGCTGTTTTTCCATCAAACCTGATCACTTTAGGGAGCAAGGGAGATCAGTTTCTTGCACAACTCCCCGACTACCCTGAGAGGTGGGACTGGAACCCAAGGCTGTGCTGTGAGTGTGAGCCGCATTCTCCAGTGGGGAGGGCCAGGTCCTCTGCAGAGCTAAGGAGGGCAGTCTCTTAGCATCCCCAGAGGGCCAGCTTTGTGCTAGAATAAGGTCAGAAAGAGACCACTGAGCCCCAATCCCCTCTTTTCTCTTCTGACTATTTCTGGTAGTTTTTGGCCCATTTAGTCACATGGTGGGATTGCCAGCCATTGTGCGTTGAGGACGTATCAATAGAGGCAAGATTCACTAGGAAAAGGAGAAGACCATGAGCTCTGCTCCATGTCACTTGGTTCCTGCTTCTCTGGGGGCATCCAATTCCAGCTTTTGGAGAGAGCAGAATGGTGATTATTATTATGGGAAGGGACCTGGACACCAACCATGGCTTGGGAGGGACAGTGGGAGTGAAAATAGGCTCTGAAGCCACAGGGATGGAGGTTCAGATTCTGGCTTAGCCACCTAATAGCTGTGTGAGTAGGTGACTTCATCTTTCTGGACCTCAGATTCCTCTTCTGTAAAATGAGAGTGATAATCTGTGCCTCCTGGCCTGGCTGCGAGGATGCAGTGACATCTTTTAAAGGTAGGCGGTAGAAGGTGTTCAGTAGCTATAGTTATCACAATTAGCCGGTAGGCGAAATATCTGAAGCGCTGTCTGGAGGCAGAGGAGCAGGAGTGTTCTCCTGGAGTTTCTGAGTCAGGGAGACAAGGTGGAAGGGACCTCTGATGGACAGATCTGGACATGTGAGCAGATGCAGGATGTGTCTGGAGGAGGTCAGACTCCATGGGGAGGGTCACAGTGGATGTCCTTGTGATCCTTGCCTGCCTGGGAGCTATCTCAGGAGCCTGGCCCCTCCCTCACAGCCACCCTTCCTCTCCATCTCTCTATCTCCTACAGGTGCTGGGCCCCAAGCCGGCTCTGCCTGCAGGTACCGAGGACACCGCCAAGGAGGATGCGGCCAACCGCAAGCTGGCCAAGCTCTACAAGGTGAGCACCAGATGCACTGTCTGCCTGGGCATGGGGTCAGGACAGGGAGGTGGAAGACTTGGTCTTCCCCACTCCACTGCTATGGGACCTTGAGCAAAGCACCCCTTTGGAGGGGGGCCTCAGCTTTCTCACGTCTCCAGTGGATGCTCGTGTACTTCCTTTGCTTTCCTGCACTAAGAGCATGCGATCAACTCCGTACATATCTGTGTCACGCTCATACATGAGGTCTCTCTGAGTCTCAGTGTCCTAGTCTGTAAAGTGGGAAGAAGAGCAGAATGGTCGACTTTGTAGGATTTCTGGGAGTCCACAGATAAAATGGATGTGAAAACAGCTTAGAAAATACTTGGGGAAATACTACAGAAATGGTGTGTATGTGGGGAGGTTGGGGGTGTGGGTTATAGTTAATGACTTTATTTATGATTTCTTTCTTGTGATTTTCACAACTGAATTCAGGCTTAGCTTCAGCTAGGGAACTCTCTTGGCTGAGCTCTGGGAGAAAGCTCAATCACACTTACGTTGTGCCCCAAGTATTTTCAGTAAAACAACAAAAAGGGGATGTCGATTTTCACCACTGCCAAAGAAAAACTACTACATTATCGATTTTTTTTCTGATTATGAAGTAATACATGTTTATTGTAAGAAAAAAAAGTATTCAAAATATAAAAAGAAAATAAAAGTCCATGCAATTTCACTGGTTTAAAAAACCAGTATTACTTTTAAAATATGTTTTAATTACAAAAATGACAATACCCAGTTAAAAAATCAGCCTCTCCTCCTCATGAGAGAACACATCTTTGTCCAGCCACAGCTTTCTGTGCCTAGTTACTTTTCCATTTCCATCTTATTATTTTATTTTGAGATAGGGTCTTGCTCTGTCACCCAGGCTGCAGTACAATGGCACAATCACAGCTCACTGCAACCTCTGCCTACCGGGCTCAAGCGATCTCTTGCCTCAGCCTCCTAAGTGGCTGGGACTACAGATGTACGCCACCACGCCCAGCTAACTTTTGTATTTTTTGTAGAGACGAGGTTTTGCCATGTTGCCCAGGCTGGTCTCAAACTCCTGGGCTCATGTGATCTGCCCACCTCAGCCTCCCAAAGTGCTGGGATTACAGACCTGAGCCAACGCTCCCGGCCATTTCTATTTTGTGTAACTGGATCCAAACTATTCATGCTGTTGTGTGGTCTTTTTTCCACTCAACATGGTCGGGAATATCTTTCTATAATAAATCTCAACACGACCCTTTATAACAGCTGTATAGTATTTTATTTTATGAATGTAAGAATTTAAGCAAATCCTGATTGATGGACATTAGGATGTTCCACCTTTTCCAGTTGCAGACAGTCCCTCTTGGTGCACTTGTGCTAAGTACAGCATAGCACTAGGGCAAGTTCCTAGACAAGGAACTGCTGGTCACAGGCCGAAGAATGAGTCAGTAGTTGAAAATACTGGTTCTGGGCCAGGCATGGTGGCTCACCCCTGTAATCCCAGCACTTTGAGAGGCCGAGGTAGGCGGATCACCTGAGGTCAGGAGTTCGAGACCAGCCTGGCTAACATGGTGAAACACTGTCTCTACTAAAAATACAAAATATTAGCCAGGCGTGGTGGCGGGTGCCTCTAATCCTAGCTCTCCTCCTAAGGGAGGAGAATCACTTGAACCCGGGAGGCGGAGGTTGCAGTGAGCTGAGATAGTGCCATTGCACTCCAGCCTGGGCGACAACAGTGAGACTCCGTCTCAAAAATAATAATAATAAATAAAATAAAAAAAGAAAATACTGGTTTTGGAGTCAGGAGTCAGACTACCTGTGTTTGAATTCCAGGTCAGCTATTTCTAGCTGTGCAAGTTCCTTAACCACTCTGTGCCTTGGTTTCCTTGTGAATGAGACAGGGATAGTAACAGAACTATCATATGCAAGGATTAAAGGGGTTCTATAATTATACAAGTTATAGAAATTGCTTAGAACAGTGACTGGCACAGAGTAGTAAGTACTCAATTCATGTAGAATAATTATTATTTAAAGGACTGCTACCTCACAGTCAACTGTACTCTGGAACAGCTCCCAAATTACTGTCATCAGGGATCTTAAATGCCTGTTTACCCAGAGCCTTGCCAACTGGATATTGTTAAACTTTTGAATTTTGACTCTTAAGATAGAACTTTTTTTTGAGCTTGGTTGAACTTTTTATTTTAGAATAATTTTTAAGTTTACAGAAAAATTGTAAAGATAGTACAAAGAGTTCCTATATACCATTCACTCAGCTTCTCCTTAGCATCTTAGCATAACCAGGTACATTTGTCAAAACTAAGAAATTAACATTGCTTCAGTACCATTAACTAAACTATAGACTTTAGCCAGATTTCCCCAGTTTTTTATTCTAGGTTCCAATCCAGGATACCAGATTGCATTTAGCTCTTTTTACTTTTCTTTTTCTTTTCTTCTCTTTTATTTACTTATTTATTTTTGAGACAGAGTCTGGCTCTGTTACCCAGGCTGGAGTGTAGTGACGCAATCATAGCTCACTATAGCCCCGACATCCTGGGCTCAAGTGATCCTCCCACTTCAGCCTCCCAAGTAGCTGGGGCCACAAGCAAGCGCCACCACACCTTGCTACTTTTTGTATTTTTTGTAGAGATGGGATCTTGCCATGTTGCCCAGGCTGGTCTTGAACTCCTGGGCTCAAGCCATCCACCCACCTGGGCCTCCCAGAGCGCTGGGATTAAAGGTGTGCGACACTGTAACCGGCCTCTTCTCTTTTTTTTGAATAGTAAAGTTGAATACATTTTCAGCAAACTATGCAGTTCCCCTCTGCACCCAATTCCCCAAATTTTATCCCGCCCTCCCTTCCCATGTGCAGTTTGTGTTACCCCTGCGTGTAGGTCAGCAGATGTGGTTCTGACAAAGCAGAAAACGAAAAAGAACCTCTAAATGTGTGCGAGAGGAAGCCCAGGTGTTACTCTACAGGGCCATTTGGGACAGGGGGTGGGGCAAGATGGTGGAAGTCTCAGGGCTGGGCGGCCACAGACACTCATGTGCTGGTTCCTTCTGCTTCGTCCCCTCAGGTCTCCAATGGTGCAGGGACCATGTCCGTCTCCCTCGTGGCTGATGAGAACCCCTTCGCCCAGGGGGCCCTGAAGTCAGAGGACTGCTTCATCCTGGACCACGGCAAAGATGGGAAAATCTTTGTCTGGAAAGGTACTGGAGACAGGGAAAGGGTCCCAACTGGCCTGTAGGATCTTGGATGGGATGTTCTGCAGCTCCCAGGAACTCAGCTCCCGGGGAGTGTGGAGTGTGCCTGGTGCAATGGAAATCAGAAGTCTTGGGCTGAGGCCTTGGTTTTGCATTTGACATACTGTGTGATCTTGGGCACTTTACTTACCCTTTCTGGGCCTCAGATTCCTGATCTGGGCTAAAATGGGTGTTTCCCAAGTGCATTATAACGTCAGTTCTCTGAGAGGCTAATTGGCATCCTGTAGAAATTATGTAGAAAACATCTAACTGTATGGTCAGATAAATTCATGGGCAACAGTGGATTTTAAAATGTTCGAGTTTGTTTACTGTAGGACTTTTAACTTGTTCATTTACAGGGGGGCTTTTCATGAAGATGATCTGGTTTGGGAAATGCTAAGCTAGAAGTTCATAAACTCTTTCGGTACTATCTTGTGGGAATTCTCTTGGAAACCATTGGCCCAGATGTTTCCCAGAGGCCCTGAGATGTTCTGAGAGGACCCATCAATATCCTCCCCTGATTCTCTAAGGCTCATCTTGGGGAAGAGGACAGAGGAGAGGGAGGCAGTAGGAGGACAGAGAGAAAGGGAGACGGTGGGGAGAAAGAGAGAGAGAGAGACACTATTATGATTATTACTCTCTAGGCCCCCTGGGCCCTGGGCCAGCTGATCTGGACCTTGGCCTTGGCAGTGAGAAGGCTGGGACTGAGGCCCAGCACTGGCTGGCCAGGAGCTCCTTGGCACGGGAATGCCCTCAGGGTGGCAGCTTCTCACTCACTGAGTAACCTAGGTCAAGTAATTTAATCTCTCTAAGACCCTAGCTTCCTTATAGATACTCAGAAAAAGATAACAACTTTTTTTATTACTTAAGACTATTCTGTGAATTAAATAATCTATGCATAGTTCTAAGCACAAAATACATGCTCACTAAATGGACCACAGTAGTGTTGTGATTGGTGTCACTGGCCAGCCCCAGGCTGGACACCAGGAGCTCTAGTGAGTGGTCGGCTCTGGGGGTCTCTGGCCTTGGCTGTCCACAGTCTAAGAAGAGTAGGGAGGGAAGTTTGGCAGCTCCTTCTCCTGGACTGTTAAAGGTCAGGATGCAGCAGGATCCCGGGCCTCTAACCCTCCATCACTTCCTCTGGCTGCCAACAGGCAAGCAGGCAAACACGGAGGAGAGGAAGGCTGCCCTCAAAACAGCCTCTGACTTCATCACCAAGATGGACTACCCCAAGCAGACTCAGGTGAGTCTTGGAGGCCAGGTAGGATGGGAAGGGGTGGGTCCTGTTTGGAGGGGATGGGCTGGAGTAGGGCGGGTGTCCCACCCTCAGTGTGGATGGGGTATCTGAGGCTCCCCTGGGGACCCCTGCTGGGCAGCCCAGCCACATCCTGCTCCTCTGCCTCCCCTCCCCAGGTCTCGGTCCTTCCTGAGGGCGGTGAGACCCCACTGTTCAAGCAGTTCTTCAAGAACTGGCGGGACCCAGACCAGACAGATGGCCTGGGCTTGTCCTACCTTTCCAGCCATATCGCCAACGTGGAGCGGGTGCCCTTCGACGCCGCCACCCTGCACACCTCCACTGCCATGGCCGCCCAGCACGGCATGGATGACGATGGCACAGGCCAGAAACAGGTACGTTTAGGGCGTGGGGTGGGTGTGTCCAGGCCCCTCCCTCACTTTCCCCATGCACTGCCTCTTGCTTCCCCAAGGAGGTTTCTCTCTGAGGTTTGCACAACTTTGGTAGCTGAGATTCTTTGGTGTTACTTAGTTTTTACAGCCAATGCACCCTGTGTATCAGGCCCTGAGCCAAGTGTCTTGGCCCCACCTTGCCCCGAGGAGTGCCTGGTCTGGGAGGGGAGTTGACCATAGCCACAGACCTGTGTGATCAGTGGAAGATGGGAGGGAGCACAGGGGATTGTGCAGACACAGGAAGCAGTGGGGGTGGTTGGTCAGGGCAGCCTGCACAGAGATGGGAACCTTTGGGTTGGGTCTCAGAGGAGGAGTAGAGCTTTGCTGCCGGAGAGGAAGAGCGGAGAGTGATGGGCATTCCAGGAGGGACTCGCTATGTTCGGAAAGGAGGGAGCTATCCCAGGGGGCTAGTGCTGATGGCATCCCCAGGGAGGGGCCTTGAATGCCAATTTCAAGGGTGTAGACTTGATCCTCTAACCAGTGGGTGCTAGTGAGGGGTTTTTCTTTTTATTAAATCAGACATGCAACAGGCTCAGATTTATGCTTTATCTTTTTTTTTTTTTTTAATAGAGACAGGGTCTCGCTATGTTGCCCGGGCTAATTTCAAACTCCTGGGCTCAAGCAATCCTCCTGCCTCGGCCCCCCAAAGTGTTGGAATTACAGGCATGAGCCACTGCGCCCGGCCACCTGCTTTAGAAACTCACTGTGAAAATGGGTTGGAATATGACTCCAGGATATCATTAGAAGAAAAAAATCAGTTAAAAAATAAATAAAAGAAAAATAAAAAGAAAACTAAGAAAATGGATTGGAGGCAGGAAAATGAAGGTAGAGAGCTTATAAGGAGCTTGTTCTAATACTGTAGGGGAAAGATGATGACCTTGAGACTAAGAAGGTCACAGTGGAGAAGGGGAAGAGGGGTGTGGGGTTCAGAGGTGTTTAGGAGGTAGAATCCGCCTCAGGCAAACTTGACTCCGTTCCTAATGATAGGAATAACAAAGTGTTCATTTTTATATATTATTGTTTTTGGTTTGGTGCTAGCATTCATTTGTTGCTTCAGTGGCTAGGGAGAATGCAATGAAAATATTTCGGGTGGGGCGGTGTGGTAAGACCCCTGGCAGCCTGACTGTGAGACTTTGGGCAAGTTACATAACCTCTTTGAGCTTCACTTTCTCACTTGTAAAGTGGGGTTTCATCCCACTCCATCACCTTCAAGAATGTTCAAAATCCAGAGATTCTAGGATTCTGTTTCCCAGGACTTGGACGACTCCGTGTCTCCATAGCTCCACCAGGTGGCGCTGCCGGGCCTCGTGACCACTTGGAAAAAGCAGTGTCACCAGAACGCTGCGGAGACCTGCCAGCAGGGGTCACACTGAGGTTGCCTCGTGGTGTCCCTGCCTCTGCAGGTGACCTATGAAATTCCTGGCAGGCCCAGCACAGTGGCTCACGCCTGTAATCCCAGCACTTTGGGTGGCCGAGGCGGGTGGATCACCTGAGGTCAGGAGTTCGAGACCAGCCTGGCCAACATGGTGAAACCCCGTCTCTACTAAAAATACAAAACTTAGCTGGCCATGGTGGCAGGCACCTGTAATCCCAGCTACTCGGGAGGCTGAGACAGAAAAATTGATTGAACCCGGGAGGCAGATGTTGCAGTGAGCCGAGATTGCGTCATTGCATTCTAGCCTGGGCAACAAGAGTGAAACCTCGTCTCAAAAAACAAAAAAAAAAAAAAGAAAAAAAGAAAGAATCCAGGCAGCTCAGTAACAATAGAGGTAATGGTGATATTAGTAAGATAATAATAATAATTATGACAATAAGAGCAGCTGCCACCTACAGAGCAGTCCCTTTGTGCCGGGCCCTGTGCTAGACTTTCACGAGTAATCTCGTTTGAGCCTCACAGTACTTTGAGGTAGGTACTATGATTATCCCCATTTTTCAGATGGGAAAACTGAGGCTAAGAGTGGTTAAGCCAGTTGTCTGAGGTCTCATGGCCCGGAAGGGGATGAGGGGCCTGATTTGGGGTCTGTGTCTGGCTCCTCCCCTCACTGTACTGCATTCCTTTGGAGCTGCCTTGACGATCCTCAGCGAAGGACAGACGGGCTGGGGCAGGGCATGGTATGAGGAGCCCAGGCAGGAACCCTGACCCAGAGTCCCAGCCCTGCCTTCTAGTGGCTCTGTGAGTTGGGCAAACCATTTAACTCCAGTCCGAGCCCAAGTGATTAAAAGTTCATCCCATGGCCTAACCACAACCTACCACACTGCGGTTTCCTGGCTTGCCTGAGCTGGGGGGTGGGGGTGCTGCACAGCATCTGACTCCAGCTTTGCTCCTGCAGATCTGGAGAATCGAAGGTTCCAACAAGGTGCCCGTGGACCCTGCCACATATGGACAGTTCTATGGAGGCGACAGCTACATCATTCTGTACAACTACCGCCATGGTGGCCGCCAGGGGCAGATAATCTATAACTGGTGAGGTTCTGGGGCCATTGGTGTGTGTCGTGGGGGTACTGGCTGGGCCCTGAGCAGGGCTGAAGACAAACTGAGGGTGTGAGGGCCTGAGGTGGGACCACCACTCCCTGCTGGGAGAGGCTTTTGTCCACAGGGCAACACCATTTGCTTATTTCTCCAAACAACTTTGAAACTCTTCTTACCAAATGATTATACATCTATTGTAGGATATAGTGAATGTGGAGAAACAAACAGAACATCTCCCACAAATCCATGACAAGTACTAGGCACACTAGGGTTTATCCTCCCACACATATTTTTCAAGCCAAAATTTTTTTAAATTTATATTTGTTTATTTATTTATTTATTTATTTATTTTGAGACAGAGTTTTTCTCTTGTTGCCTAGGCTGGAGTGCAGTGGTGCGGTCTCGCTCACTGCAACCTCTGCCTCCCAAGTTCAAGCAATTCTCCTGCCTCAGCCTCTCTAGTAGCTGGGATTACAGGCACCCACCACCATGCCTGGCTAATTTTTTGTATTTTTAGTAAAGACGGGGTTTCACTATGTTGACCAGGCTGGTCTCGAACTCCTGACCTCAGATGATCCATCTGCCTCAGCCTCCCAAAGTGCTGGGGTTACAGGAGTGAGCCACCACACCCAGCCCCAAAATTATTTTAAAACAGAGAATACATTTACATGGTTCAAAAATCAAAACAGAATATAAAGGTATTTATTGAGAAATCTTATTCCCACCCCTGTCCCTCTCTACCCCATTCTCCAGACCCCACCCCTTCTTGGGTAACTGCTTTACTCTCTTGCATATCCTTCCAGTAACTCTTCGTGAAAAAAAATACATATGCAAATAATTTATAGCCTGGTCCCTCCCTTCCTTACACAAAAGGTAGCATACTTTGTATATTGCCCTGCACCTTGCTTTTCTGACTCCATTCTTCCTAGAGATCAATAATGTCAGTACATAGAGACAGAGAGCTTTCTCATTCTTTTTTACAGTTGCATAATAGTCCTTTGGGTGGCTGTACTATAGTTTATTTAACAAATTCCTTGATGATGCATACTTGGGTTGATTCCAGTCTTTCTCTATTACAAACATTGCTGTGATTAGTAACCTTAAACAAACATCACTTTGAACATGCAGAGACATGCCTCTAGAGTAAGTTCCCAGAAGTCAGATTGCTGGGTCAAAGAGTAACTGCACTTGTCATTTTGGTAGATAGCCCCCAATTTCCCTCGATAGTGTTCGTAGCATTTTACATTCCCACCAAGCAACCTGTGAGAGTCCCTGGTTCCCTATAGTCACACTCGTGGATTGTGTGGTCAAACTTTTGGGCGTTTGCCAATCTTATGGTTTATAAAATGGTGTCTCAGTGTATTTTTAACTTGTATTTCTCTTACTATACAGTCTAAAACTTTTTGTCTGATTATTGACTGTTGGATTTTTTTTTTTTTTTGAGACAGGGTCTTGCTCTGTTGGCCAGGCTGTAGTGCAGTGGTACGATCTCTGCTCACCACAACCTCTGCCCCCCGGGGCTCAAGCAATTATCGTGCCTCAGCCTCCTGAGTAGCTGGGACTACTTGCCACTACTCACCACCACACCCGGCTACTTTTTATACTTTAGTATGGATGGGGCTTTGCCATGTTGCCCAGGCTGGTCTCGAACTCCTCTAAGCGATCTGCCTGCCCCAGCCTCCCAAAGTGTTGGGATTATAGGCATGAGCCACCACGCCAAGCTGGATTCCTTCTTTTTTTAAACTTATTTTGAAATAATATTAGACACTTGCTGAAAAGTTGCAAAAATAGTACAGACAGTTCTCATATATCCATTACCCAATGGAATATTCACCTATGTTCACATCTTACATAACCCTTACATAACCATAGCACAATTAACAAAGCCAGGAAGTGAACATTGACACAATACTACTTACTAATCTATAGGCTTTACCTAAATTTCCTCAGTTTTCCCATTACCGTTTTTTTTTTTTTTTTTTAGACAGAGTCTTGCTCTGTCGCCAGGCTGGAGTGCAGTGGCATGATCTCGGCTCACTGCAACCTCTGCCTCCCAGGTTCAAGCAATTCTCCTGCCTCAGCCTCCTGAGTATCTGGGACTACAGGTGTGCGCCAACACACCCAACTAATTTTTGTATTTTTAGTAGAGACGGAGTTTCACCATGTTGGGCAGGCTGGTTTCGAACTCCTGACCTCAACTGATCTGCCTGCCTTGGCCTCCCAAAGTGCTGGGATGACAGGCATGAGCCATCGTGCCCGGCCCCCACTACTGTTCTTTTCCTGATCTAGGATCTAACCCAGGATCCCACATGGCATTTACTCATCATGTCTCCAAAGTCTCTGAATCTATGGCAGTTGCCCGGTCTTTCCTTTTTTTCATGCCCTTAACACTTTTAAAGGGTACTAGTCAGTTATTTTGTAGAATGTCTCTCAATTTGACAACCCCAGACATTTAAAAACAGCTTAATTTTTTTTTTGACTAGATAACACATTCACCTGGTACAAAATGTGTGAGAAGACTGTTTTAAAAATTAGCTGCATCAGCGCATTAATAGGTCAGATTTTGTTTGCTTATACGACGACATATGTTGGTTATGGAAAACTTAGACAATATGCAAAGAGGTGGGATAGAAAGGCAAAATCCCCCTAAATCTTCCCTCTAAGAGCAATCACCATGGACCTTTTTGGTGAACATCTGTGCAGACCTCTCTGCACGTGTTCATGGGAGGCTTAATCACTGACATCTTTTCCCACAAATAGGCTCTCGTAACACTTGCTATTCTGCGACCTGCTTTTCCGCCCAGAGAAATGTCCTGGCCACTTTTCTGCATCTCAGATTTGAGTCTCAGAGCATCTTCTCTGTGGCTGTTCAGCATGGGATGACCCAGCCAGTCTCCTGTGGGACACATTTAGCATAAGGAAATCCATGCGTTGCACTAAGATCTCTGTAAGCGGGCAAGATGCTAGGCTGAGAGTGGAAGTGTTGGTGTGGTTCCTGGCTCTCGTTGTTCTGAAAGAGTCCCCTTCCCTCTCTATCTGTTTCATTACTGGTAACAGGGAGATGTGTAGGTTTCTCAGACTCAGGGCAAGGGAGAGGCTCAGGGCTCTGTGTGCACCCTGATGCTGAATCTCACTTCCCCTTCCAGGCAGGGTGCCCAGTCTACCCAGGATGAGGTCGCTGCATCTGCCATCCTGACTGCTCAGCTGGATGAGGAGCTGGGAGGTACCCCTGTCCAGGTGAGCCCAGCCCACCGCCTCTCTGGGCTGCAGCCTGAGCCTTGTCCTTCTCTTCACTCATCTGTCTGACTCTCATCCATCCATTCGTTTGTCCATCTGTCTGTCTGTCCATCCATCCATCCATCCATCCATCCATCCATCCATCCATCCATGGAACAGGTATTTATTTAGGGCTTCCATGTGTTCCACACTGCATCTGTAGCCATGGACACACAGACACACTGTCCCTGCCCTAGTGGACTTTGCTGTCTTGGGTGGTAGTAGACATTCAACACACAGGCACACCAATGGCTATGACAGATGCAGTGAGTGAAATTGACAAGACCTTGGGAGAGAGACATGGGAGAGGCCATGTGGCTGAGCACGGATGTGGAACCAGCATGCTTGGGTTTGAATCCTGTCCTCACCTCTGGGCAACGTTGGGCAAGTCACTTAGCCTCTCTGTGCCTCTGTGTCCTCAAAATAGGGGTAATAACAGTACCATCCCACAAGATTGCTGTGAGGATTAAGAGTTAACATTTGTAAGCATTTAGAATCATGCCTGCCATATAAGAAGTGCCCCCTTATACATATGTGTTAAGTACAAGGAGGTAAATCCTAGGTAGGATCCTATTGGATTAGAAAAGCCCACCCCTGTCCCAGGAGGGGACTGTTCAACTGGGACCTGATGCACGTGTAGGAGTTGCCCAGGCAGAGTGAAGGAAAGCACATTGTGGGTAAAGGGTGGTACACATGCAAAGGCCCTGAGGTGGGAGGGGGCATTGGGTGTTAAAGCAAGGGGAAAATGCCATGATTTGAGGCTAGAGAGGTGCTCAGAGGGGCCAGACCACCAGAGGCCATAGTGACGATGTTGACCTTGATGCTGAGAACAACAGGAAGTTGCTGAATGATAAGTCTGAGGTGTAGGGATTTCTGGTTTAAAAAGTCACTCTGGCCAGGCGCTGGAGGGCAGCAGAGCTGGTTTGTGGAAATATAGGGGAAGCGGACAACAACTGTGCTTCCTCCGTCCTACGGTGGGAGTGGGCAGGGCTCTAGATTGGCATCGGGGGTTCGTGCCCTGACCTTTGACTATGATAGACTGGGTGCTGGGCACTAAATGAGATGATGACCATCTTAGCTCAGTGCATCCTGACAACAGCCTTGGGAGTAGCATCCTTGGCTGCATTTTTCAGAGGAGGAACTCAAGAGGTTGAGACACGTGCCCAAGTTCTCACCATCAGGGTGGAGTTGGGGTCTAAGCCCTAACTCAGCGGTGGTGGGTCGTGGTGGGAAGCGACTGCCATATGCCTGACGTACATGTGAGGTTTTCTTCTGGACATAGTTAGCCGGGGCCACGGTAAGGTGCCGCACACAGGGCAGGAGCAGATGTGAGGGTGTACATCTTCCCTGCCTCACTCCCACCACCAAGCCCCTGACTGCTGCCCGCATCTGGGGTGCACTGGCTCTGCAGGAGGGGGTTTTCTGGATCTAGAATGCTCTGTTCTTACCACTCCACCAGCAGTCATGCCCAGGCCTGACGTCAGCATTCTGGAAGAATGTCCACCAGCAATCCCTGTGCTTCTATTTAAGGGAACATTTGCAAACACAGGCTCTCCTGGTTCTTGGACCAGGCTGAGGATCAGGAAGGCATGTCGTCATGGAGATGGAGAGCAGCCCAGCAGCAGTGCCCTGGGGACCTCAGACAATAGCACTGTCTCCACCCTTCCTGGAATTCTGGTGTCCCTGCCTGTGTGTTGTCGGGTCACATTCCATGCCACACACAGACACAAGCATGATGGCTTCGTCTGGAGGGATGGGCCCAGTGCGACATAGAAGGACTGAAGCCTGCCCCCAAGGTCCCTGACTTGCTCTCCTGTCTCCCTGCCAGAGCCGTGTGGTCCAAGGCAAGGAGCCCGCCCACCTCATGAGCCTGTTTGGTGGGAAGCCCATGATCATCTACAAGGGCGGCACCTCCCGCGAGGGCGGGCAGACAGCCCCTGCCAGCACCCGCCTCTTCCAGGTCCGCGCCAACAGCGCTGGAGCCACCCGGGCTGTTGAGGTAATTTCCAGGTCCTGGAACACAGAAGGGATTGGCCTCCCTGAAACCTCCCAGCTCAATGACCAGATCTCCAGGCACAGGAACGGGGGCAGGGGATGGTGAATGACGGGGTAAGAAGCAGCTTTTTGTATTTTCCTGCCGTGGCCACAGGGTTGTCTGTCTTAGACTCCCCCCTGTTTCAAGGATACCCAGTGTCCCTTGCACACTTTGCACAGTGGACAGCTCACTACCTACCATTCTGTACAATCAGCATGCCATTCCTGATTACGTTCCAGTTGCCTACTATCCCTTTCACGGAGGAAGGCACAGATCTGGACTTGATTCCCAGGATGGTCTGAGCAGCCTAGAGGGGAATGGGACTCTCACCTCCTTTGTTCTGGGCATTCAACTTCTGTTAATGCAGCCCTGATTTTTAGAATCATGTTGGCTAGTCACAGTGCATTAGTGACTCATGGGAGTCAACCAAGGCCATCAGGGTCCAAAGTCTGTGCCCTCAGCTCTGATGGGCTGTGTTCCTCCAAGTCCCCACCTGAGAGCTAGTCCTGCTGCGGGGTCTCCTGGGCTGTGAGGAGGGGGCTGAGGGCTTTTTGTCTGGTTCCTGATTAACCAAGCTGTACCCTCCCAGGTATTGCCTAAGGCTGGTGCACTGAACTCCAACGATGCCTTTGTTCTGAAAACCCCCTCAGCCGCCTACCTGTGGGTGGGTACAGGAGCCAGCGAGGCAGAGAAGACGGGGGCCCAGGAGCTGCTCAGGGTGCTGCGGGCCCAACCTGTGCAGGTGGCAGAAGGCAGCGAGCCAGGTAGGAGCCGGGGTGGGGGGCCTGCTGCTGTCCGGATGCAGCTATTAAGTTTCCCCCTTCTTTCCTTCAGCTTGGGGGCTCTAAATCCTCCCCTCCATCCCACCTGAGGGCCTGTCCCCTAATGTATGTTAAATAAAAGCAGTTGCATTAAAATGAGGGCTGTGGCCAGAGAGAGGGAGGTCTCCAGGAGCTAAAGAAAGGAGAGCCTAGCCTGGGCGTGGTGGTTCATGCCTGTAATCCCAGCACTTTGGGAGGCTAAGGCGGGCGGATCACCTGAGGTCGGGAGTTCAAGACTAGCCTGACCAACATGGAGAAACCCCATCTCTACTAAAATACAAAATTAGCCGGGCATGGTGGCACATGCCTGTATAATCCCAGCTACTCGGGAGGCTGAGGCAGGAGAATCACTTCAACCCGAGAGTTGGAGGTTGCGGTGAGCTGAGATCACGCTATTGCACTCCAGCCTGGGCAACAGGAGTAAAACTCTGTCTCAAAAAGAAGAAAGAAAGAAAGAAAGGAGAGCCCAGTGTGGGAAGGAGCAGTTGGTCTGTGGAAGGAGGCGGTCCCTCGCTAGGAAGCCTTGAAAGGTGGTAGGCAGGGCTGATAGCGTCAGAGGAGCAGTGGTCTCCTTGCATCTCTAGACTCTCCATGGACAGAAATGCCACCAGCCTGCTCTGTTTCCAGAATGTGGGCCGGGCAGCTCTTCCTTCTGCCAGCCTGCAGTCTTTATACTGTTACTTTGAGTTCATTCCCACCTGCTTGATGCTTAACAGAAATGGTGAAGAGTGACTTGGTCTAAAGCAGCTCTGTCCAGCAGAACCTTCTATGCAGATGGACATGTTCTGTATCTGCCGAGTCCAATTTGACAGCCATTAGTCACATGTGGCTGTTGAGCACTTGAAATGCGACCAGTGGGAATTAGTGGGAATGAAGAACTGAACTTTTAGTCGAATTTAATTTTAATGAATTTAAATTTAAATGGCTGCACATGGACAGAGCAGGTATAGTGGAAAGAGTATAGGTGTTAGAATCAGACAAGATTTGTATCCTGGTCTTAACACTTACCATCTGTGTGACCTTGAGTGAGTTGCTTAACCTCTCCGAGCCACAACTGCCTCATTAGCTGAGTGGAGCTAATGGTCCTCATCCCGCAATGCTGTCGTCAGCCTCAAGCCAATAGTGGTCCTGGCTGTGTGACTACTGCCAAGTCTGCCCTCTCTGGGCCTCTATTTCGTCACCTTCCAATTCCCTCAGGCCTCTTCCCTCTGGATCTCCTGGGATTTTTAGGATGGAGGGAGGAGAGGGAGAGCAGTTGGTTGCGCTTGGGCAGGGCTGGTCCCAGGGTCCGATGAGATGGGAGAGAGGGGTGATGGCGTCCCTTGGCAACTGGCGTGGCCTCCCCTCACAGATGGCTTCTGGGAGGCCCTGGGCGGGAAGGCTGCCTACCGCACATCCCCACGGCTGAAGGACAAGAAGATGGATGCCCATCCTCCTCGCCTCTTTGCCTGCTCCAACAAGATTGGACGTTTTGTGGTGAGCCCCTGCGGAGGTCACACCTCTGCTTTCCCCTCGGGAGGCGAGTTCCACAGGACTGGCCGGCAGCAGGGGCAGGAGAAACAGTTCTGATGGTGTGGCACAGAGGAAGGGGCCCCCTGCCAGCTGCAGCCAGCTGTGCCACTCCCTCAGGGGGCAGATAAAGGAAGGCCACCCAGGGGAGGGAAGACATCTCACTGATGCTCTTTCGTTCCTTCCCAGATCGAAGAGGTTCCTGGTGAGCTCATGCAGGAAGACCTGGCAACGGATGACGTCATGCTTCTGGACACCTGGGACCAGGTGGGTGAAGGACAGGTGAAGGCTCTCTGTGCCAGAGGGAGTGGGAGAAACTAGACTTCCAGTTCTATGATCAGTTGCTAGAAGGACCTAAAGGGGGCAGTGCCAGGTGTTGCCAGAAAAGTCTCTAAGGGTACTGGAAGTCACTTCTTCTTTCTGAGCTTCCATTTCCTCATCTGTAAACTGGGAGTGGCGGTACCTCCCTTGCAGATACACTCACCTTGAAAGCTGCAAAACGCCCTATAAAGGCAAATCACATGACCTTCATCATTCTCTCCCAGACCTTGCAGGAGCGTGAACTCTTCCTTTAAATCTGTTGGCAGAGGAAGTTGAACTTAGCAGCATCTTGTTTGCAGGCATAAACTGTCCAGTGTCACCTAGAGGCTCTAGAGGGCTCCTGCTTCTGGTTTGAGGGCTCTGGGCTCTGTCTCCACTTCATCTCCTAGAGAAGGCCATTATGTAGGACTTGGCAGGGGAAGATGCCATTCACTTACTCAACCAATATTAATTGGGCACTGCTTTGTGCCAGGTGCTTTATGTTTGAGATGCTGGGATAGAGCAATGAATAAAGTAGGCATTTTCCTGCTCTCCCAGGGCTTACGTTCTCACAGGGGTGTCAGGTCAGTCACCTT
The DNA here is from genome assembly GCF_000001405.40 of Homo sapiens. Classification (NCBI taxonomy): domain Eukaryota; kingdom Metazoa; phylum Chordata; class Mammalia; order Primates; family Hominidae; genus Homo; species Homo sapiens. Next base: position 121,329,945 of record NC_000009.12, read on the forward strand.
TCCTATCAAGGTGGCTTCTCCCAGAGTCCTCAGAGTTACGGAGCAGCTGGCCACGAAGGCATAAGACTCTACACTACCCACAGGGATGCTCGGAATCCCCAGTTGGAAGATCGGGACCAAAAATGATTGCAGCTTGAGCCATTCAGCAGTTGTCATTGATTGATCCATTGGCTACTTAATCTGTTTGTTCATCTGTTAGGGATTCAGTCAGCCAACATTTATTCAGCACCATGGTCTTGCAGGCAAAATGCTGAGTGCTGAGAATCCTATGATGAGCAAAATAGAATGCCTGCCTTCGAGGGGCTTCCACTTTAGTTGGGAACACATTTATAAATAAGTAAGAGAGGGCCAGACATGTTGGCTCACACTTGTAAACCCAGCACTTTGAGAGGCTGAGGTGGGCAGATCACTTGAGGTCAGGAGTTCAAGACCAGCCTGGCCAACATGGTGAAACCCCATCTCTACTAAAAATACAAAACAATTAGCCAGGCTTGGTGGTGGGTGCTTATAATCCCACCTACTTGGGAGGTCGAGGCAGAAGAATCACTTGAACCCAGGAGGCGGAGGTTGCAGTGAGCTGAGATCATGCCACTGCACTCCAGCCTGGGTGACAGAGTGAGACTCCGTCTCAAAAAAAAGTGAGAAAAATGAAGTCTGACATTTTATTGTCTAATGCCATTTTATCAATGATAGGTGCTCTTTGAAGTAATATTTTAGATATGCATAAAAATAGATGATACATAAAAATCAGCTAAATAATGTGTAATAGAACTTGTAACAAGACTCAAAATGGTGATAGTGGTGGGTGAGTTATTTTTATTCCAAGCCTTAGGCCCATTTTGACAAAGATGCACACAGACCGGCACATAGTAGACTCTCGGTGCATATTTGTTGGATAAATAAATGGGTGAGAATATGTTTGGCCACTCATTTGTTGAACGAGTGAATGCTGTTCAAGAGATAACTCATGGACCTTTAGAGAAGAATCTCAAACTCAATGCCTGATGGTACCTGGTTGGCAATGTTAGCGAATGAAGCAGGCTGGGCTGGGGAGACGTGAAGGAGCAGTGGAGTCTGAGGCAAACTAGAACTGCTCATCTCAAAGGGGCAGCTCCTGCGCAGCTTGACTCAAGTGAGGTTTGAAGGCCCAGGCTGCTAGATCCTCCAATTTTTAAAGAGAAGTTGGAAATCTAGATTTTTATGTCATAACGGTTTAAAAAGACATTGTTGGCTAACACAAGGTGGTGGGTGAGCAAACAAAACATGTTTGTAGGTTGCCAGTTTTCAACCTCTGTTCCAAATCCTTCCAGTCTTAGTTCATGGGCTCTGTTAGAAAGGGGAGGGCTTTGTCTGGTCTGATACCTGGCCCCTCCCCAGTCTTCCTCCAGCCGTGAATTTGATCAGCACTCCTCATGTACCTTTCCTGTTGCATCTCACCTCCAGGTCTTTGTCTGGGTTGGAAAGGATTCTCAAGAAGAAGAAAAGACAGAAGCCTTGACTTCTGGTGAGGACCCGAGTGCCTGGGGGCGGGGGGAGGGGTCCGTTGCTTGTGGGGTGCTGGGAGTGGCTCCTGTACAGGTCTGGGAATGAGCATCTTTCCAGGGGACTGATGGACAAGATAGGGTGGGGACTTCCTCCTCTGTGGGCCAGCCCCTCATAAATCCTGCCTGGGATAGTGAAGAACACATCAGTTCCTTCAGAAACCCTGAGGCTTCTCAAAGAAGGCTCTCCTCTGTTCCAGGAGAAGGAAGGGACAGATGAGAAGTCACTTCAAGTTCCCAGAATACTCAGAAGCTGAACTTGTCAAGGTTTAGATGTGGCAAAGCAGGCCAGGCATGGTGACTCATGCATGTAATCCCAGCATTTTGGGAGGCCAAGGCAGGAGGATCACTTGAGCCCAGGAGTTTGAAAGCAGCCCGGGCAACATAGTGAAACCTCATCTCTAGAAAAAATACAAAAAAATTAGCCAGGCGTGTTGGTGTACACCCGTGGTCCCAGCTACTCAGGAGGTTGAGGTCAGAGGATTGCTTGAGCCCAGGAGTTCACGGCTGCTGTGAGCCATGATCGCACCACTATACTGTAGCCTGGGTGACAGAATGAGATGGTGTCTCAAAATGAAAAAAAAAAAGAAAAAGATGTTGCAAAGCAGATTCTTGGCAGCTGAATAGATCTGATTTGTGAGCTGGGAACCCAAAAGTTGGTTCCCATATCTTCCAGTAGGGGACTGCAAGGGAAAGTAATAAGCTTTATGAAGCAGGAGATTAAGCCGTAGCCCTGTTCCTTCCTGTGTTCCTGAGCAGGGTGGTGGAGAGCCCACGTGGGTATCATGCCTTTAAAGGAGGATGGTGCCCAGGGCAGGGGGTGGGCAGTAGGGACAGTAGGACCATAGACCCTCTTCTTTGTCAACTCCTGTCCTGAGTCACCCTCTCCCTGGTGTGGGAGGCACTAAGAATTCCTGGGGTTTCCTTTTCTTGCACGTGTGTCTGCAGCTAAGCGGTACATCGAGACGGACCCAGCCAATCGGGATCGGCGGACGCCCATCACCGTGGTGAAGCAAGGCTTTGAGCCTCCCTCCTTTGTGGGCTGGTTCCTTGGCTGGGATGATGATTACTGGTCTGTGGACCCCTTGGACAGGGCCATGGCTGAGCTGGCTGCCTGAGGAGGGGCAGGGCCCACCCATGTCACCGGTCAGTGCCTTTTGGAACTGTCCTTCCCTCAAAGAGGCCTTAGAGCGAGCAGAGCAGCTCTGCTATGAGTGTGTGTGTGTGTGTGTGTTGTTTCTTTTTTTTTTTTTTACAGTATCCAAAAATAGCCCTGCAAAAATTCAGAGTCCTTGCAAAATTGTCTAAAATGTCAGTGTTTGGGAAATTAAATCCAATAAAAACATTTTGAAGTGTGTACTCTAGTGTGGCTCGTTTCCTTGTGCCCATCTGACAGTGAGAGCCGGCGTCTTCTCTGCCTGTGTCCCTGGTAATTCTGAGAATGGCCAGAGAGGTGCCTAGCATTTGCCTGTAAACTAGTAGAAAGGCTACATCCACCCTGTGCGTGAATCCTGGTGCCCTGAGAGGCGATGCCACAGTGAGTTGAGAGGTGTGTAGATTGTCCTGGGGGATACCTATGCTAAAGGAAATAAGGAGGGGCCGGGTACGGTGGCTCACACATGTAATCCCGACACTTTGGGAGACCGAGGCAGGCAGATCACCTGAGATCAGGAGTTCGAGACCAGCCTGGCCAACATGGTGAAAGCCTGCCTCTACTAAAAATAAAAAATTAGCCAGGCGTGGTGGCACATGCCTGTAATCCCACCTACTCGGGAGGCTGAGACAGGAGAATCTCTTGAACCCAGGAGGCGGATGTTGCAGTGAGCTGAGATTGCACCATTGCACTCCAGCCTGGGTGACAGAGCGAGATTCTGTCTCAAAAGAAAGGAAATAGGTGGGGAACCAAGGAAGACTGGGAGAGCCATCAGACCCTCGACGCAAGTCTGACCCTAGGTGGAGAAAAAAGGGAGAGAAGGTTGTGCGGAAGTGTCTTAGTGGTCATTTATTTAATCCAGGAAGATTTGGCAAAGCTTGTCGGCAGTCCCAAAGCCAAATTCAGTGTTCTTTTTAAATTTAATGGTATAGTCCCATTTTTGTTGTTTTTTATTGTGGCAAACTGTACGTAACACAGTATTTATTTTAACCACTTGTATGTATTTCAGTAACATTGCATATACAGTGTTATGTAGCCATCACCACTCTCTGTACCCAAAACTTTTTGATAATCCCCAATATAAATGCTCTGCCCATTAAATACCAATTCCCCATTCTTCCCTATTCGCCAGCCCCTGGTAACCTGTATTTTACTTTCAGTCTCAGAATTTGACTATTCCAGGGACCTCATATAAGTGGAATCATACAACATTTGTCCTCTGTGTGTGGCTTATTTCACTTAGCAGAATGTTTTCAAGACTCATCTGTGTTGTAGCATATATCAACTTTTCACTCCTTTTTGTGGCTGAGTAATATTCTACTGCATGTCTATACCACATCTGGTTTATTCAGCCATCAATGGACTCTTTGTTATTTGTGCCTTTTGGCTATTGTGCATAAGGCTGCTATGAACATGAGCATCTGTTCAATTCAAAGTGTTCTTGAGCCAGAGTCAAAGTCAGCCAGCAAAGGAATTGTGTGTCTCTTGTAAGCAGGCGTGCCTTATCTGCCCCCTGCACTCAGTCTTTGGGAGGCCTGGCCTTGGGACACATGTGGGATGAAGTTCAAAGCCAGCAGTCGGAGCCCTTATCAATTATATGCCCTGCAGTAGAAAGCGGGCAGGGTGCATCCTCATAGCTGCCACATCCTGTAGCAGCTGCTTGGACCTTCCCTGCTGCCTCTGTTTCCCACAGATTCATTCTGCTGCCCCAAAGCTATGTGGAGAAATAACTGCAGCAGCTGCCAGCACAAGAGCTGCCCCCGGATGCTCTCAAAGTTTGCGGTCTTCAGGGTATGGGAAAGGGACTCTTCTGTGCCTTCTTGGTCCCCTGGGTCCTGACTCTCCACTCATGCTCAGCATGTCACACAGTCCCTCTTGGATATTTCTATGTTGTTTCATAATCTTTTCTCCTGGGAGACTAAACCAGTCCAAGAAACCTGCTGGAGGACATTCCCCAGTCCTCCCGCTCTGTCCTTTTGGTCTCTTCTCACCTTGTTTTCCCCCCGTCTTGTTCTGTGTCACCTCCCACCACCACTCCATCCCCATTGAGTTATGATGTGAAAGCTCGCAAGCATATGACTGTAAAAGAACAGAAACCAGCATGAGGGCTTAAATGATGGGCAGGCTGTGTGTTTGTGTGTGTGTGTGTGTGTGTGTGTGTGTGTGTGTGTGTGTGTGTGTTTACACTGTTGTCTCCAAAGCTGGCTGATCACCCAAATTGCCCAGGGAACTTTTTAAAAGCATGGATTCCCCAAGGGCCATTCCTCCAGAGATTCTGATTCATCGCAGAAGTGTCGAGGGTAGTGGAGAAGAAATTTTCTGGATGAAACGTGGAGGGAAGATGAAGTCACTTTCAGGCAGAGGGTGCAGCTAGTACAGGCAGGGGGCTGTGAGGGGAACAGCGTGCTCAGGGACAGACAGCAGCCTGGAGTGGCAGGCCTCTGAGCTGAGAAGCAGGCTGGGGCTTTGAATGCCATACCAAGGGTTTGGACTTGATCCCATAACGCTTGCCTTGCCTACCCCCAAAGGTTTGCTTTCATGGTCAAAGCAATCAACTTGACAAAGTCCTGGTACAGAAGTGGCATTTACCACCCAAAGCTTCTAGGGCTTTCACGAGAGGCAGGTAGAGGCCTGTCTAGACAGAGCTAGCTTACTTCCTAGAAATTAGTGGGAGGTAAAATTTCAGGTAGACCTGCCCATTAATTCTTCATTTCAGTTTATACCAGCATTCAAGGGTATGGCTGTGGCCTCAAAAGAGAGTTGTGCAATGCTCTGAGAAAGAAAATAGCCTGGGGCCACTGAGATGCTGCCTTCTTATTTTTCTCTCAAAGGCAGAAAAGCCAATCAGGAGCACTATCACTTCAACCGCACATTTTATCTTTCTAAAGTTGCAGACGTCATCGTCTCCTACAATGGAAAAATCATCGTGAAATAATGAGACAGATGCCAGAGGGACAACGCTAGGCTTGGATCTTGTGTCCAATCTTGGGCAATTCAGTTGAACAGATATTTTGTACTTACTTTGTGCAAGGCATTATAGATATAATACTTAAACTTTTGGAGCCTCAAGTTACCCACCTGCAAAATGGTAATGTTGTATTAATACCTAGCTGGAGGTGGTATAATACAGTGGCTAATAGCTGGCTTTTGGAGTCAGACCTCAGTTCAAATCTAGCTCTACCACTCATTAGCAGTGTGATCTTAAGTTCTTTGCCATTTCCTTAGCTGAAAAATGAGAATAAGAACAGTGTCACCCCACTTAGAATTCTCATGAGGATTAAGGGAGGTAATGCTTAGCACAATGTCTGGCCTATAGTAAGTGCTCGAAAATGGTTAAAAATAATGAAAGCACCTAGGCCACAGCAGAACCTAGTATTCAACCACGGAGGCAAAGGCCCAATGTACTGTGGATCAGAAAGGATGTTTTTGGCTGTAAGCAGTGGAGGGCTAACTCAAACCAAATTAAACTGTAAGCACACTTATGTGCTCTCATACATAATCAGTTCAGAGTTGAGGGGGACTTCATGGTTGACTAAACGTAGTGGGCCTGAGTTTCCTGCTCATTCTCTTGGCCCTTGCTAGTCTGGTAGTAAAATATCTGTAGGTGTTCTGGTTGCTCCACACCCATGAACAGCAATGCCCAGAGGAAAAGAGGACTGTTTCTAGAAAAGTTTTCAGAAAAGGGAGGAGGAACTGCTCCCAAGACCACGGAAAACCTTTCCTCAGGTCTCAAGAATCCATATTGGGTCACATAATCATTCCTGATGGAATCATGGGCTAGAAGGATGGAATTATTCATAGGCCAGTTAGGTTCATCCTAGCAGGTGGGGGTGAATTCTTCTCCTGAGGTCAGAGCGCTCAGGGGGAGGTATCTGAACAAAGTCATGGCTCCTAGGAAGGAGGGAGGAGATAAATGGATGCTGGGTAGACCGCCATTTTGTTGGAGACTTCTGGGGGCCAGATGCGGAAAATTAAAAGTAATGGCTCCTTACAGTTCTGTGGCATCCAGTAATTAATTTTCAGACTGTTCAATTTCCAGTCATTTTCCCCCGGAATCTTTTAGGGAAGATTTGCAGCCTGCATTATGATTACTATGTTTCTAGAGTTTATTGTAAAACCACAGTTTTAACAGCGGCTTCAATTTCCTTTCTCACTAAACTCTTCTGGCTACAGGGTAGATTGAAAGGGGCTGTATCCTATTAGCCAGTGTGACTGGTTTAGGCAAATCCTAGCTTGATCTGAGCCTGGGTCTGCTGTAGACCTGATGTTAACAACATCACAGGAAGAGATCATCACTAATATCCCCGGAGATTTTCCTGTGGCCTGGTCAACACAGCCAAATGAGATTATGCATGGACATGAAAAAAGCTGTGTAAAGTGTCTTGCACAGTGCTGGCATTCAACCGTGGTTCCTTTTGCCTTCTTCTTGGTTCCTATAAAGTAAAAACTCTTCAGGTAACTGCATAGCTGTGTAGTTGGATCTTAGACATGATCTAGCCCAGGATTTCTTAAGTCTTTGGATAGGTTTGGGAGTGGGGCCAGTGTACCCCCAAAGCATCCAAATTTGTGTTGTGCACACTATGTGCAGTTTTCAGACGAAGCTCTGTAGCTTCCAACACATTCTCAAAAGGTCTGAGACCCAAACAGCTGGACTATAATCTCCCTGTTTTACAGGTGAGGAAAATGAGGCTGAGAGAACATATGACTTATCCAAGGTCACATTATAAAGTGGATGCTATAGCAAGGAAAGCACTCCAGAGCAGTGATTTTCAAACAGAAATATGTAGAATTCTATGAGGTGCTTCTGTGATTTTGTAAATATTAGATTCAAATTCCATGTTTAAAGTGGTAATAAAAACAGACAAGCAAAATGGAGAAATCGAATGTAGACTCTGAATATAAGATTGGAACTCTTTCGTAACTCTAATATTGTTTTTCAAAACAGCCTCATTGTTCTCATTGAGTTACTTTATATTCAGTAAATGTTATAAATGTGAACTCAAGAATTTATCCTGGCAAAAGACACCGTAAACCTTTTACTGATGCAGTTACCTTTGAAAAAAGGGGTTTGCTGCTGAAAGTAAGAGGAAGAGGCACTTGATTCACTATTTACTAGCCAAGTAACTGTGAGAGCAGGTTTGTGAGTATCACAAGAAATGATATATTTTAAAATGCTACATAAGCTGAGAGTCTATGGAACACTGGTTTCCTCCTGCTCAGGACAGTGTGTTATGACATTTGTGGTTACAAATGCCCAATCGGGCCGGGTGCAGTGGCTCACACATGTAATCCCAGCACTTTGGGAGGCCGAGGTGGGCAGATCACCTGAGGTCAGGAGTTCGAGACCAGCCTGGCCAACATGGTGAAACCCCATCTCTACTAAAAATAAAAATACAAAAATTAGCCGGGCGTGGTGGCATGCGCCTGTAGTCCCAGCTACTCAGGAGGCTGAGGCAGGAGAATCGCTTGAACCCAGGAGGCAGAGGTTGCAGTGAGCCAAGATCACGCCATTACACTCCAGCCTGGATGACAAGAGCGAGACTCCATCTCAAAGAAAAAAAAAAAACAAACAAATGCCCAATTGACTCTCCTCTTTTTATAGTGAACTTTGGCTGAATTGGATGGCCCAAAACAAAAGTTTAAGTTTAGGGCCCAGTTAGGTGTGAATGTAAAGACAAATGAACTTTGATAGTCTTGGGAAAAGTTGTGATCTATCTACAAAATGGTGGTGGTGGTGTGTGGATGGGGGCACTAGAGGCAGGCAGTGTCACACGAAGATACACTGATACACCTCACAAATCTTTGGCATTAGACAGATCTGGGTTTGAATCCCAGCTCTGTTTCTTTCCGACCATGTGACTTTGGCTGTTTTAACCTTTGAGCCTTCAGTGTCCTCATCTACAAAATGGTGATAATAAAGTGTCTATCAAACCATTTTGAGATAAAATGATAGAATGTACATACACGTATTTGTGCACAGAGCTGAGTGACTGGTGCTCCCAAATGGTAGCCACTAATTCAAGACAGTTCTGTCAGATGTTGCAGGTAAAACACATTGGTTTTTTATCATTATTTGTTTCTTTTTAAGTAAAGGCTATGTCTATGTGATTAACTGGGTGACAGCAAGAAGTGGGTTCCTGTCCTGTTTGGAGGAAGGCAAAAGAAAATGAAGTCAGTTAAAGCTTTGTGGTGGTGGTGGAGGGTGTGTGTGGATCTTGAAACTCCCCAGGGAAAATGTGTGGGCCAGTGCACCAGAGGGTGCCTGGACCTGGGAGACAGCAGATGGCCCACAGCAGCCTGTCCCCTTCCCCTGGCCCACAAAGCACACGAAGAAGCCAACCAGCCAGCTCAGAACCGGAGGATCTAATGTACTACTTCTGAAAACGGAAATCCACAGACATTCAATACAGGCCGAAACAGACTCTCACCCCAAAAATATTAGTGAAAGTGCATACACTTTATTATGTACATTGTTGGAAAGGGAGGCCACCTGGAGAAACTTCTGCACTGGCACTGTGTTCCTAGAGCTCCTTCTATGCGTCCCTCCCAAGTGATTTAATTTCAGCTGATTGGACTACGAATTCACAAGGCAGAAAAGTCAAGGTCATTTGGTATCTGGAGACAGGAGAACTCAAGGAACCAAAAGCACTGTTACTCTAAGTCTCAGAAAAGGTTTTCAGTCAGGATATGGAGGCTCCTGGTCCTCAAGGGTGAACCACTTCACACAACAGATAAAACCATCATTTTAAAATTCAAAATGTAAGTGCAACTTGAGTTTAAGTTGCACTGCTCCATACCTCTAATAAACTCAGCTAGGAGCCAGGATACATGGTAGTTCAAGGCTTCCTAAAATAAGCTTGAAATTGGGGTACAGGGGAAGGGACATCCATTGGCTGGATGGACAGAGTGGTTGAGCTAAAGAGAGCTATAAAGGCTCGTGCTGGGAAAGAAAGCTGTTATGCTTAGACTTCTCTAGGTGAACTCAGAGTCTCAAAGAGGAAATGTTACAAATGTCACCCGCCAGCTTTCTGGCCAGTAAGCAGAATGCCAGGTTGCTCAGATTCACAGACATTTGCAAAACAGAAGATGTCTCCTAATATTATAGACTAAGAATTTGTTGTCCAGAGGAGCTGACCAGTTCCTCTTTCAGCATCAATATACATGATAGAAGAATGACTAGGTAAATTTAAAAAGACCTACATCTATATAGATATTGTAAGTTTGACAGTATCTGCCCAAGATCATTAGACACTATATAGTCAATATACTGTGAATTCCTTATACTATGTAATGAATGGGTTTGTAATCAACATATTTCACAGTGTACCACAGTTAACAGCATGCAGATAGTAAAATATAATGGTTTCCTGAAGTTATCTCTTAAAAAAGTATTTTAGTCCTTCAGCTATTCAAATAGATATATAACAATTGCATATAGAACGTAGAGAAAATTTTATTAAAAAATTAAAACTATTTAAAACCTGATATATGAAAATAGGCAACAGTGAGAAAAAAGCACTTTTGTGACAAATATTTAGCTGGTTTGAAAGACAGAACAAGGAGGAATCATTTACTCATAAAGAAGGCTCAAATAAGTTAAAACATGGATGTATTTTTAAAATGACCACTCTAGTAGTGAATTTAAAAGTCTTTTAAGGGTTAGAGTAATCTTTTTCATTAGTCTTGGCTATTTCCTCTAGTTCTGACAAGTACAGGCAAGAAAATGGCTACTCTCAAGTAAGGATTATTCTGAAACACGGTCTGGATTTAGAAAATAAATGAACATTAGGGAAATTTCCTTAATTAAGACTCTCCAAACCAGGTGTGGTAGCTCATGCCTGTAATCCCAGCACTTTGGGAGGCAGAGGTGGGTGGATCACCTGAGGTTAGGAGTTCGTGACTAGCCTGGCCAACATGGTGAAACCCCGTCTCTACTAAAAAACAATAATAATAATACAAAAATTAGCTGGGCATGGTGGCATGAGCCTGTAATCCCAGCTACTGGGGAGGCTGAGGCAGGAGAATCTCTTGAACCCAGGAGGCGGAGGTTGCAGTGAGCCGAGATCATGCTATTGCACTCCAGCCTGGGCAACAAGAGTGAAACTCCATCTCAGAAAAAAAAAAAAAAAGACTCTCTGGAGGTAAGGCACATATGACCTGGAGAAGCTGGTTGTGGTGTAAGGTCATCACTTTCTGCAAAGCATTTAGCCAGTCAGCGGTGTCAGGTGGCAGTTACAGCCCAGGTTCTTGCCTCTGGCCTGGGTGCTTAGGGGGTTCAGAATGAGTCAGTGGAAGTCAAAACAAGAGGGATCTAACCTACTACATAATAATCTAAAAATACAAACTTTTAACTATTTTAAGACTAACAGATTACCTTATATAAATCACCAATCTCTCAGTATTTACAAGCTAACAATTCTTTCACCTATTTTTATAACTGCTATACATTCTGGGAACACCACAATTGACATATGGAAAAAGAAAAGCCCTACCCTCTCTTTATGAGTTAAAGGCTAATTTGGTCCCCGACTTCATGCTTGGAAGGCTAGCGCTCATCTCTACACTAGCCTAGATGGCTGTGTTTTGCCCCTATGATTCCTTGCAGCATATCTATGGGCAGAGGGAAGACAATTGTTGAGTTTTTCTCAGCAGCAATGGTGGTCAGTGTCTGCAGGTATCGGAGCTGAAGGGCTGCAGGAGATTCAGTGATGACCATGGAGGCTTCTTTCAGAGCCCTGGATGCATTCATTTCTCCTTCGGCTGCAATAACCTATGGACAGGTGAAAGGAGGGGTTGAACTGGAGAAAACCTCATGGGGACACACAGCACTCTTCAACCGGGGGTATGTATACCTCAGGTGGTCCACAAAACTTTCTAGGGCGTATGCCAGAGTAGTTTTAAGAAAATCAATTTCTACATACTCAGTTTCCATATGCTTCTTTTTCTGAAACTGACTTGCCTGACTAGTGCCTGGATCAAGACATTCTCTTTTACTATAGCCTTTCTCCCATTTTCCAGGGTAACAAACAAAGGGATAATTCAAAATACTGTGCAGGATTGAGAAAGCAAGTAACTTTAATGACTGCAGGCAAATCCTTTTGCAAGTCAGCAGCATTTCCAATTCTCTGATGAGTACCTTACTAAACTGAAAGCTGACAGGTCATTATAAATATTTTTTGATGAAAGACTGTGATATGATTTTTTTAGCACATAAATTCAAAGTGCTAAGAACTGTATGATACTACTTTAAACAGAACTTCCATTTCCATCTACTTATTTATGTAAATAAGGTTTCAAAGTCCTTATAGCTATAAAAATGAAAAATAGGAATAAAATTGATGCTGAATCGTGTCTCATTCTAGCATTAAACAACAGCCATCTATACATGTACGATTTAATTCTCATTCATCTTATAAAGACAAGCATTTCTAGTAAAAATTGACTTCTGGTACTGGGTGCAGTGGCTCACACCTGTAATCCCAAAACTTTGGGAGGCCAAGGCGGGCAGATCACTTGAGGTCAGGAGTTCGAGACCAGCCTGGCCAACATGGCAAAACCCTATCTCTACTAAAAGTACAAAAATTAGCTGGGCGTTGTGGCAAGCACCTGTAAACCCAGCTACTTGGGAGGCTGAGACAGGAGAATTGCTCGAACCCGGGAGGTTGCAGTGAGCCGAGATCATGCCACTGCTGCACTCCAGCTTGGCTGACAGAATGAGAATCTGTCTCAAAAAAAAAAAAAAAAATTGACTTCTTATTTAGGAGAAATTCTGAAATGTTTGTAGAACCTTGTTTTTAGTTACAGGAAATTTTTAAAAATTAATTCTAACTTATGGACTAAATATGTTGCAGTATGTTAATAAAATAATTCATGACAAAATGTATGTTAGGAAAAGAATCTGGCGGAAGTGAAGATGCAATAAAAAACTTAGGTTTAAGAAGAAGAAGAAAAAAACAATAAAAAGCTCCTGACTGTTAAGAGTTTACTTACATATTTTTAATGGATAACTAAATCATTATTATTTCTCATTGGGTACATTTAAAAGAATGATGTTAACAGTTTTATTTAAAAATGTCAATATTTACAACATGCCAGGAATTATATTCTTGGCAAGTACATAAATTCAAGATGAAAAATTTTTACATGCCGATTTAAAATGTTTGATGGACTTTATAGTTTTTCTAAATTCTGTAAGGGGTTTCACAGGCAAAAAAGTTTGAAGATCACTCGAGTAGTAGACAGAACAGGAGTTCTGGAGTCAAATGGACTTGAGTTCAAATCCCAAATCTAACATTTACCAGCCGAATGTCCTCAGAGAGGTTACTGAACATCCTGAACCTCAGTTTCCCATTCTTAAAGCAGACTAACATGTACTTCAGAGGACCACTTGTGAGGAAGACAGAGAAAGTATATAAAGTGTTAAATGAATAAAGGGGGCTATTATAGAGGAATGGCAAGTGACAAGACCTGATTTTTGGGTCCAACTATGCTTTAATGCACAAAAGATTCAAGGTAGTTACTTTAATTCATAATCCTAGAAGAAGGAAAGGTATTAAGACACCATAATTATCAAGATTAAAAGTACAATTTCTCCAGGTTATTATCCTCACTTGAATCTTGAATAATTAATGGTCCATAATACTCCATGAATATCAGAATTGGAGGTGATGGTCTTATGCCCAGTGAGATTTCATTCACTCACACAGCAAAATTTGGGGGCCTTCTAGGGTTAATAAGCCCTGTGTAGGAAAAGCTAAGGATAGAGTGGAATCCCTAGCCTTCTTCAGCTCCTGGTCAGGTAGGGAAGGCAGACATGGAAGTAGATCATTTCATTCTAGTGTGATAAATGCTGACAGACATATGTACAAGGCACAGTGCAAGCAAACAGAAGAAAGCAACTTTTCCAGAGGGTGACGTGGTGAGGTTATAGAAGTTGAATATTAAATGATAAAATGTTTGCTGTTTAGAAAAAGATGAGGAAGAATATTTTGGGCAGAACACATGAAACGGTACTGAGGTATAAAAATGGTATATTCCAGAAAACTGTCAATGGCTGAATACTATGGCAGGAAGAGGGGAAAGGTGGGGGATGAATGGGGCCGGGTTCTGAAGGGCAGTGAGGGCCAGGGTGTTTGGTCTTCATTCTGTAGGCAATGGGAAGCTGCAGAATGATTTTAAGCAGGTAAGTAAACTCCATCAGATCTAGTTTGAAAAAGCTCTCTGACAGATGTCTGAGGTTAGAAGAGAAGGCAGTGAAAGCTGCTAGTGGAACTGCTTTAGAGTGGCCGGTGCGATTCATAGGTGGTGGGGACAGAGAATGAAATGGTTTGGGGAGCTATTCTCCCTCCCCGAAGGAGGGCGAATCAGTGGAATTTGGAGACTAGGTAGGAGGAGGAAAGGGGGACACAGGCTGAGACCCAGGTTTCCAGGTTTTGGTTGCATAGATTAGTGCCATTAATGGAGATAGGATACAGAATATAGTACTCACTGAGAGAAAGGATCCAGCTTATAGGATAAAAACCTTAATTTATCAAAGCCACACATCATGTCCTGCCTAGGTCTGTGAGAAGGGACAAGTGCCAGCTTTGCTCAAAGAAAACCACAGAACTGTATTCCAAGGTAGGCACTACAGAGAATACATCAGAAATCCCCTGCTATGAGAGCAGCAGGCTCTCATTTTTTCCATATCATCTCAGATGTCCAATTAGGCACTTTTTTCTTTGGACATGGACCAACTGAAAAGATATCTCATTTCCCACCACCAATCAATACACAATCGCTTGGCTGAGAAGCCAGACCCACCGGGCTGGGCACACATTTTGTTCATAGAAAAGCCACACTGAGCAAGCTGCCAAAGATGTAAACAACACCACCGGCTTTGTCTAAATACAGGCCAAGTACACTCCGTTGATAGGATCTTAGAGAGCAAAGCAAGCTATTTGTGGGTGTGCACGGCTTTTGTCGAATGTGCAGTAATCTCATAGCAATCAACATTTCATATTTATAGAACATCATTTTAAAGTCTGGCATTTTCATGTATGTGAAATTGGTGCTACCTGTCCCTTCTGCAGACCAGGTGGTCTGGGCAGAGGAAAAGGCAGAGAAAGGTGATCTGTATTTCTGCACTCCATCCTCTCAATTAATAGACTTCTACACCCAGAAACATGAGCCCAAAAGCATGTGCCAGGTGTTTTTCTGAGAGTTATGAAAAGGAAATAAAAGCTGATGCAAACACAAAAGATATTACATTTCAGGCCACTAAGAGCTGGTCTAAACACTTTAAAAACCAAACCTAACATACAGAGAAACACGTAGGAGAATCTGTCCTCTTCTGTGACCGGCTTCTTTCACTCAAATTATGTGTGTGAGCACTTACATTCATTCTCTTTGCTATGTAGTATGCCTACATGTGAATAAACCAGACTTCATTCATTCAGCTAGGAATGGACATTTGGGTATTCTACAGTTTGGGTCAATGTGCTGCTGTGAACATTCTAGTACATGCCTTTTGGTAAACATATGAGTGCATTTCTGTTAGATTCATACTTAGGAGTTGGAGCTGCTGGCTCATAGGGTATACAAATGTTCAGTATGAATAGACATTGCCAGACTGTTTTCCACAGTGGTTGTATTAAGTTACACTGCCACCAGCAGAATATGAGAGTTCTAGTTCCTCTCTCACCCACACTTGGTTCTTTTCCGTTCTTTTCAGGCCATTCTGATAGCTGTCTAGTGTGACATCCGCTTATAATGTGAATTTGCATTTCCCCGATGGCTAATTAGCCTAAGGAATTTTTCTATAAAGTCTCTTAATCTTTAGATTATTCCACTCTATCTCACCTTTCCTGTGCAATTTATTTGTTGAAGAAACTGTGACCCCCCTATTTTCCATGAGAATTTCAATACAATAAGCC